>NC_000005.10:120109807-121359807 GCF_000001405.40 Homo sapiens
GACTTGAGAGGAAGGATGAAAAGGGGGAGAGGGATAAAAGACTACAAATAAGGTACAGTGTACACTGCTTGGGTGATGGGTGCACCAAAATCTCACAAATCACCACTAAAGAACTTATGTAATCAAATACCACTTGTAACCCATAACCTATGGGAAAAAAAGCAAAGCTAGTACTATTGACCCTTAACAATGTGGCAGTTAAAAGTGCTGATCTCTGTCTGCACAGTTGAAAATCCACATATTGCTTTGACTCCACAAAAACTTAACTACTAGTAGGCTATTGTTGATCAGAAGCCTTACCAATAACATAAACAGCAGATTAATACATATTTCGTGTATGTATGACATAATGTATCCTCACAATAGAGTAAGCTAGAGAAAAGAAAATGTGATTAAGAAAATCATAAGAAGGAGAAAATACATTTGTTATTCCTTAAGTGGAAGTGGATCATTGTAAAGATCATCCTCGTTATCTTCATGGTGAATGGCTGAATAAAACGAGAAAGAGGAGGGGTTGGTCTTGCTGTCTCAGGGATGGCAGAGGTGGAAGAAAATCCCTGTGTAAGTGGACTCATGCAATTCAAACCTGTGATATTCAGAAATCAACTGTATTATTTACATATTTAATTTTGAGGGGCTATAGTCAACCAAAAACAATTTTTCTAATCAAAAGTCATTTATTGAGGCCAGGCACAATGGCTCTCACCTGTAATCTCAGCACTTTGGGAGGCTGAGGTGGGCGGATCACTTGAGGTCAAGAGTTCGAAACCAGCCTGGTCATCATGGTGAAACCCCATCTCTACTAAAAATACAAAAATTAGCTGGGTGTGGTTGTGGCCACCTGTAATCCCAGCTACTTGGGAGGCTGAGGCAGGAGAATCACTGGAACCCAGAAGGTGGAGGTTGCAGTGAGCAGAGATTGTGCCACTGCACTCCAGCCTGGGTGACAGAGTGAGACTCTGTCTAAAAAAAAAAAAAAAAAAAAGTCATTTATTTAAATATTCTACCGTCTTTCCATTCATTGATACATTCATTTATCTATCCATCCATCCATCTATTTACTAAATAATTACTAGATACAAGAAAATTCCATAACAAATATGATAAGGATTAATACAGGATCTGAAAATTGATGACTGCAGCATTTTACTTGGCTATAAGAGTGTTTTTATTATTTATTTATTTATTTATTTATTTATTTATTTTTTTTTTTGAGATGGAGTCTCGCTCTGTTGTCTCGGCTGGAGTGCAGTGGTACAATCTCAGCTCACTGCAACCTCCACCTCCTGGGTTCAAGCGATTCTCCTGCCTCAGCCTCCCAAGTAGCTGAGACTACAGGCGCACACCACCACGCCTGGCTAATTTTTTGCATTTTTAGTAGAGATGGGTTTTCACCATGTTGGTCAGGCTGGTCTCGAACTTCTGACCTCGTGTTATGTCTACTAGGCCTCCCAAAGTCCTGGGATTACAGGCATGAGCCACCATGCCCAGCCTAAGAGCATTTTTAAATATTATACATATATTTCAGAACTTAGGCTTTTTATATCTCAACCTTATGCTAGGTTACTTCCTATATTTGTGATGCTTGTCTGGCCCTGAACGCATTTAAGTTTATGGGAACCACAGGATAAGTTATTATTATCTATTAAAAATGTAATATATTATCTTTTTTTTCTTACGGGAAAAAAAGTTTGTTTTCTTTAAAATTAACAATTTTATCAGGAAGTGAAGCTGCGCCTTTACATTAAGGCTTGAGGAGGAGAAAGGCTGTTAGGGACTTGAGGGGCACAAGTGAGGAGTCTAGTGGGTGTTCTAGGGTTAGGGAGGTTTAGAGATAAAATTAACTCTAGATATTTAGATGATACTTGATTTTTGATTTTGGTAAACCATGACAACTTAGGGCAAGAGCCATGAAAAAAATTATAGTTTATTTTTTGGGGGAAGGGAGAGTTAAACTTTAACCCAACTTATTGGTGATAAAGAAAAGTAATTATTTATTTGAGAACTAGGCCATGGATCCTGCCAAATTATTTGTCTATTATTGTTACATTACTGATGCCTATAGAATTTTCCAAATTTATTCCTATTTTTTCTTTCTCTCTGATATAGCCCTTATCTCAACAATACTTTTTGAAAATAATTTCAGTTGGATGATGGAAGGAATTGTATAGAAATGAACAGATTGTGTAAGAATTAATGGGAAAGTCAAGGTAGACTTATTAGGCAGTTATGATTAATAAGGATGCCTTCATTATTTTAGAAAGAATTGAATAAAATATCAAAATTAAACCCAGACCCAGTGTATATAATATCTTAAAACAGGTTCTAAGAAATGGATACCTTGACAATACTCTCACATCTGTATTCACTTCTATTTAAAACAGTTCTGTTTAAATTTTTAAGATTTTTAAATACAAGTAGTAGAAAATATTGAACATTTTCCCTAGATGAATAACTCAAAGACAGGTAGCTTCATGGCCAATAGTCAAATTATGCCCTGGCAAGACGGCATTATCCCTTGACTCCCACAGACACAACTCCTCAGGCCTATTAGCTTTTCAATAACTTATAAAGATATTGGAGACTTAAAAATTATGGGCTCTAAAATACTGAAAGAAAGGCAGGTATTCAAAATGGATTAATACTTTTAAAAGGCCACAAAAATAGTGGTTATACCTAGTTGGTTGCAATTACTGTATGTTTAGATGGTTGCACAGACAAAATATTTAGTGAGGATATAAAGACATCTTGATGTATAACATGATGTAGGGGATGGGGCATACAAATATTTCCTAGAGCCTAATAAGTTATCAGTACTTTCTTTCTCTCCTATTTTTTTCTTGCCTATATATAACCCTCCTCCCCTTTATTTTTGGACAGAGTTTTGTTCTTTGTTGCCCAGGCTGGAGTGCAGTAATGCAATCTCTGCTCACTTCAACCTCTGCCTTCCCAGTTCAAGAGATTCTCCTTCCTCAGCCTCCCCAGCAGCTGGGATTACAGGAGCCCTCCACATGCCCGGCTAATTTTGGTATTTTTAGTAGAGAGGGGATTTCACCATGTTGGACAGGCTGGTCTCAAACTCCTGACCTCAGTTCATCCGCCTGCCTCAGCCTCCCAAAGTGCTGGGACTACAGGCATGAGCCATCACGTCCGGACTCTTCTATCATTCTTATAATATCCTCCTCCTTTGTGCTTTTCTTCCTCTTCCACCCTACTTCTCAATTTAGGCAATTGGTTGAAGGCAAAGCAATTTCCTGCATTGTAAGATGGATAGCAAGGCCATTTTCCACTCATGACAAATAAAATAATTTAGTACAAATTCCTTTGAGCTTTAAAAAATGAATAGCATGGTCTGTTTTCAAATGTTATATATCCATTAAAGACTATTCTATCTAAGTTCTTTTCCTTAACTTCCCTAATTGGATAAGGTATTTTATTAGAGGCTATATGAGTAAGAGGTGCTGTTGCTTACTTAATGATATCCACCTATCATTTGGTTTTTTGGAAATATTTTCAGGACAGTGAAGACTTTTAAAGCAGAAACACACATTATCACATTTGGACAACCACTGGAAGCTTTTGGGGAATGACAAGGAGAACATATTCTCATATTCTGCTGAGTTTATTCAGAGATTTAGTTTACACTTTTGTTTCTAAACATACAACTGATGAGAAATAAAATATATATTTTTAAGGGTAGATAATCTGATAATGGCAATCAATGTAAAAGAACTTTAGCAGCAGGGCTTTTAAGATTCATGGGAAACAAAATAGATTTAACCATGGAAACTGAGTTCATATTTCTCTGAAACTGACTGACAATTTCTTTTCTCTTAAGTGATTTTTCTACCATGAAAAAAAAAATTCTTCTAAATTTAGCATGATTTATTATTAGTCCAATGTAGTTAAAGACAATATTTATAAATTTTGAACTAAGTCCCTGTTTCTATCAAAATGTAAAATCTCTGGCAATATCAATACTTTTTAAATCATTCACTGAAGATGTCATACAAGGTGATATGGTTTTGATATTTGGGTTTTCACCCAAATCTTATGTCAAGTTGTTACTCCCGATGTTGGAGGAGGGACCTAGTGGGAGGTGATTAGATCATGAAGCAGACTACTCCCTTGCTGTTTTTGTGATAGTGAGGTCTCATTATATCTGGTTGTTTAAAAGTGTGTAGCACCGGCTGGGCATGGTGGCTCACACCTATAATCTCAGCACTTTGGGAGGCCAAGGTGGGCAGATCACAAGGTCAGGAGTTCGAGACCAGCCTGGCCAATATAGTGAAACCTCATCTGTACTTAGAATACAAAAATTAGCTGGGCATGGTGGCATGAGCCTGTAGTCCCAGCTACTCGGGAGGTTGAGACAGGAGAATCGCTTGAATCCAGGAGGCAGAGGTTGCAGTGAGCCGAGATCACGCCACTGTACTCCAGCCTGGGTGACAGGGCAAGACTCCATCACAAAAAAAAAAAAAAAAAAAAATGGTGTGTAGCACCTTCTCCTTCACTCTCTTCCTCCTTCTCCAGCCATGTAAGACATGCCTGCTTCCCCTTTACCTTGCGCCATGATTGAGTTTCTTGAGGCCTCCCCAGCCATGCTTCTAATATAGTTTGTGGAACTGTGAGCCTATTAAACCTCTTTTCTTTATAAATAACAGTTTCAGATATTTCTTTATAGCAGTGCAAGAATGGACTAATATAGAAAATTGGTACAGAGAAGTGGGTCATTGCTATGAAGATAATTGAAAATGTAAAAGCAACTTTAGAACTGGGTAACAGGCAGAGATTTGAACAGTTTGGAGGGCTCAGGGGAAGACAGAAAGATAGGGAAAGTTTGGAGCTTCCTAGAGACTTGTTAAATTGTTGTGATCAAAATGTTCATAGTGATATGGACAATGAAGTTTAGGCTGAGGTGGTCGCAGATGAAGATGAAGAATTTGTAGGGAACTGGAGTAGAAGTCACTCTTGCTGTGTGTTAGCAAACAGACTGACAGCACTGTGCCCCTGCTCTAGGGATCTGTAGAACTTTGAGGTTGAGAGGGATGATTTAGGGTATCTGGTGGAAGAAATTTCTAAGCAGCAAAGCATTCAGGAAGTGGCTTGGCTGCTTCCAATAGCATATGGTTCTATGTGTGAGCAAAGAGATGGTCTGAAACTGGAAATTAAATTTAAAAGGGAAGCAGAGTGTAAAGGTTCAGAAAATTTGCAGCCTGACCATAAGATAGAAAAAAGCCCATTTTTTGAGGAGGAATTCAAGACTGCTGCAGAAATTTGCTTAAGTAGAGAGGAGCCAAATGTTAATAGCCAAGACAATGGGGAAAATGTCTCCAGGACATCTCAGAGACCTTCATGGCAGCCCTCCCTTTACAGGCCCAGAGGCCTAGAAGAGAGGAAGGTTTTGTGGGCCAGGACCAGTGCACCACTGCACTGTGCAACACAGAGATACTGCTCCCTGTGTTTCAGCTTCTCTAGTTCTAGCAGTGGTGAAAAGGGCCCCCAGATAAATCTCAGGCCACTGCTCCAGAGGGTGTAAGCCATAAGCCTTGGCATCTTCCATGTGGTGGTAAGCTTGGGGATGTGCAGAGGGTCAGAGTGGAGGCTTGGGAGCCTCCACCTAGATTTCAGAAGATGTATGAGAATGGCTGAATGTCTAGGCGGAAGTCTGTTGCAGGTGTAGAGCCCTCATGGAGAACATCTACTAGTGCAATTTGGGGGTAAGCATGGGGTTGGAGCCCACCCACAGAGCTCTCCCTGGGGCACTGCCTAGTAGAGATGTGAGAAGAGGGCCACCATCCTCTAGACTCCAGAATGATGGATCCAACAACAGTTTGCACTGTGAACCTGGAAAAGCTATGGGCACTCAATGTCAACACATGAAAGAAGCCACAGGGGCTGTATCTGGCAGAGCCATAAGAAAGGAACTACCTAAGGCCTTGGGAGCCCACCTCTTACATCAGTGTTGTCTGTATTTGAGACATGGAGACAAAGGAGATTATTTTGGAGTTTTGAGATTTAATGATTGCCCTGCTGGTTTTTGGACTTGGACTTACATGAGCCTGTAGCCCCTTTGTTTTGGCCAATTTTTCTCTTTTGGAAAGTGAATATTTACCCAGTGCCTATACCCCATTGTATCTTGGAAATAAATAACTTGTTTTTGAGGTTACAGTCTCATAGGTGGAAGGAACTTACTTTGTCTTGGATGAGTCTTTGGACTGTGGACTTCCGAGTTAATACTGAAATGAGTTAAGACTAAGGGTCTATTGAGAACAGTTATTTTGTAATATGAGAAGAACATAAAATTTGAGAGAGCTCAGGGGCAGAATTATATGGTTCGGATTTGTGTCCTCACCCAAATCCCATGTGGAACTGTCATCCCCAGTGTTGGAGAAGAGACCTGGTGGGAGGTGATTGGATCATGGAGGTGGCCCCTCCTTCATTTTTCTTGTGAGAGTGAGTAAGTTCTCATGAGATCTGGGTGTTAAAAAGTGTGTAACACCTGCCCCTCTGCTCTCTTCCTCCTTCTTCAGGCATATAAGACATGCCTGCTTCCCCTTTGTCTTCCACCAGGATTGTAAGTTTCCTAAGGCCTCCACAGCCATTTTTCCTGTATAGCCTGTGGAACTGTAAGGCAATTAAATCTCTTTTCCTTTTTGTAAATTACAGTTTTAGGTATTTTTTTGTAGCCATGAAAGAATGGAGTAATACACAAGGTTATTCACAAACCTTTATTTTGAAATGATAGACGCAATATCTTCATTTGAAATGCTAGTGAGATGGGTAATTTCTAATAATTTACAGGCTTTCATATATCATATGCTCAGTGAATATGCTATAAAATAATCTTCAGTTTAACAGTTGATGTTGCAATCACTGCATTAAATAAAATAGTCATTGCATTTTCACACAGTTTGCTCAAAACCACTGAGCATGGAGTAGTGTGGTCTAAAAATTCATCAATAAATCATAGCCATCTTACTGTATCCAGTTAAAGTATGATTATCTAATTTTTGAGATATAGGGACTTCTCTGGAGGTATTCTTAATTCCCTAAGAATTAAAAGTAGAAAGGTATCACTATATATAGAGTAGATCGAGTATGCCCACACAGAGATCTTTTTAAGCATATGCAGATAGGCTGCTAACCTGTTATGATAAAAAACTCAATTTGGTTAGATTGGCTGCAAAACTGATACTGGATAAGATGTCAATGCAATATAGCATTGGGACAAAGATGACTTGGGTAATACATGTCTCAGATTCAGTAAGGTGCAGAGATCAGATTTTGATGTGATGTTTTCATTTGTTGATAAAGCCTGTCACTTAACAATATCTTTGAGCCTCATATTTATAATCTATGTAATGAAAATGATAACATATTTCATAAGATTGCTGAAATAACACAATGGATGTCAATAATGTAATAAATGATATGAAATGCTATTCAATATGGGTGGGAATCAATATTGTCAACTAGGACCCACAAGACAAAATGTGTACAAATATTTAGCAATAGTTTGTATTAAATAAAACATAAAAACTTAATAAATACTTGCTAAAATTAAGAATGTAGAATGATCAGTATATTATTAATCTTAGAATAAAAATTCATAAGAAAAGATCAAGAATACATGATCATTGAATCTCTTGCCCTCTTTCAGTTAACCTTCATCCTGAAAAATTAAAAATTAAGTTTATTAGAAAAAATGTACATATTAAGTTGAAAATAAGCCTTTTCTGTTAATCTGGTTTACTTGAATGTTAATCCTTTACTTAGATGGCTTTTAACTCTGTTGTATCATTTAGTAAAAATTGAACCACCCTATCTCCAACAGGTAAAAATAAAATATATGACAGTAGCACAAAGGATAAGAAGAAATTAGAAATATATTGTTGTAAGGTTCTTATACTGTAAGTGAAGTGGTATAATATTACTTGAAGGTAGATTCTGATTAATTAAAGAAGTCTATTGTAAGTCCTAGGACAACCATCAAACTCAATTTTTTGAAATGATAGTAAGCCATTATTGTGAGTAAAACCAAATCTTAAAAAATGTTCAATTAATTTTTAAAGAGGCAGAAAAGGAGGAACAAATTAAAAAATAGGTAATACCTAGGATAATGGTAAATTTTAATCGACTATATTAATATTCACATTAAAATATACAGGGTCTAAACCTACCAATTTAAAGACAGAGATTATAAAATTGGATTTTTTTTTTAAGCATGGGTCACATTCCCTTTGAAAACTGGCACAAGACAGGGATGCCCTCTCTCACCACTCCTATTCAACATAGTGCTGGAAGTTCTGGCCAGGGCAGTCAGGCAAGAGAAAGAAATAAAGGATATTCAATTAGGAAAAGAGGAAGTTAAATTGTCCTTGTTTGCAGATGACATGATCGTATATTTAGAAAACCCCATCGTCTCAGCCCAAAATCTACTTAAGCTGATAAGCAACTTCAGCAAAGTCTCAGGATACAAAATCAATGTGCAAAAATTACAAGCATTCTTAAACACCAATAACAGAGAGACAGCCAAATCATGAGTGAACTCCCATTCACAATTGTTTCAAACAGAATAAAATACCTAGGAATCCAACTTACAAAGGAAGTAAAGGACCTCTTCAAGGAGAACTACAACCCACTGCTCAACGAAATAAAAGAGGACACAAACAAATGGAAGAACATTCCATGCTCATGGACAGGAAGAATCAATATCATGAAAATGGCCATACTGCCCAAGGTAATTTATAGATTCAATGCCATCCCCATCAAGCTACCAATGACTTTCTTCACAGAATTGGAAGAAACTAGTTTAAAGTTCATATGGAACCAAAAAAGAGCCTGCACTGCCAAGACAATCCTAAGCCAAAAGAACAAAGCTGGAGGCATCACGCTACTTGACTTCAAACTATACTACAAGGCTCCAGTAACCAAAACAGCATGGTACTGGTACCAAAACAGAGATATAGACCAATGGAACAGAACAGAGCCCTCAGAAATAATACCACACATCTACAACCACCTGATCTTTGGCAAATCTGACAAAAACAAGCAATGGGGAAAGGATTCCCTATTTAACAAATAGTGCTGGGAAAACTGGCTAGCCATATGTAGAAAGCTGAAACTGGATCCCTTCCTTACACCTTATACAAAAATTAATTCAAGATGGATTAAAGACTTAAATATTAGACCTAAAACCATAAAAACCCTAGAAGAAAACCTAGGCATTACCATTCAGGACATAGGCATGGGCAAGGACTTCATGTCTAAAACACCAAAAGCAGTGGCAACAAAAGCCAAAATTGACAGATGGGATCTAATTAAACTAAAGAGCTTTTGCACAGCAAAAGAAACTACCATCAGAGTGAACAGGCAGCCTACAGAATGGGAGAAAATTTTTGCAATCTATTGAGCTGACAAAGGGCTAATATCCAGAATCTACAATGAACTCAAACAAATTTACAAGAAAAAAAACAACCCCATCAAAAAGTGGGCAAAGGATATGAACAGACACTTCTCAAAAGAAGACATTTATGCAGCCAACAGACACATGAATAAATGCTGATCATCACTGGCCATCAGAGAAATGCAAATCATAACCACAGTGAGATACCATCTCACACCAGTTGGAATGGAGATCATTAAAAAGTCAGGAAACAACAGGTGCTGGAGAGGATGTGGAGAAATAGGAACACTTTTACACTGTTGGTGGGATTGTAAACTAGTTCAACCATTGTGGAAGACAGTGTGGCTATTCTTCAAGGATCTAGAACTAGAAATACCATTTGACCCAGCCATCCCATTACTGGGTATATACCCAAAGGATTATAAATCATGCTGCTATAAAGACCCATGCACACATATGTTTATTGTGGCACTATTCACAATAGCAAAGACTTGGAACCAACCCAAATGTCCATCAGTGATAGACTGGATTAGGAAAATGTGGCACATATACACCATGGAATACTATGCAGCCATAAAAAAGGATGAGTTCATATCCTTTGCAGAGACATGGATGAAGCTGGAAACCATCATTCTCAGCAAACTATCGCAAGGGCAAAAAACCAAACACCGCATGTTCTCACTCATAGGTGGGAATTGAACAATGAGAACACTTGGACACAGGAAGGGGAACATCACACACCGCGGCCTGTTGTGGGGTGGAGGGAGGGGGGAGGGATAACATTAGGAGATATACCTAATGTAAATGACGAGTTAATAGGTGCAGCACACCAACATGGCACATGTATACCTATGTAACAAACCTGCACATTGTGCACATGTACCCTGGAACTTAAAGTATAAAAAAAAAAGCATGGGTCAGATGTATGTTGCCTATAGGAAACCTATTTTAAATATAAAGGGATACATAATTTAAAGTTAAAAAGATGATAAAAGATATACCATTTAAATGTAAATTAAAGGTGGGGTAACTATGTTTATACCAGACAATGCAGCCTTCAGAACAAGGAATATTACCGAAGATATAAAGGGGCAGACATTACATTACGGTAAAGGGGTTCAATTCTCTAAGATGTAACTTCTAAATATGCATGCACTAGAGTTTCAAAATACATAAAGAAGACAAAGAAAATTAAACAAACGAGGTGTACTGAGCAGTGAAGGAAGTTATTGGTAAAAGAAACATGGGTGTATCCAATTTATCTAATTGAACAAAAGCCAGAAAAAAGAGTAAATATTGTCTGTTTCTGTTTGTTTGAGATTCTAAAAATGCAAACTTAATAAAAATTCTAGAAAATGCAAACTAATTCACAGTACATTGTGCATATTAGCGTTGCCTCATGGAAGATAGAGGCACATGAGGGATGATCATAATGAAACATGAAGAAAATTTGAGGGTCATGGATATGTTCATTTTCTTGATTGTAGTGATGGTTTTATGGTTGTTTTTATTTTAGAACTTATGTGACTGTACCCTGTAAGTAAATATGTGCAATTTATTACATTCTAGTTATTCTCTAAAATGTTAAAAACTTTATGTAATAAGTTATTCAATCTATTCGCAATGTCTGATTTCAATTAACGCATAATTACATGAAGGGCCAGGACATTAAAAAATCTAACTGATTGACAGCCCAGTAATTCAATTTTATTACTGAGCCAATACTCTTTCTTTAGGATTTTTTTTTTTTTTTTCAGAAGACTTCTTTGTAAAGCTATTACTTTATTGCCAAACTACCAGTCTACTATTAGGCTGAAAAGTATGTAAATTCCAGTGGTGACCTTTGTACAAATCATTCACTTGGGAAAATGAGAAAAATTAGTAGACATTTAAGGGTAATGGTTACTGAATACAGAATTATGTATAATATGACTTGCTTCTAATTTCCCCTCTGCAATGAACTGTGGCTTCAGGGTCATAATTTTACCTCTGATATCTCTATATTCACACCTAGAAAATAAGGTGCTGAATAAACTGAACGTTTCCAATTCTAAACCATATGATTTAATAGCAATACACATTTATGCCCCTTCTGCTCTGTGTTAGCTACTGTGCTAGGTGTTACATACATGAAGATAAAATCATTCCCAGCAAGAAGTTCACAGCTTACTGGAGGAAGCTGTAAGCACGTTGTTATAATACTATGTGTTTTCTGTGACTAGACACATTATCACAGGGTGCCTTCGGAACACAGAGGAAAAAAACGCCTAACTCTGTGAGTGTAGCAGACACTTGTTGGTTATTTTCCCATTATCCACTGCCTTTTCTTACTTTCCATCTGTTCCTGATTACCACCACCTGCCAAAGTGATTCAAGACAGATTACACCATGTCTTCAAACTGTGTCCTAAGCTTATCCAACAAAAATCTCAGGACTTATACTGAGAATTTTGGAGTACGCACATAATGAACACAGGATAGGTATGATATGACTTTCATTCTAATTTCTTCCTCTGAGCACTAATGTGCTGACAATACATACATAACCTATAGAACACCTCCATGGTTAACCTTTTTCAATGTTTATCATAAAGTATTTGAATCTAATTTTATTTTTCTTACCTGGATAGCATATTCATGTTAGACCAGGCTAGGGTATGTATGCAGTTCTCTAACTGGCTACTGCTGACATATAAATCCATTCATGTAGCCTGAGATGGGGCCAGCTCTATGAAACTACATGAACTGAAGATATATATGACGTGGTTTTCAATGAAAGATGGGATTAATGTCAAAGTTGGAGATGTCTGTCTGGCAATCAATAGATCTCAATTACAATATATAATAAAATGAGTTAATCTATTCTATGTTTTATAACACCCAAACAGGTAACTTGTCAACCACACAATGTCTTTTATTTAGGATTTTGAAGATGAAGGTTAGAAAATTAAACGTAATATAATGTTATCAGAGCACAAAAGAAAACTTAAGGATATAAGATTGTACATCCCAGAAAATTAACTATTTGATTTCTTCTCATTTAAAGACATGTTTATTTTCTAGAAATAATCTAATGAAGAATAATCTAACATCTTCTTATAGAATGAGGAAATCCTGATTAAAACTTCTTTATTCCTGTTTACATGGTAATGTCTCTATTATCATCTAGACTATCAATGTCTACTTGTTAGTCTATATGCTAAGTTTTCAGCTAGATAGGTTTTAGGCAGAATCTGCAGCTGATTTTTTATTGTCTTTGAATTTAAAAAAATCAGTAATGATGAGTTATCTCTAGTATACAATTTCATCTTTAGTTGTTTTTTCTATTTTTCATTCAGTGTCTACTTGTTAGTCTATATGCTAATTTTTCAGCTAGATGGGTTTTAGTCGGAATCTATAGCTGATTTTTTATGGTCTTTGAATTTAAAAAATTCAGTAATGGTGAGTTATCTCTAGTATACAATTCCATCTTTACTTGTTTTTTCTATTTTTCATTTTCAAGCTCATAATCACTTTATATTTTTGTAAAATTCATGAATGCTCATTTACCTTTTAAACAAGAGGGGAAATTATATATCTGGCTATTATTCAAAGGAAAAGCTTAATATGGGCTTCCAGATCTCCATGGGAACACAGTAAGTGTTCCCATGATTCATTTTCTAGACATGGAGAAAAAATTAGTTTCCATGGAGATACAAAGGTGAGCTAAACAGAGATGGCCTAAGGGTCATTGACATTGTAAGTCCAGACAATTCTGCATCCTTCTTGATCCTGTTATGTTTGAGGTACTTCTGAATTCAACCTGAAATGGCAATGAGTAACTTAATTAAACAGTTTTTTTTAATATTTCTTGTTAAATTTTTAAAAACTGATTTGCATTTGTCAGATAATAGTAGAACAGTGTATATAAAATAATCTGGGGAATAAACTTAGGAAATATAATAACTGAAAGCTTAAAGTTTACTGTGGAAAAATTCAATAATACACCTATGAAGTGATATTATGTCATTGCTTTTTGGGAAAAAATCTCTTAGTGATATTTATCATAGAATATTTTTTAAAATTACTAATCACTTTAACCAGAAAATATTCATTGTTCTCAAATAAAAATCTCTACACAAAACCATTCACTCCATGTTGGGCATTTTATACATCCAGGCAATCAACATTCAATTTGCCAGTAGTGGTATTGTTTCCAATGAGGTAGAATCAGTAGTTTCTTCTTTTACAGTTTTATACTTAGGTCTAGGAGATACTGTGTGCTCAAGTAAAAATGATAACCATATCATGTGGTTAGCACAATTTAACAAAAAAAAATTGTACATAGAATAGAGCAGACAATATTTATATTCATATTCATTAATGTATTCGTTCAAGAAAAATACACTGAGTACATGCTATATGTAAGGTATTATGAACAAAACTTTGAACACAGAAATAAAAGATGGTCACTGGCTGGGCACGGTGGCTCACGCCTGTAATCCCAGCACTTTGAGAGGCTGAGGTGGGTGGATCACCTGAAGTCAGGAGTTTGAGACCAGTAGAGATGTTGAAACCCCATCTCTACTTAAAACACAAAAATTAGCTGGGTATGGTGGTGGATGCTTGTAATTCTAGCTAGTCAGGAGGCTGAGGCAGGAGAATTGCTTGAACCCAGGAGGTGGAGGTTGCAGTAAGCCGAGGTCACGCCACTGCACTCCAGCCTGGGCGACAGAGCAAGATTCCATCTCCAAAAAAAAAAAGTGGTCACTTTCTTCTGCAATCTTAAGTAAGCAATTATAAAACTACATAATAAATGCTGGGAAGGAGATATAAATAGGGAAGGGTAGGAGCACTTAGGAGAAGCTCCTATCTCAGACAAGACAGGGTTCAGATGAATGTGACACTTGAATTGGATGTTGAATAAATATAGAAAGTAACACAGTAGGTGAAAAACAAAAGGGAACAGGATACAAAGCATCCAGATATGAGCTAGACTGATACATTGCCAAATAAGTTCTTCACCACGTTTGGAAGGATGGGAACAGGTGTGGGAAATGCTAGATAAATAACTAGAATATTGAGAAATGACATTTTGAAGTGTTCTGTAAGTGTGCTCAGAATTTAAAGCAAATTGATATAAACAGATGATTCTAAAAATGAGCATACTGGGGCTGTACTGGGAGAGCCTGGAAGCCTATGAGACCATAAGCATAGAAACAAGTTAGGCACCCATTAAAATATTCAAAGCAAGAAATACCAAGGGAGTACTTCATGTGAGTAAATTCAGAATCCATGAAGGAAAAATTCAGTTATTTTATCCTTGAAAGACACTTTTGAATTTCATGGAACTCAAGTTGATTTTCTATCAATATATTGGTCTAAGGCAGAAATTACAAAGTAGCAGTGACTAATGAGCTATGGTTGGTCCTAATGTGTGCTGGCTCACTTTGTGTTTAAAATAATTAAATTGGAATGCCCTTGGATTCAGCAAGTACTTTTAGATCCAGTTTGCTGCAGTCCTCAGCACTCTCTATTATCACTTATTTCAAACATTGAGGTTACCATTGTGACCACACTGATTTGAACCACGTCAGTTCATAGGCACCCATTTAAAGTATTCCTTAACTATTTGGTATGTTGTATTATGTTTCTTCATGTGTATTCTCTTGGTTTGTTCATCCTTTTCTTATATGTTCTGCTGGTTTTAGGAGTAACTTTTAGTATTAGGATTTATCATTAAGTTTATGTTTATTAAGTTTATCATTATGTTTGAATTAGTACATTTTACTTTTCTCAATCTGCCTAAATTAATTTTTATCTTTTGTCAGTATTATAAACATTAAGCTTGATAATTTAAAAACTATAATACATGTATTTCTTCTTACTATTAAATAGAACAAGACATGAGTCAACCAGATGAGATTTATCAAGACAAACAAATTGCTTGTTGCAAGCCTAATAATCCAGGACAAGATCACGTGAATTTCTTGTCTGAGTAATGCAGCTGGAGACCAAAAATAACTATTTCTACTACACAACAAAAATATCAGACAAATACTGAGTATTTACAGTGTTCCAAAAATGATTCTAAGCATTCAAATGGGATGAACTGATTTAATCTTCATAACAACCTTATGATTTTTAGGGACGAGAAAACCAAGGCACAAAGTGGGTAATTGACCTTGCTAATATCACACAGCTACTAAGTAACAGAGTTTGAGATTTGATCCTAAAGAATCTGAATTAGAGTGAATTCATATGATGAGAAAAGGAAAATCACTTTTTCACATGGCATGAAATAGAAGCTCCATTCATTAATATTTGTGAATTTGATGTATCACATGTCATTTGAGACTTTTTATTATAGAAAATTTCAAATACATATGACAGTTGAGGGAAGTCCTGTGTACCAGTCACACTGCTTTAATAATAATCCACTCATATGCCATCTAGTTTCATCTGTACTCTTACATGTACCGTTTTAAAAAAACTGGATTATTTTAAAACAAATCCAAAATATTATAGCATCTTATTTCCAAAAGAGGAGGGCATGTAAAACAATACCTAACCCCAATACTATTATCACACTGAAGAAAAGTCTTAATATCATTAAGTATTCAGTAAATTACATCACATATATGTTGACTTGCATGAAAGCTTTACTAAACCTTGAAAACAAACAAAATTATTTTTTGATAGTTCTGATGTTTATGGAAAATCAAAGTATTTTTGTGAGACCATAGCTTCTAGTACTTGGCCAGGTAGTTCATGAAATATATATTGACTTTAATTTGATTTTTTCTCCTTTCAACTGTGAAACAAAAGTGTCTACTATTGCTTTTTTTTTCCTGTTTCAATTGCCCTGTTTAATGTGTAAAATCCTGCTTCATATAATTATAATACCATAGGACACCTTACACTCATTATTAAAAGTATAAATAATATTACATTAACTGTTTTTTCTGTTATTTATTTTAAGAACTTCTTCACACCACTATGAACACTGTCAATTTCATTTGAATGCTACATATTTTCCATCATTTACTTCTCTGACAACTTTCTTCCAGTGTATTCTACCTTCCTGACTATTGAGATTCTATGTCTTTTTTTTTATTACTTTGAATAGAATGGTCTGAAGAAAACTTACTTCTTTAACAAAAATGACATATTATTATACCTCAAGTTTTGGAAAGAAGCTGACTTGCGAAATGACATGACAGGTATGCTGAACTAAAAGTCACCCACTCTTTCATACAGTCACAGTATGCTTGTGTGATACCCCAGAGACAAGATGCTCTAAATATTAGCACAGTGCACAGTGGCAACTACAAAGGAAAATTAATCTGGGGAGCCTCTATATCAGTTCCCTGAATTTCTCAATTTCTGTTTCTCTTATTTGCAGTTCAAGCTTTTCACTAGAACGAACCAATGTAAAATGTGTTAACTGGGATAATGTAATAAAAGTTTTTGGTAAGAATGGATAGAAGGAGATGGGAAAGAAGGATCCACATTAATTGATTTCCTAGCATATGTCAGGCAATGTAATTTTGTCATGTCATTGAATTTTTAATACAACCCTAGGAAGAAGGCATTATCTCTGTTTTAAGACTGTAGAAACTGAGATTAGATTAAGTTACTTTCCTTTTCTTTTTCTTTTTTTTAAATTTTTTTATTATTATTACATTTCAAGTTTTAGTGTACATGTGCACAATGTGCAGGTTTGTTACATATATATATATATATATATGTGCCATGTTGGTGTGCTGCACCCATTAACTCGTCATTTAACATTAGGTATATCTCCTAATGCTATCCTTCCCCCCTCACCCCACCCGAAAACAGGCCCTGGATTGTGATGTTCCCCTTCCTGTGTCCCTGTGTTCCATTGTTCAATTCCCACCTATGAGTGAGAACATGCGGTGTTTGGTTTCTTTGTCCTGGCGATAGTTTCCTGAGAATGATGGTTTCCAGTTTCATCCATGTCCCTACAAAGGACATGAACTCATCCTTTTTTATGGCTGCATAGTATTCCATGGTGTATATGTGCCACATTTTCTTAATCCATTTTATCATTATTGGACATTTGGGTTGGTTCCAAGTCTTTGTTATTGTGAATAGTGCCGCAATAAACATATGTGTGCATGTGTCTTTATAGCAGCATGATTTATAATCCTTTGGGTATATACCCAGTAATGGGATGGCTGGGTCAAATGGTATTTCTAGTTCTAGATCCCTGAGGAATCGCCACACTGTCTTCCACAATGGTTGAACTAGTTTACAGTCCCACCAACAGTGTAAAAGTGTTCCTATTTCTCCACATCCTCTCCAGCACCTGTTGTTTCCTGACTTTTTAATGATCTCCATTCTAACTGGTGTGAGATGGTATCTCATTGTGGTTTTGATTTGCATTTCTCTGATGGCCAGTGATGATGAGCATTTTTTCATGTGTTTTTTGGCTGCATAAATGTCTTCTTTTGAGAAGTGTCTGTTCATATCCTTTGCCCACTTTTTGATGGGGTTGTTTTTTTTCTTGTAAATTTGTTTGAGTTCATTGTAGATTCTGGATATTAGTCTTTTGTCAGATGAGTAGGTTGTGAAAATTTTCTCCCATTCTGTAGGTTGCCTGTTCACCCTGATGGTAGTTTCTTTTGCTGTGCAGAAGCTCTTTAGTTGAATGAGATCCCATTTGTCAATTTTGGCTTTTGTTGCCATTGCTTTTGGTGTTTCAGACATGAAGTCCTTGCCCATGCCTCTATTCTGAATAGTATTGCCTAGGTTTTCTTCTAGGGTTATTATGGTTTTAGGTCTAACACGTAAGTCTTTAATCCATCTCGAATTAATTTTTGTATAAGGTGTAAGGAAGGGATCCAGTTTCAGCTTTCTATATATGGCTAGCCAGTTTTCCCAGCACCATTTATTAGATAGGGAATCCTTTCCCCTTTGCTTGTTTTTGTCAGGTTTGTCAAAGATCAGATGGTTGTAGAAATGTGGCATTATTTCTGAGGGCTCTGTTCTGTTCCATTGATCTATATCTCTGTTTTGGTACCAGTACCATGCTGTTTTGGTTACGGTAGCCTTGTAGTATAGTTTGAAGTCAGGTAGCGTGATGCCTCTAGCTTTGTTCTTTTGGCTTAGGATTGACTTGGCGATGTGGACTCTTTTTTGGTTCCATATGAACTTTAAAGTAGTTTTTTCCAATTCTGTGAAGAAAGTCATTGGTAGCTTGGTGGGGATGGTATTGAATCTATAAATTACCTGGGACAGTATGGCCATTTTCATGATATTGATTCTTCCTACCCATGAGCATGGAATGTTCTTCCATTTGTTTGTATCCTCTTTTATTTCATTGAACAGTGGTTTGTGGTTCTCCTTGAAGAGGTCCTTCACATCCCTTGTAAGTTGGATTCCTAGGTATTTTATTCTGTTTGAAGCAATTGTGAATGGGAGTTCACTCATGATTTGGCTCTCTGTTTGTCTGTTATTGGTGTATAAGAATGCTTGTGATTTTTGTACATTGATTTTGTATCCTGAGACTTTGCTGAAGTTGCTTATCAGCTTAAGGAGATTTTGGGCTGAGATGATGGGGTTTTGTAGATATACAATCATGTCATCTGCAAACAGGGACAATTTGACTTCCTCTTTTCTTAATTGAATACCCTTTATTTCCTTCTCCTGCCTGATTGCCCTGGCCAGAACTTCCAACACTATGTTGAAAAGGAATGGTGAGAGAGGGCATCCCTGTCTTGTGCCAGTTTTCAAAGGGAATGCTTCCAGTTTTTGCCCATTCAGTATGATATTGGCTGTGGGTTTGTCATAGATAGCTCTTATTATTTTGAGATACATCCCATCAATACCTAATTTATTGAGAGTTTTTAGCACGAAAGGTTGTTGAATTTTGTCAAAGGCCTTTTCTGCATCTATTGAGATAATCATGTGGTTTTTGTCTTTGGTTCTGTTTATATGCTGGATTACATTTATTGATTTGTGAATGTTGAACCAGCCTTGCATCCCAGGGATGAAGCCCACTTGATCATGGTGGATAAGCTTTTTGATGTGCTCCTGGATTTGGTTTGCCAGTATTTTATTGAGGATTTTTGCATCAATGTTCATCAAGGATATTGGTCTAAAATTCTCTTTTTTTGTTGTGTCTCTGCCAGGCTTTGGTATCAGGATGATGCTAGCCTCATAAAATGAGTTAGGGAGGATTCCCTCTTTTTCTATTGATTGGAATAGTTTCAGAAGGAATGGTACCAGCTCCTCCTTTTACCTCTGGTAGAATTCAGCTGTGAATCCATCTGGTCCTGGACTTTTTTTGGTTGGTAAGCTATTGATTATTGCCACAATTTCAGAGCCTGTTATTGGTCTCTTCAGAGATTCAACTTCTTCCTGGTTTAGTCTTGGAAGGGTGTATGTGTTGAGGAATTTATCCATTTCTTCTAGATTTTCTAGTTTATTTGCATAGAGGTGTTTGTAATATTCTCTGATGGTAGTTTGTATTTCTGTGGGATCAGTGGTGATATCCCCTTTATCATTTTTTATTGCGTCTATTTGATTCTTCTCTCTTTTCTTCTTTATTAGTCTTGCTAGCGGTCTGTCAATTTTGTTGATCTTTTCAAAAAACTAGCTCCTGGATTCATTAATTTTTTGAAGGGTTTTTTGTGTCTCTATTTCCTTCAGTTCTGCTCTGATGTTAGTTATTTCTTGCCTTCTGCTAGCTTTTGAATGTGTTTGCTCTTGCTTTTCTAGTTCTTTTAATTGTGATGTTAGGGTGTCAATTTTGTATCTTTCCTGGTTTCTCTTGTGGGCTTTTAGTGCTATAAATTTCCCTCTACACACTGCTTTGAATGTGTCCCAGAGAGTCTGGTATGTTGTGTCTTTGTTCTCGTTGGTTTCAAAGAACATCTTTATTTCTGCCTTCATTTCGTTATGTACCCAGTAGTCATTCAGGAGCAGGTTGTTCAGTTTCCATATAGTTGAGCGGTTTTGAGTGAGTTTCTTAATCCTGAGTTCTAGTTTGATTGCACTGTGGTCTGAGAGACAGTTTGTTATAATTTCTGTTCTTTTGCATTTGCTGAGGAGTGCTTTACTTCCAACTATGTGGTCAATTTTGGAATAGGTGTGGTGTGGTGCTGACAAGAATGTATATTCTGTTGATTTGGGGTGGAGAGGTCTGTAGATGTCTATTAGGTCCGCTTGGTGCAGAGCTGAGTTCAATTCCTGGGTATCCTTGTTAACTTTGTGTCTCGTTGATCTGTCTAATGTTGACAGTGGGGTGTTAAAGTCTCCCATTATTATTGTGTGGGAGTCTAAGTCTCTTTGTAGGTCACTCAGGACTTGCTTTATGAATCTGGGTGGTCCTGTATTGGGTGCATATATATTTAGGATAGTTAGCTCTTCTTGTTGAATTGATCCCTTTACCATTATGTAATGGCCTTCTTTGTCTCTTTTGATCTTTGTTGGTTTAAAGTCTGTTTTATCGGAGACTAGGATTGCAACCCCTGCCTTTTTTTGTTTTCCATTTGCTTGGTAGATCTTCCTCCATCCCTTTATTTTGAGCCTATGTGTGTCTCTGCACATGAGATGGGTTTCCTGAATATAGCACACTGATGGGTCTTGACTCTTTATCCAATTTGCCATTCTGTGTCTTTTAATTGGAGCATTTAGTCCATTTACATTTAAAGTCAATATTGTTATGTGTGAATTTGATCCTGTCATTATGATGTTAGCTGGTTATTTTGCTCGTTAGTTGATGCAGTTTCTTCCTAGCCTTGATGGTCTTTACATTTTGGCATGTTTTTGGCGTGGCTGGTACCGGTTGTTCCTTTCCATGTTTAGTGCTTCCTTCAGGAGCTCTTTTAGGGTAGGCCTGGTGGTGACAAAATCTCTCAGCATTTGCTTGTCTGTAAAGTATTTTATTTCTCCTTCACTTATGAAGGTTAGTTTGGCTGGATATGAAATTCTGGGTTGAAAATTCTTTAAGAATGTTGAATGTTGGCCCCCACTCTCTTCTGGCTTGTAGAGTTTCTGCTGAGAGATCCACTGTTAGTGTGATGGGCTTCCCTTTGTGGGTAACTCGACTTTTCTCTCTGGCTGCCCTTAACATTTTTTCCTTCATTTCAACTTTGGTGAATCTGACAATTATGTTTCTTGGAGTTGCTTTTCTCGAGGAGTATCTTTGTGGCGTTCTCTGTATTTCCTGAATCTGAATGTTGGCCTGCCTTGCTAGATTGGGGAAGTTCTCCTGGATAATATCCTGCAGAGTGTTTTCCAACTTGGTTCCATTCTCCCCGTCACTTTCAGGTACACCAATCAGACGTAGATTTGGTCTTTTCACATAGTCCCATATTTCTTAGAGGCTTTGTTCATTTCTTTTTATTGTTTTTTCTCTAAGCTTCCCTTCTCACTTCATTTCATTCATTTCATCTTCCATCACTGATACCCTTTCTTCCCTTTGATCTCATCTGCTCCTGAGGCTTCTGCATTCTTCACGTAGTTCTCAGGCCTTGGCTGTCAGCTCCATCAGCTCCTTTAAGGCCTTCTCTGCATTGGTTATTCTAGTTATCCATTCATCTAATTTTTTTTCAAGTTTTCTAACTTCTTTGCCATTGGTATGAATTTCCTCCTGTAGCTCAGAGTAGTTTGATTGTCTGAAGCCTTCTTCTCTCAACTCGTCAAAGTCATTCTCCATGCAGCTTTGTTCCATTGCTGGTGAGGAGCTGCGTTCCTTTGGAGGAGGAGAGGCTCTCTGCTTTTTAGAGTTTCCAGTTTTTCTGCTCTGTTTTTTCCCCATCTTTGTGGTTTTATCTACTTTTGGTCTTTGATGATGGTGACGTACAGATGGGTTTTGTTGTGGATGTCCTTTATGTTTGTTAGTTTTCCTTCTAACAGACAGGACCCTCAGCTGCAGGTCTGTTGGAGTTTGCTAGAGGTCCACTCCAGACCCTTTTTGCCTGGGTGTCAGCAGCAGTGGCTGCAGAACAGCGGTGGCTGTAGAGCAGCGGATTTTGGTGACCTGCAAATGCTACTGCCTGATCGTTCCTCTGGAAGTTTTGTCTCAGAGGAGTACCCGGCCTTGAGAGGTGTCAGTCTGCCCCTACTGGGGGGTGCCTCCCAGTTAGGCTGCTGGGGAGTCAGGGACCCACTTGAGGCAGTCTTCCTGTTCTCATATCTCCAGCTGCGTGCTGGATAAACCACTACTCTCTTCAAAGCTGTCAGACAGGGACATTTAAGTCTGCAGAGGTTACTGCTGTCTTTTTATTTGTCTGTGCCCTGCCCCCAGATGTGGAGCCTACAGAGGCAGGCAGGCCTCCTTGAGCTGTGGTGAGCTCCACCCAGTTTGAGCTTCCTGGCTGCTTTGTTTACCTAATCAAGCCTGCGCAATGGCAGGCACCCCTCCCCCAGCCTCACTGCTGCCTTGCAATTTGATTTCAGACTGCTGTGCTAGCAATCAGTGAGACTCTGTGGGCGTAGGACCCTCCAAGCCATGTGTGGGATATAATCTCCTGGAGCGCCATTTTTTAAGCCCGTCGGAAAAGCGCAGTATTAGGCTGGGAGTGTCTGGATTTTCTAGGTGCCATCTGTCATCCCTTTCTTTGACTAGGAAAGGGAACTCCCTGACCCCTTGAGCTTCCCAAGTGAGGCAGTTCTTCACCCTGCTTCTTCTTGCGCACAGTGCGCTGCACCCACTGTCCTGCACCCACTGTCTGGCACTCCCTAGTGAGATGAACCCGGTACCTCACATGGAAATGCAGAAATCACCCGTCTTCTGCGTTGCTCATGCTGGGAGTTGTAGACTGGAGCTCTTCCTATTCAGCCATCGTGGCTCCACCCCTCAATGATCTAAGTTACTTTCTTAAAGTGACACAAACACAAATATTGAAGGTGTTTCAACTCTAAATTTTTGTTTTAGCATCATGCCATTTTAATACGAGACATTATATAACTATTTTGTAAAAATGGAATGAGATATAGAGGATTAATTTAGGGTAGCATTAATAAGGTATTTTATACCATCAGGTCACATTATTTTTCAGTTATTGGACTGATATAATTAGCCATCTATTTGAATAAAGAGAAACTTTGTCCGTATTTTATATTCTCAAAAATATTAAATAAATTTTTTAAAGTTGAAACAAAACAGAATCTATAAATATTATTGTATGGAAAGCCTTTCTACCTGTAACATAAACCTCAGAAACCATAAAGAATAAGATTGACAGAGTTGATCTTATAAATATTTTTAAATTTATATGGTTAAAGACACCATTAACAAAGTTAGAAGGGAAAATTAAAAATATTTAAAACCTAACTGAAAAGAAAAAGGCTTAATACTCTCACTATATAAAAAAGATACAGTAAAACAAAATATGCAAGAAAACCAGCAGCCTAGAAAATAAAATAGGCAAAATGTAATGAACCAACAATTTAGAGAAGAAATGTAATGACTAATAACCATGATAAAAATAAACATTTAAAATGCAAATTTAAACAATAGTTTTTTTTTTATATTTGTCAAATGTGCAAAAAATATTTATTCATTATTAGCATCAGCTTTTGGGAGTAGTTGATTTATAAAATTGAATGCTTTACACATGTGAAATATAGTGATATATATGAGTATGTGCTTACTTGTAAAGATAGTTTGTGATATATGCTTTATTTGTAACAAAGCAATATGTACAATTTCATTGTTTTGATAGAAAACTAACCAGAAATAAATGTGTACATATGTTTATCTTTATGATTAAATACAAAATATACTTATATGGAAATAAGCATATATAAATATGTACAAAAATATATAAGCATATGTATTTTAAGCTTGTAAATAAGATTTTTATACACATATGTATTTTGTGTGTGTGTGTGTGTGTGTGTATATATATATATATAAAATAAGCATATTGGTGCCTTTAAGTGTTATGTTGGAGAAAGAAGGAGGAAACACATTTTTCTTATTGTTATATACATTTAAAACTTTACCACAAAGTGATTTTTCAGTAACTTTTTTGTTGCCCTTTTTAGTGTAGTAAGCATCTCTTTTATAATCACAAATAATAGTAGGTTGGTGCAAAAGTAATTGTACCAACTTAAATATAGTGGTTTCAAATGTTTTGTAAATTGTGAAATTATATTCCTATTATTAATTTCAGTAATTATATCCCTATTCCATATTGTATATTACTCAGAGTTTATTAAAAATCCCCTTACAAGGTTATTATAATAATGAATGCTCATGATAATGGAAAAAATAAAAAGAAATAACCACACTAGAACATCAATACAATTCCTCAATCATAGTATATATATTTTAAAAGATAAAAATAGAGATGTCACATAAAATAATGTGTCCAAAATAATGTTAAAACATATAAACATAATCTTTAACATAGCAAGTATCCACAGCTTCAGTGTTAATCTCTTTATGTATATATAAATTTATATTAGTCACTGATAGGAACTAGAATAATTGCACACATGCAGAAAAAGCTCATGAAGGTAATATCCCAAACAGAATAGTGATTCTTTGTGGAGAGGAAGAGGGACTGGAATAAGTGGTCAAGGGCTTACTTGTCTTAACTATGATTGTGTTTAATAATAAAAGTGATTGCGAAAATTTTAACAGTTTAAAGAGGGAGATAGAAATATTTTATATTTGATTCTGGTAGTGTTCATATGACTGTTTTTGTCAGAGCTCATAGCACTATACACTAAAAAGGGTGAATTTTACTGTGCTTAAATTATAAAACAACTTTAAATAGAAACTGGAAGAATATACAGAATATTGTAAATATATGGTATTTTAAATCATAGGGCTTTAACTGTAAAATTGTTATAAAAACCCTTAAAATCTATTTTCCAAAACATATCCTTTTATCTCATTAAAATAGACCAGATGGCACAAAAACTTAGGGATGTTTATTTATTGAAGGTTCTTTGCCTCAGCATGAGGTAATCTCACATTCAGTCCTATGTGCAATTTATGAGAACTGAATTTCATGAGAATAAAAACATGTTGAGTAATTAACAGATTATAATATTTCAGTTATTGGCTTCTATTTCTATGTAGTCCAACCTACTGTATAAAATAGGGTGCTCATTTTCTTCTACTTTTTTCCCTGGATAGCATAGGCATGGACCTTTAAATTCCCAATCAAGTTTACTTAATATTTTCCCTATACAATAGCTGTAGATGTTGCAGACAAAGACAGGGTGAGCTTCTCAGTTGCTTTGCGAAGAGAAATAAATTGTGATTAGTAAGGTACATAATAAATACATCTTAAAATTTAATATTAGAAGTAATATATTCTTAGCAGATACTCTCATTTTTTTCTTTTTAAATTATACTTTAAGTTCTGGGGTACGTGTGCAGAACGCGCAGGTTTCTTCCATAGGTATACACATGCCGTGATGGTTTGTTGCACCCATCAACCCGTCATCTACCTTAGGTATTTCTCCTAATGCTATCCCTTCCCTAGCCCCCCCACACCCCGACAGACCCTGTTGTGTGATGTTCCCCTCCCTGTCTCCATGTGTTCTCATTGTTCAACTCCCACTTATGAGTGAGAACATGCGGTGTTTGGTTTTCCATTCTGGTGTTAGTTTGCTGAGAATGATGCTTAGTCAAGTATCCTTTGTCCATACGAGAGATCACCAATGGCTCTAGTGGACTGTTGCCCTATAAACTAACTGCATGTGCTTCCTATCTCAAGAAACTGAGTCTGTCAGCCTGGGTTCTTTGGCCAGATTGTTTTTCCAGCACAGGAAGGTGGCCAGAAATGCTGATGAATTAACTTACAAAGTGACCTTCAAAAAATGAAGGACAGGAGTTTGTAGATGAATACTGTAGGTATCTAACCTCTTAAGAGGCAATTCTGAGCTTTGTTTAAGTACATAGTCACTTGAATGATTCCCAAAAGGATTGGCCACAGTTGTCCATCAACTAACTGCTCACTAATGTTTTATATATCCTGTATTATATGTTCTTCCTTTTCTGTTTCATTATCCTCCCTCACCATGCTTCCTGGGATCACTCACCACCCAAACAAAAACAAAAACAAAATTCATTCAGATCCTGTCTCAGGATTTGGTTTTGGGTGAATGTAAACCAAGACAGTGTACATAGAGATTTCCCAGATGCCCTTTATACATAAGAAAGACTTAGATCATAGCAGGGTGATGTTGGATAAAGAGATGCAGAAGCTGGTATTTAGAAGTCAGACCAGCTTGAGTTGAAATGGTACAGTCAAAGGGATGTGGGTGGGAGACCAACTGTGTCTGCAACCAGGAGTGAGAGAAATTATAGCTGAATGATAATAATGAGTGCAAGGCCATGTAGCAATATTGCAATTAAATTGTAGCTGGATCATAGTAACCATTTCTGCTTTAAATAAATTAGAGGTTAAAGCATCTCTCATTGTCAGTCATGTAGCTACACATTTACAACTGACTACTTTATAATTTTCTTCTATTTTTATCACCTGCATTAATGTATTTCTTAGACACTGGTTTCTTTTCCTTGAAATAGATTCCAAACTAGATGAATTGTTTTTCTACTCAGTTTCTGGACCCAAAATAAAAAAGGAATCATAGACTCTTAGAATGGTCAAGGACTTTAGAGGTCAACTATTTCAATACCTATGCATAAATATTCATACAATATGTATAGAAATTTCATTATACCATAACCTGAGATTTGAGACTAGAATATTTGAATCTCCTTTAAAAAAACTATGTTATCAATTTCCTCTGTACTTTTTGTTTCTGTTCCTGATTTTTAAAGCATGTCTAGTATATTCTGGGATATTAATCAAGAGACATAAAAAATGTGCATTAATATATTATGCATGTCTGCCAAGAACATTCAAAGAACTATACATGTACATATAAGTGATATTACTGTCAATTCATAATGAGAATTATTAATTAGACTGTAATTGTAGCTTGCCATTTCTAATCCCTTTATCTGATTGGTTGAGAATGAAGCAGGTTAGTAGAAATGTCATATTTCTTTTAAATCAAATTCAGTATGCTTTGGACATCCATCCCACCTGTCTGCTAGAAAATTCAATTTTAGTCATTGTTACGGCCTCCTTACATAGCTTTAACGCACCAAGCAGGCCCTTTATTCTGTTCTCTCTTATTTATGCTAGTAACTAACAGGACACTCAAAGACCAAGCTTAAAGAAGCCTTGATTTCATACACTTATTTTTTTCTTTCATATACTTGGTGCCTTAGAATATGTGGTGACCAAGAATTCAGATGCTTAGCATACAACTCTCTGTTTTCCTAAAACATCGTGCTAGAAGTCAGAGACATCACATCTGATCACTTCAAATCTGTGCATCACAGATCTCCTGCCTTCTGTCTCCCTAGGTGCTACATGGGAGTGGACTCAGGGTCTTTGCTGCTTCAGTCTCTCCCAGGCTCAGTCTTAGAGTATGCTTGTTTTCACTCATTGTTCTTCTGCCTATCCTTTCTCCAATTGGTAAAATCCCCTCCTGGGTTTCTAAAGAGAAAACGTGGCAGTTACCAGCTTTACCATATACTCAGAGTTGTGTGGTGGTCACACTATGACTATGGTCACACTATGACCACCATTGTCATAGTGTGCCTCCTGATGCAATGCCAAGAATGCGTGGGCTGAGTCTGGTCATGTGGAAACATCAGACAGACATATGTTGAGGGTCATATGTATGAGGGTCTATGAGAGCATGCAGGGCCTATACTCTTTAAGACTGTCCAAGGACAGGAGAAGTAGGAGAGGGCTAACAAGCTTGAAGGAGTCTGATGAGACATGACAGCTATATGCAGTGTATATTCTTGGATGGTTTACTGGACCAAAAAGGTCAAAATGATATTGTTAGGGAACTTGGCAAAGTTTGAGTGGATAGTAGTGAGCTGGATAGTAGTGTTATGCTAATTTACTAAAGGGGAAGGATATATGTTGATATAGTATAGGGGTGTCCTTGCTTTTAGACTACACACTGGAGTATTTAGAGGTGATAGGGCATTCTGTTAGAAAAAGGACTATGTATATAGAAAGAAAGAATGAGAGGGTAATGAAACAAATGTGGTAAAACATTAATAATTGGGCACTCTGTGTAAAGAGAATATGGAAGTCACTTGAACTATACTTGTAATTTTTTTGTAGGTTTGCTGTTATTTCAAAATTAAAAACATAAAATTTCAAAATAATATTTTTTGCCTAAAATTTATCATTGTGTCAGGAAAATATCTTTGAACCACTCAGTTCAAATATAGTACATTGTACTAGAAGACTACAGTAAGTGTATAATTTCATTTTTTTAATGGCAGTGTCTCTCTCTGTGTCACCCAGGCTGGAGTGCAGTGGCATGATCATGGCTTCCTGCAACCTCGACCTCCTGGGCTCAAGGAATCCTCCCACCTCAGCCTCCTACACAGCTGGGATTACAGGTGTGTGCCACCACCAGAAGCTATATATTTTTTTTTTTTTTTGGAAAGTTGGAGTCTCACTGTATTGCCAGGGCTGATCTGTATCTCTTGCCCTCAAGTGATCCTCCTGCCTTGGCCTTCCAAAGTGCTGGGATTATATGTGTTAACCACTGCACCTGGAATAATTTTTGATGCAGATGCAAACCTAATGAAATATAAAAAGATCATTCTGTTACTGCTAAGAATTGAGTGTTTCAAGTAATAGTACTTAGGCTAAATCAGTGTGGTAAGTGATACTACTGGCCATTTTTTGACACTCGGAAAAAAGGCCAGGTGGTTAAAAGGAAAAGCACAAAGCAACAACAAAGCAATAATTCTTATATACTCTTTACTTTCTTTGAAAGCAAAGTGTTTTTAATTTTAAAATTACTTGACTCTCTTTTACTGCTTTCCTCTATGTTTATTTTCTGCACAACCATTTTCTTTTTTTTTTTACAATTTTCTGTATAGGCTTCTATGGGAAAAAGCTCTGTAACTGTAGTGTGTATTTATAGTTGTGAAATAGCTTTTCTTTTTCTTAGTCTTTTTGTTTATTCCCCAAAATGAGTCACTGATATTGCTCAACAGTTCTTGGGAAACAGAGGCCTGTCCCTTGTTAATGTCGTAAGTTGTCTTTTCCTGGAAATCACCAAGTGAGTAAACCAGAAGTCCAACTGGAATTAAATAAACATATCTTTCAAACCGACAGTAATTAGCTAAGATTTTATAAGAATATCATGTATTTTTGGTTCTTTTATAGGAGTTTGTATATATCCTACTGAAGAAAAAACTTCAAACCTTTTTGTCATCTTTGTTAATATACTATTTTAAAAATACAGATTAAATCAAAATGAAAACAGTTTTTCATTTAGTACTTCCAAAACCCATATTTTGTTCAGTGTTATTTTAATGTACTTAGTTCCAGCTGTTCTTTCAAGGTCTACATAATCATGCTTGCAGCACACTTACTTTTTCTAGGGGAAGATGTATCTTTTGGCAATTTACTTAATAGTTAGTCTACAGTTTTTATTGGATCCTACTAGATTGTTCAGGTTCTTTATTAAAGGCATTCTAAATGCTAATACCTGGCATCCTTACCTGTTCCTTTTCCCCATTTTTATATTTTATCTTGCTTACCTGCCGGGTCAGAACCCAGCATTGTGTTGGTTATGAAGTTGCCTATTTAGATCTCAACAGTTTCAGTGTAGTCCAGACTGTCTGTGGCAGCCTAAGAGGAGAACTAGGAAGGAAGAAAGCTTGGAAGGAAATGGCCCTTCACTTTCTCTAGAAGGATCCTGTGGATTGGCCTTCTTCCTTGATTCTTCTCGATCTTGTCACTTTGTAGCATGTCACTTAAAAAGGTATGGGGAGCTCCCACATAGAAAAAAAAGATGCAGTTTTATTGGGAAGGAAACACATATGAGAGGTGGTCTTTTTTACCTAATAAGGTTGTGTGGTGATCATTTGGGGAGGAACTGAGCTGGAAACAAATTGGGATTTGTCTTGAGGCAGATGACATTCTGGAGGCAAGGCCTGTCCTTTCTATCTGAGGCTGTTCATATGCTCCTTTAGAGGACTCCTGCTCAGGGTAGTTACCTCAAATTTGTAGGCTCAGTTACCCTCTTTTCTTTTATTTAAAAATATGAAACACCTCCTTTATAACATATGTGGAATGCATACCTTATTTCTGTAATAGTTTTTCTCTGAAAATTTTGCTTGTCTTTAAAAAGTATCCATATCATCCCCCACCCCCAACTGTTAGTAAGATATGCAACACTGACTCTTGGAGTGAGTGTTAGGGAGGGAGGGGTTTCTCATCAGAGGGAAGGAGATGGCAACTCAGATAATGGTCATGACAAGGGGGTGTGGAGCCCTCATTATGGTGTGTGCTAGGCTGATTTTCTGTAAGTCTTTATGATAACCCACAAGACAAGCATTGTCATCTTTCCTCATAGACTAAGAAATGCGGTCCTGAGAGGTAAAGTCACATGGCAATGATGCACTTGCTCTTTCCTCTACTTGAAATGTCCTTTGGGTTCTCATGGCTGACACTTTTTCATTCATTGTTCAGGTTGCAGTTCAAATGTCACACCTTCTTTGGCTAAACAATTCAACTTCCTCTTCAAACATACAACACTCATTATGACATTATTTCATTTCCTTTATAGGATTTTTCATGTCTTACATTTTTTGTGAGTTCCAGTAGAGAATGAAATTTGTCTGTTCCCTTTACTGTTGTATTCCCAACTTCTAGCGCCATGTATCATATAAATATAATTGGGCAAGTGAATATACCCAGGCTATTCTCGTGTAGAAAGCAGCAGAAGCCCTCTGGGAAGTGTCACAAAACTATTTCAACAGACTTACACTAGTTGCTCTGAAAATTTTTTACTGCATATACATGGGACTCAGATTCTGAGACCACCTTGAACATTTTTTTGGACAATGTTTCCTACCCATAGATAAATCTGAGATGTGTCTGCTTTGCTCTGCAAATGAATTCTTAGCAAAATCCTGTCTGTCTGTTTGAGTTGTTCTTAAGGAACAATGTTTAATCTATTGTGACCTTGTGTAATCTATTAGTACTCTTGCCGATTAGGACATGCACAACATCAAAGGATATTTTTATGGAAGATTATGACCAAAACAAACTGTCTGTGGCCACAAAAGGGGAATTTCTCTTAGAAACATAAACTGATTCAATAAGGGAGGAGCTGACATTTTGATTTCATTACCGTTACACTGAAAATTAATGAATTAATCAAGCACAATACCCTCCACTCTTTTCTATCACTTGTCACATTTTCCCCTGAATGAAGATGGCTGGAACAGAAATGAAGTGTCCCTGTAGATTTTCCCTTATACCCTTTTTTACTATACTTTATAAATACCCAGGATCCCTTTTTTTAACTAACAGGACTTCGAATGAACTCCTGACAGTATCTTGATATGTCCATGTGTTTGGAAAGCTGTTTTTTTCCCCCCTTAGTTTTGGGTATAGCAATGAGTAAAGAGAATAAAACTTGTTCTCTAATATTTCTGACTTTATACCAGCAAACTTTCATATTTCTCTCTCTCTCTCATCGTAAGTTTCCTTGGCATTATTGGTTCACATGTGGCTTTGCTTTAGTGTGAAGTCTGTAAATATATAAACCTCTTTTATTCTGGGGAAACCATCTTTTTATTATGTCTGGATCAACTTTCCAAACACTGTTTTATTAGCCAAGTTACTTCACTGAAATAAAAGTAAAGCTTTGGAGATATGAAAAAGATACCATGTACATTGAGTTGAATGGCACCTGAAAACTGGCTGGGAGAATTTCCTGGTGAATTGGAATATGCACTTGTTAGGTAATAGGACAATACACCATAAGAAATAGAGTGACCTCTGCACAAAATTTGAAACAAAAAAGAATGCAGAAGAATTGTTAAAATGATTCCTTTTTTATTAAAAAATCCTTTGCAATTTTCTTTCCCATAGATATGCTCTGACTTTATAATTAATTAACAAGTTGTTTACTTCATTTTTATATTGGATAAAATTATTTTTCATCTATCAGAAAGTTCTTTCCATAATTTCAAGAGTTCTGGGTGAAGTATTGCTAGTGTGACATACACTCCTGCTTGATTTATTACTGTTTATCATTTTCTTTGATTTTGATATTCAAATAAAAAAAATATTTCAAGTGAAATTTTATATAAAAATGCATGAAGAGCTTTTATAGAATCTAAGTAAAAGCTACTTTCTTCTCATATATTTTGGTAATATTGGATAAAACGACACTATTTCTCCTATTTATAAGTTTTTTAAAAAATTCATCCTGTGTCATTTTCATTAGATTGCTTTCAGATGTCATACTTTTCTCTTTGCCACAGAAGGTTAAAGTTAACTTTCCAGACAGCAGTGGTGAAAATTAAAACTCTGTTTTTACTATCATTATGACTAATAAATTAAAAGATAAAAATGGCATAATTTTTGATTGCCAAAACACTGTATTGACATCTGTCATTCTGGTTACCTGAAATAATTTATGAAAACTACTCTTTGTATATTATAAAGCACTACATATAAAATTAGCCCTTAATTCTTTTTTAAAAATAATTTTAATTAAATTATTATTTGATATACTTTCTTCAAATGAGTTATGTAGAATCTTATAAAATTTTCTTTATTACAGTTTTTAAATTGTGGTCTCTGCTTTTAACACTTTTAGAATTAACATTTTTATTCCATGGATTTTGTTAAGGTTTTGTAAAATTTATTCTTTTAATGAAATTTAAAAATATAGCCTCCTTTCTTTAAGAAATTATAAACAATGATCTGATTTTAAAAAATATATTAATAAAGATAATTTGAAAGGCAGAAAATGTAATCAGGAAGAGAAAAAAATACTGCTAATCAGAGTGACATAATACACATTTATATTAAGAGCATCTTTTTTTTCTCTTAAAAAGTCTTAGCATGCTCAAATGAATAAACAAATAAATTGTGGTGTATTCATACTAGGCTAATAAGAAAATGCTATATTCAACAGCGTGAAGACTCTGAAATGCATTATGCAAATAATGAATCATATAATCATATTATGTGATTTTATTTATATTCCATTCTAAAAAAGGCAGGGAAATAAATAAGATTAGTGGGTGCCAAGGGCTAGCATTATGGGAGGAGATTTGACTATAATGTGGCACAAGAAAACTTTTTAGAGTGATGAAAATACACTATTTTTTTATTTGTATGTGTTTGTCAAAATTCATAGAATTATATACTAAAAAAGTGTTAAATTTATTGTTTGTAAATTATCTTAATGAACCTGACAGTGGTAAAACAAAGTTTGCTTACTTTCATGAAAGTTTCCAGAAGATAAATTTTCTTAATCAACATCCAGTAAAATAAGCTTTCTTTATAATTAAAAAACAGCATATTGAGGAAAATCAGTGTTCTGTTAAATATACAATGTTAACTTTTAAAGTTAAAAATAACAACAGTTGGGAGGGGTGAAGGAATGAGTATTGACTTATGTGAGGACATATTCATCATTTTAATTTTAAAAAATTATAGCATTTCATTGGCTGAGTTTAATTAGCTAGGCTGGAAATCTGTTTGCCCCTTCATGCCTATTTTCCACTATTTTTCTTGTGGCTTTCTGCTAAAGAAGCTGATCTGCATGGCCTGTATTAAGAGGCTCCTTTGCCCTCCAGACAGTGATAATATTGAAGAGAGGGAAGAGAGTGAGGTAAGCGAGCTTCCCCCAGTGAGGTGCATCAGAACAGCTATGTTCCTCAACTAAATGGCACTGCTCCACCAAGCTGCCTTGGTCTATTCAACACTTTCTTTCCAAGTTCTGGTAACTTCTTCCCTTTCCAAAGTTTTTAGGTCTATTGATTTTAGCAGTTGCCTATCTTTTTTCCAGGGTTCAACACTCCCTTTTGTAGTTTCTATAGCTTTGTAGTTAGTCACTTTATTAAATCTTTCTTAAGTTATACTAACTGTGTCATTATTTCCAGCTAAGGTCCTGACTAGTATGCCAGCCCAATTAGCATTATTAGAATGTGAGAAATAAAGAGGATAAAATAAAAGGTGTAAAAAAGAGCATAACAAGTAAAATAGAACTAGACTCTTGAATTAACAAGTGTAACTGATGCTTGTGACATTGGTTTCATAATCAAGGTAGACAACAATTCATTTAGTTATGTGGTGTGCATTTCTCTTTGTCCATGCTTTTTGAAGTAACTACAGGGGAGCAGAGTCCATTTTTTTTTGAGATAAACCAGGAGGCATGCATTGCCATAATCTCAGACTCACAAAACATGAACCCTAAGATATCCTCCTTCTCTTAAACCATGAGGACCTGCCCTGATGACTCAGTCACCTCACACTAGGCCCCTCCTCCAACACTGGGGATCAAAATTCAGCAGGATATTTGGGTAGGGACACAGAGCCAAACCATATCATTCCACCCCTGGTTTCTCTCAAATCTCATGTCCTTCTCACATTGCAAAACACAATCATGCCTTGTGGCACAATCATGTCAACAGTTCCTTAAAGTCTTAAGTCATTCCAGCATTAACTCAAAAGTCCAAGTCCAAAGTCTCATCTGAGACTAGGTAACTCTCTTCCACCTATGAGCCTGTAAAATAAAAAATTAGAGATTTCCAAGATACCATGGGTTACAGGCATTGGGTAAATGCTGTCATTTCAAATGAGAGAAACTGGCCAAAACAAAGGTGCTACAGGCCCCATGCAAGTCTGAAACCCAGCAGGGCAATCATTATACCTTAAGGCTCCACAATAATTTCTTTTGACTCCATGTCTCACATCCAGGTGACACTGATGCAAGGAGTAGGCTCCCATGGCTTTGAGCAGCTCTGGCCCTATGGATCTGCAGGGTACAGCCCCCACAGCAGCTTTCACAGACTGGTGCTTACTGCCTGTAGCTTTTCCAGGTGCATGGTGCAAGCTATTGGTGGATCCATCATTCTGGGGTCTGGAGGATGGTGGCCCTCTTCTCACAGCTCAACTAGGCAGTGCCCCAAAGGGGACTCAGTGTGGGGGCTCCGACCCCACCTTTCCCCTCCCTACTGCCCTGGTAGATGTTTTCCATGAGGGCTCTGCTCCTACAGCAGACTTCTGCCTGGACATCCAGGCATTTCCATATATCTTCTAAAATCTGAGCAGAGGCTCCCAAGCCTCAACTCTTGCCCTTTGTGCACCTGTGAAAGCCTTACACGCTTGGTGGCTGGCAGAGGGTGCAAGCTTTCACCACATGAAAGCCTTGGTGGCTTCTGGCTTGCAGCCTCTGGAGCAGCTGACTGAGACATATCTGGGGCCCTTTTAGCCATGGATGCAGCTGTAGTGGCTGGGACACAGGGAGCAGTGTCCCAAGCCTGCAAAGAGGAGCAGGGTCCTGAGCCTAGCCCCTGAAGCCATTTTTTTCCTCTTAGGCCTACAGCCTGTGATGGGAGGAGCTGCTGTGAAGTTCTCTGAAATGCCTTGGAAGCATTCTCCCCATTTTCTTGGCTATTAACATTTGGCTCTTTGTTACTCACGCAAATTTCTGCAGCAGGCTTGAATTCCTCCCCAGAAAATGACTTTTTGTTTTCTACCACATGGTCAGGCTAAAAATTTTTCAAACTTTTATGCTCTGCTTCCTTTTTAAATCTAAGTCCAATTTCAGACCATCTCTTTGTGAACGCATATGAGTATATGCTGTTTGAAGCAGCTGGCTCTATCTTTAATGCTTTGTTGCTTAGAAATTTCTTCCACCAGATACCGTAAATTATCTCTCTCAAGTTAGAAGTTCCACAGATTTCTAGAGCAGGGGCACAATGCCACCAGCCTCTTCGTAGTAAGAGTGACCTTTACTCCAGTTCCCAATACATTCGTCATCTTCATCTGAGACCTTCTCAGCCTGGACTTCACTGTCCATATCATTATCAGCATTTTGGTCACAACCATTCAACAAGTCTCTAGGAAGTTTCAAACTTCCCCTCATTTTCCTGTCTTCTGAGACCTCCAAACTTCCAACCTCTGCCCATTACCCAGTTCCAAAGTCACATCCACATTTTCAGGTATCTTTACAGCAATGCGCTACTTCTCTGTGACCAATTTTCTGGATTAGCCAGTTCTCACACTGCTAGAAAGACATTCCTGAGACTGTGTAATTTATAAAGAAAATAAGCTTAATCAGCTCATAGTTCTATGGGCTGTACAGGCTTCTGCTTCTAGAAGCTTACATCATGGCAGAAGGCAAAGGGGAAGTAGGCACATGTTCACATAGCCAGCAGGAAGGGTAGGGGACAGGTGCTATGCACTTTTAAACAACCAGACTTTGTGAGCTCTATCTTGAGAACAGCAAGAGGGATGGTACTAAACCATTAAGAACTACCCCATGATTCAGTCATCTTCCACCGGGCCCCTCCTTCAATACTGGGGATCACAACTTGGCAGGAGATTTGGATGGAGACACAGAACCACACCATATCATCCCGTCTCATTTCTCTCTGTAGGTAATCATTATAATGTAGTTAATTCATCTTCATTTTACAGATGTAGAAAAGGAGGCTCAGATCACACAGCAAATTATTGGCAGAAATTAATTCAGACTCAATTTTCTTGTACTCCAAAAACCATATGGTATAGCCTCCTGTAGCTGCTTTAATTTTACCATCAGAAAGAGGGAATCAAATTTATATACATTTTTCCATAGCACTTCTAAACATTTGATATTAATGCAAACCCAAAAATGCAAGTCTTAATATGTCATGTTATCCTCTGAATTGAAAAAGATATACAACAGAAGTTACTAAAGGCTGAGTCATGTTAGGATAGTTTAACTTTATTTGGAAGTAAAATGAACTCTAGAGTTCCTTCTAGAACTTCCATTCTGAACTTGCAGACTATGATTAAGAACATTTCTGTTGTGAGAAAATCAAATACTACATGTTCTCACTTATAAGTGTGAGCTAAATGAAGAGAACACATGGACATATAGACAGGAACAACACACACCAGGGCCGTTTGGAGGGTGGAGTGTGGGAGGAGGGAGAGAATCAGGAAAAATAACTAATGGTTACTAGGCTTAATACCTGGGTGATAAAATAATCTGTACAACAAATCCCCATGACACAGGTTTACCTATATAACAAACCTGTATGTGTAACCCTGAGCTTAAAATGAAAGTAAAAAAAAAAAGGTAACCCTCACCCTCACCCTCACCCTCTCCCTCACCCTCTCCCTCTCCCTCTCCCGTCTCCCGTCTCCGTCTCCCCACGGTCTCCCTCTCCCTCTCTTTCCACGGTCTCCCTCTGATGCCCAGCCGAAGCTGGACTGTGCTGCCGCCATCTCGGCTCACTGCAACCTCCCTGCCTGATTCTCCTGCCTCAGCCTGCCGAGTGCCTGGGATTACAGGCGCGCGCCACCACGCCTGACTGGTTTTCGTATTTTTTTGGTGGAGACGGGGTTTTGCCGTGTTGGCCGGGCTGGTCTCCAGCTCCTGACCGCGAGTGATCTGCCAGCCTCGGCCTCCCGAGGTGCCGGGATTGCAGACGGAGTCTCGTTCACTCAGTGCTCAATGTTGCCCAGGCTGGAGTGCAGTGGCGTGATCTCAGCTCGCTACAACCTCCACCTCCCAGCCGCCTGCCTTGGCCTCCCAAAGTGCCGAGATTGCAGCCTCTGCCTGGCTGCCACCCCGTCTGGGAAGTGAGGAGCGTCTCTGCCTGGCCGCCCATCGTCTGGGATGTGAGGAGCCCCTCTGCCCGGCTGCCCAGTCTGGGAAGTGAGGAGCGCCTCTTCCTGGCTGCCATCCCATCTAGGAAGTGAGGAGCGTCTCTGCCCGGCCACCCATCGTCTGAGATGTGGGGAGCGCCTCTGCCCCGCCGCCTTTCTGGGATGTGAGGAGTGCCTCTGCCCGGCCGCGACCCCGTCTGGGAGGTGAGGAACGTCTCTGCCCTGCCGCCCCGTCTGAGAAGTGAGGAGCCCCTCTGCCCGGCAGCCGCCCCGTCTGGGAAGTGAGGAGCGTCTCCGCCCAGCAGCCACCCCGTCTGGGAGGTGTACCCAACAGCTCATTGAGAACAGGCCATGATGATGATGGCGGTTTTGTCGAATAGAAAAGGGGGAAATGTGGGGAAAAGATAGAGAAATCAGATTGTTGCTGTGTCTGTGTAGAAAGAAGTAGACATGGGAGACTCCATTTTGTTCTGTACTAAGAAAAATTCTTCTGCCTTGGGATGCTGTTAATCTATAACCTTATCCCCAACCCCATGCTCTCTGAAACATGTGCTGTGTCCATTCAGGGTTAAATGGATTAAGGGCGGTGCAAGATGTGCTTTGTTAAACAGATGCTTGAAGGCAGCGTGCTCAAAAAAAAAAAAAAAAAAAAAAAAAGAGTCATCACCACTGCCTAATCTCAAGTACCCAGGGACACAAACACTGCGGAAGGCCTCAGGGTCCTCTGCCTAGGAAAACCAGAGACCTTTGTTCACTTGTTTATCTGTTGACCTTCCCTCCACTATTGTCCTATGACCCTGCCAAATCCCCCTCTGTGAGAAACACCCAAGAATGATCAATAAATACTAAAAAAAAAAAAAAAAATAACTTGAATAAAAAAATATATAAAAAATAAATAAACAAATAAAATATTTTTCTGATTACACACACACAAAAAAAAATAGGTAACTATTGAAAATATTTTTTAAAAAGAATGCTTCTCTTATGGAAGGCTCTATACTAATTTTTAATTATGGTATTTTCCATAAAAATTTGTTCATATATGGTTATCATGACTAAGCATACTATTTTTTCTAAACGTTCTCCCCATTTTGTTCTTTTTGTTTAATACATCACAATTAAATGGAATCAGATAATAAAATCATTATAGGACTTTTAAAAGACATGACTAAGTGAGATTTCTGAACATCATATTCAATAGTTTCAGATCAACTGTGCATATTCTTATTGACCTATATCTCCTTTAATTAGCTGAAAGTATTACCTAGATGTTACTCTTGGAAATTCAGGTATTCACAAAATTGTGTGAATGTTAAAGACTAACATGGAAGAAAACTGTTATGTCCACCCAAAGAAAATTTTAACATTACTCTAATGAAGTTTAAGCTTCAGGGAACGTCACTTGCAAGGCTTCCTTCCAAGATCCTATGCCTTAATTGTTTTTGTAATTTTATATTTTTTCTAAAGAGGATCCCCCAAATTGTATACAAAATATATATTTTGTAGGATTATGATACACACATATATATAATAACTTAGATCTCTGAGTCTACTTTCTGCAACTAGTTCTAATCATGTGGGTATAGACTCATTCTGTCATGTCAGATATAGATAGAAGCTTTAGCTTCAAAAAGAAAATAGTACAAATGGATAACCAAGACTAAGAATGTGTATAAAAATGCTTTAATTATTTCTTTAATAAAAATAGGAAAAAAATTATAATTTCCCCTCTGTGGTCTTAGTATTGGTGAGAGACTAAACATGGAATTAAATAAAATATTTAAAAAATTTCTGATACTGCATATTCTCACTTATACATGGGAGTTAAATGATGAGAACACACGGACACATAGAGGGGAACAACAGATCCTGGGGCCTACCTGAGGGTGAAGGGTGAGAGGAGAGAAAGGATCAGGGAAAATAACTAATGGGTGCCAGGCTTAATACCTGGGTGACAAAATAATCTGTACAACAAACCCCATGACACAAGTTTATCTGTATAACAGACCTGTACATGTACCCCTGAACTTAAAAAAAAAAACATTTATTTTCTGTGCAGAGTGAGTGTTGCTATTAATTATGACTTGATGAGTTTTCTTAGCACTCTTTATGTAACAATTACATTCCATTAAATTGGGAGATTCCCTCCCCTATTTAAACAATACACAGGCAATTATGCATGTATTATATATGTGGCATTCTCAAGTAAGGTTTTGAGTAAAATTTGTATGATATTAATTACCCATGTCTACAAGTTGTTTGGCAATAATCTTAAAAAAATTATAACACAGTTTTAATTTAAATAACTCATTTTCTAGACATGAAGAATGAAAAAAATTAAATTTGAATGGGCAACTTAGAAGCATTTAAATATATATATGCATACAAATTATATAATTTCCAAAATTTTCTGGAATTGAGAGAAAATGAAAAATATAGAACCAGAGTATTTTCAAATGGTGCTGCTTCATAGAATATATACTATAAAATATTTTCAAATTTTTGAACTTTTAAATGTTCATTTATAATACAACTCTTGCAATAAATAAAATATTGGCCAAATAATTGATAACAGAAAGTAAAATTATTGCATAATTTTTGTGTACGAAATCCTGACAATAATTTTTATATTTTAAAGCATTGTTAATTTGATGTTGGCTAAAAATAGAATGAATGATATAGACAGCATTTAGCATGTACTATAAGATAATGATGTTTTAACATACAAAAGAGCCATGAAGTAGACAAAAGGCTAGGTTTCTTACAAGAAAAGAAATAGAATAGAATAAGCTTAAAATATATAGTTCAGTAAAAAAATAAGCACACAGCACTAATTGTGCTACTCTATTGCACTTTTATTAGTTAGGATTCACTTGACTATAAATTATAGAAATCTAACTCAAATAAAATGGAAATTTGTCTTACAATTCAGAAGTCTCACCAACCATAGACCAGAGATTTTAGTTTCTCATTGCTCTTTCTCTCTGTAAGATAGCCTAATGTTCTCAGACTATCTCTCCCATCAGAGTGTCTGAAAGAAGCAATACACTCACATATTTTCAGCTTCAGTACCCCAGTCCAAATTTTCAAAATATCTGGAAAGAGATCTGGCCAACCTGGGTCATCATTCGTCCTTGAAATGACAGCAGCCAGGAGTAGAGTGCTGTAAGTGACATATAATGGGCTGAATCTTTACTCGCAGCACAAATTACTGTGTGCACAGAGATTTCACATTTTTTAGAAAGCACTGTTTCTTTTTTATCACATGGCTAAGGAGACAAAAAGAACAATGTTCTAAAAAAGATGTCTCTCATGTCTAATTAAATTCTTTTAGATTTTCTTGAAAATATATTAAGGGACCCTGAATATTTTAAGTATAGATTTTCAAACAGGAGCAAATTTTAAAGTTCACCTAATCGTACTGTATGATTGATGCCACAAGAGGGATGAGTAGTAACACTTTAGACTAGAACCCAATTTCCTTTACTTATAGGACCTTGACTTGTCTATGACATTAAGCTGCAAAACCAGTCTCAAAATATGATCACATAGAGAGTTAAGGAGGTGTAAATAGAAGTACAGCAAAGAGAAACAGAGAATGAAGTCTTGCTTGTAGATAATGCCACTATTAATATAGAGGGCTAAGAAGGATTTCTGTGGATGGTTTTTTAAAAAGAATTTAAAGGCTCACTTCTGCCAGAAAAGCCTAATGTAAATATACTTTTAAAATGTTTTCCCCCTTGACATTCAAGTGATTTATTTAAATGGATGTCTTTCCCTAGCACTTCTATGTTTATCAGAAGAGCCAACATATACCTTCTACTTATGATTTAAGACTGGAATCAATTACTTTCTAAAGTGAATACTGAAAGAAAAGAATATATGGGACTCTAAGGACAAATAGTTCTTTCAAACCATGCTATAGTTAACATCTGTGGTCTTCTCCCTCAATTTTATGTGTTCTTATTTAACTAGCAGTGATTTCCCTCAGGTCTCAAGTAAGCTAGTTACCCTACCATTGCTTCCTGCCAGGAAGGTGATTTAGAAGACATGTTCAGTGCTTAGGCTGGACCCATCCCTTTCAATGCCCTGAGCAGTAGGAGAGCACCAGATTAGTGTAGGAAGTGAGAGGCCTAATTGTTGGGGACATTTTTAGGGCACTGAGGCCATGTGGCTATGATAAGAAAACAGTCTGTATAACCAGACTGGTTCCTTTATTGACTCTAAGCATATCATGTGTATCCATTCCTTTTTAATTTGTTTACCATTCGTGTCCTGTTTTGAATCTTTTAAAACTCATCATGCCCATCCTTTGAATCTCAACTGAAGGTCTATTTCCCATATGATTCCCTTCCAAACACTGTAGGCCACACTCGAGTATGGATGTGGATAGATTCAAGTGTTGACCGTGTCTCCTGTTTTAAGTTTCAGTTTGTTGTAGTTGCTGAACTAAGACTATTTTTTGATCCATTAACTGATTCACTCATTTATTCTATAAATATTTGTTCAGTGCCCATTGTGTTCCAGGCATTGTTCTGAATGTTGGACATGGACTTTAGTCATTTATATATACCATAATGATTTATAAATACAATAGACAGTCAACACCTCTTGAATGATTGAAGTAATAAATAGTCCCCCCTTGTCTAGTTTCACTTTCTGAGGTTTCCATTACTCATGGTCAGCCACAGTTCACAAATTTTAAATGGAAAATTATAGCAATAAACAGTTCGTAAGTTTTAAATTCCACCCCATTCTGAGTAATGTGATGAAATCTCACATCTTCCTGCTCAGGATGTGAATCATTCCTTTGTCCAGTGTATCTAGACTGTCTGAGTGACCCAGCTGTTAGTCGCTTAGGAGCCATCTTGGTCATGAGACCCACTTTAACAGTGTCACAGTGCCTGTATTCAAATAAGCCTTATTTTACTTAATAATGGACCCAAAGTGAGAGGAGTGGTGCTGGCAATTCAGATATGCCAAAGAGAAGCTGTAAAGTGTTTCCTTTAAGTGAAAAGGTAAAAATTATTGATTTAAAAAGAAAAGAAAAAAATTGTATCCTGAGGTTGGTGAGATGTATGGTAAAAATGAATCTTCTGTCCATGAAATTGTGAAGGAAAAATAAATTGGTGCTATTTTTGCCACAAACTGCAGAAAAGTTAAGCCACAGTGAATCTTAAGTGCTCAGTTAAGATGCAAAAGATACTAAACTTGAGAGTAGCAGACATGAACAGAAACACATTCCGCTTGATGGCAATCAGGTTTAGTTCTATCAGACGTTTCAGGAATCTACTGAGGTTCTTGAAACATATCACTTGTGGATAAGCGGGGACTGCTGTTGTAAATAAATGAGAAAAGGAATACACAGAAATAGAATCCACTGTGGTATGGGAAGAAAAAATTGTTTATTAATTCAAAGCAAGTAGAAAATCCACGAACTATATTATTATGACATTCTGATAGAAGGAACTCACACCAAAACCTGGCACCAAGGCAAAATATTTTATGAGAAAACTTAAGGCCTGAAATAGTGCTTTTTCAAACGAGTTCTGGAATCAGTTTCCCTTTACTAGAAGGAAAGAGTGTTTTAATTCCATGAATATATTTAAAAACTTTCAAACCTTGCCTCTACACACTATATATTTAGGGTAGAGAAGATTAAGTACTACCCTTTACTTTCATCCAATAAATGTGTGAATCTTTACATTTCTTCAAATTTCTGTGAAGTCAACTCTGCTTAAGAATCACCAAGATAACTCTTTGTTTATAGGGATTCTTGCTGGGATCTTTTCCAAAATAAGGAATTCTTCTGTAATGTAAATTTCTCTAAGTCTTATCCATATTTCTCAAATCGTAGGAATTCTGTGCTAACAGTGTTAGCCAGCAACATGCAAAGCTGTTTGGCAGCCATGGTGAGGACGGCAAGTGGAACAGCAGTTTTGCATTTCATCATAAGCCATTGCATGGGGCCATAGTTAAGTATAACTTCTGGGGTCTTATTGCCTCAGCCTAAATCCTGGTCCAACATTTCCCAAAATGTGATTGAGAAGAAGGTTTTCATTTTTCCTATTTCTGTCTCAATGTCCAAAGGTATATAATTGGGAAAATAATTATACCTGACAGTAGACCGTTTAATAGCTCAGGTGGACTATTATATAGGTTTTGTACAAACATTAACGATTGATCTGAAAATAGGACAGCTATGTACAAAGTTTGAAGAACCTCAGGGAGTACATGCAGATTATGCTGTCTTACCCAACATTACAATTTAGAGGAGGAACTGTAATGTATGGAACATTAATAAATCTATAGGTGAATGGCTATGAAAGTAGTACTTTAAAATTTTGATGTATAGTATATTTTTAGCTCCTCTCACCAAAAACTCCTGAACAAGATAAATTCATTTCTTTCTCATATGATGGTTCAAGGCAGGTGTTACTTGGGGACAGGAACAACTCTCTTCCTTGCTATCTGTCACACAGAAACTCACATTGATGAAAACTCTGATGAGGTATCCAAGGATAGCATGATAATCTTATTTCAGTGATCTGTAGTGTAAAGATTTAGGGATGTTTTCATTGGTTAAACCCCAAAATAGCACATATCACTTCAACTTCATCACATGGACAGACCATAATAAAAGGAATTATTAAAAATACTGTCTAATTTTGTGCACTTGAAGAAGAGAATGTAGTTTTCATTGTGATTGTCTTGTTTTTGTAAACAGCAAGCAGTTTCTGCCACAGTTTGCCCCTCTGGTCATGAAATATTAATATTAATTTGTAGCCTTTTTCCTATATTTAAAGCAGAAGACTCTTGTAGCCTTTTTCCTATGTTTAAAGCAGAAGACTCTTCTTCTCTTCAAGTGAGGGAAACTAAAACCCCATGTCACACCTGCACCAATTTTAAAATCAAATATTTCAAAAGTATTTGGAAGATGCTCAGTTCTATTGATCAAGACCAGTGTGTATTCTTGTGTTTTGATTCCCAGGAACTAAAAGTCAGCATACACTAGTGAAGCAAGTATATAACAACCATAAAAAAGCCCATTCTGAAAATGGATGAATGGGAAACTCATGGCAGGCACTCTCACAGAGCAATGTTGAACTCCTTCTGGGAAGGTATTTCTAAAACTTTTCTGCGATGGCAGTGGAGGAAATTTAATGGTTAGATCTGAAGTCAGCATTCTGGAAGGAATCCTTGTCTATTGATCTCTATGAACACCAGTGCTATCCTTTTAGAGGGTCTTTCTTGTATATTTTCTTCTACAGACATCTTTGAAGTGGGGACTGGGGAGTATTGCTCTCCTGGGAAGCTGCATAGCTTTTAAAGCCCAATTTTTTAACGGCATCATTGTGGTACAATTGATATATTAAAAAAACTGCACATTTATTTTTATCTTAAAAAATGTTTAAGTTGGCCGGGTGCGGTGGCTCACCCCTGTAATCCCAGAACTTTGGGAGGTTGAGGTGGGTGGATCACAAGGTCAGGAGTTCGAGACCAGCCTGGCCAATATGGTGAAACCCCGTCTCTACTAAAAATACAAAAAAATTAGCCGGGCATGGTGGCACATGCCTGTAATCCCAGCTACTTGGGAGGCTGAGGCAGGAGAATTGCTTGAATCCAGGAGGCAGAGGTTGCAGTTAGCTGAGATCGTGCCACTGCACTCCAGCCTGGGTGACAGAGCGAGACTCCATCTCAAAAAATAAATAAATAAAATGTTTAAGTTGAAAAATGAAAATTATATAAAGTATACAATATGTTTTTTCAAAATATATATACATTGTGAAATGGCTACATCGGGCTAATATATATTGCTTCGCATACTTTATGGCACACGTTTAATATATTCAATTTGATAATTTGATGAGTCTGGATATATGCATACACTTGTGATATCATTATCACAATCAAGTATTAAACATACTTTTTTTTTTTTTTTTTTACAAAACTTCAAAAATTTTCCTGTGCTCTTTTCTGTTTTTTTTTTATTTTTCTTTCTTTTTTTATGCTAAGAACAAATAACACAAGATCTACCCCAACAAAGTTTTAAATGCATAACATCATATTGTTAACTGTAGACCCTACATTGTACAGTAGATAAATGGAACTTGTTTGTTTTGTGTAACTGAGACTTTATACCTATTGAGCAACAGCTCTCCATTTCCCTCTCCTACCAGCCCCTGGCAACCACTATTCTATTCTCTGCTTCTATGAGTTTGATTATGTAATATTACGCCAATAAGTGGAATCATGCAGTATTTGTCCTTCTGTGACTGGCTTATTTCACTTAGTATGATGTCCTTCAGGTTCATTCATGTTGTCACAAATGGTAGGATTTTCATTTTTAGAGAGGCTGAATATTATTCCACTGTATGTATATGCCATGTTGTTAAATCCATTTATCTGTTGATGGACTTTTGGGTTGTTTTCATATCATGGCTATTGTAAATAATACAGCAGTGGGCATGACAGTATAGATATCTCTTTGAGATCCTGACTTCATTTCTTTGGGATCTATACTCAGAAGTGGGATTGCTGGATTATATGGCAGACATATAGACCAACAGAACACAGTAGGAAGTTCAGAAATAAACTCACGTGATTACAGTCAGCTGATCTTCAGCCAGGGTGCCAAGTGTACACAATGGGGAAAGGAGAGTCTCTTCAATAAATGTTGCTGGGAAACCAAATAGCCACATGCAAAAGAATGAAATTGGACCTCTATCTTACACCATTTGCAAAAATCAACTCAAAATCAATTGAAGACTTAAATGTAAGACCTGAAACAGTAAAACTTCTAGAAAAAAAAGCAGGAGAAACGTCTAGACATTTGTGTTGGCAATGATTTCTTTGATGGGAATGTAAAATGGTACAGCTGCTAGAGAAAATATTGTGGAGAGGTTCCTCCAAAATCAAAGCCCAATTTGTAATCACACACAATTAGGAGCCTAAAGGTTATTTTACATTCTGTGATTTTAAAAAATTGCTTTTTTTTTTTTTTTGGCCAAGCTCATAATTCTTTAGCAATAGAAATTCCTCCAAAAACTTATTAAATTTCTAATGTATTTGTTTCCATTTTAATGCTAGTAAGCATACCCAAGATCTTTTTTTAGATTCACTTTTCAAGCTCTCTGAATTTTCTTGCTGCTTTGATCCCATGCCTATTTCTTTCACCAAAGTAGTAGCTGCCATCTGAACAATAGGTTTTCATAAGAAGGTAACATCCTTAATCTTATTTTTAGTTTCAGGATGGAGTACCTTTTATAACTGAGAAAACTTCTTGTGACTTTGTGCTCAAAGCCTTTTTCGCTTATATCTCTTATGTTAGTAGTTTTGAAGAAGTTGGCTTTTCCAGCACTGCAAGACCCTTAATGTCTGCCTGCAAATCAGTCAGTTCTTTCCTGAGCTCATTTATTTCTCAAATATAATACATGTAATTGGGCAAATACATTATTTAGCAGCCAGTTTAAATGAATCCTGACTTTTTCCCAACCTCTTTCCCCTGAGCTACAGTTTTGGTAGATTGTTGGTCTTTCTTCAAAATCTTCATAAGCAGCAGTTTAAACAAATATTTGACTAAAGAATAACGTTATTTTTAGCATTTTAGTATGCTATATCTGTATAACTGCCTACTGCTACCATTTTTAAGTAGTGAATTTTAAGAACATAATGCAATTCGCTATTTCAGTCTGTCATAAGGAAGATCCTGGAGACACTGAGGGAGATTTTTTAAGCTAGGGCTGGTAGTAGCACATTTCACTTCAGCTCACATTTCTTTGTACAATATGCAGGCACACTCTAAGACCTAACTACAATGGAGGCTGAAACATGCAAGTCTAGCTATGTGTCCAGGATGAAGAGAAATGAATTTTGGTGAATATGTGAATATGTCTGTTACAACTTCTCATGGATTCAGTATGCACATTAACTTTTTCCCCTCATTATTTTACCAGAATTGGAGTTTTTACTGGGAGTTCTGTTTGAAATTTTTTCATGTAATTGCCTATTTTGAGTTATATAAATAAGCATTTTCTACCATTTCTGGATATAAATATATGAAAAAACAAATGTGCATTTTTAATGCATTATGAAATAAAACTGAAAAAACAATAACATTTTCTCACACTTTAGTAAAGGTAAAATAAAAATTTACCACTTTTTAACAGATTATCATATTACTCTTTTGACAAAATATGATTGAATCAAATTAAGATGGTTGAACGTTATCTGAAATTTCTTAGATATCCTATTAGAATCAAAATGTTCCAAGAAATACTAAATTTATATATTAATATACTTGAAACTTCCTGAAGAGAAGGAGAAACTTCCAAAGACATTACCCTATCATCAAAGTATATAGAAGAAAAGAGATATAAGGTCATAGCAAAGTCTAACTCTAAGAATTTAGGGACCATGTCTTTACCTCTGAATTTCCAGCTTTAGACAAGGGCTGGACAAATAGTACGAGCTCAGTATATGAACCAGTGAGTGAAAAAGAATGATTCATGAGTCACAATAGTAGCCACTGTAAAGGGATGTGAGAACTTGAATTTTCCCAGAAAATCACTGTTATGCAAGTCTTTAAAATCTATGTGAAATATATGAACATACTTCCAAATAATAAATATCATTTCTGTAATTTTGTAGTAATGACTAAGCATAAATTAATTGTAAATACTCAAAGGATACATAGTAATAAAATGCAATTATGTTATTTCTTGGTTTTTATATTTGGAAATCGGCTGATTATTGAAACTGTATGGGAAGTATTTGAAATGTTTTGAAGACTTGGATAATAACAGATTTTTAAAGCAAAATGGGAAATATGACAAAAGATAAAATTATAATATTAACAGTCTATAAGATTACTATGAGGTGAAAAGGCATTACACAGGTGAATTATAAGAAATATGTATTGTGGCAATCATGGAATATTTTTCATTAGCAAGAAATTAGGTTAAATATCTGTAAGAAAAAGTTTGCTGATTCCTTTTAAATTAATGGGTACGGAAGAGTGTGAATAGACTATCAATGCTGTAAAATAATTTAATAATTGATATCATGTGGTCACATTTATTAATTTTTTTCAAACTGGTCTGGATATGAATGTTATCAGAGAAAAATTTTAAAAGGATAATTAGATAAGTTGTGTAGGGAGAGAATGAAACAGTAAAGTTAATATTTTTTAGATGAGTTTTAAAAAATATAAATTTTTTCTTAGTCTTTTCCATTATTTTGAAGCTAAGTTTATTTAAAACATTACTAAAGAGATGAAGAATATGAAAATATTACCATAGGTTGAATCTAAAAATATATGAGGTAAAATTTTCAAAAATATTTCTATTATCACTAGCGCCTGGTGATTCAATATTAGCAAAGTCTTTCTTAACAAGAAAATATTTATAGCAAAGGATTACCAGCCAAATGTCAAGCAATATGCTTAGTATGAGGGCTAACTCAGTGAGTGAGCCAGACGAGCGGCTAATTGCTTGGTGCTAAAATTATCACAGAATTTTCCTCTAGTCTGTATAATTGAACTTCTCTGTGTTTGAGGAGAGCAATCAGAAACTCATCACTCCTCACTCTAACTTACCTTACCCTTAACTTACCTTACCCAAAGTTGTAACTTTGTGCATCTGGACACATCTTCCTAATAAAGCTAGGTACATGTTTCTTCACTTCCAAATCATGTAGGTGGAACAGAATTATTCTTCTGATTTTATAAGCTATCTTTTTTTAAAGTGTGAGTCAATGGCAGAGTAGCAATTGAAACCAAGAGGAAAAAAAGCAAGAATGTACAGGTAATATATGACGGGACTACACGTGAAAAGCTAAGTAAGTCAAGATCAAATATGGACATCACTTTTTACAAATAGCAAAATGATTTCATTGCCAATGAAAAGGATCAGAAATATTTTACTCTATAGAATTCACTAGAAATAAACTTTGAAAAGAGGAAAGGAAATCCAGTGACAGCTAGATTGTATTGTACTATTATGAAGAAAAGTGCTGAGAATTTTTGTTGGAAACCATCAGAAAGAGGCCTGGGAAAAATGAGACAGCATGTCTCATAAACATAACTATGAAGACAAAGTAGATCTAATAATTTTGCTTTTCCTCCTATTTCATTGTTTCTCCATTAGAGTGAAAAAGAATTGTAGAAATCCAGGTCCCTGCTGTGCCCTTTTTGAAGAACGAGGCATACAAGCTGTTGATAAATGCTATGTCTCCGTCAGAGAGAATAGGATCTTGACATCACCCCATGGGTTTAATTTTAAAATGAATATAAATGGCTTTAAGTGCTTTTTATTGTTCTGTTTGTGTCGGCAGTGTGAGCCATAGGTCTCCTATATTGCACTGTAAATAAACAATATGTCGCTAGCATTAGACTCACCATGATGGATGGTATACCTTTCTCAACCCTCAATTGTCTCATTATCCAAGTTCTATTGGGTCATTAAACAAACATTAGAAATGTGGATACTTGCTCTCCCTTGAATGAAATTACTCACTTGGGACTCTTGGCTCCAGAATGACTCAGTAACTAAAACCTCTTGCAAAACTATATATGTATAGCATTAATTTCACACTGTATTTATCAATGCTTTGATTTTATAGCATGACCTGTATGAGTAAGCATATAAAATACCTCTCTTTTTTAGTATTAGAGCCTACTGATTTATATACAATATTTGAATGTTGTCTAATATCCATAGCAGAGGGTGAACATTAGTATATTCAAGATTTGTGTTTCTGTTTATACTTTTCTACCTAACACTAATTGTTAACTTTAGTAAGAGGCTCTGTCTTACTCATAGAACATTTCAGGGAAAACTGAGACGTTCTGAATTCTACAGATTCTACATTTCACACAAGGCTGCCAGTCTCATCTAAAGAACAAATAATTAGCTCTGAAAGCAGAAGTACACAAAAAAAGCAGAATTAATGCATTTGCTGGCCAGTACAGTGCCTCATGCCTGTAATCCCAACACTTTGGGAGGCCGAGGCAGGAGGATCTTTTGAGTCCAGGAGTTTGAGATCAGCATGGGCAACATAGCAAGAACTGGCTGCTGCACAAAATAATAATAATAATAATAATAATAATAATAATAATAATAAAAAAAAACAAATGTGGTGGTGCATGCCTGTATTCCCGCTACTCTAGAGGCTGAGGTGAAAGCATCGCTTGAGCCCAAGAGGCTGAGGCTGCAGTGAGCTGCAGATGACCGAGTAAGATCCTGTCTCAAAAAAAAAAAAAAAAAAGCATATTTGTTTCTTGTTCTTCTGTGGCTGTGATACTTGATTTTCTTATCTCCAGTCATTTATATATTTGTGTGTTTTTAGATGAAGATTAATGCCAGAGAATTCAGAACTGAAATTTCATATACTTAGAAAATTTTTGATTACTTTCAATTTATTCTGGAAGAAAAATGGATGTATTTTACATTTTAATATATTCTGGCTCTTGCTGGGATATAGCATCATAAAATTCAAAATGCTGTAAAGTGGTGTCCATTTGAAAGCAGAGGAAATTCTAATTCTATGTAAATCAAAACAATATTATACTACTGATATTTTAAATAAATAATCTAGACTCTGTTACACATCACAGGGCAGGGACCAGCCATCTAAGTCTCACAGCAACATTTTCATCCTCCCCTCCTTCTACCAGTGGCATTACCTGGAGGTTATAAGACTCCTTTCAGCACTAACAATCAATATATAATAATTAATAAATTAATTAATAAATTAGCTGATCAACATATAGTATTTACTGACCATTCTCTCTTTGTATAAGATACTGGGACAGGCATTATGAGAGAAAAAAATATATATATATAGATCACAATTACTATAAACTTAAAATCTAGTCAGAAAAAATAAAATAAGTTAAAATGTAACATACTAATGACAACTCAATGTTGACAGCATGTAAGCTAATATTTTGGTTTAGCAGTATGAGCCATATGCTTTGAAAGTGATTCTTTGCCAACTGTTCTGTGGTCTTCATTAATTTCCATTAAACTGCTACGATTTGGAATCTTATGGGGGAAATAGGAGATGTCATACTTCTTTCTAGCATAAATTGAATCAGATAGGGATCTGCATTTTACACTCTTATTTCTCCCTATCTTAGCCTTCAGGATACCAAAGTTATGTGACTTACAGAATTAGGTCCCTAAAGGGCAACACACTCAGGAAACTTAATTGCTCTGTATACCCAAAGTGAAAATCTAAAACTTTTGAGATTGTTTGACCCTAAAAAAAAGGACTTATTGTTCAGTCTTCTTAGCATTTGTACAGGAGGTCTCTATTCTGCGGCTACTGAGATATCACATTTTTTGAGTTAAAGTTATGTAAAAACATGTCTTCTCTGAACCTCCAGTATGAAATTCACAATCCATCAGATTAAGTTGGAAATCCTTAGGTTTTCTATGAAATCAGTGTCTTCCTTCAGTCCTTATGTGTAGGCCTATGAAAAGAATGTGAGCAACATGCTATAAATTTGGAATACTTTCATCAACTTAACAGGGAAGAATATTCATAGTATAATCTCTTCTTTCTGGATAATTAGTAGATGTGCTATAATATCACCACATTGGCTAGAATAGAACTCATACAATAAACCTTGATGAGTAAGAGTGGAAAGATGTTAGGAGATTTAATGAGATAAAAGATTCCTAGTTTCCTCTGAGACTTGCCTTTTTGGTTTTTGTTCTGTGGTTTTCCATTAAGTCTACCAAGAAAGGAAGAAACATGGTGAATCACACAGTTCTATACATATGTACATATATCTGTGTATATCTATCTAATCTACATAAAAATTTATATATAAATGTATTCAAAAATAATGACATAATATAGACTGCTTCCTTTTGTCAATGTCCTATGATGTTAAATTCTGATATATAACATGATATTTTACTTAAACATTTGAACTAGATCTTGAATATATACATTTCATATATATGTCTATATAGACATACACAGATCCTGAATATACATATTTCTTTGTTAGGTATAAATGTTTTCGTTGTTAATTAAGTTAATGCTTACATTTGGCAAGCTTAATAAGGCTCACTATATTTTAGAAGAAATTTGATGGTTTTGATGTATTCATTTTATTTTAGGCTTTGCCTTTTTTTCTCAAATCTTTCCAGGAATAATTTTAATGTTGGGTATTTTAGAGTAAGATTTTCTGTTAGCACTATGTAGTGACTTTGATTCCATGTTTGAATTATTTTCATATGACTTAACATTTTAACTGCTGACCACTTCCTGCAAAGTTTGAGAGGACAGCTCTCTGTATGCAAGAAAATAATGGTTCTATATGTAATATAAAGAAAAACAATATGTAATTAAATGGAAATGCCCTCTGAAGGATTTAGTATTTTTTAGGCAAACAAAATTTCTACACAATGTGAAAATCATTGCATTTTTGAATTATACTAGAGTAGCAGGTTAATTTTGCTATTTTCTTATTTTAGAGATGAGATAATGGGGGCACAAGAATATTATGCAAATTGTTTGGGGGTTCCAATTTAGAGCCAGAACATGTGACAGTTTAGGTCTCTTTACATATGTGTGGATTCTCTTCTTAATCTGCCCAAGGTTGAGCTAGTTTTGAATCCTTCTACTTCCATTCACAATCATTATTGGGGCTTGCAAATTTCATGTCATAAATTTAACTTTTATCTCCTCTGCAAATAGACTTTGCACATCGTGTTTATTTTGAGTGAATAAATGATCTCCTTTCAGATCATTCTTTTTAGTGGTAACAGAGGAACTGAAAAAGTAGTAAGAAATTATGGTACAAATACTTTTATCTTCCTTAATGTCATAATATTTGGTTGTTCAATTTGAGAAGTTTCATTTAAAATGACACATAACATGTATTTTATTTTAACTTGAAATATAGATATACACTCATTGGCCAATTTTTTATGTTAATGCAAGGCCTTTTAAAATTATTAAAGTATGAGTCTTCAGATTAGAGCCCATATCTTCCTTGAATAAACCGTAATATTAATGACTTTGTTTGGGTTTCTTTAAACTGGAATAAGAAATATTTATGAAGACAACAGAGTGTACAATCCTTTTGGAGTTTTACAATTGTATTCAAACATTAGTAGTTTTCTTACCCTTGTCTATTTGCTTTTTTCTAACATTTTTATCTTGGTTTTCTTTTTTTATACTCATTACTGTAATTACTTAATTAAATTATTAGTGTGTTTTACTGCCCTAAACATATTTGGGATGATCTAAGGTAAATATACAATTCGACAATTGGAGCAGGAAAACATATATGTACTAGGGAGTGCATCCAACCTAATTAATGCCATAGATAACAGACATGACAGAGAACAGAGAGAGCATTAGTATTCTGGCAAGCTGTTTCAATGATGGTTGTTTATGAAAGCCTCTTCTGAATTTAGCATTTCTCTTTAAGGTTAATTGGAAAAATAACGTCTTTATTAGGTGAGAATACGAAGAAATTCTTAAGCTTAAACTCTTCAAGGCTTCACTGACTTCTGCTCTGCTACCTGGATTAATCTGATTTGTAGACGTCAAGTTTCTTAAGTAAATCACCAATTTCTAGAGAAGTTTTTGTATCAGAAACTGTTTTGAAGGTCTGCTGAAGGACATTAAATCTCTTCCCCTCACTTAAACACACACAACCATGCACGCACAGAATTGCTAAATGAAATACCACTGGAATTAGATTGCCTGAAGTAGAAATTTGTTAATTTTGAGGCAATATACTTAATTTTTCATCATAAAATGGGTAGAATAATAGCATCTAATTATAAGTTTACTATTATGAGTATCAGAAAAGTAAAGTATTTGGCTCAATTTTTGTCTCATAAGTTATAATAGAATACAAAAATAAAAATAATGTTATCAAAAATTATATCTTATGAGTTAACCCTTCTAAGGTGTTTTAAATGATGCTGATAAACTATTGGCTATATTTTCTGATGGTGTTTAGACTATTACAATTGATGAACATAATTATGCTTTTGTTTTTATGCAAAATTAGTAGACATATCCTACAAAAAATTGAATTAAATTCATAATTATAGAAATAAAACAATGATGACACTCTCATTGTCCTCTAAAGTAAATTTTTAATACAGAGATTACTGTTTTTTACTTTGCATATGAAATTGAAATTGTGAAATTGATATGGCAACATGCCTGTCACTTTTGACAGTTATTTTTGACTTTTTTTTCTTTTGAAGGACAACAAATGACTCACAAAAGTTACCCTTATTCAAAACAGTTGTATTCAGAACCAAAGTTCCCCTTGCCAGAGGAGGTTGGGCAATACACATCAGAATTCTGCATGCCTATTCTAGGCAATGCAGAATTTCAATTTGGTCATTTTATTTAGTTTTAGTTAATGCTGTTGTTTTTGGTCAGCACTGATGTCCTTGGATGAGACACAATGTTTCTCTACTGTGATAGGCCGGAGAAAGACCTAGTTCCTAGGGGTCTGTTTTATGTTTTAAAGTCTATATACCCAACCTATTTTCACACTGGTGAGCTGCCCACAATGGAAGAATGAAAAATTTATAGAATTGGGCATTTCTACCCTGGCATCTGTCAGTGACAACATAACTCTCATCAATCCAATTCATGATGAGTTTATACTACTAATAAATAATTACACAAAGCCATGTGAAGTCTTCCAAAAAAAAAAGGTGCTTAGGTTCCTGTTTGGCTATACATAACCTGACTCGAAGGAAGCTGAAAAAAAATGTTTAATTTCTGCCTCTTCCGTTGCGGAAAAAGAAGCAAGCTCTCTTCATTTTTCCAATTCTGGTTTGAGTTCAAAAAATTCACTGGACTAGGATCACAAACCTGTGTGCCAGGCCTGGCTCTTCCTCTCTCTAGCTTTGCACAAGATACTTGAAACTCTGGTACTTTAATTTCCCTTCTGTGAAATGATAGCTGGGCCAGATGATATCTAAGGCATTTTTGACTCTACAAATAAAAACCTGTTCCCCCCTTTTCAAATCTAGCTCATAAAATTCAGCTAAATTATATTGGTCTTTGAATATCATGACTTGGAAAGTAACTGCCTGTGCAATTTTTAAGAAATAAAATAAATTATCTCATGTAGCAAATCTATTGGGCTTGCCCTACTTTGCTTTATTTTATAATCTTGGCCTTGGATATAGACCATAATGGAAAGTCAGCTTACAATAGGGTGCATTCTATTGTGTGAAGACCTGATTTTGCCTTGGCAGGGGACTGATTCAATAATGGAAGGGGCTTCTTCCATTCACAATATGTATAACTTACAGAGAATGTTTGAAAGTTTCTCTGTATGCCTATGATAATATCAGAGTGGCTCTGAATATGCAGTTCACAGAATAATTCAGACCCAACAAATCTAATGACTCCCAATATGAGGGGTTGTCAGTGGCACAGGTGTTTTTCTTATCACTTGATGTCTAAATTATGTAGGCTGCCTATATATGTTGAAGAGATGAATGAGGCTTGTAACTAGATTATCCTAAGAGACAACCTAGACTTTTAGGGATTTTCTAATTTGTGTTCAATTTACATATCTTTTTCGGCTGATTTTACCTTAATTCCCAAGAACCTCTAGTTTTAGTCAAAGTAATGCTTGTAATGAACTTCCTCTGCTGAGAACCAATATCCGTGGCCTGATAGAAGAACTATACAACAACCTGTGCTTTAGGAAGAAAATATATGTCATTGGGTTTATGGTGTAATAAGATTTGCTTCTTTCATGGTTCAAGGCATTTGCAGTTCATCAATCACAAACTGTTAATGGAAGCTGATTTCCATTTTTCCTCCTTAGATGTTTTTCTGAATTGGTGGGTCAAAAGCAAATGTTGAAGCCACAAATTCATGAATTAGCCTTGTACTTGGGAAATAAGCATAGTTATGTGGAGACCAAAAAACAATATTTGATGTCTCAGAGCTGCTACTGGAAGCCAGATGATCTTTTAAAAATGGAAATCATATCAGACCACTACTATTTAAGTCCCCTTGATGGTTTCCCATTTCCTACCGCATAAAATAGACTTAACTAACCAAGAGCAACAAGGACTTACCTTACAGCATTCTGCCTAAACATGTGACTTTTTCCCCCTTTCTACCACTTCTTTGTCAATAAGCTTCAGCTATTCAGACCTTTTTTTGGATTCCAGGAACACACTAAGCTCTTTCCTACCTTAAGGCCAAGAATTTGTAGTTTATTCTGCCTTAGATACTTGTCCTCAAGATTTTAGCATGGTAGAGTCTTCCTGATCATTCAGATCTTATTTTAAATGTCACTTAATGAAGATCATTCAGCTCAAAGTAGGTCTCCAGACATTACCACATACTTTATTTTCTACATAGCAGATAGAGCAAGTATCCCATTATTTTCTTGGTTTTTGTTTGATTGTTGTGTTTTCCGTCTCTTACATTAGCACAAGAGCATGTAGCTGTTGCTCAATAAATATATGAAATGAGAAAAATCAATGAACATATTACATTTAAACCTCTAAGTTGCTTTTAGCTTTTATATTATTTTTCATAAAAATATGTATGTATAAATATAAATGCATAGATTATATACAATAACGTGCTTTTATAAAAAACATATAAATTATGAATTTATTATAAAAGTATATAATTACATATATAAATTTTATAAACTAGATTATATAAAGATTATAGAGAGATTATATATAATGTATATAAAAGATTTATTATATATAAAGATTATATATATAGATTAGGGTTCACTCTTGGTGTCATGTATTCTATAGGTTTGGATAAATGCATGCTGGCATGTATCTGCCATTATAGTATCATACAGAATAGTTTCACCGACTTAAAAATTGCCTGTGCACTGCTTATTTATTTTTCCCCCAACCCCTGGCAACCACAGACGTTTTTACTGTCTGCACAGCTTTGCGTTTTTTGGAATGTCATATACTTGGAATCATACAGGATGCAGCCTTTTGAGACTGGCTTCTTTACTCAGCAATATGCATTTAAGTTTCCTACTTGTCTTTTCATGGCCTGATAGTTCATTTCTTTTTAGCACTGAATAATATTCCATTGTCTGAATGTACCACAGTTTACACCACCTATTGACGAACATTTTTATTGCTTTCAAGTTTTAGCAATTATCAATAAAGCTGCTATAGACATCCACGTGCAGGGTTTTTTGTACATACAAGTTCTCAACTCCTTTGGGTGAATATCAAGGAACATGATTGCTGGGTTATATGATAAAAGTACATTTAGTTTTGTAGGAAACCGCCAAACTGTCTTCCAAAGTGGTTGTATCATTTTGGATTACCAGTAGCAGTGGATGAGAGTTCCCATTGTTTCACATCCTCACCAGCATTTGGTGTAGTCAGTGTTCTGAATTTTGGAATTTCTAATAGGTGTGTAGTGGTAGGCCATGATTGTTTTAACTTGTGTTTCCCTGATGAAATATGATGTCAGATCATAAAAGATAATTTTCATATACTTATTTTCCATCTATATATTTTCTTTGGTGAGGTATCTGTTAAGATATTTGGCTTATTTTTGATCAGATTCGTTATGTTCTTGTTGAGTTTCAAGAGTTCTTTGTATGTCTTGGGTAACAGTTCATTATCAGATGTGTCTTCTGCAAATATTTTCTCCCATTCTGTAACTTGTCCTTTCATTCTCTTGACGATGTCTTTTGCAGAGAGAAATTTTTAAATCATAATAAAGTCCAGTTTATCAATTACTTCTTTCATGGATCATGCCTTTGGTGATTATCTAAAAAGCATTGCCAACCCCAAGGGAATTTAGATTTTTTCCTAAGTTGTCATCCAGGAGTTTTATAATTTTGCATTTTAAATATAGATACAGATTCCATTTTGAGTTAATTTTTTTGAAGTGTGTAAGGTCTATGTCTTGATTCATTTATTTTTGCATGTGTGTGTCCAGTTATTCCAACACCATTTGCTGAAAAAGCTCTTTTCTCCATTGTATTTCCTTTCCTCCTTTGTCAAAAGTCTGTTGACTATATTTATGTGGGACTATTTATGAACTTTCCATTCTGTTCCATTGTTCTATTTGTCTATTCTTGTGCGAATAACTTCCTGATTGTCCTGATTACTGTAGCTTTGATTATCATCTTAAAATAGGGTAGTGTTACTCTTCGAACTTTGTTCTTCTACTTCAATATTGTGTTAGTAATTCTGGATCTTTTGCTTCTCCACATACACTTTAAAATCAGTGTGAAAATATTCACAAAATAACTTGCTGGGATTTCGATTGGGACTGTATACTGACAATTGATATTGGATCTTTCTATCCATAACATGGCATATCTCTAGTTAGTTATTTGATTTCTTTCATCAGAGTTTTGTAGTTTTCTCATAAACATTTTGTACATATTTTGTCAGATTTATTTCATTTTCATTTTTGGGATTTCTAATATAAGTGTTATTGTGTTTTTAATTTCAAATTTCAATCAGTCATTTCTAGTATATAGGAAAGTGATTGACTGAAGTGTATTAACCTTGCATCCTGCAACCTGATAAAATTACTTGTGAGTGTCAGCAGTTTTTTTGTTGATTCTTTCAGATTTTCTACCTAGAGAATCACATCAACTGCAAACAAAATAGTTTTATTTTTTCCTTCCCTATCTGTATACTTTTTATTTCCTGTTCTTATCATATTGTATTAGGTAGAGATTCCAGTAGATGTTGAAAAGAAGTAGTGAAAGGAGCCATCCTTGCCTTTTTCCTAATTTTAGTAGAAAAGCTTTGAATTTCTCAGGTCTAAGCTTAATGTTAGCCCTCAGGTTTTTGTAGATTTTTAGAAACCAAAATGAGGAAGCTTCCCTCCACTTCTAGTTTATGGGGAGTTTTTACTATGAATGGATATTAGATTTTGTCAAATGTTTTTTCTGTATCTATGTTTATTACCATGTAATTTTTCTTCTTTAGCCTGTTTATGTGATAGATTACATTAATTGATTTTCAAATGTTGAATTAGGTTTGCATACCTGGAAAAAATCCCTCTTGGTCATGGTGTATAACTCTTTGTATACACTGTTGGACTTGATTTGCTAGTATTTTGTTGAGAACTTTTTCATCTATGTTCACGAGATGTATTGGTCTGTGGTTTTCTTGTAATATCTTTCTCTGGTGGCTCATATTTTTAAACTCAAGATATTTTTGGTGGATGTCTTACTTTTAAATATTGTCAATAAGATAGAGTGTTGGAACTACAGAGAAGCTGTAAAGAGAATTAACTTTCCTCTTATTGGTGTACACACACACACACACACACACACACACTCAACTGAATTCAACTATGTTCAAGCTTTCCTTAATATTCTACTTGATCCTTGTTTAAACTAAAAGTGAGAATACGGTTATGTATTTTCTCCACATATTTCCAAAGGGGCAGTTTTGATTTTTTTCATCTCAGCTTATGAAATCAAAAGTCTGATGAATATCTTCCAATCTTCGGAAGATTTTTTCCTATTTTTTAAAATAAACTTTTAAATTTTAGAATAGTTTTTTTATTTACAGAAAAGTGCTCCTGTGTGCCCCACATCTAATTTCCCCTATTGTTAAAATCTCAGATTAATATGGCACATTTTTTACAACAAATAATGATACAATATTATTAAACAAAGTGCATACATTATTCAGATTTCCTTAGGTTTTATTTGATGTTCTTCAATACCACATTAGACACTTCTAAGCTATGAAAGTTTCTAACACTGTCCTTGTTTTTGATGACCTTGAAGTTTTTGAGGAGTACTAGTTTTGAGTAGTACCAGTGAAGTATTTTGTCGTATTCCTGAAATAGAATTTTTCAGGTAATTTTGTTATAATTACACTGAGTTTTCGGGAAGATCACAAAGACAAAGTACAATTTTCAGCATATTATATCAAAAGTACAAACTACCAGTATGACATCTAATTAATGATGTTTACTCTGAGAATCTGGAAAGTTATTATTTTCTCCTTTTTCCATGCGTTTTTCTCTTCTTTGTATACTCTTGGAAAGAAGTTGTTATGCATAGCCCCAACTTAAGGAGTAGGGAGTGCCATAGCCAAGAAACCATTACCTAACCCAAGATCATAAAGATTTACTCCTATGTTTTCTTTAAGAGTTTTGTGATTTTAACTCTTACATTTAGGACTATAAACCATTTTGAATTTTTTTGTGTATAAATATGCTAGTGGTCCTGGTTCATTCTTTTGCATGTGGATATCCAGTTGTCCCAGCACTACTTTTTGAAATGACTATTCTTTTCTCTTTCTTGGCACCTTTGTCAGAAATCAATTTACTGTAAATTTGATGGATTATTTCTGGACTCTCAGTTCTATAATCGATCTCCTGTGCTAGTGCTGCACTGTCTTGATCACTGCAGCTTTGTAATACATTTTGCAATTGGGATGTGTGACTCTTCCAAATTTGGTCTTTTTCAAGAATGCTTTGGTTATTCTGGGTCCTGTTAATTTTCATATAAATTTTTTAGAATCAGTGTGTCAATTTATTAAAAAAAAAAACACCCAGCTTAGATTTTAGATTTTGGTAGGAATTATGTTGAATCTATAGAGCAGTTTGGGGAGTGTTGCTATCTTAACAAGGTTAAGTCTTCTGAACTATGAACTTGGGGTTCTTTCCATTTATTTAGATCTTTATAAATTTATTTCAACAATGTTTTGTGGTTTTTTTGTGTGCCAATATTGCATTTCTTTTTAAAATTCTATTTGTAAATTTATTTGTTGTATTTTAAAATTTTATTTATTTGAATTCTATGAGGTTTTGTAAAAAACTATTATTGAATTATTCATTTCTAATATATAGAAATACATTAATTTCCATATATTGATTTTGCATCCTAAGAGCTTAGCAAACTTGCTAAGCTTATTTATTCATTCTAATAGGTTTTTGTGTGTTTCTCATTATTTTCTATATACAGACAATTTCATCTCCAAATAGACTGGTTTTCTTCATTCTTTCCAATCTTCATGCCTTTTATTTTCTTGCATAATATCCCTGGATAGAACCTTGATTACAATTGAATATAAGTGGTAAGGGAAGATATCCCTAAGTTGTTCTGTATCTTAGGAAATAAGATTCAATATTTTACCATTAAGAATGATATTAACCATGGATTTTTGTACATGCCCTTTACAATGCTGAGGAAGTTCCCTTGTATTCCTAGTTTGTTTCGTGTTTTTATCATGAAAGGATATTGGATTTTTAAAAAGCCCTTTTTCGGCATCTATTGAAGTGATCATATGTTTCCCCCCTGGATTCTATTAATGGAATGTATTACTTGATTTGAGATTTTAAACTAACCATGCATCCCTGTCATAAATTCTACTTGGTCATGGTCTATAATCCTTTTTATATATTGCTTGGTGCCATTTGTTAATATTTTGTTAAGTATTTTTGCAACTATATTCAAGAGGGATATTTGTAATTTTCTTGTGATATTTTGTATGGATTTAGTATCAGGATAACACTTTCTTCATTGAATGATTTAGAAATAGACTGTAGTTAGTAAGGGTGGGAAGACAATTGTATAAGCATGGAAACAAACGGTGCATTTGAATTAGTCTGTGCAGCAAATTATAATCACCTCGTGTAGACAGGTTACATCAGTGGTTAGAAGTAGTCAGATTTGTGATATATTTATGAATAGAGGTGTTGAGATTTGTTGGTGGATTAGATGTGAATTTGAAACAAAGAGAGAAACCAAAGATAACTTCCAAGTTTTGTTCTAAACAAATTCATGGATAATCTTAACATTTATGGAGGAGTCCTTGAGTATTAGTAGAGAAGTCAAGATTCCTAAGCCTGTTAAATTTGAAAGTCATAAAAATAAATACAAATTTAGGAATATCCAGCTCATTCACAAATCAGTATTTCCTAGGCAAAGAGTAAATATAGAAAAGGGATGAAAACTGAAGATACCGTGGCTTGCTCCAACATTTGGAAATCAGGGGCAGCAGAAGACATGAAATGAAATCTATAAGTTGCATTATTTTAGATTTAGTTGTGTCCTAGCCTGAACATGAAGCACTTTATTTATTTATTTATTTTACTTTAGCATCTTCCAGCAATACAAAACGGTGGAAGTGTAGAGCAGAGAGTGTCTCTGGGTGGTGGGGAGGGAGAACACAGCAATTGTGAGGCATTGAACTCAGTGCTGTCCTATTAGAGCAGAAAGAAAAACTGGACCAAATTTAGCTGCTGCCTGCCCACAAAGAGAGCATTTAAACCAGCCCTAGGCAGAGGAGAATCACTGATTCCAGTAGTTCAAACTTGAGATCCCACAAACCTCATCACCAAGGGCTACAGCGCTCTGTGTCTCCAAGTAAACTTGAAAGGTAGTCTAGGCCGTAAGGACTGCAATTCTTAGGCATGTTCCAGTACTGAACTAGGCCCAAAGACTGGGGACTGTGAGGACATGTGACATATTGTGATAGCCGCTGGGGCAGCCAAGGGAGTGCTGGCATCAACCCTCCCCTAACTCCCAGCTGTGCAGCTCACAGCTTCAAAAGAGAGCCTTTCCTTCCACTTGAAGAGAGGAGAGGGAAGAGTGGGGAAGACTTTATCTTACATTTTTTATACCAGCTCAGCCACAGTAAGATAGGGCACTGGTCAGAGTCTTAAGGCCCCCCATTCTAGGCCCTAGCTCCCAGACAACATTTCTAGACACATCCTGGGCCAGAAGGGAACCCTCTGCCTTGAAGGACCCAGTGCTTACATCATTCATCACCTGCTAACTGAAGAGCCCTTGGGCCGTGAATAACCATCAGTGATACTCAGGTACTTGGTTGAGGGCCTTGAGTGAGCCTCTGAGACATGCTGGCTTCAGATGAGACTCAGCACGTTACCAGCTGTGGTGGCTATGGGGCAAAACTCTGCTTCAGAAAAGCAGAGGGAAATGAAAGGGAATTTTGTCTTGTACTGTAGATACCAGGACAGCCACAGGGTAGTAGAGCACCAAGTGGGCTCTTGGGATTCCTGATTCTAGGACTGGACTCTTTTGACAGCATTTCTGGAACTGCCCTGGGCCAGAGGGGAGCCCACTACACTGAAGGGTGAGTACCAGGCTAGGAAGCATTTACCACAAACTGACTTAAGAGCCCTTGGGCTTTAAAGAACATTGCAGTAGTCTGGCAGTACACCTCATGGCCTGTGATGGCCATAGGTGAGACTCCTCTGTCTTTAGAAATGGGAGGGAAGAGTGGGAAGAACGGAGTCTTGTGGTTTGACTGACAGCTCAGTCTCAGTACAGTAGAACACCAGGTAGACTTCTAAGGTTTCTGACTCTAGTCCCTGACTTCTGGACAGCACCTCAGGGACCCACTTGGGGGCTGGGGGACCTTACCTCCATGAAGGGAAGGACATAGCCCTGGCTGGCTTTGCCACTGGCTGATTGTAGAGCCCCAGGGCTTACAGCAAACTTAGGCAGTAGCCAGTGAGTGGTTTCAGCAGGCCTTGGGTGAGGCCCAGTGCTGTGCTGGCTTCAGGTCTGACAAGGCGCAGTAATAGCTGTGGTGGCCACAGCAGTGCTTATGTCACTCCACCCCCAGCTTAGGTTGCTAAGAATGGAGAGAGAGACTGTTTGGGAGAAAGAGAAGAGAATAACAGTCTGTGCCTGGTAATTCAGAGAATTTTCCCAGATCTAGTCCAAGACCACCAGGGCAGTATCTCTACAAGTTGGCAAGAACCACAGTGTTACTGAAGTTGGGGCCCTCCTAAAGCAGATACAGCTTAGGTCACAACACCAAAGTCCTTTCAAATATCTGGAAAGCCTTCCCATGAAGGATGAGTACTATAAGCCCAGACTGTGAAGACTGTAATAAATACCTAATCCTTCAGTGCCCAGACATTGAAGAACATCTACTAGCATCAGTACCATCCAGGAAACATGACTTCATAAAATGAACCAAGTAAGGCACCAGGGACCAATCCTGGAGAAGCAGATATATGTGACCTTTCAGACAGACCTTCAGGTAGCTGTGTTGGGGAAACTCAAAGAAATTCAAGTTAACACAGAGAAGAAATTCAGAATTCTATTGGATACATTTAACAAAGAGATTGAAACAGTTAAGCAGAAGTTCTACAGTTGAAAAATGCAACTGACATACTGAAGAATGAATTTGAGGCTTTTAATAGCATAATTGATTAAGTAGAAAAAGGAATTAGTGAGCCTGAAGACAGGCTGTTTGTAAATGCACAAGATTTAGAAAATAGCCTCAAAAGGGCAAATCTAAGAGTTATTGGCCTTAAAGAGGAGTAGAGAAAGAGATGGGGTAGATATTTTTATTCAGAGGAACAATATCAGAGAACTCCCCAAACCTAGAGAAAGATACTAACATTCAAGTATAAAGAAGGTTATACAACACCAAGGAGATTTAATCCAAATAATACTATCTCATGGCATTTAATAGTCAAACTCTTAATGGTGAAGAATAAAGAAAGGATCCTAAAAGCAACAAGAGAAAAGAAACAACATACAATGGAGCTCCAATACATCTGGCAGCAGACCTATCAGACTTTTCAATGGAAACCGTGCAGGCTGGGAGAGAGTGGCATGACATATTCAAAGTGCTGAATGAAAAAACTTTTACACTAGAATAGTATATGTGGTGAAATATCCTTCAAAATTGAAGGAGAAAAAAAGACTTTCTGAGACAAAAGCTGAGATATTTTATTAACACAAGACTGGTCCTACAAGAAATGCTAAACGGAGTACTTTAGTCAGAAAGAAAAGGATGTTACTGAGCAATAAGAAATCATCTGAAGGTACAAAACTTGTAATAGCAAGTACACAGAAAAACACAGAATATGATAACACTGAATGTAATATAAAACTATAACTGTTGTGTGCCAACTATTCTTATCCTAAGAAGAAAGAATAAATGATGAACAGAATTTATAACACTAATAAATATGCTAATATGTTATTACATATTAACAGAATATAGCACTGTAACTATTGTGTGCAAACTGTTCTTATCCTAAGTAAAAAGAATAAATGATGAACCAATAAAAAATAACACCTACTACAAATTTTCATGACGTAGTACAGTAAGATGAAAATGGAAATAAATAAAAGTTAAAAAGCAGAGGATGAAGTTAGGGTGTAGAATTTTATTTTTATTTTTATTTTATTGTACTTTAAGTTTTAGGGTACATGTGCACAATGTGCAGGTTAGTTACATATGTATACATGTGCCATGCTGGTGTGCTGCACCCATTAACTCGTCATTTAGCATTAGATTTATCTCCTAAAGCTATCCCTCCCCCCGGCCCCCACCCCACAACAGTCCCCAGAGTGTGATGTTCCCTTTCCTGTGTCCATGTGTTCTCATTGTTCAATTCCCACCTATGAGTGAGAATATGCGGTGTTTGGTTTTTTGTTCTTGCAATAGTTTACTGCGAATGATGATTTCCAATTTCATCCATGTCCCTACAAAGGACATGAACTCATCATTTTTTATGGCTGCATAGTATCCCATGGTGTATATGTGCCACATTTTCTTAATCCAGTCTATCATTGTTGGACATTTGGGTGGGTTCCAAGTCTTTGCTATTGTGAATAGTGCCGCAATAAACAGACGTGTGCATGTATCTTTATAGCAGCATGATTTATAGTCCTTCGGGTATATACCCAGTAATGGGATGGCTGGGTCAAATGGTATTTCTAGTTCTAGGTCCCTGAGGAATCGCCACACTGACTTCCACAATGGTTGAACTAGTTTACAGTCCCACCAACAGTGTAAAAGTGTTCCTATTTCTCCACATCCTCTCTAGCACCTGTTGTTTCCTGACTTTTTAATGATTGCCATTCTAACTAGTGTGAGATGGTATCTCATTGTGGTTTTGATTTTTATTTCTCTGGTAGCCAGTGATGGTGAGCATTTTTTCATGTGTTTTTTGGCTGCATAAATGACTTCTTTTGAGAAGTGTCTGTTCATGTCCTTCGTCCACTTTTTGATAGGGTTGTTTGTTTTTTTCTTGTAAATTTGTTTGAGTTCATTGTAGATTCTGGATATTAGCCCTTTGTCAGATGAGTAGGTTGCAAAAATTTTCTCCCATTGTGTAGGTTGCCTGTTGACTCTGATGGTAGTTTCTTTTGCTGTGCAGAAGCTCTTTAGTTTAATGAGATCCCATTTGTCAATTTTGCCTTTTGTTGCCATTGCTTTTGGTATTTTAGACATGAAGTCCTTGCCCATGCCTATGTCCTGAATGGTAATGCCTAGGTTTTCTTCTAGAGTTTTTATGGTTTTAGGTGTAATGTTTAAGTCTTTAATCCATCGTGAATTAATTTTTGTATAAGGTGTAAGGAAGGGATCCAGTTTCAGGTTTCTACATATGGCTAGCCAGTTTTCCCAGCACCATTTATTAAATAGGGAATCCTTTCCCCATTGCTTGTTTTTGTCAGGTTTGTCAAAGATCAGATAGTTGTAGATATGCGGCATTATTTCTGAGGGCTCTGTTCTGTTCCATTGATCTATATCTCTGTTTTGGTACCAGTACCATGCTGTTTTGGTTACTGTAGCCTTGTAGTATAGTTTGAAGTCAGGTAGCGTGATGCCTCCAGCTTTGTTCTTTTGGCTTAGGATTGACTTGGTGATGCGGGCGCTTTTGTGGTTCCATATGAACTTTAAAGTAGTTTTTTCCAATTCTGTGAAGAAAGTCATTGGTAGCTTGATGGGGATGGCATTGAATCTATAAATTACCTTGGGCAGTATGGCCATTTTGACGATATTGATTCTTCCTACCCATGAGCATGGAATGTTCTTCCATTTGTTTGTATCCTCTTTTATTTCGTTGAGCAGTGGTTTGTAGTTCTCCTTGAAGAGGTCCTTCACGTCCCATGTAAGTTGGATTCCTAAGTATTTTATTCCCTTTGAAGCAATTGTGAATGGGAGTTTGGCTCTCTGTTTGTCTGTTATTGGTGTATAAGAATGCTTGTGATTTTTGTACATTGATTTTGTATCCTGAGCCTTTGCTGAAGCTGCTTATCAGCTTAAGGAGATTTTGGGCTGAGACAATGGGGTTTTCTAGATATACAATCATGTCATCTGCAAACAGGGACAATTTGACTTCCTCTTTTCCTAATTGAATACCCTTTATTTCCTTCTCCTGCCTCATTGCCCTGGCCAGAACTTCCAACACTATGTTGCATAGGAGTGGTGAGAGAGGGCATGCCTGTCTTGTGCCAGTTTTCAAAGGGAATGCTTCCAGTTTTTGCCCATTCAGTATGATATTGGCTGTGGGTTTGTCATAGATAGCTCTTATTATTTTGAGATACGTCCCATCAATACCTAATTTATTGAGAGTTTTTAGCATGAAGGTTGTTGAATTTTGTCAAAGGCCTTTTCTGCATCTACTGAGATAATCATGTGGTTTTTGTCTTTGGTTCTGTTTATATGCTGGATTACATTTATTGATTTGTGTATATTGAACCAGCCTTGCATCCCAGGAATGAAGCCCACTTGATCTTGGAGGATAAGCTTTTTGATGTGCTGCTGAATTCAGTTTGCCAGTATTTTATTGAGGATTTTTGCATCAATGTTCACCAAGGATATTGGTCTAAAATTTTCTTTTTTGGTTGTGTCTCTGCCTGGCTTTGGTATCAGGATGATGCTGGCCTCATAAAATGAGTTAGGGAGGATTCCCTCTTTTTCTATTGATTGGAATAGTTTCAGAAGGAATGGTACCCGTTCCTCCTTGTACCTCTGGTAGAATTCGGCTGTGAATCCATCTGGTCCTGGACTCTTTTTGGTTGGTAAGCTATTGATTATTGCCACAATTTCAGAGCCTGTTATTTGTCTATTCAGAGATTCAACTTCTTCCTGGTTTAGCCTTAGGAGGGTGTATGTGTCGAGGAATTTATCCATTTCTTCTAGATTTTCTAGTTTATTTGCATAGAGGTGTTTGTAGTATTCTCTGATGGTAGTTTGTATTTCTTTGGGATCGGTAGTGATATCCCTTTATCATTTTTTATTGCTTCTATTTGATTCTTCTCTCTTTTCTTCTTTATTAGTCTTGCTAGTGGCCTATCAATTTTGTTGATCCTTTCAAAAAACCAGCTCCTGGATTCATTAATTTTTTGAAGGGTTTTTTGTGTCTCTATTTCCTTCAGTTCTGCTCTGATTTTAGTTATTTCTTGCCTTCTGGTAGCTTTTGAATGTGTTTGCTCTTGCTTTTCTAGTTCTTTTAATTGTGATGTTAGGGTGTCAATTTTGGATCTTTCCTGCTTTCTCTTGTGGGCATTTAGTGCTATAAATTTCTCTCTACACACTGCTTTGAATGTGTCCCAGAGATTCTGGTATGTTGTGTCTTTGTTCTCGTTGGTTTCAAAGAACATCTTTATTTCTGCCTTCATTTCGTTATGTACCCAGTAGTCATTCAGGAGCAGGTTGTTCAGTTTCCACGTAGTTGAGTGGTTTTGAGTGAGTTTCTTAATCCTGAGTTCTAGTTTGATTGCACTGTGGTCTGAGAGACAGTTTGTTATAATTTCTGTTCTTTTACATTTGCTGAGGAGTGCTTTACTTCCAAGTATGTGGTCAGTTTTGGAATAGGTGTGGTGTTGTGCTGAAAATATGTATATTCTGTTGATTTGGGGTGGAGAGGTCTGTAGATGTCTATTAGGTCCGCTTGGTGCAGAGCTGAGTTCAATTCCTGGGTATCCTTGTTAACTTGGTGTCTCGTTGGTCTGTCTAATGTTGACAGTGGGGTGTTAAAGTCTCCCATTATTATTGTGTGGGAGTCTAAGTCTCTTTGTAGGTCACTCAGGACTTGCTTTATGAATCTGGGTGCTCCTGTATTGGGTGCATATATATTTAGGATAGTTAGCTCTTCTTGTTGAATTGATCCCTTTACCATTATGTAATGGCCTTCTTTGTCTCTTTTGATCTTTGTTGGTTTAAAGTCTGTTTTATCAGTGACTAGGATAGCAACCCCTGCCTTTTTTTGTTTTCCATTTGCTTGGTAGATCTTCCTCCATCCTTTTATTTTGAGCCTATGTGTGTCTCTGCACATGAGATGGGTTTCCTGAATATAGCACACTGATGGGTCTTGACTCTTTATCCAATTTGCCATTCTGTGTCTTTTAATTGGAGCAGTTAGTCCATTTACATTTAAAGTTAATATTGTTATGTGTGAATTTGATCCTGTCATTATGATATTAGCTGGTTATTTTGCTCGTTAGTTGATGCAGTTTCTTCCTAGCCTCGATGGTCTTTACAATTTGGCATATTTTTGACGTGGCTGGTACCGGTTGTTCCTTTCCATGTTTAGTGCTTCCTTCAGGAGCTCTTTTAGGGCAGGCCTGGTGGTGACAGAATCTCTCAGCATTTGCTTGTCTGTAAAGTATTTTATTTCTCCTTCACTTATGAAGCTTAGTTTGGCTGGATATGAAATTCGGGGTTGAAAATTCTTTTCTTTAAGAATGTTGAATATTGGCCCCCACTCTCTTATGGCTTGTAGAGTTTCTGCCAAGAGATCCGCTGTTAGTATGATGGGCTTCCCTTTGTGGGTAACCCAACCTTTCTCTCTGGCTGCCCTTAACATTTTTTCCTTCATTTCAACTTTGGTGAATCTGACAATTATGTTTCTTGGAGTTGCTCTTCTCGAGGAGTATCTTTGTGGCGTTCTCTGTATTTCCTGAATCTGAATGTTGGCCTGCCTTGCTAGATTGGGGATGTTCTCCTGGATAATATCCTGCAGAGTGTTTTCCAGGTTGGTTCCATTCTCCCCATCACTTTCAGGTACACCAATCAGACGTAGATTTGGTCTTTTCACATAGTCCCATATTTCTTGGAGGCTTTGTTCATTTCTTTTTATTGTTTTTTCTCTAAGCTTCCCTTCTCGCTTCATTTCATTCATTTCATCTTCCATCGCTGATACCCTTTCTTCCAGTTGGTCACATCGGCTCCTGAGTCTTCTGCATTCTTCACGTAGTTCTCGAGCCTTGGCTTTCAGATCCATCAGCTCCTTTAAGCACTTCTCTGTATTGGTTATTCTAGTTATACATTCTTCTAAATTTTTTTCAAAGTTTTCAACTTCTTTGCCTTTGGTTTGAATTTCCTCCTGTAGCTCAGAGTAGTTTGATTGTCTGAAGCCTTCTTCTCTCAACTCGTCATTCTCCGTCCAGCTTTGTTCTGTTGCTGGTGAGGAGCTGCATTCCTTTGGAGGAGGAGAGGTGCTCTGCTTTTTAGAGTTTCCAGTGTTTCTGCTTTGTTTTTTCACCATCTTTGTGGTTTTATCTACTTTTGGTCTTTGATGATGGTGATGTACAGATGGGTTTTTGGTGTGGATTTCCTTTCTGTTTGTTAGTTTTCCATCTAACAGACAGGACCCTCAGATGCAGGTTTGTTGGAGTTTGCTAGAGGTCAACTCCAGACCCTGTTTGCCTGGGTACCAGCAGCGGTGGCTGCAGAACAGCGGATTTTCGTGAACCGCAAATGCTGCTGTCTGATCATTCCTCTGGAAGTTTTGTCTCAGAGGAGTACCCGGCCGTGTGAGACGTCAGTCGGGGGGGTGCCTCGCAGATAGGCTGCTCGGGGGTCAGGGGTCAGGGACCAACTTGAGGAGGCAGTCTGCCCCTTCTCAGATCTCCAGCTGCATGCTGGGAGAACCACTGCTCTCTTCAAAGCTGTCAGACAGGGACATTTAAGTCTGCAGAGGTTACTGCTGTCTTTTTGTTTGTCTGTGTCCTGCCCCCAGAGGTGGAGCCTACAGAGGCAGGCAGGCCTCCTTGAGCTGCAGTGGGCTCCACCCAGTTCGAGCTTCCCGCCTGCTTTGTTTCCCTATGCAAGCCTGGGCAATGGCAGGTGCCCGTACCCTAGCCTTGCTACTGCCTTGCAGTTTGATCTCAGACTGCTGTGCTAGCAATCAGCGAGACTCCGTGGGCATAGGATCCTCCGAGCCAGGTGCGGGATATAATCTCTTGGTGCACCGTTTTTTAAGCCCGTCGGAAAAGCACAGTTTTCTGGTGGGAGTGACCTAATTTTCCAGGTGCCATCTGTCACCCCTTTCTTTGACTAGGGGAGGGAACTCCCTGACCCCTTGCACTTCCCGAGTGAGGCAATGCCTCGCCCTGCTTCGGCTTGTGCATGGTGCGCTGCACCCACTGTCCTGCGCCCACTTTCTGGCAGTCCCTAGTGAGATGAACCCGGTACCCCAGATGGAAATGCATAAGTCACCCGTCTTCTGCATCGCTCACGCTGGGAGATGTAGACCGGACCTATTCGTATTCGGCCATCTTGGCTCCACCGGCAGGGTGTAGTATTTTTATTACTTTTCTTTTTGCTTGTCTCTTTATGAAAACATTATTAAGCTGTTATCAGTTTAAAATCATGGGTTATAATATAGTATTTGCAAGCCTCATGGTAACCTCAAACCAAAAAACATGCAATGAATATATAAAAAATGAAAAGCAAGAAACTAAATCCTATCACCAGAGAAAAACAGCTTCACTAAATGAAGACAGGAAAGAAAGAAAAGGAAGAGAAGACCACAAAACAACCAGAAAGTAAGAAAATGGTAGGAGTAAATCCTTACTTAACAATAATAACATTTATTGTAAATGGACTAAACTCTCCAATCTAAAGACATAGTGTGGCAGAATGTACACAAAAAGAAAAACAAGACCCACTGATCTGTTGCCTACAAGAAATACACTTCATCTCTAAAGACACACAAAGACTGAAAATAAAGGGATGAGAAAAGATATTTCATGCCAACAGAAAGTAAAAAAGATTAAGAGTTGTTATAGTTATACCGGAGAAAATAGATTTCAATTAAAAAATTTTAGAAGACACCAAGAAGGTCATTATATGATGACAAAGGTGTCAATTCAGCAAGAGAACATAACAATTATAAATATACATGCATCCAACACTGGAGAACCTAGATATATAAAGCAAATGTTATTAGAGCTAAAGAGAGAGAGAGAGAGCCCACTATACAATAAATAATAGCTGGAGACTTCAACACTCCACTTTCAGCATTGGAAACATCTTCCAGACAGAAAATCAACAAAGAAATATTGTACTTTTTAATGATCGCCATTCTAACTGGTGTGAGATGGTATCTCATTGTGGTTTTGATTTGCATTTCTCTGATGTACCCTAGAACTTAAAGTATAATAAAAAAAAAAGTTAAAAAAAAAGAAATATTGCACTTAATCTGTACAGTAATCCAAATGGATCTGTTAGACATTTACAGAGCATTTCATCTAATGGCTGCAGAGTACACATTCTTTTCCTCAACATATGGATAATTCTCAAGGGCAGACCATATGCGAGGTCACAATATAAGTCTTAAAACATTCAAAAAATTGAAATAATATCAATCACTTTCTCTGACCATAGTAAAATAAAACTGGAAATAAATAACAAGAGGAATTTTGGAAACTATACAAATACTTGGAAATTAAACAATATGCTCCTGAATGACCGGTGGGTCAATGAAGAAATTAAGAAGGAAATTTTAAAATTTCTTGAAATAAATGATAATGGAAATGCAGCATACCAAAACCTATGGTATACAGTAAAAGCAGTATTCAGGGGGAGGTTTATAGCTGTTAGTAACTACACGAAAAAAGAGGAAAATTTTTAAATAAAAAATCTAACAGTGTGTCTTAAAGAATTAGAAAAGCAAGAGCAAACCAAACCCAAAATTAGTAGAAGAAAACAAAGATCAAAGCAGAAATAAATGAAATTGAAATAAAATATACAAAAGATCAATGCAACAAAAAAAGTTTTTTTAATAGTTAAACAAAATTGACAAACCTTTAGCCAGGCTGAAAAGAAAATAAAGAAGATACCAACAAGTAAAATGAGAATTGAAAGGGAGACATTACAACTGATAATATAGAAGTTCAAAGGATCATTAGTGTCTATTATGAGCAACTATATGCCAATAAATTGGAAAAGTCTAGAAAAAATTGACCAATTTCTAGACACATACAACCTACAAAGATTGAACCAAGAAGAAATCCAAAGCCTGAAAAGACCAATAAAAAGTAACCAGATGGAAGCTGTAATAGAAAATCTCCCACTAAAGAAAAGCCCAGGACCCAATGGTTTCCCTGCTGAATTCTACCAAACATTTAAAGCAGAACTACTACCAATCCACTCGAAGTATTCCATAAAATAGAGGAGGAAGAAATACTTCCAAACTCATTCCTCCAGGCCAGTATTAACCTGACACCAAAACCAGACAAAGGCACATCAAAAAAGAGAATTTTTTTTTCTTTTCTTTGTTTTTATTATACTTTAAGTTCTGGGGTACATGTGTACAACTCGCAGGTTTGTTACATGTGTATGCATGTGCCATGTTATTGTGCTGCACCCATTAACTCATCATTTACATTAGGTATATATCCTAATGCTATCCTTCCCCACTCCTCCCACCCCACGACAGGCCCTGGTGTGTGATGTTCTCCTTCCTGCATCCAAGTGTTCTCATTGTTCAATTCCAAAAAAAAAAAAAAAAAAAAAAATAGAGAAAATTACAGGCCAATATCTCAGATGAATATTAATGCAAATATCCTCAACAAAATATTAGCAAACTGAACTCAGTAATACTTTAGACAGATCATCCATTATGACCAAGAGAGATTTATCCCTGAGATGCAAGGATGGTTCAACATATGCAAGTCAATCAGTGTAATACATAATAGCAACAGGATGCAGGATAAAAACCATATGATCATTTCCATTGATGCTGAAAAAGCACTTGATAAAATTTAACATCCCTTCATGATAAAAACCCTAAAAAAACTGGGTATGAGATAACATATCTTGACATAATAAAAGCCAGGTATGGCAGACACATAACTAGTGTCATAATCAATTGGGAAAAAAAACTGAAGGTCTTTAATATCTGGAACAAGACAAGGATGCTCACTTTCACCGCTGTTAATTGAATATAGTACTGGAAGTCCTAGCTAGAGTAATCACACAAGAGAAAAATGTAAATAACATTCAAATTGGAAAGGAGGAAGTCAAATTATCCTCATTTGCAGATGATATAATCTTATACTGAGAAAATCTAAAGATTCCACAAAAGAACTATTAGGCCTGATTAACAAATTCAGTAAAATTGCAGGATACAAAAGCAACATACAAAAATCAGTAGTGTTTCTATATGTCAACATTGAACAATGTGAAAAAGAAATTGAGAAAGTAATTCCATTTACAATAGCCACACATAAAATTAAATACCTGGGAATTAACCAAAGAAGTGAATAATCTCTATAATGAAAACTATAAAATGCTTATGAAGGAAATTGAAGAAGATGCCAAAAAATAATTTAAAAAACATTCCATGTTCATGAATTGAAAGAATATTGTCAAAATGTCCATACTACTCAAAGCAACCTACAGATTAAATGCAATCCCTATCAAATACCAATGATGTTGTTCAAATAAATAGTAAAAAAAATCCTAACGTTTATATGGAACTACAAAACGCCCAGAATAGCCAAAGCTACTTTAAGCAAAAAGAACAAAACTGGATAAATTATATTACCTGACTTCAAATAATACTGCAGAGCTATAGTAACCAAAACAGCGTGGTACTGGCATAAGACCAGACACGTAGACCAATGGAACAGAGTAGGGAATCCAGAAACAAATCCACACACCTACAGTGAACTCATTTTTTGACAAAGGTGCCAAAAACATACACTAGGGAAAAAGTCTTTTCAATAAATGATGCTGGGAAAACTGGACATCCATATGCAAAAGAATGAAACTAGACACTAGACCCCTATCTCTAGCCATATATAAAAATCAAATCAAAGACTTAAATCTAAAACTTCAAACCATGAAACCACTGCAAGAAAACATTGGCAAAACTCTCCAGTACATTGGTCTGGGCAAAGATTTCTTGAGCAATACCCCACAAGCACAGGCAAGCAAAACAAAAATGGACAAATGAGATCACATCAAGTTAAAAAGCTTTTGGATGGCAAATGATAATTTAACAAAGTAAACAGACAACCTACAGAATGGGAGAAAATACTTGCAAATTCTCCATCTTACATAAGATTAATAACCAGAATACATAGAGTTCAAACAACTCTATAGGCAAAAAATCTAATAATCCATTTAAAAATGGACAAAACAGTTGAATAGATATGTCTCAGAAGAAGTCACACAAAAGTCAAATGGGCATATGAAAAGGTGCTCAACATCACTGATCAGAGAAATGCAAATCAAAACTACAATAAGATATTATTTGCACCCCAGTTAAAATAGCTTATATCCAAAAAACAGGCAATAACAAATGTTGGCGAGGATGGGGAGAAAAGGGAACCCTTGTGCACTCTTTGTGGAAAAGTAAATTAGTACAATCACTATGGAGAATAGTTTGGAAGTGCCTCAAATAACTAAAAATTGAGATACCATATGATGCAGCAATCCCACTGTTGGGTATATACTCAAAAGAAAAAAAATCAATGTATCAAAGAGATACGTGCACTCCTATGTTTCTTTGAGCACTGTTTATAATAGCTAGTATTTGGAAGCAACCTAAGTGTCCATCAATGGGAGAATAGATAAAGAAAATTTGGCACATATACATAGTCAAGTGCTGTTCAGCCATAAAAAAGAATAAGATCCAGTCATGTACAACAACATAGATGGAATTGGATATCATTATCTTAGGCGAAATAAGCCAGGTACAGAAAGACAAAAATTGCATGTTCTCATTTATCTGTGAGTCTAAAAAAATAAAAAAAAAATTGAACTCATGGAAATAGAGAGTGAAGAAGAATGGTTATCAGAGGCTGGGAAGGGTAGTGGGGATGGGAGGTGAGGGATGGTTAACGGCTACAAAAAATCATTTGAAAGAATGAATAAGACTTACTATTTGATAGCACAACAGAGTGACTATTGTCAATGATAATTGTACATTGTAAAATAACTTTTAAAAGATATAATTGGATTGTTTGTAACACAAAGGATAAATGCTTGAGGGAATAGTTACCCCATTCTCCATGATGTACTTATTTCACATTGCATGCCTGTATCAAAACATCTCATATACCCCATAAATATATACACCTACTATGTACCCACAAAAATTAACAATATAAAAAAAAATTGAACAGAAAACAAAACACAAAACTAAGCAGACCCCAAGATATCATGAGGTCAAACTGTGTAGATGGGGAAATTAATGTTATCCTTAATAAAGGAGAAACAAATCTTTGGACATTGGGCTCTGAGTCAGTTTAGGCAGAAGGAGGGGAAAGGGAGAGTGCTGTGAGTCCAACAATGATGCTCTTTTCTACTTGATCATACCAAATACTTTAAGTAGACCCATACCTCGGTGAAGTCAGTTTTTAGCTTTTTACATCAATTTCCACATTCACCAGGAGCAATATAATAGATTTACTCATAGCAAGCAGCTAAACTCGTATTATTTTAAACCTTTCATTGACACAAAGTAAAAGACAAAAAGATATTTTGCTAATTCTTGTTGAAGAGTATTAAATGTCCAAATGAAGTCTTAATATTATCCAAAGTGAATTCTTAAGAAAAGTGAACCCTGAAATCTTTTATTTTCCTGAGTTGTCAAACTTTATTTTTTACAGGTTAAACATTCAAAAAGTAGAATCTCTAATCAGTATTTCATTAAAAAGTAAATATTAATACCGTTAAATGGATGCATAGACACATGCCTACATATTCACCATATAACCTTACTTTTTTCAATTCAGTGAAAATCATTGTAACTCTCTTTGTAACTCTGTGATCCTGCACCAGCCATGTGAATAAGTTTGAAAATCACTAATTTCAGAGAATATTCTAGCTTTCCTTATTATATAAAGAATAGCTGGTTATTACAAAAGCTGTTAAGTTTAGGCTGTAGAACTTCTATATACGAAAGATTTCAGAATAAGGATCTGGCTAAATTTTAGGTGGAGGGATGTGGTGGGGCAACTAGAGAACATACCTAGAGATTTTATTTGCATGATAAGCCCATTGATCTCTCTTCCAGAAGATTTGGGTGTTTGGAAATGGGAGGGAGGTAGTGATACTCTAAAATCTCCTGAAGTAATGTCTTGGGTCTGTCATAATTTAAATCAAACTAACTTACTCTCTACATCCTTTACTTGATATCTTGTTGGAATCCATTATTTTTCCTGAATCTAGAAATAAATATGACCACATCATTTTAATGTAATTTTTCAGATAATTACACTTTGGGGTGGGCTTAAATCACTGAGGGAAAGAACACTGAATTCTACAGTATTTGACTTTCATAAAAAGCTTCATTTCAAAAATTAATTATTTCCAGTTTAAAAATTATTACATTTCTCATTACATGTGCTTACTTTGCATTCTAAAAATATTGGTTTGGAGTATCTGAGTAAAGGTTGAAACAATTTTTACAAGCTTAAAATGAATCTCTTTTTTATGCTTGTTTAATTCAAAAGCAGCAGATAGATTTTTTAAGATTAAAAAGAAAATTTTATATTAAGATGAAAAAGAAGTTTTATCTCCTACAAACATTACAGTCATCTTTAAGCCATGTGAAAAGAAGTATTAGATAAAATGGCTGTTTGACTTCTAATTTTAGCATTATTTCTGTTATCTAATTTCATAAAAATATAACTAAAGGATCCTTTCCTTTGAAGAATAGACAATACCTGATCAGTACCCTCACAATTTTATTATGTTGATTGTTCAATGTGGCCTCAGTTCCAAATACCATTTTCTAAAATTACAAGTATCAATGTGTGGAGGTGGAAAATGGAAAAGAAAACTGGGTATCAGCCTACAAGGATTTTGGTCTTAATGTAGGCTTATGTATGTTGATTAATTATAGAAGTAGAATGGAGGGAGATGGAAGTCATGTGAAAACTTTCCTAATTTAACTTTTGACTAAGTAGAATTGCTCACCACAATTTTTTCAGCTTGTGGGAGGTGAATTTTAAATCATGGAATAGGTTTCCTCATCACAAGCTGAGAGAGACATAGTAGATCAAATGTTGAGAGCTTATGTTTTAAAAATAAAGGGAAAAAAGAGACATTGTTGGGAGATTGTTTTTAATCAATTTTAAAATTTCTTTTAGAATCAGATTAAAATTTCTGCAGAATCTGTACCACTTTTTCATGGGTTAACTAGTTCTCATCAAATGACTTTAAATTATATTCTTTATCTGTAATCTCTATCTGAATAGTTGTTGGCTCAAAGTACATCAGTTTTACTTTAACTTGCACTTTTCAAAATTCTATCAGATTTTTCAAAAATGATCTCGTGACACTGTTCCTTCAAATGCTGTCGTCTTATCTATAACTCAAAATGGAAATTTGCATTACAACACTGATTGGTCAATCTGTCTGTCTATTAACCATCTAATTTATCCAATCTAGAGAGACTGTGTTTGTGTACACATTGTGTTTTATCCACTGTGGCTTCTCTGCCATGCAAACCCCAAAAAATAATTTTCAGGGATTTTTTTTAACAAATTAATTAAACCTTGATTTCTATCTTCCCCTTTTTTGCCTTATATGTTTTCATTTTCTTCTCTAAACAGACTGATAATTCTTTCTCTGTGGCTTGAGAGGGAGCTTTCTCTGGGAAGACAGACCTTGCCTTCTCTATGACACTTTTCTGACATCTAGGAAAATGTTTATTTATCATTCAAACAGTCAATATACTCTCATTTTTATGCATTTGTTTTTGCAATTATTACCTCTAGATTTTCATTTTGAAACACTGAAAAGTTACCTGACTACATTCTACTCATAAATAAATGATACGTGTATTAACGTTATTTTGAGGCATTAGTAATGCATATTATTTACTGAGAGCCAAGAGATGTGTTGTTTTCTGATGGTAACTAATTAAGCTAATTGTAAAGTTTTATTTCTTCCTTAGGAATTAAGGACTAGCATTGGCCTTACTTTCAGTATTAAGCAAGAGAATATTTGAGGAACATATGCCCAGTTCTGCAGGGAACACAAAAACATTTCAGAAATTTGTCTTTGCTTTTCAATGAGCTTATGTTGCAAAGACATATTATGAAAAGGTGTATCATAGAGATAAGAGTACAGGACTCAGAGCTGTGGTGTGTTTGTAAATGTTTAAAAACTGCCTCTCAGTGGTAGTGTTCATTGATTTCTGTGGTGTGAATACTCCTACCATGGCTGACTTGAAGCTTCTGATGGTTTAATAACTGGTTGCCAAAAGTCCTGAAAATTTAAAAGTTAGCTTCTTGAGCAGGTAGAAGACAGCTCTGATTATTGCCTTGAGGTGGAGTCTGCTCTATGCTTAGCTACTGTGTTACCTGTGAACTAATTACTAATTATCTTGGAAAACTTAACCTATCAAATGTTACTCTATTTTAGTATTAGTAATGAATAATACAGTGATCTTAGAACACTTACCTCTGATTACCACATCTGTTTCTCACTTAGATGCTATTTGGTGTTGGGAAGTCTTAAGTCTTCCATCCACAAAGATTGATGCCTTCTATTGATTCTGGAAGGGCTGTAGCCATTATCCTTTCTTTTGCCCTTTTTTCGTTTTTTTTTCCCTCACCTTCTGGGTCTCCAAACAGATTGTCATCAGTCTTTTTCACTTTTTGCCCCATGATTTTTAGCTCATTTTCTTATTTATTGTACTCATAGTACTTACACCATCTAACAAACCACATCAAATATTTTATTATGTGTTATTGTGTCCATATGTGAGCTATGTGAGAAAGGGGATTTTTCTGATTATTCACTGCATCTAGAAGAGCACCTCCCAGCAAGTGGATGTTAAATCAATAGTTTTTAAATAAATTAAGTGAGATAATAGGTTGCATTATATAAATCTAGACCTCCAGTACCTATCAAGATGCACTGAATTTTTTATATTTGCTCTGATATTTTTACTTCCTCAAAAATGCAAGTAAACTCTGAGAGAATACCTATTCCCTAAAGTTCACCTTTTGCCCCCAAAAGTTTCCACATTTGTTTGGTATGGTCTACACTGATTAAACAAATACCAGCTCTTCCTATTATGTCTAGGTGCTTTTAATTCATGCCTCATATTGCTCTATCTGTACACAGAATCTGACTTAAAGATCAACTTTTGTGCTAGCTTTTCTTAGTGTTTCAAGCCCAACTGCCTCGTTTCAGCTTCATTCTGTTTTTCATTGTTCAGTGGTTTTTTAGTGTTACTGAATTACTGCACTAATTCGTAATGTGAGTATACGTAATTCCTTTAACTTAGACTATAGATCCTTCAAATGTTCAAAGCATGTACTTCTCCTTGTCTCACTGATCTTAGATAAGCCACGTTAAGGCAGTAGAAAGACAGTATAACAGCTTCTTGGGAAGCCAAAAGAGAGAAGGAGGCATCAGCATTGCTAGTGGTTGATGGTTGGGAGCATGGGCCCCAAAGCCAAGATACCTAGGTTTAAATCCAGTCTCAGCTACCTACTAGCTTTGTGAACTAGAAAAGTTCCTTGACTTCTCTTTGCCTAAATTTTCTTTTATAGATAATGAAAATGACAACAGCCATTACTTCGTAGGTGTGGTATCAAGAAAATTTAGAAGCTCAATAAATGTTGGCTATTATTATTGCTATTATTATCTTTTATATTGCCTATGAAAAGCTCCCACCTACTCATTCTAGAGGTCCTTGGAAACCTACAAAATGTATGCCAAAGGCTTTACATGTCACCAGTTTCTCTACCTTCTACCTTTCATTTCAGACCTTGTCTCTATGATCTGGTTTCGCTGGTTCACAGCTGCCTGTCTCCTACCTGATGATGGTTAATTTTACGTGTCAGCTTGGCAAGACTTTGGTGTCCACTTGTGTGATCTAACACTACTTTAGATGTTGCTTTGAAGGTAGTTTGTGGATGTGATTAACATTTATAATCAGTTGACTTTAAGTAGATTACCATGGATAACATGGATGGGCTTCATTCAATCAGTTGAGGGCCTTAATGGCAAAAACTGAGGTTCCTCAGAGGAAAAGGAATTCTTTCTCAAGACTAGAATACATAAATCCTGCCTGAGGTTCCAGCTTGCCAGCCTGTACTCCAGATTTCAGACTTGCTAATTCTTTCAGTAGCTTCAGCCAATTCCTTAAACTCGAACAACGTTTCTCTCTTTCTCCCTCTTTAAATATTCTATTAGCTCTGTTTCTCTGGAAATTCTGACTGATACTGATTTTGGTACCAGGAAGAGGGGTGCTGCTGGAGCAAATACTTAAAAATGTGAAAGCGGCTTTCAAGTTGGATAATGGGTAGAGGCAAAAAGATTTGAGGCACAGAATAGAAAAAGCCTAGATTGCCTTGAAGAAACTATCTGTAGAAATGTAGACACGAAAGGTGATTCTGGTGTGACAGAATGCCATGTAATGACAGAGGCAGAGGCTGGAGTGCTCCATCTACAAGTCAAGGAGCCTTAAGCATTGCTGGCTGTCACCAGTAGCTAAAATTTTGAGAGGCTTGGAACAGATTCTTCCTCAGAGTCCTCAGAAATAAACAACTGTGCTGATACCTTAATTTTGGACTCTTAGCCTCCAGAACTGTAAGTCAATAAATTTCTGTTGTTTTAAGCAACACAGTTTGTATTACAGCAGCCATAGGACACTATTTCACATCCTTTCCCATTTCCCAGAGGATTAAAGAATTTCGCATAAACACAGCATTGTTAAAATCATGCTACTGTATTTCAGCAAATATTGCTGCTATTAGGCAACATGCATCTCTTAGATTAGAGAAGAATCATATGATCTTATACTCACAATTTTATATATTAAAACCTAAAAACATTAATGTTATTATATTTAATGTACAAGTAACCTTTACTTTATTTAAATAGCTCAGATTTATAAGCAGCACGTTCATAATAAAATACTACCATATAATAAAATTTAGAGGGCTGAGAGGATTATATATATCTTTGCTTTAGTGACAGGGCTAAGAATTACTTCTTTAAACTAAGAGCATATGTGTCACAAAATCTAATTCTTGGAAAATTGTAGGAAAACACTGATACCAATATGCATCTATAGGGAATTAATTGAAAAATACAATAAAGTATTTTTATAACAATATAGCTATTTTTATAGGAACTCATAATGATAAAAAAGCTTACATGGTTTCAATTTTAGGACCTAATTACCATAACACTAATCATTGACTGGAAAGAGAACAGTTTTCTCCCAAATTGTTGAAATTCTAACTAAACACATGTATGAATGTATATGGTAGGATTTCTGGATTTTCCCCCAAGCGTTATAAAACAGTAGGTCCTCTTAGAATATGAAACTGGAAATACCAATACATTCTATTAATATATTGATATTTATTTATTAATATTAACATTTCTTACCTGTTAAAAATTTACTCAGAGGATTTCTGGTAATATCATCACATGTGATAATGTATGTCATGAAATTGAGTATTATTCATTCCTAATGAAGGATTTGCCAGTTTCATGCCTATAAGGAAGTCCCTTGTATTACAAAGTCTATTTCTGGAAAACTTCTAAAGGAGATATTCCAGTTGCCATTTTTTGGCTTTACAGGTAATGCCTGAAAGTTGAGGTATCTGGTTTCCCTGTCTCTCATCCAATACTCCTGCAAGGAGAGGCTCAGATATTATTCAGAAGCACTTGGAAAATTACCAATTATGGCTGTGGAATCTCTTTTGTTCTGGAATGGTTTTAGATGTTATTGATACTTCTAGTTACTTCAGCTGCATTGATAGTGTAGTTTCAGGAGTGTAGTTGAAAGAGCCTGAGAGTATGAACCCTGTGTCTGATACATAACTGCTGTATGACTTTATAGGAGTGAGTCAATACAAAAATATAGTAAAATTTACAGATTACTGAGCACCTCTTGTGTTACAGATGTGTCTCTATGTGTTTTTTATTCATTACTCTACTTCTCAGAATAATCTTCCAAGGCAGGTATTATTCTACAGATGAGAAATCAGAGGTCCCAGAAGTTCAAGTGAGTTGCCCAATTAAATGACTATCCAAGGCAAGTAAATAATGATATTGAGATTCACATCCAGATGTGTCTCATTTTGCTTATCTATAAATTAGTAACAATAATTCCTCATTTATAGCAATGTTGAAATCATGTTCTCTCTTATTCTACTTCATAAGACGACCTGATGCAAAACCTCTGGTACAGATAATAAAGAGTAGAGAGAAATATTAATACAAGGCTGTTTGGGTTATTTGTGAGACTGCTGCACTTTGATATAGGCAGGTGAGAGCCAAATGATTCTCAGTACAACGCCGAGGGAGAAGAGAGGAAGGGTGGGAGGTCTCAGATAAATTGTTGGCCTTTGTAAATATGCTAACCTTATAGATAACCTGTGGTAGGGTGAAGCTGAGCCTGAAAGATTCTCACTTATTCATCCTCAAAGGAAAGCTGTTTTCTCCCTCTTAAACCTATGAATATGGTCAGAAAGTAACAACCTTCAGAAATATAAGGCCCTACACAAGTTTTCAGTGGCTGTATTGGAGTTTTCCCATACAAGCTACTGAAATTGTCACACATAACAATATTAACCTTAAATGTAAACAGGCTAAATGCCCCAATTAAAAGATAGAGACTGGCAAATTGGATAAAGAGTCAACACCCATCGATGTGCTGTATTTAGGAGATCCATCTTATGTGCAAAGACACACATAAGCTCAAAATAAGGAGATGGAGGAATATTTACCAAGCAAATGGAAAGCAAAATAAGGCAGGGGTTGCAATCCTAGTGTCTGATAAAACAGACTTTAAACCAACAAAGATCGAAAAAGACAAAGAAGGGTATTACATAATAGTAAAGGGACCAATGCAACAAGAAGAGCTAACTATCCTAAATATATATGCACCCAATACAGGAGCCCCCAGATTCATAAAGCAAATTCTTAGAGACCTACAAAGAGAGTTAGACTCCCACACAATTGTAGGGGTGGGTTGCCCCTACACACCTGTGGGTGTTTCTCCTAAGGTGGGGATGAGTCAGGGTCACAAGACAATTGTGGGGAGAGGGTCAGCAGACAAACACGTGAACAAAGGTCTTTGCATCATAGACAATGTAAAGGATTAAGTGCTGTGCTTTTAGATATGCATACACATAAACATCTCAATGCTTTACAAAGCAGTATTGCTGCCCGCAGGTCCCACCTCCAGCCCTAAGGCGGTTTTTCCCTATCTCAGTAGATGGAGCATACAGTCGGGTTTTATACCGAGACATTCCATTGCCCAGGGACGGGCAGGAGACAGATGCCTTCCTCTTGTCTCAACTGCAAGAGGCATTCCTTCCTCTTTTACTAATCCTCCTCAGCACAGACCCTTTACGGGTGTCGGGCTGGGGGACGGTCAGGTCTTTCCCTTCCCACGAGGCCATATTTCAGACTATCACATGGGGAGAAACCTTGGACAATACCTGGCTTTCCTAGGCAGAGGTCCCTGCGGCCTTCCGCAGTTTTTGTGTCCCTGGGTACTTGAGATTAGGGAGTGGTGATGACTCTTAAGGAGCATGCTGCCTTCAAGCATCTGTTTAACAAAGCACATCTTGCACCGCCCTTAATCCATTTAACTCTGAGTTGACACAGCACATGTTTCAGAGAGCACGGGGTTGGGGGTAAGGTTATAGATTAACAGAATCTCAAGGCAGAAGAATTTTTCTTAGTACATAACAAAATGGAGTCTCCTATGTCTACTTCTTTCTACACAGACACAGTAACAATCTGATCTCTCTTGCTTTTCCCCACACACAATAATGGTGGGAGACTCCAACAACCCACTGTCAATATTAGACAGAACAACGAGAAAGAAAATTAACAAGGATATTTAAGACTTGAACTCAGCTTGGGAGCAAGCAGGCCTAACAGACATCTACACAACTCTCCACCCATTCTGTTCTAAGCTCTGTCAGTCAATGGAGAGTCTAATAACACCAGTGAACCCCTACTCAGGAAGCACAAGAGAAGAATTAGTCTCTAAGCGTAGTGAGGCCGAATTTCCCAACTACTCCATTAGTTAGTGAAACCCTCACATGTTGTAAAAAGAGAAAATTGAGAGACACCACAGCAATAGTGTTACTTGACAATTATAGATATTATAATTAAAGCACCTGGTATAAACTCAGCACATTGTAGTCATTCATGATGATGATGGTGATTATGGAGATAATTATGACTATAAAATGGTCTTCATTCCAATGAGACTGTTATTTGAATTGCTTGGCTTCAAATGGGAAACCCTGAAGGACAGCACATGTCAGTTTTCTATGCTTACACAATAACCTACACAGCTCCCTTGTGTAAAAGAAGCTAATAAAAATAAATGTAATATTATGGTGAGGATGATATGATTAATTCTAATAACCAGTGATTACCATGAGCTCAAAGGTACATGATTGCCACTATAATAGGAAGCAGGATAAAATGGAATTGCCACATATTCCATATCCTAAATAAACGTCACATTGATCATTCAACATCAGTTTTATTTATTTGGCTGCAATATAATTCATATGTACACTTGAGAACTAAGTAGGAGAGTTTAGCAAAATTTCTATTTCTAAAAATAGAAGTGATGAAGACATAAAATAGTTTCCATGTTCTCTTAAACAGAGATACACATAAACATATCATCCAGGAAAAAGAAGTACAGTACCATTTTGTATGTTTCAGACACATGTTTTCTTTGCACAAAGGCTAAACATAGGAGTAATTTATATAGTATTTTCTCATAACAAATTGTATTTCAAAGAAAATTGTTATTTCCAAGACTTGCTCATAAAATAACAGCCTTTGTAGGTCTTCACCATGAATTTTATATAAACTATACGAGATTGTTTCAGAATTTTGGCTATATTTTTCCTTATAGCTAAGAATAATGGGTAATAATTCCTTCTACCTTTAAAAGGAAACACTTGAAAAAAAACATGTGGAAATCTCATCAAAACCATAACCAACCCTGAGATCTTAGTCGTATCACTCATCTTCAGCCCATGTAGGTAAAGCCTAGACATTGGATAGAGAGGGAGATCTTTTAATGGAAATTTGTGCAATAAGAACACTGTTATGCCTCTCTGTTCTTTATTTTGGGTAGAAATGAGGAGAGAGAGCTTTCTCCCCTCAAGTGGAAAAGCAGGAGTGGCCAAAGAGCTCATCAGAGATTTTGGAAGTGGCTTTCCAGCTAGGAATATTTTTTTCCTGCATGAATGCCACCAAAGTGCTCAAGAATATAGACCTTTTCTAATTTGCTACTGAAAGGGAGTAGGAAGAAATTATTAAGACAATGAGACACGTATCCCCTGCAGTTTGTTGGTCAGAGAAAATGATGCCTGACTTTCACAGAAGTCTAAAGGAAAGAGGTTGGCTGTAGCCTCCTCTGATTTCAGGGAAAGAAGCATGCCTACCTTTGGAACAACTTTTATTTATTTTCTTTAGCTGGGAAAAGGTGTAAGGTTTCTCATGGGCCAAGTGAATGCTTAAAAGGTAGCCAGACTAGAGCCATCTCAAAAGGACTAAAAGGACCTTGACCAAGGAGGATCTCTCCTGGTATGATGGGAGCCCAGGAAAAAGAAATACTGTGGGGTCTTATGTTAGAAGGCAGGAGTTAGAGGGGCAGTAAACAATGAGCTGGTGAGTATATGACTTGCACCTGGCAAAGGTGCCATAAAGGGCTTCTTGGTGAGGATTCTCTGACATTTCCGTCACTTGTGTGTCCTATGAGAAAGAGCCAGCCTTTGGGCATCCACCTCCCTGAGAATCAATTATCACATTGTAACAGCAAAAGTCAGATCTTGCTTCATTTCTCTGATTCTACTTTCCCTCTGTCCCTCAGTCAGAAGAAGCCAGAAGCAACAGTTTATTTGGAATAAGAAAAGAGACAAAACAGAACACATTCCCCCTTTCTAATACAGATACCCATCCTTGTGCCTAGTCTGAGGATGATGAAAGGATAAATTTTAAATTGGATGTGAGATGCTAGTATTGAATTAGATTCAACTAGATTTTTTAAAACTTGGAAGTGAGTTGATTTACCTAAAAGTAACTGGAAAGCTATGCAATCTATTGAAATAATACAAAAAAAAAAAAAAAAACCCAAAACACACACATGCACACGTGCGTGTGGCAAAGAAAGTAACCAGGAAAAAGAAGATACAGTTTACTACTTATATCCTACAGAATTTAATTCATTTAATAGACCAATTTTATGGACCTTAAATTTTCTTTAACAAATATTCTCTCTCACCTGTTTATATATGAAAACCATTATTTTTAATAAAATAAGTTTGAATCTTGGAGGGCAGAGAGAAAGAATACAAATTAAAATGGTAGGACATTAATTAGCCCAACATTGGAACAGACTTATAAGAGTAGCCAACAGAGCCAACTATTTTCTACATGATTATCTTGAGATCAGAAAAGCTAAATTATTTGCTTAAGCCCGAACAACTAGACATACCAAGAGAGCACATCTTGGTCTTAGAATTCGTGACTTGTAGACAAGTTTTTGATCTACCATGGTAATAAGTGGTTTACCTGAGACAGACAGGGACAGACATAACTATTACTATCCTTATTATTATGTTAATTGTTAGTTCTGGGCTTTGGCTCTTTTCAGAACACTACACTTTTGAATTGAAGTTGGGGACAAGATTTCAGCTCTAAGCGATGTCTTTGTAAAATTTTGGCCTGGTTTAGAGTCTCCTTACAAGCCCTCAAAAGACACATATATATCATAAAACACATGTATCCTACATAATCCTCTTACATACATAAAATGATACAAAAAATTAAATAAGTGTAGGAATAATTTCCACATAATATTTTTTCTTAAAAAATGTACTGAAAATTAATAGGTTTGAAGCACTGAGCTTATTTTTTTTTTCTGGTCCAATAGAAAAAATATTTATTTTCTAGCAATGAATTTACTTCAAGAAAATATATCAAAATATTTTCATTCCCAGTTTAGCTTAGTCTAAGCTGATTTTATGTACATTTATTAACAGGTAACAACCAGAAGACCTTTTCTAGACCAAAATGACAAATTGCAAATAGATTGGAAAGAATCTAAGAATGGTATAGTACTAATTTTATTTTATCCACAAAGAAAGTATACTGCCATTTGATAAATTAAAAAGAACCAAATTAGCTTTTGCCTTTGTAACTATGAATATGCTTTGAATTGTAAGTAGCAGAAAACTATCTTATATTAGAATTTACTGGCCTCACAAATTTAAGTTAGCAGGTCTTCAGGCTGGTGGAGTCAGTGACACAATGGTGTAATTATTACATGGAAGTGTAACTAAGGTTCTTCCCACTTTTCTACTTTTCCTTTTACTATCAACTTTTTTCTGTCCTGGGTCATTTGTCGACCAATCCCAGCTAAGATAAATGCTATGGCCAATACCGCTATCTGCCTATTCTTAATTTATTCTCCCTTTACCTCTAGAAGATCTGATTTTATTTAGGGCCACAATGCCCTTGTTTAAAAATTGCATTTTCCCTCGTAGCTAGATATAGTTATGTGATCAAGTTTTTGCCAAGGAAAAGAGATGTATGGGCCTTCCAACTAAACTCTCTAAAGGGGATGAGCATTCTCCATTTCTAAGTCTTGTCAGTTATGTGTAATACTGAGGATTCCAGCAGTGATCTTTAAAATAGGTGTTGAGCCCTTCTTCTCCTATTCCCTTTCTCCTTCTTTCTGGCTGGAGTAAGATTTTAACAGATGGAAATATAGAAAAAGCCTGGGACTCCAATGGCTTTGTTGAGCTGCCATACCATGCCTAGTTGGTCTATCGTCAGACTTCTTTCTTAAGATGACAGCTGACACTAATCATAATGGATACAAACACCATGTTTGTGTTGGCTTGGCCCTCCTTCTAAATCAATCAATGTCAACGGAGCTGGAATTAGCAAGACTGGTTTAAACCAGTGGCTGTCAACTTTGACTGCAGTTTAAAGTCACCTGGGGAGTTTTAAAATCTTGGTCTCTACTTCAGACAAATTAAATCAGAGTCTCCGCATTGAAACCCAGGCATCATAGCTTTTAAACTCCACAGGTGATTCTAGTATTGAGCCAACTGGCTTAACTTACGGACTGCTCACCCTTGGAAGAAAGGTCAATCTCCAAACCACGTTGCTGCTGCATAGTGCTGGGAGGAGTGGGCTGGATGTTATAGAGTCAACCCCGATGTGCACTGCCAGCTACTATCCTAAAAATGTCACAGTGCAGTAAGAAAGAGGTTGTTTACTTTAGAAACACACATGCATATAAGGAATAAGGAGAGCGTAAGCAATTATGTTGTCCTTATTGTATCATAAATAATCAGAAAAATTCAGGGAGGGAGAAAACAATTCTGGTCCTCTGTTAAAATGCCAGTTGTTGTCCTCTGTGTTAATGAAGTTAAAAGCTATTTTGTTACAGGCCTGTACTCCAAACCAAAGGGTACACTATTTCCCTTTGATTGATCTCATGCTATATAAAAAAGTCTTTCTTTGTTCACTATTTTTTCTCTAAAATGCATCCTTAGCAACTGTCTCAGTATAGTAAGCAAAACCTCAGTTTACGATGACCTCTTAAGATGATTTGGGAGTTGTGGAGAATTACTCTGTGGAATTATGAACATTAATGTAATCTTCCAAGTCTACCAAAAATATAAGAATAGTGAAAACAGAAAAAGATAAGTAAATTTTAATTATTTCTAGTAGTATAAAATGGCAGTTTCAATATTATATACCAAAATATTGGAAAATGTATAAACCATGCACAAAGGTACATAAGTGAAAAAAAGACATGGTAAAATATGAAAACATTTTCAGTATGCAATATTGGGGGTAAGTAGCTTTGACGGAAGTAGTAATCCCTCAAAAGGGAAAATTATAAATAGACTAGGCTGTGTGCAGTGGCTCACGCCTGTAATCCCAGCGCTTTGGGAGGCTAAGAAGGGTGGTTCACTTGAGGTCAGGAGTTCGAGACCAGCCTGGCCAAAATAGTGAAACCCCATCTCTACTAAAGATAAAGAAATTAGCCAGACATGGTGGCACGTACCTGTAGTCCCAGCTACTCGGATGCTGAGACAGGAGAATCGTTTGAGCTCGGGAAGCGGAGGTTGCAGTAAGCCAAGATCGCGCCACTGCACTCCAGCCTGGGTGACAGAGTGAGACTCTATCTCAGAGGAAAAAAAAAAAAACCTAGGGAAAAATTACAAACAGACTGCATGCAGAAATTTCTGTTTATACATATTGGTCTCGAATATGATTTTACCTCTTTTTCTAGACTGTGTCACCATTAGGCTCACTTAATTATTACATTAACAGTATGTTTGATATTCAGGAGTCCCTGGGGAGAATACACAAGTATATTTCCATGCTATCACTGTACATGATAATATAGTAGTCACTGTTGTTCTTAAGCATGTTGGTGACTGTAGCAGATAATGCCAGTGCTCTGCCCTTCACTTCTAATACCCTGAATCTTAACTAGCCTTCAGAGCACTGCCAATGGCCGCTGAAGCTACCTTGGCTACATCCAAAGAGAAGAGGTTTCTGATAATTTGGAGTGGATCCTCATTAGTCATGGCTTTTGTATTTGAGAATTCATCTACTTACTAAAGCTTATTTGTAACCTCTAAATCAATGATGTGCCTTGTGGAAAAAATGTAAGTGCTAGATAAGCTTAATTCAGGCATGAGTTACAATGTTGTCCATTAATTCAATGTTAATGAATAAAACATGTATGTTAAGTAAGGTGTCTTTAAACAGAAACCCGTAAAACAAGGTTATATGGTCATTGGTTGACAAAAATGTGATGAAAGCCTTGTAGAAACCTAACCTTTTATTTCCTCTAGGTACAATGATCAGGATTCATCATTCAGTGTTCACGATGATTTTGTAGAACATAACTACCTTGAATAACAAGAATCAACTTTATTTCTCTTAGTGGGGACTAGGAGTATTTAAGCACCCGTGGACTAGAGACTGGCAGGTATTGATGTAAGAAAGTCTGCTCTCTTGCTTTGCATGAGGATACTTTTGAGGTATAATCTAGACTCCAAAATTCTGCAGACTGAAGCCTTCCTCTGTAGGATTTCCCCTAAGATTGCAGCCTTGTTTCCCTTCCTCCCTACTCTGTCCTACTTTAACTAGTATTTTGCCAGTTCCTGCTGAGAGTATTCTTAATAAATCATTTGCACAAAAATGATCTTATCAGAGTAAGCTTCTAGAGTATTTGACCAAGACAAAAAATTCAACCTAAAACTTAAATATTAACAGAGTAAATGCCAATATGGGGTATAACATAATAATAATTACAGCAACAATAGCTACCATTTCCTCACCACTTATAAGGTATCATACATTGCAGTAAACACTTATCTTGCTTAATCTACACTGCTACACTATACTATAAATATTTTAGTCACCATTTTATAGAGGAAGAGACTAAGTTGAGAGAGTTTAAATTGTCCAAGATTGAGCCTAGTACTTAAGCTATAGAGCTGAAATTATAACTCTAAACCATGTGTCCCAAAAGGTTATAATCTTAAACCACTATGATGTGACCTTTTGATATATATAGTATAGTAAATTGACCTTTTGTGTTCCAGTTGCAGAATAATTTTTGCCTAAATTTTTATAAATAATAGTTGGTTGTTGTGCTTAAAATAACTGTCTATAATACCGGTCTTCAAAGAAGTACATAGCATATGAAACAGGAACTATTAGTTCTACTATCCGAGCTTAGAGCAGAAACTAGACCCTTCAGTATGTCTTAGAAGGCCACACTGATCTGGCCCTGTTCACCTCTTCAGTTACACAGATAACTTCTTCTCTTTCCACAAAAACACAAAGTTCACGTTATCCCTAGGACACTGCCACAGGCATTTCTCAGATCTTCACAAAGCTGAAGATCTTTATTTTTAATTTTTAAATTTCACTTTATTAAATTATAACCTCTTCACAGAAGCTTTCTCTGCCAAAATAACCTGAATAAACCAACTCACCTGCAGCATTCACTATCCTTCACAAACACTGTTTTATTTTAATGGTAACAGTTGGCACTTTTTGGAATTATCTCTTGTTTCATTGTGTATTGTCTTTCCCCCTCACTAAAATCTGAGCTCTATTAGAGGGATAACCCATTTGTCTTGCTCACCGCCTTTATACCACCACCTGGAACACAATACATCCTCAATAAATATTTGTTTACCAAATGAATAAGTGAACATTAATGTGAAACTGTGGGTTAATGTAAGACTGAAATATTAGCCCGAATTCACTGAAGACTCTTTCAGGTGTTCTTACAAAGCCCTTTGTGAGTGTTATACATATGTAGCTGCCTTTCTATTGGCATCTGCTTTTATATCTGTTCTTGGTAACTACGAAGTAAATGATCAAATCTGGACAGAGAAAGACTCTTTCATGGCATCTCATAGTCTATGGTGTATGCCATTGTTTTTGGTTTTCTGTGATTTTAGTTTCCTTTTGAAAAATCATATTTTAATATGATATAGCAAAGAATAGGCCAAATATTGATTTTATATATTATCCTGTTATTTGCTTTTCTTTACTGAGTCTATGAAAATAGTGGCAGTACTCTCATTAATGTGTTCGCTCATTAATGTCTCTCATAGATATAGTTCAATCTCTCGTTAATGCTACTTCAGTGATTTGTGTGTGGGGTGTGTGTGCGTGTGCATGTGCGCATGTGCATATCAGGAGATATTTTAACTGTACTCAAATTTTAGCTACCTGAACCCAACAGGAATTACTTATTATACTATTTCAAGCTTTTTGGCAACTTGAAGCCTAGTGATTTAAATGCTGTTTCTTCAATTTGTACCTTTGTAATATGTATTATAAACTCATCTACCTGCAAATATCTTTTTTTTCGAAATTTTGAACATTATGAACATTATGAACATTACTGTGATATGTTAATGATACAGCTATTGATACTGAAATACATATATATATTAAACTTTAGTGGAACAGCATGTGGAATTTAAATATAAATCTGTAGTTGAATAAAGTGACTGAATAAAGCACTTTATTCTATATATATGTATATATGCATTTGGGGCATGAATTTGAATGACTACTGGCATTGACAATTGCTCTAAAATATGTTTTTTAATTAAGAACAAGCTTTCACACTACATTTTGATTATCCAGTAACTTTTTGAAAAAGAAGATCTGGAACACACCACTGAAAAATTCCTATGAATAGTGGACTTATTGCAAAAGAATTGAATCCAATAATGGAACAGCCTCCACATGTATGAATTTTTTAGGTTCCAGAAATTAACTGTTTATTTTTGCCATCAGCTGTCTACACTCAAAACACTTCAGGATTTCATTCTTGATTACACAATAGGTTACTCTTTCACTGTTTTTACACATTAAGTTAAAATTGGCAATCATGAGTTTATTGCAAGCATATTTAAGGCACTGTGCAAGGACTTGGGTGTGATATACAGATAAGTAAGAAATCCACCGCCTCCATCAAATATCTATTGTTGACAGAAATAGCAAATCTGTATACAATGCAATACATGATAGAAACAAGGGAGAATCTAATATACTTTTAAGCAAAATGTTTTTGAAATACTAATCAGCCAAGGTCCTAACAGGAAATAGATGTAACACTCACGGAGCAAGTAGGGAGAGTTTAATGAGGTGATTGCTTGCAAGAGCGTGAGGAATAGATAGTGAAGCACTCAAGGACAGCAACAACAAGGAGCTATCATTTACTCTGGGACTGAGGATACAGTTGGAGGTATGCTTACTAGAACCCAGAGAGAGATGCAGTGGTAGCTGTAGTGAAGGCAACCTTATGACGTTGTGACCTTCTGTATTAGTCCATTCTCCTGCTGCTAATGAAGACATACCTGAATGACTGGACAATTTATAAAGGAAAGAGGTTTAATGGACTCACAGTTCCACATGGCTGGGGAGGCCTCACAATCATGGTGGAAGGTGAAGGAGGAGCAAAGTCACATCTTACATGGCAGCAGGCAAAGAGAGCTTGTGCAGGGGAACTCCCATTTATGAAACCATCAGATCTTGTGAGACTTATTCACTACCATGAGAACAGTATTGGGGAAACCACCCCCATGATTCACTTATCTTCACCTGGCCCTGCCCTTGGGGATTATTACAATTCAAGGTGAGATTTGGGTGGGGACACAGCCAAAGGATATTACCTTCCCACGAGGAACATAGCTACTGCCAATTTCCAGGCTGGAAGTGAGAAACTGGGGAAATCAGTATTCTAAACTCGCTCTCTCACCATGAATCTCCTACTTGTGCCCCCTTAGGTCTGTTGACCCCAAACTGAAGCCAAGGGAAAACGGAGCCTGAGAGATGCAGGTCATACTGGTCAGCCTCCCTGGCAGGCCTGACTAGGGGGGAATGAGTGAGACACTTGCCTCTTCAGCAAAATTTAAGGAGGCACCACTAATCAAAATAATGTTTTAGTGTAGTTTTAAAATTAAAACAAATAGCAATGATGAACAAAACATCAAAAGTTTGAATAAAGACAATATTAATATTACTGGATTTTCCTATTTTTATTTTTTGTTTTTGACTTTCCCTCTTGATTTAGCTTCTAGGATGGCTCATCAAAGTACTGCTTTTGGGTAACAGAGCAGAAAATGGGTGGAAAGTGCATTTTTAGGCTCAAAATGCTGGTTAATGATGCATTGGAGTGTAGGAATGCTTTAAAAATCCCAACCTTGAGCCAGGGGTTGGATAAGGGTTTTGTGTGGTCATAGAGGATCTTCTATTCAGAAGTGCCCTACTTAGTATAATGCTCTGTGGTCACTGTCTTGAAATTCTTAATTTTTGAGTTAAAAGGTTCACATTTTCTTTTTGCAATGTATCCTGAAAATTACATAGCCAGCCCTGGCCTTTGACTATGGTTTTCATGTTAAATTTAGATAGATTTATTTGTTTTTATTTTTTAAATTAAACATTTTAAAATAATTTTAATTGCACATACAGTTGTAAGAAATAATATAGAGTGATACCATGTTTCTTTTACCCAGTTTCCCGCAGTGGTAACATCTTACAAAACTATCCTACAGATAGTACAACCAGGATACTGGTATTAATACAGTCAAACTACAGAACAATTCTACCACCACAAGGATCCCTTATGTTGCTCTTTTCTAGCCATGCCTATATAGAGCCCCTTCTCTCCCCCATAATCCCCACCATCATTGATCCTTGATACCCACTAATCTGTTTTTCATTTTAAGATTACTATATAAATAGAATTATAGAGTGTGTGACCTTTTGATATTAACTTTTTCACTCAGCATAATTTCCAGGAGTTTTCCAAGTTGCTGTGTTATCTATAGTTTGTTCCTTGTTATTGCTTAATAGTATTCCACGGTATGGTTGTACTGTATTTTAACCACTTACTCATTCAAGGACATCTTGTTGGTGTGTGTAGAATGCCTTTCTCAATCATATTGTGGTTTTCTTGGTTCTTAATATGAGTGATTTTCTATTCTACCCTGGACACTTCAGATATTATGAGATACTGGATCCCACCTAAGCATTTTATTGTTGTTGTTGTTTTAATAAGCAGTCCATCTGTTTCATGAGGACTAGGTGAGTGTGTAAACTCAGTTTCCCTTTGTCCTACTGACATCACTCAGGCAAAGTGGGGCACTAGTTAGCATTGCCTTATTTTAGGATCAGTAGGATGGAGCCTCCCTGCCACTTTCTGGGTGAAAGTGGCAAAAGGATTATTACAGTCTAGTTGCCTTTGAATGAAAGTGGAAACTCAGCTTTCCACTAGGCTCACTGATACCAAGGGAGAGAAACGTGGAGTACTTGCTATCCCTGCCTCCCACTGCCTCGTTAAGGAGTGAAGGTGTGTTTTAATTCTTTTGATATTTGGCTGGACCAGGGCAGGAAAAATGCTTTTATCTGTTAGACCACCCTGTAGTGTGTCCTTTGTTTAGGAGGAAGAGGCTCTTAGAGTTTTTTCTGTCTACCTCTTTGTGGTTCCTTTTTGGAGGCTTCTGCTATCCCGTCTGTGATATACGACAACCAATAAGGAAATTCAGAGAATATATCATTTGTTGTTCTGCAAGTCCTAAGGTCCCTACACAGTCCACATTCTTCTTTCCACATTTCAGGGAGCGCCTGTATTTGTTTGTTGTGTTATGTCCAGAATATTTTGGGATAAGAGGGAAGATATAGAGGAATGTTAATCTGTCTTGGTATAACCAAAATCTCTGGGTAACATTTCAAAATACAGAAATGAGTTGGAGGAAGGTTAGGCAATCAGTGGAAAAGTATACCAAAAAACAAAAACAAAAAACCTCACAAAAGTGGAAAAATTGTCTCTTTATTTACTATATTAACTCATCTTCTAGGGCCTTAGTTTCATTTTCCCCTGCTTAATTTTCAAATTTCATCATGCTTTTCAGCTTTCTGACTCAGAGTCTGACTTTATATAGAAATTGCAAAACAATCATAGCATTTTAGATGTTTTGCTTGGTGATCAGAATTATATTGGGAATAAAGTTGGGATATTTGATTGTTTTCTTTTCTGATCTTTATGCTGACTGCAGTATCAGATACCATTTCATTGTTTAAAAATCTTCCTTTTTTTTTTTTTTTTTTTTTGCATTTTGCTCTTTTGTCATTGTTTCAAAGTCAAGTTGATGGCCACAAAATTCCAGAGGCTAAGCAATGCAGAAGTTTCATCTACTGGCAGCTAGTTTTATTTCTTAAAAATACATTAAATTAGATTTTATAGGCATATCTGAGAACATTACACTTTTGACTTTTAATAGTATCTTAATATATACAGACTTAGACATTCATCTTCAGTACCACTAGAAATAGATTAACTAGTCCTGTGCCTAAATTAGCGGAAAAATACATCTTTGAGTATCTGATAGATAGTAATCTGATAGAATATAACAAAATATGTAGTAATTAATATGTAGTAATTAAGAAAAAACTATAATCCTAGTTGTTAGATCAGTGTTTTCTGTTTCTTTTTTCTTTTGTTGTTTTTGTTTTTAATTTGAATCACATGACTTAGATACCCACAGCAGGTACAATAAAGCATTTTTAAAGTTCTTAAGAAGATTTGAAAAAACTCTGATAACTATGGTTCTAGCTAATTCCGAAATTAACCTTTCTCATATATGCCATATCATTTATTCTACAGGCTGTATCCTTCAGATGGTGTCATTTAAAAACTTAATGACAACTAATATTATCCCTTAAGGAAAGGTAACTTGGAGGAAGTTGATGTAGAAGAAGGCAACTCCATTTATCTAGGAAAACATCATGAGAGCTCAGATGAAGTCAGGGCAGTGAGTCTTGTGTAGGGAGGAGAGTTGAAAGAAAGTCAACAGGACTTGATAACCAAATGTTTGGAGGGATGAAGAAGAAAGAGAAATTAAGTAAAACTGTGGCTTTAGTGTGTTTGAGTAGGTAGGCAAAGATAACAAATTCAATTCATTATCTAATTGGCAGCTGGAAATATTACTCTGGAGCTCAGAAAATGGATGGAGTGGATTTCTGAAGAGTGGAAAGTTATTGACTTAAAAGTGACACTTAGGTCCTAGATTGAAATTATAAAGCACATGCTATAGCCTAAGTTGTGTCCCTCCCAAGTACATATGTTGACGCCCTAGTTCCCAGTGTGACTACATTTGGAAGTAGAACCCATAAGGTTGTAACTAAGGTTAAATGAGATCATAAGGGTGAGGTCCTCATTTGATAAAATGGTGTCCTTCCAGGAAGAGACATTAGAGAGCTCCTTTTCTCTCATTCTGAGTGAACTCCAAGGAAAGGTCATGCAAAACATAATAAGAAGGCCGCCATCTGCAAGTGAGAGAGCCCTCATCAGAAACCAAATTCACTGGAACCTTGATCTTGGATTTCCTAGCCAAGAGAAGTGTGAGAAATACATTTTTGTTCTTTAAGCCACCCAATCTGTGGTATTTTGTTAAAACAGCCAAAGCAGAAGAGATTTTTCAGGGAAATTGGGAATCATGGGAAGAACTAAACTGTTAGTAGTCTTGGAAGTATAAATTTACTATTATTAATGGATGGTATTACCTGGATAATCAAAGTTATCAACTGGAATCTACCAGATTCAATGAGAGGATAATGCTCCACCCAGTAACAAGGTATGTGTTTTAAAAAAAACAGTAGCATTCCTAAATACCATTAATTACTAGAGGCTGGGTGTGGTGGCTCACACTTGTAATATCAGCACTTTGGGAGGCTGAGGCAGGAGGATTGCTTGAGGGTAGAGTTCAAGACTAGCATGGGTAACATAGTGAGATCCTCATCTCTACAACAAACAAACAACAGCAACAAAGCAAACTTAGCTGGGCATGGTGGTGTACACATGTAGTCCCAGCTACTTGGGACACTGAAATAGGAGGCTCAGTGGAGCCTGGGAGCTGGAGGTTGCAGTGAGCTGTGATCTGCACTTCAGAGCCTGGGCAACAGAGTGAGACTGTGCCTGGAAAAGAAAAAAAAAAAAAAGAAAATACAATGGAACAAGAATCACATTTACAATAGCAAGACAAAATAAAATACATAGTGTTATATAAAGTAAATAAAAATTGTAAATATATGTATTAGAGTTCTCTAGGAACAGAACTAATAAGATATATGTATACATGAAAGGAAGTTATTTAAGAAGAATTGACTCAAACAATCACAAGGTAAAGTCCCATAATAGGACATCTGCAAGTTGAGGAGCAAGGAAGCCAGTGGTGGATCATTCCGTGTCCCCAAACCTCAAAATTAGGGGAGACGACAGGGCAGCCATCAGTCTGTGGCCAAAAGCCCAAGAGACCCTGGCAAACCACTGGTGTAAGTCCAAAAGTCCAAAAGCCGAAGAACTTGGAGTCTGATGTTCAAGGGCAGGAAGCATCTAGCATGGGAGAAAGACAAAGGCCAGAAGACTCAGCAAGTCTGCTCTTTCCAACTTCTTCTGCCTGCTTTATTCTAGCAGTGCTGGGAGCTGATTAGATGGTGCCCACCTAGACTGAGGGTGGGTCTGCCTCTCCTAGACCTCTAACTCAAATGTTAATCTCCTTTTGCAACACCCTCACAGACACACCCAGGAACATTACTTTGCATCCGTCAATCCAATCAAGTTGATATGTACCAAATGAGGGTAGCAAATACTGATATGAAGTCAATAAATCTTATGTTACATGATAAAGGAAAAAGAACGGAAAAAAATGAAGATATTCTCTTAGTACAAGTGTATACATACACAAAGATGTTCTGAACAAACTAGAGGAAATACTCATGACAATTACAGTCCTTGTTTCTATAAATGGTCACGTGGTCATAGCTGGTATTGATGACTACCTTCTACTACCCATTCTGTATTCCCTTTGGCTTCAGCAAGCACCTCAGCAGGTCATGATTTTTCACTGGGTAGAGTGACCCAAACCTTCATTCCTGAAGGGTCAGGGCCATTTGCAGTCATGCCTGGATTAGGCTGTTGTAGTTTCCCATTGACCTTAGTCACAGGGCATGGTAATACTAAAAGATGCCCTAAGGGATCTCCTGTATTACACACATACTCTTCCTTACCTCCTTTGTGGAGTAGTAGGCTGATTGTCAGTTGCCTCAGCCAACACTGTAACTCCTTTTTTTTTTTTGAGATGGAGTCTTGCTCTGTCTCCTAGGCTGGAGTGCAGTGGTGCAATCTCGACTCACTGCAACCTCTGCCTCCTGGGTTCAAGCGATTCTCCTGCCTCAGCCTCCAAGTAGCTGGGACTATAGGCGCACATTACCACACCCGGCTAATTTTTGTATTTTCAGTACAGATGAGGTTTCACCATGTTGGCCAAGATGGTCTTGATCTCCTGACCTTGTGATCCACCACCTCGGCCTCTCAAAGTGCTGGGAATTCAGGCATGAGCCACCGCTCCCGGCCTGTAACTCCTTTCTTCGCCTGTTGACTTAGAGATAGGAGAAGCCCGAAATGGCCAGGTGGCAATCTTAACTTCCAGTTAAAAGGAATTATTGTGTCTCCTGGTGGCAGCATTCCTCCCTCTGGAACTAAGACCTCTAGGCCAGCAGAATGTAATGTTGCAGGAAAAGGAAGCAAAGATTTTGCTAGTGGGTTACTGGGGGTGATGGTGAATGGTGCCACTTCCACTTCTACCCCTTGATTCCTGGACCTGTGAATCCTGGCTATGGGAGAAACAGTACCAAATATTCGACACTGATTCAGAGCATACACAGCCTTCTGGAGAACTTTTCCCCAGGCCTGTAAAGTATTGCCATATAGTTGGTGTTGTAATTGTAACTTCAAAAGGCCATTCCAATGTTCTATCAATCCAGCTGCATCAGGATGATGAGAAATATGGTAAGACCAGTGAATTCCATGAGCATGAGACCACTGCCACACTTCTTTAGGTGTAAAGTAAGTGCCCTGGTCAGAGGCAATGCTGTATGGAATACCTTGACAGAGGATAAGGTATTCCGTGAGTCCATGGATGGTAATCTTGTCAGGACTACCGTGTACAGGACAGGCAAACTCATATCCCGAGTAAGTGTCTGTTCTGGTGAGGACAAGCTGCTGCCCTTTCCATGATGGAAGAGGTCCAATATAATCAACCTGCCACCAAGTATCTCGCTGATCATCCCAAGGGATGATGCCATATCATGGGCTCAGTGTTGTTCTCTGCTGCTGGCAAACTGGGCACTCAGTGGTGGCCGTAGCCAGGTCAGCCTTGCTGAGTGTAAGTCCGTGTTGCTGAGCCCATGCATAACTTCCATCCCTGACACCATGGCCACTTTGTTCATGGCCCCACTGGGCGATGACAGGGGTGGCTGAGGAAAGAGGTTGAGTGGTGACCACAGAAAAAGTCATCCTATCTACTCGATTATTAAAATCCTCATCTGCTGAGGTCACTCTTTTGTGAACACTCACATGGGATACAAATATCTTCATGGTTTTTGACCACTCAGCAAGGTCCATACACATACCTCTTCCCCAAATTACTTTGTCACCAATTTTCCAATCATGCTTCTTTTAAGTCCCTGACCATCCAGCCAAACCATTGGCTACAGCCATGAATCAGTATATAATTACACATCTGGCCATTTCTCCTTCCAAGAACGGTGCGCAACCAGGTGCACTGCTTGAAGTCCTGCCCACTGAGAAGATTTTCCTTTGCCACTGTCTTTCAGGGATGTCCTACAGAGGGGCTGTAGTGCTGCAGCTGTCCACTTTCAGGTGGTGCCTGCATATCGTGCAAAGCCATCTGTAAACCAGGCCATAGTCTTCTCTTCCTCTGTCAACTGATCATAGGGAACTCCCTATGAGGATATCAGTGCAGGCTGGGGGAGAGAAGGCTTGGTGGCAGGAGTGGAGACCATGGACATTTGAGCCACTTTTTCATGTCCTCAAGCAGGACCTGCTTGAGCCCAATCACATATATAGCACTTCCATTTGATGATGGAATGCTGCTGTGCATGACCCACTTAATGGAGATATGTGCCAGAAAACACCCAGTTCATGATAGACAGTTCAGATTGCATGGTGACTTGATGACCCATAGTCAAATGTTCAGTTTCTACCAAAGCCCAGTAACAGGCCAAAAGCTGTCTCGCAAAAGGAGAGTAGTTATCTGCAGAAGATCTCAGGGCCTTGCTCCAAAATCATAGAGGCCTCCACTGTGATTCATCTATGGGGGCCTGCCAAAGGCTCCAAACACATCCCTATCTGCCATTGTCATCTCAAGCATCATTGGATCTGCAGGGTCTTATGGCTCAGGTGGCAGAGCAGCTTGTACAGCAACCTGGACCTGTTGCAGAGCCCTCTCTTGTTTTTGACCCCACTCAAAACTGGCAACCTATTGGGTCACTCTATAAATGGGCTATAGTAACACACCCACAGAAGAAATGTGTTGCCTCCAAAGCCCAACTAGGCCTACTAGGCATTGTGCTTATTTCTTGGTTGTAGGAGGGGCCAAATGTGGCAACTTATCCTTCACCATAGAAGGGGTATCTCGACAGGCCCCAAACCACTGGATCCCTAGAAATTTTACTGAGGTAGAAGGTTCCTGTATTTTAGTCAGATTTATTTCCCATCCAATGGCACACAAATGCCTCACCAATAAGTCCAGTGTTTTCTACTTCTCACTTGCTGGATCTAATCAGCAAAATGTTATCAACATAATGGAGCAGTGTGATATCCTGAGGAAGGAAAAAAATGATCAAGATCTCTGAGAACAAGATTATAACACAAAACCAAAGAGTTGAGGTAGGACAGTGAAGGAATATTGCTGGCCTTGCCAGCTGAAGGTGAATTGCTTCTGGTGGGCCTTATGGACAGGAATGGAGAAAAAGGCATTTGCCAAATCAATGGCTGCATATCAGGTACCAGGAGATGTGTTAATTTGTTCAAGCAATGAAACCACCTCTGGTACTGCAGTTGCAATTGGAGTCACCACTTGGTTAAGCTTATGATAGTCCACTGTTATTCTCCAAGATCCATCTGTCTTCTGCATGGCCAAATAGGATAATTGAATGAAAATGTGGGAATCGCCACCCCTGCATCTTTCAAGTCCTTGATGGTGGCACTAATCTCTGCAATCCTTCCAGGGATGTAATACACACACACACACACACACACACACACACACACACACGTTTGTTTTTCTAGCTGGATGCAACTCTGACGGTTTCCATTTGGCCTTTTCCACCATAATAGCTCTCACCCTACCAGTCAGGGAGCCAATGTGGGAATTCTGCCAACTACTAAGTATGTCTATGCCAATTATAGATTCTGGCACTGGGGAAATGATCACAGGATGAGTCTGGGGACCCAGTGGACCCACTGTAAGTTAGGCCTGAGTTAAAATTCCATTAATTACCTGACTTCCATAAGCTCCTACTTTAACTGAAGGACCATAATGATGTTTTGGGTCACTTGGAGTCAATGTCAGCTCAGAGCTAGTGTCCAGTAGTCCCCGAAAAGTCTGATCATTCCCTTTTCCCCAGTGCACAGTTACTCTGGTAAAAGGCCGGAGTTCTCCTTGGGCAAGGATGGGGGAAAGATTAACAGTATAAATTGTCGGTAGTGTAGTGGGGTCCCTCCTCTAGGAGACCCGGCCTCCCCTTTATTCAAGGGGTTCTTGGTCCTTAAACTGGTTCAAAGTCTGGAAATAGATTGAGGGGCTGTGATTCTCTATTTTTATAATTCAAATTAGTCTTTTGTCTACTCAACCTGGAAGTTTTCTGCTTATACAAATTAATTAAGAATGCAGTATGCTACCTATCATTTTCAATTCTAGGAACACTGTGATTAATTAGCCAATGCTAGACCTCTACATGAGTCAGACTATTCTGATTGCTCCTTTGTCTCTGCTGTACATTATGGTAGCTATGCCCACCTTGCCCTTAATGGTTGAGTGTCACCTCTGGATCCAATTATTCTCATTGCATTTAAATTTTCTAATTGAGTGACTGTGGTTCCCACTGTAAGACCATGCATACAGAGAAGAGCAATCACAGAGCTCTTCAAGGATGCAGGTGCTCCCCTCACAAACCTATTTTGCAAAATATTGGTGAAGGATATGTCTTCTGGACATATCCAGAAGTGATAATATCTGGACATATCCTCCCAACTGTGATAAGTGGATCTAAAGTGACTAATCCACTCTAGCATCCCAAACTCCCTAAGCCTTCGAATCCCTTCCTTATATTAAACAAAGGAAGATCAGGCATTTCTAGCTTGCTCACAGTGGGCCATGTTTTGATCCATGTTTCAGCTAACCAAGCAAATAAACTATTAGAACCTTTTTTTAACTCCCTGAGCTGCAACATTCAACACAGAATCCTTGCTTAGTGGGCCTAAATCAATAAATTCAACCTGATTGAACTTTATGTTTCTTCTACCATTACCCCACACCCTTAATATCCACTCCCAGGCCTGTTCTCTAGATTTCTGCTTATATAAATTAGAAAATTCATTTGGGGGTGTAGCATACCTCCTCATGGGGCACACTCTGAACCTCACCTCCAGAAGCCTGCTGGAAATTTAGTTATAGGTCTAGAAGCAGACAGGGGTATTGGGGGTGGGTCATGAGGAGCATCAGCATTGTTTTGCCTGGCAACTACCTCAGGGAAGGCCATCACTGTTGCCTCAGACAGTGCATGGTTAATCTCCTCAGACAAAGGTGGCAAGGCTGATGGCAGCCTGGGATCAGGAAGGGGATATTGCCACTACTGGGTGTGGGGAGGCCATTTCCTCTGGCAAAAAAGGCTCATCAGAGTTTACAAGCTCAGTGTCCCCAGCTTCATCAGGGTTCTCCCACACATCCCCATTCCAAGTTGCAGGGTCCCATTCTTTTCCAATCAATGCCCTCACTTTAACAGTAGACACCTGGTGAGGCTGAGTGTGCACCTTTCGTTGCAGGTAAGCCACTTGCATGATAAGAACTTGTGTCTGATTTTCTGTAATTTCATTCCTTTACAGAGTCACCTGAGGTCAGGAGTTTGAGATGAGCCTGGCCAACATGATGAACTCCTGTCTCTACTAAAAATATAAAAATTAGTCCGGTGTGGTGGCGCACGTCTGTAATCCCAGCTACTTGGGAAGTTGAGGGAGGAGAATCGCTTGAACCCAGGAGGCGGAGGTTGTAGTGAGCCAAGATCACGCCACTGCACTAAAAAAAAAAAAAAAAAAAGACTTGAGGCTCAGTATTTGCTTATGGAGCTGGGAGTTAGAATCTCTGAGCTCATCCTTTTCTCTCATTTTTCCCAGTGAACTTAGGAGCAACCAACCAACTTCATTATATTCCTTGGTTCTCCACATGCAGTCAAAGGTATTATGTGTAGAGTCACTGAATTCCTCGCCTCTCACGAGTGGTGAATCAGGAGTATCAAATGTATTTATTTTGCCTAACTCTCTAAACAGGTCACAGCAAGGACTATCATTGTTCTTTATATTATTAGAAGTAGAGACTTTAGCATTTTGGTATCTAATCATATTAAGCAGCCAAATCCAGAAATCCCAAAACCAACTAAAGAAATCCATCCTTAAAATTCTGCTCCTCTAGAACCATTCCTGGTGCCAAAATCTGTATTAGTCAGGGTTCTCTATAGGGACAGAACTAACAGGATATATGTATATATAACAGGGAGTTAGTTAAGGAGAATTGACATACATGATCACAAGGTAAAGTCCCATGATAGGTCATCTGCAAGCTGGGGAGCAAGGAAGCCATTGTTGGACCAGTCCAAGTCCCAAAACGTCAAAAGTAGAGAAGATGACAGCATAGTCTTCAGTCTGTGGTTAAAGGCCCGAGAGCCCCTGGCAAACCACTAATCACTGATTTAAGTCAAAGAGTCCAGAAGCTGAAGAACTTGGAGTCTGATGTTCAAGGGCAGGAAGTATTCAGCATGGGAGAAAGAGGAAGGCCAGAGGACTCAGCAAGTCTGCTCTTTCCAAGTTCTTCTGCCTGCTTTATTCTAGCTGTGCTGGCAGCTGATTAGATGGTGCCCACCCAGATTGAGGGTGGGTCTGCCTCTCCCAGTCCTCTGACTCAAATGTTAGTCTCCTTTGGCAACATCCTCACAGACACACCCAGGAACTATACTACTTTGTATCCTTCAATCCAATTAAGTTCACACTCAATATTAACCATCACAGTATATAATAAAGGAAATCAGAACACTTACTGTAGATAAAAAAAGTTTTACTATAAATTAAAAAGAACATCTAAATAAGTGAATATAGTGGTCTGTATACTTTGATAGAAAAAATGACCACTGTAATGCTGCTAATTGTCTACAGATAATCAATATAATTACTGCAATTATGACCAAAATATCATCAGGAAATTCAGAGATTTGACAGAGTCATAAAATAATTAGCAAAAATAGCTCAGAATATTTCGGAAAAGAGACTAATGAGCAGTCTTGGCTCCTTGTATGCTGAAATCATGATTATAATCATCATGATCATCATCGTCATTGCTATGGTTTGGATACAGTTTGCTTGGCCCTACTAAGTCTCACATTGAACTTGGATTCCCAGTGTTGAAGGTGGGGCCTGTTGGGAGGTGTTTGGGATGTAGGGGTGAATTCCTCATCAATGGTTTGGTGCTACACTCACAGGAGTGCATAAGTCTCACTTTTAGGTTCCTTCAAGAACTAGTTGTTGAAAAAAGCCTGCCATCTCTTTCTTTTTCTGTCTTGCCTCCTCTTTCTTGCCACTTGATCTCTGAATAGCTGGCTCCTATTTATCTTTGGCCACGGGCGGAAGGAGTCTGAGGCTCTCACCAGAAGCAGATGCTGGTATTGTGCTTCTTGTACAGCCTGCAGAACTATAAGCCAAATAAACCTCTTATCTTTATAAATTACTCAGCCTCAGGTATTCCTTTACAGCAACACAAAAGAATGAAGTCAATCCTCATTTTCAGCAATTATGGAAATACAGTGGTGTTTAGAGAGCTACAGACACTTAGGAAAGTAGAAGGCCTCAAAACTGTTCCACATAAATATAAAATTAGTTTATAACAAAGGTGGTATCATGAACCTAGTATGGGAAAACCACTTGAATTGTATATAAGGCCAAAACCATATAAAAACATTGTAATTATACTGCGACAGCTGAGTTAGTCATTAGAAAACCAAAAGTATTAGCTCTAACAACATAACAAAATAAATTACAGATAAGGCGATGATTTTAAATGAGGAGAAGAGGCATACATAAAATAGTGAAAAGAGAGAAAACATATACCTATTTGTGAAGCAGTACTGTATATACATGATACCCAAGTTAGTCACAAAGAAAAGTACTGATTTGATTATATAAAAACTCCAAATTGTTTTGATTATTAATAAAATAAATTTATATGCAAACTTCAAAAGTAGCAGAATTTGCAGCATGTCTCGGAACAGTGTGGTAAGATACCGTAAGACAAATGCTTAAAATTTAAACACAACAACATCTCCTTGAGGATGTGACTTTAATGTTTATAGTTTATTGTCAGCTAGCTTCAGCTTTGGTTGCTTTCAGTGGTGAAGACTCTGTGTGAATTTCTTGGTTATAGAGAGTCTTTGTGTGATGGCTTTCTCACATGCTGGTTGTAGGTAACAATCAACATGATGACTGGAACAGAACATCACATCTCAATATCAACATTGAATGTAAGGGATTCAAAGATCAAGGATTCATAGATAGGTTGCATATTTACTAATATGAAAGCTTATTGTTCAACAGGTAATATTGGCTGAATGAAGACAATAACCCATCCTTCAGGCTCTTTGTCTCACATACATGACATCTGGAGAGATGCAGCTTCCACTCCGGGGGCTTCATTAGAAACTAGATCCTCAAGAAACATTCAGGTAATCCTAAAGTAAGAAAGTGAAGGACATAGTCCAAGAGGAGACTGAGAACATAGGGAGTCTTTTTATCACAAATTGGTGTTCTAGTGGACATACTGAAAAGACTTAAAGGAAAAGAGAGGAAAGGGGTTTGAATAGCATTATGGATATGCTCAATCGAATAAGGATAAAGAACCCATTGACACTGGGTAGCAAGAAGGCTTAGACATTTAGGATGATTAAGGTAGATAGTGAATGTTTACTTCAATTCCCATTGAAGATGGATTGATTTTACGGTTTCTCAGACATGTGGCAATTAGTCTAAGCTAGAGTTCTATAATTTGGTTATTTTGATATGAAGCAGTGAAAGAACAACACTTACTACATAAAAGAGAAAGTTTTGCATTTTCAAATTCAGAGTTATTACTTTCAAAATAGAGATGATGTCTCTTGTGCTTATGCGTAGCCTGATGTGCATAGTCTAAATTAGATAAATAAGGTTCATGAGATACAGAAAGAGGAATGTGCCAAGAAGCTACAAAGACAACAGATTATAAGATTCAAATGGTCCTGAAAGCTGAATTCATTATCACCATCTTCAGGATCTCACAGTGGCCCCAGAAAGGTTACTAATAGGACAATTTGAGAAGGGTTTTGAAAGTTGGGAACTCCTGGTTTATAAGAATGTGTAATACTCAGGAAGGAAATATAGTATCTGTATCAAATGATCTGATAGAATAAATTATGAGAGATAGGAAAGAGGAAACAGAGTTGCTTATAATAAACATCAATAGAGGATAATGCCAGAAGTAGGACTTAGAACCTAGTTTTATTAAACAGCTAATATTTAACATCCATATTCTTCTATGTTTAGATACCATCCTGGGGTCATTACTAATTTAACTTGTTTAATCCCCACTAGAAACAAAAACAAAACAAAACACTAGGAGATGTATGTGATTCTTAACTGCATTTTGTCTATTAGGAAATGAAGGCCTAGAGAGATAAGGACCCTGCTAGAGTCATGAGACAGTATGTGTTGGAGCTGAGATTCACACAGACTCTGTCTATCTTTAGAGCTGTTTGTCTTAACCACTGGGAATTCAAAATAAGGAATTCAAGAATAGTACAATGAATCAAAGAACACTGTATTATCAGAAAAAAATTAAGTCAGTAATATTAGAGAAATAATTGATTAAACAGGTTATAGAAAAATATTTAACATTACTGAGGTTATATCAGAATTTTCATCATGAATATCAAGTTTTGAAAATTTAATTACCTATTATTTCTAATACGAGAGCTTTGATCAGGGAAAAAACATTATTTGTAGACAGGCTTCATGGGTATGCAACCTGCGAAGTAACATGGTGCTCTGTGCTTACAGGAGCCTCATGCTTTGTTTAATGCTTTAATACCATCAGAACATTATTCTTAATAAATTTTGAACAAGGAGCTTTGCACTTTCATTTTGTGCTAGACCTTGTGAATTATGCAACTGGTCCTGTATGTAGATAATGAAATATTTCACAAATTATCCCAACATGCCAATATACTTAAATTTCATCTGATTTTAGCCAAAGTGAAAGTGATGAAAAACTTTATGGGTGAAAATTTAGAATGTATTATTAAAAGGTAAAAAAATGAAGTTTATTACATGTGCCATGTTTAAAACAAAACCAACATATCTCTGATTTTTAAAACAGGGAAGTTGATGCAACTAATTAATTAATGGTAAGGTAGTTTGGAAGGATATGTCAATTATCCATAATGAAAGGCTTGAAAGGGTTCCAGGAAGCAGTTGCAGCCAAGGCAGGTGTTGGGGGAGAAAAGATCCAACTTAGTTTTAGGAAGAAAATGCACAGAGGAATGAGAAAGCAATCCCAGAGCATCTGCCAGATCTACATGAAAGGACAATTTGAGAACAGATGGGAATAGAAAGTAAAAAATTACGTCATACAAATCTAGACATCTTCTGACCAGCAGCGAAGAATTTGGTACCATGGGCTAAGTCCTTTAGGACACACTAGCCAAGATGGATAAGAAAAGCCTTTCAAATCTGCTAGGATTTTGCTAATGCCATTTTAGTCATTAATGTGTAGAACAAAAGGATACCAACTAATCCTGTAGCGGCCCAAGCAGAGATGTGTGTGGCAGTGTAGGGTCTCTTACAAAATTTCTGCTTCAGCGTATAGAGTAATAAAGTACAGATAAGGAAAATTCTGTTCTGTCCAATAACACATTTACATATTAAGCATGCCCAGAATGAAGATTTAGCCTTCCAAGTAAATGTAATTCTATAATAGGAATAATAAAAGAATTGCACTAGGTTGTTATTTTGCTAGATAATAGAAAGACTGGGTGTTTTAGGTCAAAATAGACTTCTGACAAATATCTATTGGCTACACAATGATTATAATTTCTTTTCTTTTTCCCTCCTCCTTCTCCTCCACTTCCTCCTTCTCCCCCACCTCCTTCTCCCCCACCTCCTTTTCCTCCTCCTCCATAAATTCATGGAGTACATGTGCAGGTTTGTTACATAAATATGTTGCATAATGGTGAGGTTTAGGCTTCTAGTGTGCCCTTCACCCAAACAGTGAAAAGTGTACCCAATAGGTAATTTTTCAACCCATACCTCCATCCTCATTTTTGAAGTCCCCAGTGTCTATTATTTTCATCTATATGTTCATGATTACCCATTGTTTAGTTCCCACTTATAAGGAGAATATGTGGTATTTGATTTCATGTTTCTGAGTTGTTTCATGTGGATAATAGCCTCCAGCTCCATCCATGTTGCTGTAAAAGACATTCCATTCTTCTTTTCTGGCTGCATATATACCACATTTTCTTTGTCCAATCTTCTGTTGATGGACACTTGGGTTGATTTCATGATTTGGCTATTGTGAATAGTGCTGTGATAAACATAAAAGTGCAGGTATCTTTTTTATATAATTTATTTTCCTTTGATAGATGCCCAGTAGTGGGGCTGCTAGCTCAAATGGTAGTTGCATTTTTAGTTCTTTGAAATCTGCATACTGTTTTCCACAGAGACCTTACTAATTTACAGTCCCAAAATAACAGATTTTGGTGAGGATGTAGAGAAAAGTGTTCCCTTTTCTCTGCATCCTCACCAAAATCTGTTATTTTTGACTATTTAATAACAGCAATTCTTAATGGGGTAAGATGGCATTTCACTGTGCTTTTCTCTGATGACTAGTGATATTGAGAATTTTTTTGTATTTTTGTCATCGTATACCAGAATTAACTCAAGACAGATTAAATATTTAACTGTAAGACCTGAACTGATACAAAATCCTAGAAGGCAAACTAGGAAAAACTCTTCTAGATATTGACCTAGGCAAATAATTCATGATTAAGTCTTCAAAAGTGAATGCTATAAAACAAAAATAGACAAATGGAACTTAATTCAACTAAAAATGTTCTGCATAGCAAAAGAAATTATCAACAGAGTAAACAGACCACCTACAGAGTGGGAGAAAATATTTGCAAACATGCATCTGACAGAGGACTAATATCCCAAATCTACAACCAACTTAAACACCTCACCAAAATAAAAACAACCCCTTTAAAAAGTGGGTAAAGGATATGAACAGATGTTCCTCAGAACACATGCAAGTATATCTGCTATTTAACTTAAAAAAATAGTTACTGAAATAGTCTAAATGAATTATAAGAAAATCTATCATTTTTATACTGCTTTTTCAGTCAATAAATACGGGTGTTCTCTTGAGTGTCAGGAGAGATTTTAGTTTCCCAACAACTGGATATTGATTTCAGATTCTCAATTGGATTATGTTGCAGGGATATTTTTGATTATTTATTATCAGGCCTAGCTTTTGACAAACTACTAATATTATATATCCAGAATAATGGCTCAGAGGTACAAACCACCATAGAATTGCTGTAAAAGGAGAAGGATCCCAAAGCCAATATTTGAATCAAGAAATTGATACTTAGGGAATGCAGATTATGTAAAACATTTTTTCCTACATTTTATTAATTTTTGTATTCCCAGCAAAGGGCACAGTGCCTGTCACATAGTAAACATGCAATAATGTGCTTTAAACTGAAGTAAATGGTTTGGAATACTTGTGTCCACAGAGGGATTATGGTCTCCATTTATATTTAATGAGCACGTACTATGTGCTAGGAAGCTGAGGATTTGGGTTCAAATTTGATTTAACCTTAAATGATTTATTTTTGAAGTCTCAGTTATCTCATTTCTTGAATGAAAATAATTCCCCTCCTACCTGAAATGGTTTTTGAGAGTTAAAAACTTCATTGACTATGAAAGTAATTAAGTTTAAATTATTACAAATTATATTACTTTAATAAAACAAACATATTTTTCTTCATTCAGCAGCAATAATTTTTGTAACACTTGAATCAACAGTAGAACTCACAGTGTGTAGATACCAGTACATCAGATTTATTCCCTAGACCTGAAGGCTCACTTTAATTTTAATGCTTGAATTTGCTAGTCAATGATGCTATAAATCCCTTAAGTAGTTAATATTGTATTATTCACAATCTCTTATGCTTAGTTTAATATATGAAAGAGATTATTTTGAGTACTTTACTTTCTCACATAATTTATATATCCACAGCGGATGCCCTCATTGAATCTGAAAATTTCCTCATTAAAGCTTAATTATATTCTATAACATAGTTTATCTGAATTGTTTCTAAAATTTTTCAAGTCATTTTTCAGCTGCTGAATTTTTAATAGAATACAACTAAGCTTATTCTTGAACCAAAATGCATAATTTCAGTTATTTCATTTTCTTTTTGTTATATACATTCAGAATCCTCAATTGTGTTTCATGCTTGTTTGGCCTAATTTTATCAATTGAGTTTTATATTAAGTATATTGGTCTCAGACACTATACTAAGAGGTACCATTAAATACTTTGTAGTTACTTAAATGATGAGAAAAATATGTATCTTCATATTGCCTTGAACATCTTTGTTTACTATGTTGTGCTTGTAACAAGGAATCAATATTGGTTTATTATTGTTAAAGTCCATAGTTGATTCAGATTTTTTGTATTTTTGATCTGTATACATATATTTTTGTATTCGAAAATCCTATCCAGGATACCAATAACATTTAATCAACATGTTTCTTTAGGTTCTTCTTGGTTTAATTCTTCTCCTTCCTGCCACCATGTGAAGAAGGATGTGTTTACTTCCCCTTCTGCCATGATTGTAAGTTTTCTGAGGCCGCCACAGCAATGCAGAACTGTAAGTCAATTAAACCTCTTTCCTTTATAAATTACCCAGTTTTGGGTATTTCTTCATAGCAGCATGAGAATGAACTAATAGACATGGTTTTTGACAAATCCACAATGGCATGTATTAATCATTATAGTATCATACAGAATAGTTTCATTGTCCTAAAAAATCAAATCCCTAAGCTTTATTTATTCATCCAACTTTCTTCTTTCACTTAGAATGCATTTATGTTTCTTTCATGCATTTTTGTTTCTTGCTAGCTCTTTTCTTTTTTTCTTATAATAATATCTCATTTTATGACTGTATCACAAGTATCAATAGCAGAGTAGACTAAGCAGAAAGAATTTCCGAGCTTGAAGTCTATCTTTCTGAAATAAGGCAGGCAGACAAGAATAGAGAAAAATGAATGAAAAGGAATGAACAAAACCTCCAAGAAATATGGGACTATGTAAAAGTCAAAACGTATGTTTGATTGGGGTACCTGAAAGAGGTGAGAAGAATAGAACCAAGTTGAAAAACATACTTCGGGATAAAAGATTTTTCTAATGTATCATTGAATTTGGTTTGCTGGTATTTTGTTGAGGATTTTTCATCAATATTTATCAGAGATATTGGCCTGTAGTTTTCTGTGTGTGTGTGTGTGTGTGTGTGTGTGTGTGTGTGTGTGTGTGTGTGTTTCCTACGCCTTTGTCTGGTTTTGGCATCAGGATAATACCAGCCTTGTAGAATGAATTTGCAAGTATTCGTTCCTCCTTTATGTTTTGGTATAGTTTGGGTAGGATTGCTATTAGTTCTTCCCTAAATGTTTGGTAGAATTCAGTAGTGAATCTGTTGGGTTTGAGCTTTTCTTTACTGGGAAACTTTTTATTGTGGATCCAATCTTGTTATTTGTTATTAGTCTGTTCAGGTTTTGGATTTCTTCATGGTTCAATCTTGGTATGTTTTGTATGTCTGTTAGAGTGCATCCATCTCCTCTAAATTTTCCAATTTATTGGCATATAATTTCTCATAGTAGCTACTAATGATCCTTTGAATTTCTGCAGTATCAGTTGTAATGTCTCTCTTATCATCTGTAATTTTATTTATTGGGGTCTTCCTTTTTTTTCTTCATTAGTCTGGCTAGAGGTTTGTCAATTTTTTTAATCTTTTGAAAAAAATAACTTTTTGTTTCATTAACATTTTGTATTGTTTTCTTCATTTCAAATTCACTTATTTTTGCCATGATCTGTATTATTTATTTCCTTCTACTAATTTTGGGCTCAGTTTGCTCTGCTTTTCTAGTTCTTCATGATGTATCATTCGGTTATATTTGAAGTTTTTCTTCTTTTTTGATGTAGGCACTTATGGCTATAAAATTCCATCTTAGTACTGCTTTCACTGTATCCCATAGGTTTTGGTATGTTGTTTTCATTATTATTTGTTTCAAGAAATTTTGCAATTTCCTTCTTAATTTCTTCATTGACCCACTGGTCATTCAGGAGCATATTGTTTAATTTTCATGTATTTGTATTGTTTCCAAAATTCCTCTTGTTGATTTCTAGTTTTATTCCATTGCGGTTATGAATATGCTTGCTATTTCAATTTTTAAGATGTTGTAAGACTTGTTTTGTTACCTAACCTATGGTCTATCCTTGAGAATGATCCAGGTGCTGAGGAAAAGAATGTATATATTTTTTCTTTTTTTTTTTGAGACAGAGTCTTGCTCTGTCTCCCATGCTGGAGTGAGGTGGCACAATCTCAGCTAACTGCAAGCTCTGCCTCCTGGGTTCATGCATTCTCCTGCCTCAGCCTCCTGTGTAGCTGGGACTACAGGGGCCCGCCACCATGCCTGGCTAATTTTTTGTATTTTTAATAGAGACAGGGTTTCACTGTGCTAGCCAGGATGGTCTTGATCTCCTGAGCTCATGATCTGCCTGCCTGGTCCTCCCAAAGTGCTGGGATTACAGGCCCAGCAAGAAGGTGTATCCTTTAGACTTTGGATGAAATGTTCTGTAAACATCTGTTAAATCTATTTGTTGTGTAGTGCAGATTAAATCTGATGTTGTATTAGTTCGTTCTCACACAGCTAACAAAGACATAACAGAAACTGGGTAATTTATAAAGAAAACAGATTTAGTTGACTCAGTTCAGCATGGCTGAGGAGGCCTCAAGCAACTTACAGTTGTGGTGGAAGAGGAAGCAAGCATGTCCTGTTCACATGGCAACAGCAAGAAGTGCCAAGCAAAAGGGGAAAAATCCCCTTATAAAACTATAAGATCTTGTAAGAACTTACTCACTATCATGAGAACAGCATGAAGGTAATCACCCCTATGATTCAATTACCTCCTACAAGACCCCTCCCACGACATGTGGGGATTATGGGAACTACAATTCAAGATGAGATTTGGGTGGGTACAACCAAACCATATCAGATGTTTCTTTGTTGAGTGTCTGGGAGATCTGTCCAATGCTGAAAACAAGGTGTTGAACTTTCCAGTTATTGTTTTGGGGTCTATCTTTCCCTTTCCCTTTAAAAATGTTTGCTTTATATATCTAGATGCTCCAGTGTTAGCATATATATATTTACAATCATTATGTCATGCTGCTGGAATGACCCCTTTGCATTATATAATGACCTTCTTTATTTATTCTTACGTTTTTTGTCTTGAAATCTATTTTGTCTGATATAAGCATAGCTACTTCTTCTCTTTTTTTGGTTTCCATTGGCAATGAATATCTTTTTCCATTCTTTCATTTTCAGTATACGTTTATGTTTGTAGGTGAAGTGTGTTTCTTATAGGCAACAGATCAATGGGTCCTGTTTTTTCATCCGTTCAGACACTCTGCGTCTTTTGATTGGAACGTTTAGTCCATTTACATTCAATATTACTATTGATAAGTAGGGACTTCTGCCATTTTGTTATTTGTTTTCTGGCCCGCCCTCTCTGCCTCCCTCCATCCCTCCCTTCCTTCCTTTCTTCCTTTCTTCCTTCCTTCCTTCCTTTTAGTAAAGGTGATTTTCTCTGGTGGTATGATTTAGTTTTTGCTTTTTATTTTTTGTGTATCCATTGTACATTTTTCAATTTAAGGTTACTATAAGGCACATAAATACTATGTTACAACCCATTATTTTAAACGGATGACAACACTGATTACATAAACAAACAAACACACAAAAAGAAACCTAATAAAAACTCTACATTTTAACTTCATCCCCTTGCTTTTTAACTTTTTGCTGTTTCTCTTTTGGTTTATGGTACTACCTATGTATTGAAAAATTGTTGTAGTTATTATTTTGTATTGTTTCATCATTTAGCCTTTCTACTTAAGCATAGTTTATACACCATAATTACAACGTTAGTACAGGAGTGGTGGCTCATGCCTGTAATCTCAGCACTTTAGGAGGTTGAGGCAGGCAGATTTTTGAGCCCAGGAGTCTGAGGCCAGCCTGGGCAACATGGCAAAACCTGTCACTACAAAAAATACAAAAGCTAGCCAGTCATGGTGGGGCACACCTGTAGTCCGAGCTACTTGGGAGGTTGAGGTGAGAGGATGGCTTGAGCCCAGGAGGTTGAGGCTGTAGTGAGTCATGATTGTACCACTGCACTCCTACCTTGGTAACACACACAAACATACACACACACTCTGGAGTGTTATAAACAATTACAGTGTTATAATATTCAGTTTTTCCTTTTTTTTCTATGAGCTTACCATTACCAGTGAGTTTCGTACATTCAGGTGATTTCTTCTTGCTCATTAACATCCTTTTCTTTCATATTGAATAACTCCCTTTGGCATTTCTTGTAGGACAGGTCTTGTGCTGATGAAATACCTAAGCGTTTGTCTCTCTAGAAAGGTCTTTACTTCTCTTTTATGTTTGAAGGATATTTTCACTGAACATACTACTCTAGGGAGAAGATTTTTCCTGCGGCACTTTAAATATGTCATGTCCATCTTTCCTGGCCTGTAAAGTTTCCACTGAAATTTTGCTACAAGACATATTGGAGCTCTATTGTATATTATTTGTTTCTTTTCTTTTGCTGCTTTTAGGATTCTTTCTTTACCCTTGACCTTTGGAAGTTTGATTATTAAATGCCTTGAGGGAGTCTTTTTTGGGTTAAATCTTCTTAGTGTTCTATAACCTTCTTGTACTTGAATGTTGGTGTCTTTCTTTAGGTTTGGGGAGTTCCCTGATATTATTCCTTTGAATAAACTTTCTACCCCTATCTCTTTCTCTGCCTTCTATTGAAGGCCAATAACTTTTAGATTTGCCCTTTTGAGAATATTTTCTAGATCTTGTGTAATTACAAATAGTCTGTCTTCAAGCTCACCAATTCTTTCTTCTACTTGATCAATTATGCTGTTAAAAGACACTGATGCATTCCTCAGTATGTCAATTGCATTTTTCAGCTGTAGGATTTTTTCATATTCTTTTAAATTATTTTAATCTCTTTGTTAAATTTATCTCACAGAATTATGAATTTCTTCTCTGTGTTATCTTGAATTTCTTGGAGTTTTCTCAAAACAGCTATTGTGAATTCTCTAACTGAAAGGTCACACATCTCTCTTTCTTCAGGATTGGTTCTTGGTGCCTTATTTAGTTTGTTTGGTAAGGTCATATTTTCCTGGATGCTACTGATCTACAGATGTATTTTGGTGTCTGGGCATTGAAGAGTTAGGTATTTACTGTAGTCTTCACAGTCTGGTGTTATTTGTGCCCATTCTTGAGATGGCTTTTTTTCTAAGGAACTTGGGCTCCAAGCTCAATATTTCTGTGTTTTTTGCAGACTTGTAGAGATATAATCTAGGTGGTATTGCATAAGATCCAGAAGAATTCTCATTCTCTCTCTCTCATTTTCTCTCTCTCTTTCTCTCTCTCTTTCTCTCTCTCTCTCTTTCTCCCTCCTGAGCTGCCTGGAATGGGTGGGGCGGGGGGTGGTGGTGGTGATGCTAACACAAGTGTGGCCACTACCACTGTTTCTGCACTGAGTCAGACCTGAAGTCAGCACAGCACTGGATCTTGTTCAAGGCCCACTGTAACCACCTCCTGTTACCACCTATGTTCACTCAAGGCCCTAGGGTTTTATAGTCGGCAAATGGCAAAGCCAGCCAAGTTCGTGTTCTTCCCTTCAGGCAGCAAGTTCTCCCAGACCCTGGGCAGGTTCAGAGATGCTGTCTGAGAGCCAGCGTTTACAGTCAAAAACCGTAGCAATTTGCCTAATGTTCTATTCTACCGTAGTTAAGCTGGCACTCAGTCCACAATATAAGCTTCTTTCCGCTCTTCTGTCTTCTTTTCACAGGCAGAGGAGCCTCTCTCTTGGTTACCTCCACCACCAGGTCATGGAGGGTACTGCCATGCCACCACCAACGTTCCTCTAAAGCCTAAGGGCTCTTCAGGCAGCTTGTGGTGAATGCTGCCAGACCTGGGACTCACTCTTCAAGGCAGTGGGCTCTGGGCGGGCCTAGAAATGCTGTCCAAGTGCCACAGCCTGAAATTGGTGACTCCAAGAGGCTGGTTGGTGCTCTGTTCCCCATTGTCGAGGGGGATAGAGGCAGGACAAAGTCCATTTTACTCTTCACCCTGCTTTTCTCAAGCAGAAGGAGTCTCTCGTTGTTGCCACTACAGCTGGGAATGTACTGTCTCACACCTGTAGTCAGCACATTTCAGAACACAAGGCCCACAGCATACTACCAGGATATCACTGCTGGTTATTTAGGGCCCAAGGGCTCTCTAACCAGCAGGTGATGCATCCTTCTAGTACTGGGTTTTTCCCTTCAAGACAATGGGATCTCTTTTGACCCAGTGTGTGTCTAGAAATGTTATCTAGGAGCTAGAGCCTGGAATGAGGGCCTCACTACTCTGCCCAGTGCCCTATCTTACTGTGGCTGAGCTTGTATCCAAGATGCAAAACAAAGTCCTCTTTACTCTTTGCTCTTATCTCCTTAAGCAGAAGGAAAGATACATTTTCATTGCTATGAGCTGTACTGCCTACGGTGGGGGGAGGATGGCAGAAGCTCTCCTTTGGCCACTCTGTCTTGTATTTCCCTAGGTTACATGCCACCCTAGTCCTTTGGCTGTTAGCCCAGCCCAGCACTAACAGTTGCCTAGGAATTGTAGTCCTTGTGTCCTAGGCTGTCTTTCAAGTTTACCTAGGACCCTAGAGTGCATTGGCCTGTGGTGATGAGGGCTGCTGATACCCTGAGTTCAGACCAATGGGGTTGGCAATTTCCCTTTGGTTAGGTCTGGTCCAAATTCTCCCTCTGTTCACAGGCACTGGCTGAGCCAAGCATGGCTGTACTCTCTGCTATGATAGGGCAGCACTGAATTCAATGTAAAGTCCCCAGTCACTGCACTCTCCCTCCCCCAGATGCACAGACTCTGTTGCTATAGGCCCAATCCAAGGGATGGGAAAGAAGTAACATTAATGATCCAAGACTGTCTTTCCTATCCTCCTCAATGCCTCTTTTAATGATACGAAGTTAAAACCAGTTACTATCATTGCCTACCTGATTTTTGGTTCTTGTGGTGGTGCTTTTCTGTGTGCAGATATTTGTTAAAATTTGATGTTCCTGCAAGGAGTACAAGTGGAGTAGGCTTCCATTCCTCCATCTTGCTCCAACCTTTCCAGTTTTTTGTAGACTTTTAAATATTTTCTACATAGAAAATTATGTCATCTGTGAACAAATATAGTTTTGTTTATTCCTTCCTAATATGTATGATTTGAATTGTCTTTTCTTGTATCATTTCAAATAGGAGTGGCAAAAGATGATATCCCTACCTTGTTTCTGATCTTATGGAGAAAACACCTAGCTTATCATTATTTAGTATTATGTTAATGTAGGGTTTTTGCAGATGTTCTTTATCATGTTAAACAAGTTCCTGTGTATTCCTTCTTTGTTATAATGAATAAGTATTGCAGACTGAAAATGCTTTGTAAAGATTTATTGATACGATCATATGATTTTTTCCTTTAGCCTGTTGATAACAGTGAGTTACATTAATTGAGTTTCAAATCTTGAGCCAGTCTTGTATACATGAAATAAACCTTACTTGGTTATAATATATGTAAGTTTTTAGACATTGTTGCATTTGATTTGTGGATTTTTTTAAGGATTTTTGCATCTATGAGATATTCATGAGAGATATGGGTCTCTAATTGCCTTCCTTGAAATGTATTTGTCTTGGTTTAGTATTAGGGTAATGCCAGTGTTATTGAATAAATTAGAAAGTGTGCTATCTGCATCATTTTATAAAAGAGATTGTAGAGAATTGATATAATTTCTACATTAAACATTTGGTAGAATTCACTGGAGAAACCATTTATGCCTAGTGTGGTCTTTTTTGAAAAGCTATTAATTATTATATAAAAATATTACCAATTATATGTATACATATATTTACAACCATATATGAAAGGTTTTATGTAAATCATATACATATAAATTATACATAAATCATATATGCAAATTATATATAAAATTGTATAAATTAATATATATATACCTTTTTAGATTATCTTTTCTCTTTGTGTAAGTTTTAGTAATTTGTATATTTTAAGGCATAGGTCCATTTCACGGAAGTTATCAAATTTGTAGACATAAAGTTTTACATGACTTTTACTTATTATACTTTTAATGTCCTTGAGATGAGCAGTGATGGCCTATTTCTTATTTCTGATATTAGTAATTTGTGTCTTCTCTCCTTTTTCTTAAATAGCCTGGCTAGAGAACAATCAATTTTATTGGACTTTTTAAAAAAATACCTTTTGTTTTCTTGAGTTTTCTAGATTTTCTCTTTTTAATTTTATTGGATTTTGTTCTAGTTTTTGTTACTTTTTATTATTTCTTTTATTTTGCTTGATTTAGACTCAGATTGCTCTTTTTTCTCTAGTTTCCTAAACTGGAGAGCTTAGATTACTGATTTTAGATTATTCATTAACTTTTGTTTTAAATTCAGAGGTACATGTACAGGTTTGTTATATAGGTAAACTTGTGTCATGGGTGTATGTTGTACAGATTATTTTGTGATCCAGGGTATTAAGCATAGTACCCATTAGTTATTTTTCCTGATTCTCTCCCTCCTTCTACCCTCCACCCTCCAGTAGGCCCAATGTCTGTTGTTGTCCTCTATGTGTCCTCCTCATTTAGCTTCCACTTTTAAGTGAGAACATGTGATATTTGTTTTTCTGTTCATGCATTAGTTTGCTAAAGGTAATGGCCTTTAGATCCAGCCATGTTCCAGCAAAGGACATGATCTTGTTCTTTTTGATGGCTGCATAGTATTCCATGGTATAAGTATACCACATTTTCTTTATCCGGTCTTCCACTGATGGGCATTTAGGTTGATTCTGTGTCTTTGCTATTTTGAATAATGCTGCAATGAAGACATGTGTATATGTGTCTTTATAATAGAATGATTTATATTCCTTTAAGTATATACCCAATAGTAAAATTGCTGGGTCAAATGGTAGTTCTGCCTTTAGGTCTTTGAGGAATCACCACCCTGTTTTCCACAATGGCTGAACTAATTTACACTGCCACCAACAGTGTATAAGCATTCCCTTTTCTCCACAACCTTGTCAGCATCTGTTATTTTTAAACCTTTTAGTATTAGCCATTCTAACTGGCATGAGATGGTATCTCATTGTGGTTTTGATTTTCATTTCTCTAATAATCAGTGATGTTGAACTTTTTTTCATATACTTTTTGGCCACATGTATGTCTTCTTTTGAAAAGTGTCCCTTGTTGTCCTTTGCCTACTTTTCAGTGGGGTCGTTTTTTCTTGTAAATTTGTTTAAGTTCCTTATAGATGCTGAATATTGGATCTTTGTCAGATGCCTAGTTTGCAAAAATGTTCTCCCATTCTGTAGGTTATCTGTTTACTCTGTTGATAGTTTCTTTGCCTTTGCAGAAGCTCTTTCCTTTAATTAGATGCCATTTTTCAATTTTTGCTTTTGTGGCAATTCCTTTTCCCAACTTTGTCATGCAGTCTTTGCCAATTCCTATGTCCAGAATGGTATTGCCTAGGTTGTCTTCCAGGGTTTTTATGATTTTGTATTTTACATTTAATTCTTTAATACATATTGAGTTAATTTTTTATACGATATAAGGGAGGTGTCCATTTTCAATCTTCTGCCTGTGGCTAGCTGTTATCCCAGAACCATTTATTGAATAGGGAGTTCTTTCTGCATTGCTTGTTTTTGTCAGCTTTATCAAAGATCAGATGGTCATAGGTGTGCAGCCATATTTCCATGCTTTCTGTTCTGTTCCATTGTTGCATATGTCTGTTTCTGTGCCAGTATCATGCTGTTTTTGTTACTGTAGCCCTGTAGTATAGTTTGAAGTCCAGTTGTGTGATGCCTCCAGTTTTGTTCTTTTTGCTTAGGATTACCTTTACTCTTTGGGCTCTTTATTTTTCTTCCATATTAATTTTAAAAAAGTTTTTTTTCTAGTTCCATGAAGAATGTCATTGGTAGTTTAATAGGAATAGCATTGAATCTACAAATTGCTTAGGGTAGTATGGCCATTTCAACCTTATTGATTCTTCCTATCCACGAGCATGGAATGTTTTTCCATTTGTTTGTGTCATCTCTGATTTCTTTGAGCAGTAGTTTGTAATTCACCTTGTAGAGATCTTATACCTCCCTGTTTAGCTGTATTCCTAGGTATTTTATTATTTTTCTGGCAATCGTGAATGAGATTCCGTTCCGGATTCAGCTCCTGCTTGATGGTTGTTGGTGTATAGGAATGTTAGTGACTTTTTAATGCTGATTTTGTACCCTGAAACTGCTGAAGTTGTTTATCAGCTTAAGGAGCTTTTGGGTCGTGATATGCAGTTTTCTAGATATAGGATCATGTCATCTGCAAACAGGGATAGTTTGATTTCCTCTCCTCCTATTTGGATGGCCTTTATTTCTTTCTCTTGCCTAATTACTCTGGCCAGAACTTTCAATACTATATTGAAGTGACAGAGGGCATCCTTGTCGTGTGCCAGTTTTTAAGAGGAATGCTTCTTGCTTTTGTCCATGCAGTATGATATTTGCTGTGGATTTGTTATAAATTGCTCTTATTATTTTGAGGTATGTTCTTTCAGTACCTACTTTATTGATAGTTTTTTAACATGAAGTAGTGTTGAAGTTTACTGAAAGCCATTTCTGATTTGCATATTGATTTATATGCAAATCAATAAATGTAATTCATCACATAAGCAGAACTGAAGACAAAAACCACATGATTCTTTCCGTTCAGAAATTGAACCAGTCTTGCATCCCAGGGATAATGCCTACTTGATCATGGTGGATGAACTTTTTGATGTGCTTCTGGATTCAGTTTGCCAGTGTTCTACTGAGGATTTTTGCATTGATGTTTATCAAAGATATTGACCTGAAGTTTTCTTTTTTGTGTGTGTGTCTCTGCTAGGTTTTGGTATCAGGATGATTCTGGCCTAAAAGAATGAGTTAGGTGGAGATTCCTTCTCCTCAAGTTTTTGGATTAGTTTCAGTAGGAATAGTACCAGCTTTTCTCTGAACATCTGGTAGAATTTGACTGTGACTCCATCTGGTCTTGGCCTTTTATTAGTTGGTAGAATATTTATTACTGATTCGATTTTGGTGCTTGTTATTGGTCTGTTCAGGGATTTAATTTCTTTCTGGCTTAGTCTTGAGAAGGTGTATGTGTCTAGTAATTTATCCATTTCTCCTAAATTTTCTAGTTTACATATGTAGAGGTGTACATAATATTCTCTGTTAGTTATTTGGGTCTTCCCTCTTGTCATTTTTATTTGTTTAGCTAGAAGTCTATCTATTTTATTAAGTTAAAAAAAACCTCTTGGATTTGTTGATGTTTTGAGTGGTTTTACATGTCTCCTTCAGTTCAGCTCTGATTTTGGTTATTTCTTGCCTTCCACTGTCTTTGGGGTTGGTTTTCTCTTGGTTGTCTAGTTATTTTAATCATGATGTTACGTTGCTAAGTTGAGATCTTTTTAACTTTTTATGCGGATATTTGGTACTATAAATTCCCCTCTTAACACTGCCTTAGCTGTGTCCCAGAAATTCTGATATGTGTATCTTTGTTCTCATTAGTTTCAAAGAACGTCTTGATTTCTGCCTTAATTTTATTATTTACCCAGAAGTAGTTCAGGATCAGGTTATTCAATTTTCATGTAATTGTATGTTTTTGAGTGAATGTAGTAGTCTTGATTTCTAATTTGATTGTGCTCTGGTCCAAGAGACTCTTTGTTATGATTTCAGTTTTTGCTTTTGCTGAAGAGTGTTTTATTCCTGATTTTGTGATTTGTTTTAGATTATGTGCCATGTGGCAATGAGGAGAATGAATAACCTGTTGTTTTGGGATGGAGAGCTCTGTAGATGTCTATCATGTCCATTTGATCTGGTACTGATTTCAGGTCCTGAATATCTTTGTCTACCACTATTATTGTGTGGGAGTCTAAGTCTATTTGAAGGTCTCTAAGAACTTGCTTTATGAATCTGGGTGCTACTATTTTGGGTGAATATATATTTAGGATAGTTAGGTTTTCTTGTTGAATTGAACTCGTTACCATTATATAATCCTCTTCTTTGTCTTTTTTGATCTTTGCTGATTTAAAGTCTATTTTGTCTGAAGCTGGAATTGCAACCCCTGCATTTTTCTATTTTCTATTTGCTTGGTAGGTTTTTCTCCATCCCTTTATTTTGAGCCTATGGTTGTCATCGTATGTGAGATGGGACTTTTGACCCATAACAGTGGGTCTTGGTTCTTTGTTTATCTTGCCCTTGTGCCTTTTAATTGGGACATTTTGGCCCACTTACATTCAAGGTTCTTATTGATATGTGTGGATTTGATCCTGTCATCCTGATGTTAGCTGGTTAGTTTGCAGACTTCTTTAGATGGTTGCTTTATAGTGTCATTGGACTGTGTACTTCAGTTTGTTTTTATAGCAGCTGGTAATGGTCTTTTCTTTCTATATTTGGTGCTTCTCTCAAGAGCTCTTGTAAGGTAGGTTTGTTGTTAATAAATTCCCTCAGGATTTGCTTGTCTGAGAAGGATCATTTATCTCCTTTGCTTATGAAGCTTAGTTTGGCTGGATATGAAATTCTTGGTTGGAATTTATTTTCTTTAAAATGTTATATATTGGCCCCCAATCTCTTCTGATTGTAGGGTTTCTGCTGAGAGGTCCACTGTTGGTCTGATGGGCTTCCCTTTTTGGTGACCTGGCCTTGCTCTCTAGCTGCCTTTAACATTTTTTCTTTCATTTTGACCTTGGAGAATCTGATGATTATGTGTCTTGGGAATAATCTTCTTGCAAAATATCTTACTGGGGTTCTCTGCCTTTCTTGAATTTGAATGTTGGCCTCTCTAGATATGTTGAGAAATTTCTCATGGATGAGATATGTTTTCCAAGTTGGTTCCATTCTCTTATTCTCTTTCAGGAACACCAATGAGTCATAGATGAAATCTCTTTACATAATTCCATATTTCTCAGAGGTTTTGTCCATTCCTTTTGATTCTTTTTTCTCTATTCTTGTCTAACTGTCTTATTTTAGAAAGCCAGTCTTCAAGCTCTGTGATTTTTTCCCCACTTGCTCTATTCTGCTATTAATACTTATCATTGCATTATGAAATTCTTGCAGTGTCTTTTTTAGCTCTATCTGGTAGGTTATATTCTTTTCTATTTTGGCTATTTTGTTTGTCAGCCCCTGCACTATTTTACTGTGATTCTTACATTCCTTGGATTGCATTTCAACATATTCCTACATCTAAATAATCTTCATTCCTATCCATATTCTGAATTCTGTTTCTGTCATTTCAGCCATCTCAGGCTGGTTCAGAACTCTAGTTGGAGAGGTAGTGTGGTCATTTGGAAGAAAGAAGACACTCTGGCTTTCTGAGTTGTCAGGGTCATTGTAATGGTTGTTTCTTATCTTTGTGCGCTGATGTTCCTTCAGTCTTTGAAGGTGCTGACCTTTGGAACTTTTTTTTCTATTATGCTGTTTGATGACCGTGAGGGTTTGAATGTGGTATAAGATGGATTCAGCTGACTGGTTTCATTTCTGAACTCTGATGGGTGGTGTCAGGCAAAGTGTTTTGTAGTGTGGTGACAGTGGGACCCATCCTCATTTGCATGTTCCAGCAGCAGCAGCAGCGTGGTAGGGTGCACACTTGTTATCTGTGTCAATTAAGAGTAATACAAATAAAATATTTATTTTACTTTCTTTAGTCCTTCTCTGACACTTTTCCTTTATTTAGATAGATCTGAGTTTCTCACCACCATTTTTTCTACTCTCTGAAGAGTATCTTATAACATTTATTACAGGAAGGACTACTGGAGATAAATTCATTATTGCTTGAGAAAATCTTTATTTTTCTTTCACTTTTGAAGAATAATTTTGGTGAATACAGAATTTGAGGTTCGTGTTTTTCTTTTTTTCTTCATTCAACACTTCAAATATTGGAGAACCTTGGATTTAAATTTTAAAAATTAGACAACATCCAAATGAAACAAACAGTCCCCTCTCTTCTTGCTTGCATGCTTTGCAATGTGAAGTGTAATGTAATTCTAATAATTATTCCTCTATCGTTAAGATGTTTTTATACCTTCTGGATTCAAGATCTTCTCTTCGTTTTCAAACTCATATGATCTTCATATGCAGTTTGTATATGATATGGCTTGGAAAGATAAATCTTTCCTGTTTGGTATCTGTCCTCCTTGGTGTCCTGTGAGCATTCTGTTTTCCTTTGTTAAAGGCAAATGTTATTTAAATGCATAAAAATAAAATTAAAAATATCTTCTTTCATAAAGCTTTGCTTCTGTTCACCCTCTGTATATCTCTATTTCAGTTGTTTTTCGTTTCCATTCACCCATTCATACAATAAAATTTACTGGACTTCTGCCGGGCATGGTGACTCATGCCTGTAATCCCAGCACTTTGGGAGGCCGAGGTGGGTGGATCACCCGAGGTTGGGAGTTTGAGACCAGCCTGACCAACATGGAGAAACCCTGTCTCTAATAAAAATGCAAAATTAGCCAGGCCTGGTGGCGCACACCTGTAATCCCAGTTATTCAGGAGGCTGAGGCAGGAGAATCGCTTGAACCCGGGAGGCAGAGGTTGCGGTGAGCCAAGATAGTGCCATTCCACTCCAGCCAGGGCAACAAGAGTGAAACTCCATCTCAAAAAAAAAAATTACTGGACATTTATTCTATTATGTGTTAAAACCTGATTTTGGAAAACAGGACCATAATCTTTATATTTGTTTTGCAAAATTAAATTTGTCATTCAATTTGCAAAATTCTCAGCAACTGTTACTTTAAATATTCTGCTTTTCTGACTCCCACTCCTCTTCTGCTTCCTTTTCCCCCCTCCCTCTCCTCTTCCTCTTTCTTCTTTTGCTTTGCATTTGTTATTCTGTCGTTTCTGCTCTAAGGAGGTTTAGTGTTTGTTTCTTCAAGCTATTTGAAGGCACTGCCTGTCTAGGTCAGTCAATTAACTTCAAGCTTGGGAATGTTTTTGCAAGATGATATACACTTAGGCTGAAATACCTAAGGTAGTGATTTTCAAAGTCTGTTTCTGAACCAGCAATATTAACATTATCTGGCAATTTTTAGAAATGCAAATTTTCAGAACCTACCTAGATCTACTGAATCAGTACCTTTGCAGTTGGTCTTGCAAACTGCTTTAATAAGATCTCTATGTAATACTGATGAATGGTAACTTCTGGAAACCATCAGGTTTTGGAGGGCCATCATATGCCCAAGCATTCTGAGACTGCTTTATCCCTTTAAATTCACTGCTAAGATTTGAGAGGATTGATTTTCTTTGCAGATCCACAGTAGGGAATGGAGAGAGTAGTTGTAGATTATAGCTGAATTTTACAATGAGGGAGAGGCCCTTTTTGGATCTAGCTACCAGTGGAGTATTTTCTATTAGAGGTCCCACTTCACAAGGTCCAGGAGCTTGGTTTCTTGTGTGGAGCCTCTAAAGCCATAAAAATCTAAGATCAATGATGAAAGTGAGTTGATACCTATACTCTCCTTTCTTACTTCTCTCCTTTTCTAAGTATCCAGCCCTTAAAATACTTATTTTTTGTCTGCTCAGTGATGCTTATAGTTTTTGTTTTGTTTTGATTATCATTTATTTGTTTGATTTAAATTCAAGATTCTTGTTATCTTCAGTAGAATAGTACCCATAACCATGCTGCGTGCAAAGCTTTTGCGTCTTTGCTATTGTTATGTACTCCTTTATCATTTCTATTGTTGTGGATTGTTTCTTCTGATCTATATTCTATCACCTTTCTCTTTCTTTGGGTTCAATTTGCTAATAAAAAAAAAAGAGAGTCAGAGTCAGAGGACTGTATGTCTAAAGAACTGGTCAATTTCATTTTTAATTTCAATGTATAGGTTCTAGATTCTGGAAAAAGAGTTTGTTTAGAACAAGCCTCTGTGGAATGACCTTCCAGGAGAAAACTCATATTTATTTTCAAAAAATAAACAAACCCCACAGCTCTTTGAAAGCCCCAGGAAGTGACCAAAATTAGACCAAAAAAATCACCTTGTGTTTCTGGTCGGACAAGTAACTGTTTTGAAATATACCCAAAATGTTCTCCACAACAGAAGCCTCTAAGAACTCTCTAAAAGAAAATAATTTACCAGAGCTTTACCAAATTAAAGAGCAGTCTATGAAAGACAAAGTACAGTAGGTAAGATTTGTGAGCAAAGAAGTCATAAAATTCAAAAGAAACTTGAGAAAGGAAGGGACTTCCCTAGGAAGGAACCACAGAGGAATGAGAAATTTGAGAATCTCTCAAATTTCACAAACTTCTTGCTAATTACTAATGTAATGTTTGGGCCACAGGGGACCTGGGTTGGAGAAAGCAGTATCTAAAATCTTAAATAATTCAGAATTTGAGCCCAGCCAAACTGCCTGCTTGAAATATAAATTGGCGTTCTTCAGACAAACATAGCAATTCAGAAGCTCTACAGTGTCATTTATGATGTCCTGTTGTATAAATCAGTAAGCATGAGAAGAAAAATGTGACCCGTACTCAAGATAAAAACAGTCAACAATACCAATCCTAAGATAACCTATATGTTACAATTATAGTAGATAAAAACTTTTAGAGTCAAATGTAGAGCTGAAAATACTTATGTAGAAAGGAGGAAATAAATTGAAATTCAAGACCTTGTTTTCTACATTAAGAAACTAGTAAAGAAAGAGTAAATTAAACCAAAGTAATAAAATGAAAGAAATAATAAACGTGAGAGAAAGCATTAATAAACTAGAAACATTGAAACCATAGAGAAAAGTGACAAAGCCAAAAATTGATTTTTAAAAATATTAATAAGTCTATAAACTACCAGAAGACTGATCAAGAAAAAAATTAGTAATATCAGTAATGAAAGATAGTATAGTATTATAGATCTTACAAGTGTCACAAGAATAATAATATTATGAACAACTTTTTACCAACAAATTTGACAACTCAGAAAATAAAAAAATTTATAAAAACTGCTTATTAATACTGACAGAAGATAAAACAGAAAATATAAGTATATATTTCTATATTATATATTTACATATTAATTGAATTTGTTATTCAAAACTTCCCCCATAAAGTAAATCACAGCCTAGATGACTTCAGCCACAAATTCTATCAACTATTTAAGGAAAGAAATAATACTATTCTCACACAAACTCTTTCAGAAATAGAGGAGGAAGAAACACTTCCTTATTTGCTTTATGAGGGCAGTATAACCCTGATAACAAAACCTAACAAATATACATGAAATGAAAATTATAGACCAATATCCTTCAGGGAGGGAACCTTTCTCAAAATATTTAGCAGGTCAATTCATTGAAGCTGTATTGGGTTAAAATTTATTTAGTCTACTTTTATAGTATTTTTTATGATTTTTTTAACTCAATTTCATTAAAATTATTATTAATGGTAGTTCCTAATACTTATATAGAAATTAACATGTCATAGGCATTTCAGCACTATATACATGTTAACCCATATCAACTTCTTTTATTAATAAGGTAATGAAGACACAGAAAACTTTTCTACTGTCATAAAGTTAGTCATACAAGATTCGAAGTTACGTCATGTGACTGCAGAGTTTGTGCTGTTAAATACTTTATTTCTACCTCTTTATTTTGCATGTGATTATTTCATTATCTGTGGACAACTTCTAAGGCTTATTTTGTCTGCTGATTCTCTATTCCTTATTTACTTATGTATTTTGTACCTATTGACTTGCATCAATAAATATAGATATTTGTGGAAATCCACTGATGCTTTTTATGTTCACACTTTTCCAAAGGATAGACTTTATTGCTGCCAGCTTTTTATGTTAACTTCTCTTTTTGGGTAATATATCACAGCTTTTATAAATTCACAGTTGCAAACCACAGGAATGCAGACCTGATATTCTGAATTCTCAAAGGAGATGTTTTCCAAAGCCAGTTCAACACATGCTTCCTTGTAATCTTAAGTCACTGATGGTGACTTTTAAATATTTAGTTCACTCTTCACCTGAGGATATAGATTGTTGAGAACCCCAACTTCTAAGTTTGTATGAATCCAAACCTTATTTTCTGAACCTGTGAGTTCATTTTATGTTACTGAACTTAGCAAAAGTTCCCCAAGTAGGTGAAGTAGCCGTGAGAATGCACCAGTATCATCTTCAGCTCCTTTGAGTTTGGATTCTGGAGATTTGTTTTTACTTTTTTGAAAACTCAACAGTGTATCTACAGGGGTTTAACTAGGTATCAAGGACTGTGAGATGCTGTCTCTGGGTAATCATGCACAGAGAATTGGAGAAGAGGCTTTTGATTATTTTAGTCTTCCCTTAGGGACAAGGAGGCTTTCCTGGAACTGTGACTAGATCAGTCATAGCTGAGTGCATTTGCTTGTTTGGGGAAAGGTTGGTTAAGGTAGGTTTGTGGCATGGGTAAGAAATGTGCAGTGGGGAGAGGGGACACATGATTGCCCTGCTCTTTTCATCATACAATTATTTACTTTCATCAGAAAGCTTCAGAACATGGGCTGTGTACCAGTTGCAGCTTTCTGGTTGTCTGACCACCTAAAGCTGTAGCAGATAGGGTCATAAACTCTACTCTGTGGCATCTCCTGGACACCTGTGTCAGTTGACAGCTCACAGACTTCAAAAATTTAAAGTCTGGGTTTACAATGATGTAATTGTTGACTTTTAAGACCAGGAAGATTTCTATATTATTGGACACTTAAAAACACAGAGGTAATTTATTTTTAGATGGGGATTCTCTGTAGATAACCGAGTATGAATTTTATGAGTCTGTCTTTGCCTGCTTTGGAGAGTCTGATTTTTTTAAATGGCACTTTACTTGCTAAGTGCCTACAATACTTGCTAAGCCACCAAATCTAACAGTTTGAAACAGCTGTCCCCAGGCATCCCTGCAAATTAATACTGTGGCACTACACTTCATTTTTCTTAAAATTAATATTTTGGCTCTCTATAAATTAACTTCTAGCAATCTACCAATGTAAACATTTGTTCTTTTAATTTAAATTTCTTGACACAGGAGGTGTTTTCAAAGTAGAAGAATGTATAATTATTCACCTCAAAAATGGCAGATGAAAATGAAGGCATAGCTAGATCTCTGACATATTTTCTTTCACAGTTGCTGCTTAAACTCTGAATCCTAATTTTTTTTTTATGGAAGTACTTTTTCCCTCTTTATTTTTTGAACTTAGAGTCATTATGCTACCAAAAACATTTCATTGTATTTTCTCCCTTTCTCTCTCTTCTCCCCATCTCTCCCTCCCTTCCTCCTTTCTTCCCTCCCACCCATCTTCCCTCCTTTCCTTCCTTCCCTTTTTCTTTCTCTCCCTGTCTCTTTCTTTTTAAAATTTGATCTATCTAAGATTATAACTCTTGTTGGGAACACAAGTGGGCAAACACAAGTTTTTCTTTACGTCTTCTTTGCTTCAAGATCTCCTTTCCAACATATCAAATGAATAAAATTTGGCTGCCTGTAAAAGAAAATGCAAAATAACAATGTCTTAAGCAAATTATATATCTGTCTATATACTTAGTTTCTTCTCATGTATAGTCCAGAGGTAGTATGGTGGAGGCTGGTGTGGTGATGGTGGGTTCATCATTACCAAGAGCTTGTTTTCTGTTTTTACTCCATTTATTTTATTATGTCAGCTCAGGGTCCACAATAACTACTGGAGCTCTGGTTATCACATGTGCCTTCCAGTTGTCAGAAAAACTGCCAGAGCATAAATGAGAAGCTTTAATTTCAAATTTAATCAATTTTCTTTAAGGTCCTGTCTTGGTCAAGGGGTAGGAACATTACCAATGATAGTCTAATATATGAAAAATAAACACCGTGGGAGCTGGATCATCCTGCTGATGTTTCATTTATTCCTGTTACATTATTAACAAATCTTCAGAGTTGAACTGATTCCTGTTCTTTCTGTGGCCTACCTTTGTTTTCTGTTTTTGTTTTTCGATTTTTTTAGGCAGGGGCTTGCTATATTGCCCAGGCTTGAGTGCCTTGGCATGATCACAGCTCACTGCAACCTCCGCCTCCCAGGCTCAAGCCATCCTCCCACCTCAGCTTCCTGAATAGAGAAGCTGGGACTACAGGTGTGCACCACTATGCCACGCTAATTTTTAAAAAAATTTTGTAGAGATGGGGTTTTGCCATGTTGGGCAGGCTGGCCTCAAATTCCTAGATTCAAGTGATCCGCCCACCTCAGCCTCCCAAAGTGCTGGTATTATAGGCAGGACCCACCGCATCGTGCCCTGTCTTTGACTCTTGAAATAACTCATATAGTTACAGTAAATTCCATTTATTTATTTATTTAAAAACAGCCTTAGTTTCTTTTTTTGGAACCAAAGACACTTAAATAGGAGACATAACAAGAAAACTTAACTCACATATTGTTGGCATGATTTTTACATGTATGGCGTGTGGGGAGAGTGAGTGCTGTTGTTGGGTGAGTTTCTTCAGGGTAAGGACCATAATTTAAAAATCCACACTAATGAGTGTACTCAGTATTTGTTGTGTCGAGCCTTCCCAATCAATTCTCAGAGAATAAAAATTATGCCATCTATTCAGAGAGAAAATATGATACATCTTTCAAACCAGGATGGACATCAGAATAAAGAGGGAGGCACGAAAATAATTAACAGTTACTAATTGACTCTTATTTGGACTGTGCCAAGCAAACCAGGATATACATATATTTATTTCCACCTAACAAAATGCTTGATAACTGGCTGCTACTTTAACATTGGTGAATTTGACAACACATCTCAATGTAGATTTGTAGGTTATGGATAACTTATGGAAACCTTTCCATGTAATAAGATATACGTGTGTGTGTATATATGTGTATACACTATATATACATATATACACACACACACATATATGACTGAGCACTAAATTGGTAGAGCTATAAGAAGCTGTAGCAAACATGCTAACAATTTCTCAGAAACGAGTTGTAAATACTTATAGTGAGCAACTTACACTGACTAGAAAAAGAAAAGTTACCTAAAAATAGCTCCTCCAAAAAATTCCTAGGTACTTACAGTTTATTGAAAGCAATTTTAGCAATATGCATGGAATTACTTCCATTTGGATATATAATCACTTTTGTGCCATCAGTATGCATTTACTAAATTACCTTTCCAATTATATACTCTTACTTTTATAATTGTACTTCTATTTTTTTCAACATGACAAACATTTTTTGCAATCCAGTTAAAGTTTGTAGCACATACATTAGGTTGGGTTTGCTAGAAAGAGACTTGGATAAAAAGCTGGAAGCAGAATGTGTAGCTGGGAGTGCTCAAGGAAGATACACCTCTAGGATGTGAGGAAGGCAGAGTTGGGCAGAGGGAGAAGCTGACTCACACTGTGATAGAAACTTTGGCCTCAGAAAATCCTGCACAGATGGCCAAAGTATCACAGGTTGAGGCAGGGTCACTGAGTCTTTGTATCTCTCCATCAGGTAGTTAGATATAGAAAGCTCCCTATGAAGGAGGGTTAAACTTGGACAGGGAAGAATCTATGGCTGAGGGCAATTGCCGGTGAGGCTGATAACCGTGCACTAGTACATCAAATCCGATGAAGGATCTGGGCAGAGCACTGCAGTATTCACTACATGAAGTATATTTTGCACTGTGGACACAAATTAGAAAAATTGCAAGTAGTGGTATATTGTAATTGGCATGCACTATATGAGCAGAGTCAATGTGTCTCCTTGTAGAATATTCTCTGATGATACTCACTATTATCCCCTCTCTGCTAAGCTTTGTTCTGTGTCTGAAGGGCATAAAGCATGGAAACTACATTTTTCAGACTCCATTACCAGAAGGATATGGTTGGATTTCAGCAATGAGTGGGCTTTGCATAAAATTTGGAAGACGAAAGAGAAGAAAAACCTGGCTGCTGCAGGTTGGAACACTGGCAACAATAGATACGGAGTTTGCAAGAAGCTGCTAAGCTTCCTCAGGAAAATTATTTGTTTCAATATTTCTGGCATATGGGATCATCAATTATTGTTTTCAGTGGTTCTGGCTGAAAATTGGTTCAATTCTTCTATCTGAGAATTGTTCATTTCTGTGCTTCAGGAAACTAAGACCATCACTGGCAGTTTTTGTTGAGGGATCCTTGTGCATTCATTTTTCCTTAAAACAGCCTTCCTAACTTTTACTCCCCCAGCCTCTATGGTTGTGTAAGTCTTTAATTCTTAGAGTTACATTTCTCTTACTCAGTATATCCTAGTGCGGCTTCTGTTTTCCAGACCCAACCCTGACTGATATAGTCTCCATGTGTTTCAGATGGTGGGATAGTTTGGATATTTGTCCCTGCCCAAATTTCATGTTGAACTCTAATCCCCAGTGCTGTAGGTGGGGCCCAATGGGAGGTGTTCAGATCATGGGGGCAGATCCCTCACGGCTTGGTGCTGTCTTCGTGATAGTGAGTTCTTGTAAGATCTGGTCATTTTAAAGTGTTTGGCACTTGTACCATTTCACTGTGTCTTGCTCCTGCTTTCACCATGTGAAGTGCCTGCTCCAGCTTCACTTTTCACCATGATTGTAAACTTCCTGAGGCCTCCCTAGAAGCCAAGCAGATGCCATCACCAGGGTTCCTGTAAAGCATGCAGAACTGTTAGCCAATTATACCTCTTTTCTTTACAAATTAAAAACCTCTTTTCTTTACAAAATGGAAAGAATAAAGGTATTTCTTTATAGCAATGCAAGAACGGCCTAATACAGATGGCTCTGCCATTAGTGAGAAAATTGAGATGCTTTCTCTAGATGGCAAAAAAGTTGTAAAAATAAAAGGAAATTATTAATATACCGTCTATTGTGATCATTTACTAAGTTAAGCATATTATTAAGAAGACAAGCATAAGTTTAACACAATTTGGCAAAGAATAAAATTGAAGGAGAGAGAGCATATGTTGGCTTTGCTCTGTGAAACTCAAATGAAATGGTCACCTGTTCTAGCAGCTCATGAAAAATTCTGCATTGTTTATTATGTGTCAGGATCAACCTTAAATTCAGTTATAAAAAGTTTGATGATTCCAAAAAAAAGGGAAGCACTAAGTAATATAGGTACAGAGAGGGAAGAGTGTCAAATAGAATTTTCAATCTGTGTATAAGGATACTTAAGCATTTTTTAAGGAAAGCAGAAAGAAGCATGAGAAAGTCTACAATGACATCTATGTCAATATAACAAGCTGGATATTTAGAGAAGAAACTCTTGATTAAATACTTTTTATGATATGAACACACACGTATAATATGACATGACTGTGTTCATGGAACATAAAGAAATTCCTCTGACCAAAGAGAACTGGAAAAAAAAAGGAAAGAAATTATAGAAATTGGTGGAAACAACAAGAAATGATAGGAATGTCAAGAAAGTGAAAATCTAGAGTGGCAGATGAACACTGGATTAACATTGTTTGGGGGAGTGTTAGTTTATACCTGGTGGCCTAATGATGATTTAAAGGGCACAAAAGCAGCAGTGCAAAAGAAAAGGCCTGGACGTTACTGGGTTGAAAGACTGGATAATCACATTTATAGGTTGTATTTTTTTTTTTTTAAGATGGAGTCTCGCTCTGTCATCCAGCCTGGAGTACAGTGGCTCAATCTCAGCTCACTGCAAGCTCCACCTCCCGGGTTCACGCCATTCTCCTTCCTCAGCCTCCCGAGTAGCTGGGACTACAGGTGCCTGCCACCACCTCTGGCTATTTTTTTCTATTTTTAGTTGACATGGGGTTTCACCATGTTAGCCAGGATGGTCTCGATCTCCTGACCTTGTGATCCGCCTGCCTTGGCCTCCCAAAGTGCTGGGATTAAAGGCTTGAGCCACTGCGCCTTGCCTATTGGTTATATTTTTTAAAAAGTAGACGTGAAGATGGATGCCTCAATCTTGACTGTGGGTGGATTAGAAAAATTTTTCCTGTAGAAATTTCTAACCACAAGTGCACTTTTATTTTAAAAAAATTAGAATCAAAACTACTTTTTTAGTATGAAAAACCAAAAGCTAAAAGTTTATCTTAAAGTGGGCCTGATAATTGGTGTCAACAAATCCTGCCTTCTTAAAAGAAAAATCTCTAAATCCAGCTTATATTTTACCAGGATAAATCTTTGGTAAACATGAGCTCACAATAAATGACTAACCACTGGAGTAAGATTAGTGTAAATGGAAAATTATGCAGACCAGAAAAGAATGTAAATATTGGAACTATCAGAAATAGAAAGTAAGTATGTTTAATATGTTAATAAAAAATAAAGACAGGCTATATGAAGAAGGAATATGATTCCTTCAAAACTCACTAGGGAACTTTGTATAAATTCTGAGTTGGGAAAGAAGGATGAAATTATATCCAGTTGGGGTTCCAGGAGAAGATAACATAAATAATGGGAGAAGTAAAATGTTTTATAAAATAATATATGAGATTTTCAATATATGAGAATAACATAATCCACAGGTTCCAGAAACCCAATTAATCCTAAGTATGATATAAAGTAACCTTACTAGCAAATCATAGTGAAATTACAGAATACCAAAGTGAAAAAATAAAATCTCAAGAGAAGCCAATGAAAACTGGTATATACAAAAGGATGAAAGGCAAATTGGCTGCTGATTTTCTACAGAAACAAGAGAAACCAGGAGCCAGAAAATTATGTCTCTATATTTAAAATTAAAAAAACGAATATTTTAAATTGATAAATAAAAGTAGTATGTGTTTATGGTGTACACATGATGTTTGAAATATGTATAGATTGTAGAATGGCCAAATTGAGCTAATTAACATATGTATTACTTCACATACTCTTTTTTCTAATTAGAATATTTAGTCATCAAATTACAATATCTTTACCGAGATAAAATGATCATCAACCTAGAATGTTATTCCAAGCTATCTTCTAAGAATGAAAGATAAATGAAGAGATTTAAAAAAAATACAACTGAGAGTGTTTACAACAAGCCTTTCCTAAAATAGCTTACAAAGGTTATACTTCAAGAAGAAGGAAATTGGACTCAGAAGGGGAAGTTCTAAGAAGCAAGAAGAAATGGTGGGTAAAATAGTGTTAAATATATTTAAAATAGTATGAAAAATTATATTTAAACTAACTGACTATGTAAAACAACTAAAATAATATTTAATATGTGAAGTTAAAAAATGATATAGAACTAAAGTCTTGAAGTCAATAATCCAGGATGAAATTATTGTACTTTGATAATTCTGGGCTCCTGAAATTACTAAAACATTGTTAAATATGAGTGTTAGGGCTTCTCTGATAAATAATAAAATAATATAAATAAAATTTATAAGTGATAAACTAGTGGAAAGAACCACTAATAGAGGTGGCCATTTTTCCAAAATTAAACAAGAAATAAGAGAAATTAAGAAGCACATAAAGAGTAGAAGTTATAAACAAAACAACAAGAAAAATTAAGTAAAATGCATCACTAGTTATAGCAATTTAATGGAATAAATTCTGGCTCTTTTATACTAATGAGGAGAACAGCCTATTATATGTGATTACAAGCGATACAATATGCAGAACAGTTGAAAACTTAATAAAAAAAATTAAAAGCAATGCTAATGAAAACAGGTTTATATGCTGTATAAATAGCAGTCAAAGTTATCTTTAAGGCATAAAACAGAGAATAGTATTACTAACAAAGATAAATAGTTATTTTTGGAGATACAAATGGTCACTAGAAGAGGGACCAACTCACCAGGAAGTTATAAAAGCCCTAAAATTCTATATACAAGTTCTATTCTATATAAAATAAATATTAGTAGCACTTAAAAATAATATCAAATCTCTATCAGTGTGTAAGGTTTTTAACACAACTAACTCACTAACTTATAGATCAAGTAGATAGTAAATCAGTAAGAATATGGGAGATTTGAGCAACAAAATATGGAGTTTGATTACACTCAGCAATAAGAGTATATGGATTTTTTCGACATTTAGAACATTTACAATGACCACATACAAAATAATAAAGCAGCTCAATAAATTTCGTAACCACTGTTGAACATACCACGTTCTAACCCATAAGAAAAGATAACTTAAAAATCCCCAAAAACCCTATTATTGAGAAATGTGAAAGCACAATCTAAATTATCCATATGTTAGCGAAAAAAAAGTCCTATCAGAAATTAGAAACTACTTAGAACTGAATGATAATGAAATTATATCCTGTAAAACATGTGCAATTCAGGTAATAAAATATTAAGAAAATATACAGACCGAGAAAAGAAGCCTTGAAATTTTACAAGTTAAGCATCAACAATATTAAGTGAGGGAAAAAACAGAACAAATTTATGAAGAGAAGGAAATATGTAGTAGCAATCAGAGTAGAAACTAATAAAACATAAAACAAACCTAGCACAGAATATCTTAACAAATCATAAAGTTAGTTCTTTAATAAAACTGGAAAAAAATATACAAATCTCTGGTAAAAATTGAGTCAGCAGAAAAGAGAAAATGAACAAATAATATTAAAAATGGTAAAGAAGACAGATTTTCTGCAGCAATATTAAAACATGGTAAAATAATGTTTAAACATTTTCATATTGATGAACACAAAAAAGGTGAAATGGACAATTCTTAGAGATATGTAAAGTACTAAACCAGTAACTCAAAAAGAAGTATAAATTTGCAATTGCCCTATAATGATAAATAATTAAAATAATTGAATAAAAAGTGTATTCAGTACCATATAAAAGGTCAGTCCAAGGTATGTCAGTATCTTAAAGGAGAATATGATCAACTCTTCTTGCCTGATAAGTAAGGCTAATTAGGGAACAAGTTTTCTTGAACTGATTCCCGAACCATAGGTAAGAATTCACTTGTGGATAGAAAATCACAGCTTGTGCAAAGGTTGAAGACATTTAATGATGTGGTAAATTCATATTAGTCATTCAGGAAAATAGAGAGAGGTGGGGAAAACAATAAAATGAGGCAGGAGGTGAGAAAGTTGAAATAGGTAGGGCCGTATGTGTCATGTCAAATCAAAAGCTAAATATTTAATAATAGTAAATACTTATATTTTCTGTATTTATGTTAAGAAGAATATAAAATTTCTTATTTTTTTGCAACCTTAGTGGGTACTTACTCCCTGAATTTCAATCACAACACTTTGGAGACAACTATGGTAGATACAGGGGTCAGTCGAAGGATTTTCATGAGGAGCAACATGTTTAGGTTTGTGTGTTAACATGATCCTGGTAACAACTTGGAAGAAACATTGGAAGGAAACAATGAAATGGTAGGAGGAGGAGCAGTTAGTTGGCTATTACAATAATTCAAACAAAAGGAAGTCAGGACATAAACTAAGGGAAGAGCAGTGTGAATGGATTTTACCACCCTAGCTCAAATAATATATCAGGATTCTGCACACATTGAGGATGTTTGTTAATACATGTGTCTGCACATTACTGCGCATTTCCCACAACCAAGCATCAACATTTAGGTGTCTGGGATAATCTACCAATTTGCATAATCCAGATGTAGACAATGTTATTCCCCAGAATTGCTCCACTGAGATTTCAGAGTGAAAAGCAGTTAGACTGTAGGAACTTCTCTTCAGTGTCTCTATGAGGAGAAATAGAAGATTGGTGGTCCTCTAGCCACCAATTTTTTGGTCTGAGGCAATTTGTGGGTGTCTTCAGAAATTCCAATAAAATATAACAGGAAGGAGGCACTGGTAGCATGGGGTTGGAAAAGATAAGAGTGAAAAGCCCATGTAAATGGGCTATCTGGGAGCATTTCAGGGAAAAAGTTTAATAGAGTGTTAAAGGTGGACTCTGGAGCAATTACAAACTATGAGAGAATTGGAGATGAGAGACGAGGGGATTTTTATAACATATCATCATAGTTGCTGATCTAGGTGTCTACCAACACCTCTAGACTGGTCCACATGAGCATCTGGCCTCTATTTGACTTACACAAAAAGTAGAGGGATCAAAAAGGTTTTGCTTGCATGTGGCATTGTAAAATAAACAAATGTAAAAATCTGTCTCATGAAATATAGTTTAAACCAGAAGCATATGGAGAAATATGCTTTAAAAACACCTTGAGCTTTTTATCATGTTATTAATATACCCACAGATTTTCATATCTTTTCAAATATTAAAAATGAATTGAGAAATATTTTAATAATATAATCGTCCTTAGAATATTCGTAATCAGATAATCAGCTGACGAAACATTGTGATTCATCTTTGCCATGGAAAATTATTTTAATTTGTATCATAACTGTGTTAAGTCAAACTCACTAATTTATAGGTGTGAAAACAAAAAAATAAGAAAACTATGTAAATACTAAGGTCCATTCCTTAAGACACAGATATTCAGAAAAACTTTAGATAACAATTCATTATTCTATCTTGAACTATTTTTTAAAAATTGCAATCTAAAGAGCAAGACCAATGTTATAATAAGACCACATTGTCAATGGATGCTTGGGTGTGAAAACAAGAAGTGTTTAATATTTTATTTATTGTAGACCTGAGCACTTGCTGTGTTGCAATATATTGCTAAAGCTAACTGGATCTTAATATTTTTGTGATATTTTTGAAAAACTTCAGCTTTCAAAGTTATAATCAAGTTTTACCTCTAGGGTAGATAATTAAGTTGTTAAATTCCTGTGGGGGCATATTCTTTCTTCCCTAGAAGGAGCCGGGGGGTTGTGGTGAAATTTTTAGCTTGGTAGATATCAATCATGTTTCTTCTCATTGAAATTAATGGGATAAGGGAGGGTGACAAAAGGGAATTGTCACCAGGAATCACTTGGCCCAGAGGCATGGTGGCATTCCAAATGGTGAAAGTATTGGGGATGTGGATATTATACCCCTGATATTTGGCAGGTAGCTGAGAATTAAGTAAAAAACATTAATAATAAAATAAAAATCAGCCCTCTAGAGATTCCAAAGTTGATCTGAGGACTTAGACCTTTTGAATAGCTGCCTCTAATAACATTTGGAGACGATATCCCAGAGAAAAGCCTTGTTCCCTCCTACAGATAAGAGAATTAGCATGAGCTGAATCGATCCACAAAGGACAGCTGTGTCCAGCAAAACAGAGGATAAGCAGTAGTTGAGCAAATGACCTAGTAGGAGATAACACCATACAACATGGTGCAAAGTTATGCCGGAAACTGATGCTTTTGCAACATTTTTATATGTCAGGCCATATATTGGGCATATAAAATACATTACTTCATTTAGTAAACCTCACACATTTTTAAAATAAACAGTTTTCCTCCCAGTTTGCAGACAAGAAAATTGAATATGAGATGTGAAATCACATGTCTTTGTCAAACAGCTAATAAATGGAGGAACCACAATTTAACTCAGGTCTAGGTAATTATTTAAATTGTGGTTCCTCCATTTAACTCCACAAACTATGCTTGTTATACTATTGTGTGTGGAATCGTAATACATCATTTTCTGGTTCTGTTTTTATAATTCTTCAAATGCCTAGATAGTATTTTCATATCCATGTTTTTAACTAACTTTTAAAACAGAGCAGCACAATGTTCTGCTTTCATTGCAAAATAGTTGTCATTGTTTGATCAAGTATTTCTTGGGAATTTTTGAAATAGACTACTAGTTTGTCTATTCACTGAGCCAATATCATACTCTATTTTTCAGACTAGAAAACATGCAGAAGTAAAATCTTTACTAAGATAATGTTTCTGAATACTAAAATGGAAAACTTAGAAACATGAATTAATTTAAAGGGTAGGCTATCTGGGCTACAACTTCCAAGGAGATTTCTTTCATATTCATTAAGAAAATAGATCATTGAGATATGTCATATCCTAATAATGGTTTACTTTCACTGAAAACTTAAAATTGAAGTTTGAAAATCACTCAAAGTAATGGTCTTTATATGGGAAGGAATCACAGAGTCCTAAATTTCATGTAGTCAACAATCTTTTGTATCCATAGTCATATATCCAATCTGTCTAGGTTGCCAAAGAGACAGTGCATAGAGTGGATGAGTCAGCAAGTGCGGCTGCTTCAGGACCACTTCAGTGACTGATCTAATTGTTGCCTGGGTTATCATAATGCCACTGTGCAAACTAACAAGAATAATTCAAACAGAAATTGTATGTTTTAACCTACTTATCTGCAAAAAGCCCTTTATGACTGTATAAGTGGTAAATATAGGCGATTTCTTATACCCTCATTATACTGACGTGATTAGAAATTACCTCCAATTTTTTTTGGACATAGCAATTAACATGAGTTGAAAGATGTAATAGATATTTTTTTTTGGAGCCTAAGCTATGGAAAGATAAAGAGCACAGTAGGAACTACTTGTTACAATGTGGTACTTAAAAATACACATTTTAAAAAAGGAATACCTGGGGTAAATTTTTTTGTATATTTAGTTATTTGTTGGTAAATAATAACTTGTGTCTATCTTTTTAAATTTTGTTTCCATTTATTAAGATAACTTTATCATAGCTGAGTATCAGAACCTTAATGATGATTCCTGTTTACAGATTATATTACTGTTATGTGATTAGTAGGATTATTTAAAAAGTAAAATCAATCTAACTCTATCATTATTTCTGATACATCACCATGTCTAAATTGCATTAGCCTAAATAAGATTTATGATTTTTATAGAAACTATAAAAGTGAAGAAAATTATGATAAATACCTTTGTTGCTTCCACTAATCAACATTTAAAATAGTTAACTATATATATATATTAAAATAGAGGATTAAGTGAAATTCTCTCACATCTGGAAGTTACATTGTTTTTGCATGTGAAAGCAAGACAAATTACCTTTCATCTTTAAATACTGTTGAATTTTTTTCTATGTTGGGCAAATTACTTTTGTGTGGAAAATTTCTTGCATAAGAGGTGGCCAATATTTTAGATTTGAATAATTCATCAGACTACATGCATCAATATAGATACTTGGAAGTGAAATGTTCAGGGCCAAGAATCTTATATAACTAAAATAGATAATTTCCACTTCTGCACCAGAAGAGGAACAGAATATTGTTTAATAATTGAAGCATAATAATGGTGGTACATTAATAAAAGCATATTCATATAATTATTGTGTCAAAAAACATTTGAAACATAAAGGTATTGATGGAAATGACATACAGATAATTATTGAAAATTGCTTTAAAATTAACAGAGTACTTAAATGCAGTAATTTTAGAACAAGATGTTTTTAAAATTAAATTTCACACTATTTTTCTTATAATAAAGTATGATTATTGTAGGCAATATAGAAAAGTAGAAAGAAGAAAAATATAACCATAATATATACCATCAGACTTTCTAGTATCTTGCCATTCCATCCTTTCCACTGTCCTCATAACAAAGCCAACAATGGGCAGTCAATATGCCTAGACAAATTCTCCTTTCTAATCCCAATTCTTTATAGTCAACTGCCTGCTGAAAAGAACTACAGCATATGGTACTTTAACATAGCCCAAAGTTAGGCTGAACGTGTCAATAACAAGCCAAGAAAGTAAAAAGAGACTGAGAAAAAACTCAAACATGACTCCATCACTCTGGAATGTACTCTATAATATAACACAATGTAGGCCTATTCAGGTACCTAACAGACACAGACTAAGAAAGGTTATATAAAGTGTGCAAAATTTCTTCTGTTAGGTTTAGCCCTCTCTTTAATCTTGTCTAGGATTCAGAGATTTCCCATTTCTGAGTAAGCAACAAGATGGTGAAAATTAAGGTAGTAAATATTTCCCAAGGATATACATTAATTTTTTTGTAAGGCAATAGCTTTAGGATGGTTCTCTTGGTGTTTCTATTTATCTAAGCCAGTAGGTAGACCTGAGGTTTTTCTTCAAGAAAATTATGTAGCTTATTTTATTTCTATCAAGGACATTTTTGCTTAATGAACTTCTTATCATGCATTTCTCAAGGCTTTCTATCAAGAATAGAAACTGTTTTTTCCCAATATTCAAGCAAGGTGGTCTCTAAGTGGGGTATGGGTACATATCAAGGCCCTGAAACACCAGGCTTTATTTTTTTATCATATCCCTTTTTAATATCTATTTTGGTTTATATGTTTTATAATGCACATCTTACAGAAAAAAATCAATACTGATTAGCACATAAGATATATATACCTGTGGTAAATGAAATATATTTTAAATAGTGGAGAGAAACATTATCAAGTATGTACCAAAATTGAATATGACAACAAATAAATCAAAATATACACTGTTGCATGTTGCTATCCCTGCGTATGTGCAGTGCATTTTTTCTGCACAGTGTATATTTTTAAAATTTGTTTTCTTTTCTTAGAATATATTGTTACAGAGTTAGAAAAGACCACATCCTTTCTTCACTTTTAGTGTTGAACTACTATTAATGTAATGGCTGCTCAGTGACTCAGAGGAGGCACTGAATAGCTGTGCAAGTTAGGTTCTTAGTAAGAGAAATTACAAACCTCCAAATAACATCTCTGTTTTGAATGTGGTACCAATCTAGTAATGTATGTTTAAAGCTTTGCATGCTGGGCTTGATTATTCCATTTCAATAATGAATAAGAGTATTTAGATGATATCGTGTTCCATGACTGATCTACAGTTTTATTCAGGTGAAGACAGGGCATGACTCAGAGAAATATTAACATGCTCTTATGTACCCAATGTAAACTATTAAGTCAATCCTCTTCATATGATTATAACAATCACCTCCCACCAGTATCAAAGTAAATTCTTTTAAGAATTAAACAAATGTAGGTTTAGATTAGCAATTGAATAGCTCCTTAGTCTCACATAAACATACATAAAACACAATTGGTGCTTATTTTTGCATTTGTTTAGTCACTTCAATAAGATTTCTCTTGAAGAGCTTCAATCATCATCGGCTTTGCCTAGAATTCTGGGGTTTGTGGCTTTTCCATACTCAGTTAAGCTGCATACCACTTGTTTACAGGACAGACAGCTATAGCAGACTATCTCTAAATTCCCATAGCCAGAGCTATTAAGACAGTATGCCCTATCATTCTTCTTTTGTAGGCTCTATGTAACCTAACAGAAATGACCAATGATTTTATATTAATTGACCTGCTCAAGTTTTCAATTTCTGGGGATTTTTAATTTTGACAATTTAAATTTTTATAAGGAATTATTCATTTACTTAAAGTTTTTAAATGTATTGCTATAGGGTTACAAATATTACTTTAATTTCACCTTTTCTGTGCCTACATTTCCTTTCTCTTAATTTTGTATCTCTCCCTCTCTTTTCTCTTGTTGGAATAATACAACGTTTAGCTATTTTATTTGTCATTACAGAAAAACAGCTTTTCAATTATTTCTTTCTACTAATTTTGGCTATTTACTTTCTGCTTCATTAATTTCAGCTGTTACCTTAATCATTTTTATCAAAAGTATTTCAATTTTGTTAATTTTTTCTTATGTATAATTTTCTTCATTTTTAGTCTTTTTAGTAGTAAAAGAACTAAATACTACACAATTTTTAAGCAGTTTTTACTGTGTCTCATAAGTTGTCAGTTTGAAGTATTCTCTTTTCAATAACTGTAAGGTATTGTGCAATTTTCTATTGATTTTCTTTTAGATCCATGGATTTTGTAGAGGCCTATTTCTTAATTTCTAATGAACTAAGAAGTTTGGTCACGTTTTGCTATTTATACTTGATTTTATTGGATTTAGATCAGAGGACTTAGCATGTAATTTTCCACTTTCAAATTTGTGTAGTTTCTATGTGGCCAAGAAAATAAATATTTTTTGTAAGTGTTTCATAGACATAAGACAAAAATTATACTCCATTTGAGAGATCTAAGGTTTTATACCTGTGCACATGTGTGTGTCCAAAGTTGTTAATTTTTAAAAATTCAATTTTTATATACTGTTACTGATTTTTGGCTACTAGATATGCCCAAGATAGGAAGAGAGATATTTTAGTCTCCTACTCTAATTCTAATCAATTTCTTCTTACATTTGTAATAGTTTTTGCATCACATATTTCATTTGATACACAGTTTTATGAGTGTTTTATCTTTTTTATAGATTGTGATTTTTATTATTATTCTTCAGTTTCACATTCCTCTATTCTTTGAACCTTAAATTCCACCTTGTCTGATGCTACTTTATTTCTATTTGCATTTTCTCTCTATCCCTTTGTTTTAAGTATTTTTTTAAACATCAAATAACTGTGTGGATGGGTGGATGTGTCTGTGTGTGTGGTTAAATATAATCTAATTATGTTTCTATTTTAATTGAAGAATTCAGACCTTTCAAATTTAGGATAATGCCTAATATGACTTATTATATTTTTTATTCCTTACTTTGAGTTTAATATTTATTTTGAATTGTAGTTTTTCGTTCACTTTTATCATTTTAGATTTGATTGATTGTTACATATTCAATTTTTTTCTCTTGTTGATTTTGAAGTTCTCCATAATTTTCCACACAATATTGATTCTCCTCCAGCTTCCACATCTGTTATTGTTTACAAGTTAGATCTCCTGGATTGATTCTTTCATCTGCTTATCTTTTCTCATTTTCTATATCTGAATAGTTTTCTCTTTGTTGTAAAATGATATTTTTTCATGTCATAGTCCAGATTGTCCTTCAAGTGATTATGCTGTTCTTTATTGAATTATTTGGGAACTCATGTTTTTACTTAAGATCCAGAAAGACTCTGTTTCCTGTGTGATAATGGTATACTTGATTTTGTTTAAATGCCTCTTCTCCCTTTTAAATTAAACACATTGCCTGGATTGTCCAAAAGCTATATTTTATACCATATGTTTTCTGACTGATATTCCTCTATCAAGCTGCTCAGCACCCATAGATGTACTGCTATTTTTCTTTGTTGGTTCCCTGAGGCTCAGATTCAATTGCTGGAATACTCTAAGAGGTAGCATCCTAACCAGCGACGGAAGATGAGTTTGGCATTGCAGACTGCAGTCATAGAAGCAGGCAGATTTCTAGACATTTGCTGAGGCACTTGGAAGCTTTCCTGCTATCTCGATTCATGTTCTTCCTGTACAGAGAGAAGTCAAGTCATTTTTTTCTTGGCATCTTGTGAACAATGGGAGATCAGGAACACTGGAGAGAAAGAAGAGACAGTGTTGCCTTTCCTTAAAGGATAAAACAGATCTCTGAAGAACACTGCTTTCTACTTCTTTAAGGGCTCCTCCGAGTTGATCTGACACCCAACCACTGGAATCAAGAAATGCTGTTGGGCAGGACTTTCTAAAAACTGAACTTTAAACTTCCTCTTTTGAACCTTGAGCTATGACGCAATGGGAGGAAGGTTATGTTCTCTTCCTTTCACCCCATGGAAAATTATCAGACCTACTGAATGAAATGAATTGTGCAATATTCCAAGGAAACACATTTCTGTTTCATTTTAGGCAGTATCTGTACTGTGAGCGATTTGATTTTTCCCATTGGCCTCGTGATTGCCCAGTTTTAAAGCAAGAATTCCTCCATGTTTAGCTTTATAAATAATGCTTGAATATTTCACAAGCCAATTTTAATTGTATCAGTCACTTTGGAGCAAAATCTCTACCAGTTATATCTTCATTAAATTTGATCATTTAACTTTAAAGGGAAGGTAGAATAAATTTATCCTTATGAGTTGCAAAGACCATCTAAAGTTTAGATCTAATTAGCAAGCTGAAGTTATATTTCGTAGTGTTTTATAAAGAATTGAATTCCCTTATTAGCATTCATGATTTATAATAAATAAGAGTAGAGAAGTGACTGCATAAAAATTTAATCTCTATCAGCTGAATGGTTGGACTTTTAATTATGAAGCTTTTTGCTTTATGTTGAAGAAAATGTCCTCTTTCACATTGCTAACTTGTTAATTATTACTATTAGATGCTCTTCACTTATTTCTCTTTATTTTTCTTATCAAAATTTATTATGAGAATATTCTTTGGAATATTTATGGTAATAACATTAAAATATCATTCAATAAGTTCAGATCTTTTAATAACAAGAAAGGTTAGCCATACCATTGAGAAAAAAAGTTCACTGAGGAAAAATTCAAAAACATTAATAATTATTTTCAGTAGCATGACGTATTTGTTTTCGACAGACAACTGAAAAAAATAAAATCCAATACACCAAAATCACAGAAGAAACTGCTCCTTTCATTCTTTTAAATCATTTTAAAAATCTGTTTCTTTAATAAAATGTAATTACTTTTACCCTCTCCTAGAAAATTCCTAGTTTCTCAGAAAGCGACCTCCTTTCTTCAAATCTTCATCTGATTTTTTGTGTGAGATTTCTAAATTACCTTCCACATGAAAATGATACTTTCATCAACTTCTTTGTAAAACTTTTCTACCAACCTTCAACTCACAGTAGTTTTTCAAAGTCATATAAAGATATAAAAGCATGCTTTAGGAGGATCTTAGAGTTTGTGGAAGGCCATGTCTGCATGTAGACCATGCTATATCATTCCTGAGATGTGTGCCATAATGGGAAGAGAAATGATTCCCACATTTATCTGTGCGGTATCAACTGAGGCTTTCCAACATGTCTGTAGGTAGAGTCTGTCTATGGTCAAGTTGTGAAGGAGGCAAAGTGCTTGTCCACTTGATCTTTAAGCCTATGTTTCTCTCCTTCTTCATCCATGTCTCAATGGCACCCAAAGCCTTCATGCTGTCACCTCTCTGCTTTAGGTCCTGTTGTACTGATTATGTTGTAGTGCTTCAATTCTTATAGCAGACTGCTAATCAATAACCAGCCTGTTCTCTCTAAATTTCATATCCCAGCCTCTCTTGAAGTTGGTATGAACAGGCTACTGAGTTCCAGGCAATGTAATGTGAGCAAAGTAAATTTCTTCACTTCCTGGGTGAGCTCTTACGAACCTCTCAAAGGTGGATCCTCCATGTCTCCATATTTCCTCCCACCCTTTGGTAACCTTGGTAGCTATAAGTTGAAGACAGAGAAACTGACATATGAAAGGTGCCTGAGTCCCTAATTCATCATTTATAGAAAGCTGCTTGCCAGGAAAACCCATTTGGACTATTCATAGTGATAAATAGTCTTTCGTCATAAAATATTGTATACCTAGATATTTAAGATGAATTAGAATAAATATCAGAGTTTCACAGGTGATGTTTATATTCTCCCACTGATCCTCAACTTCTGTTTTTTCCTAACAAAATTTGCCAGTTCCTAATTCTATTTTGTCCCCTGATAAACAATAGTGTCCCTGTATGACTACCTCCTACTTCTACTACCTAACACAATAAATCCTTCATCATTGCTTTTGAAGTTCTTTTGGGCCTAATTATTCCCACGCTCCAGGAAAATTATTTTAATTAAAAAAATGAAAAATTCAGGAAAACTGTCCCTTGGAGACAATTAAGTCAGTTTTCTTGGGAGAGCTCTGGAGCTCTTTGTTCTTATGGCCTGCCTCTCTTACTAGGCATAATCTCTGTCCTGCTGCTCCAAAGCTGGAGGCAGGAACAGTGGTCTGCTTCTCTTGGACTGAGGCAGTGCACTGGCGGGTAATCATTGGCCTTCCTGGCTTCCTTTCCCCAACAGGGGAACTTCTTCTGTGAGCCAGCTGGGGTAAGGGTGATCTGGTTCCTAGTATTCTTGGCTTGCCTTGCCTAGAATGGAGCCTCCATCCTATGAGTGGAGGCTGGTAGAGGAAGAAAGCCTCCAACCTCACAAGTGTACTCTCCTGGAATTTAGTCTCTTCAGTACAAAGGTGAAGGGAGGGTATGAGTATGAGACATGCTGGTGGTCTTCCTCTTCTGAGGATATATGTTGGCCCTTGACTGGGAACTGGGAGGAGGGAGAACCCTATTTTCTCAGCCACACCCATCAGAGTGGAACTTCTGTTATGAGGAGATAGAGAGAGGGGTGAAAATGCTGCTGCTCAAGTGATGCAAAATCTCCCTATTCTTAGAGAGATTAAATAGAGTTTTTGAAACACTGTTTCTTAAATTTCTGTATGCCTTAGGACAGTTACCTGGGGCTGCAAATGATTGCTTGTTTTTAAAAGTAATTTTCATCACTTGCGTTTGGGGAGAGAGTGTGCAGAGCTCCTCACTGTGGCACTCAGAAACTGTCTTATTATACTTTAATAATTTTTAGAATTGTCTTGAGTTCTATATAATTTTTATTCACTTTAATAATTTATATTCGTGTTTCTTATTGTGTTTTAAGCAATATTTATTTTCTTTTTATTCATTTAAGTTTGCCTTGTTTATATGAGTTTTGTTTTCTTCTACTTCTTGTTGGGCTTTATCAGCTCATCTTTTATTTTCTCTGTTGATTTCTCATCTCTATATGTAGAAGACTAATGCAAAATTTTCTTTAAAAAAATCATGATGAAACATGATCTCTTTATCTGTTTCCTGACTGGTTTTCTCATCAGTGTATTCTGCCACTTTTGTTGTTGTTTCTTTCCTATAATTTTTGTGTACTACAATTGTATAGATCTTATGATGGTATACTTTTTATTTCTCATTTGTGATGCAGCAAAGTTTTTTCTAAATAAATTATTTACACGTGTTCTATGTGAAGGAGAAATCAAGGTCAACGACTAGTCTAAAGGAAATTCTCCTTATAACCTAGTTTTGTGTCAGTTCATTTAGCTTTTGCTGTCTCATCAATAATATCAGAGAGCTGCAGAATTTTAAACAATGCAAAGCTTCTCTTTCTCACTATTCTGCCTCTGAATTTTTCCTGTAAGTAGCTTTTCTTGGTGATTCTCATATCCTTTGCTTCTTAGAACAAAACCTATTCTAGAGAATCTCTTATTGCTAATCTGTGTGTGCTTTTACTGCAAAAAGGATTTAAGTTTTACTCCCCAGGATATGCTTCTCACTTTTAAGAAGTATATTTTCTGTGTTTTGCTGTGATTTGGAACCATGGCTTTCTTTCTCTGCTTTCATATACCCTACTCTAATCAATCTTTACTTTTTTAGTAGCCATTATACCCATTTTCCTCTCTGTAATGTTTAGCTTTATCCTACTTTTATAAAAATGGAGAATAATTTTATATTTTTAATTATCCTCTTTGCCTTTGTATGACTTTTTAGAATAGGAGGAAAATGCTAGCATCTTCAAACATAAACTTAATAAGGGTTATTACAAAGTGATGCTTATAATGAGATTTCATAAATGTCAATCACATATGATTATATAGATATTGGAGATCACTCTTTCTACGCAAGATACCATTTTTATCTACAGAAAAAGTCAGACTGCACCAGTGACAGCTTGTTTTCAACTTCTGCCCCCAGCTTTATCTTTAGCACATAGTGCTCATATATGTAGTAATAGATAGCAATGCAGTTGAAATAATTTTTCTGCTACAACTAATCAGTAGGATTTTAATTAAAGATATAAACATGTGATCACACTGTAATACGTGGGAATATTTTCATTCATGTACTAACATGAGAACAAACAAATTTTTCACACTAGTGAGAGTTGGAGGTGGTCCATGTTTGAGTTATGCAGCTCGGCTTGATTTTAATATTTATTAAGTTCTCTCTCTCCCTCTCTATGTATTTGTGTGTGTGTGTGTGTGTGTGTGTGTGTGTGTGTGTGTATAGATATATATCCATACTTCCTTCCTTCCTTCTCCTTTAAAGATTCACCAGGGTAGCCTACTAGTTTAGAATAACGCCTGTCAAGCTATTAAATACTGTTTTAGATGGTATAACTCCTTATGGGCCACCTAATTGAGTCAGCATTAGTGAAGAATATAAATATCATCTGTGCAAATACAAAAAAATATTAGATATATAGATAGAAAAAAACAAAACTTATAAGCAAACAAACCCAGTCTGTGGAGCCTACATATCATAGGATTCAAATGATATGGCATTCTGAAACAATCAAAAGACTAGATATATTAAAATGATGAGTAATTACCAGAGATTTGGGGAGAGGGTTGAATGAGTGAAGCTTAGGCAAGTTTTTTCAGTATATGAAACTGTTTTGTATGATATTATAATAATAGATACATGATACTGTGCATTTGTTAAAACTCCTAAAACTTTACAACATAACCATAATATATGCAATTTTAAAAAATCATTTAGGAGATTGAGTGATCTTGGGAAAGAACACAGATTATGACAAGAGAACGTAACTGTGTTACAAGTATATAAAACAATCTCAATGAGGAAGATGGGGAAAAAGATGGTGACCTAAGTAACTTTGGAAATGAATGGAGCCTGTAAGATCAATGGCAAAAGAAACCATGAGTAAGCACTGTACCCTAGTTGAAAACGTTTTCCTACGGAGGTATGGTTTAATAATTCTCATACCATTATATGTGTATACTGGAATTGAACAATTAAGTAAATATTTGAGGAAAGATGGAGCCAGATTTCTTGTGTTTCTTCTTATTGGGGTGGAAAGTTACAGACAAGGGGAGGAAGTTAGAATGATCTATGTAGAAATGCATTAGAATGGAGACATTGGTATGAAGTCATGTTCAGCTTATTATAAATAAAAGTGGTCACACAGAGAGATATTAATAGATATGTGTATGTTGTATGTACATGGGTTATTACATGCACACACACACACACACACACACACACACACACACACACACACACACACACACACATATATATTCTTGCTTTGTCATCCAAAATCAGCACAAGTAAAGCCCAGATTTGGGTTTCTACCACCTTTCTCTAATACCATTTATCAGAATCCTTGAAGAAATTGCTTATTCTAAGACTAGAGAAGGAAATATACAAGATTAGTTTAGGGCATTTTATAGTGCCAGAAAGTAAGGAAATGTATAAAACCAAAGCTTTGTAAAATGTGGGAGGAATTCCATAATCATGTCTGTCAAGGACATATTTTCATTCTCAGAAGAAAAACATTATACAATCACTTAACATACACCTGTGCTCTCCTATTCCATGGCATCCCTCTTTAAAATTTTGGAAACTTATATCTCTGGGTGAAAAAAAAAATTACAGAACCCTACAATGGTTTAATATGTTGGGAATTTTTAAATTAAGACATTTTGATGTATATCTGCATTTCATTAACACTTTTCTAATTCATGTAATTTTCTTTTCAACATTTCCTCTATCTCCCTGTGGAACCATTAAAAGTATAATAGGCTCTGTTTTTTTCTTCCTGGCTACTTAGACTCAGTTACTCTGGAAAGAAGAGCTCTCTTTTACACTCATGCTGTCTAAACCAAGAAACTATAAGCTTTGGGTTTTCACTATTTTGTACTTAGTACTTAGAAGTATTTTTGGAATTTGGTATAATTGGTACACAACACATTTTTGAGAAGAGGGAAGGCAGGCAGAGAATAGGTTCGCTGTGCAGCTAACGGACTGTGTGTGCACAGCTTGGAAGACAGTGTGTTCCTGGGGGATGGGAGGAAAGTGTTTACTTCTTGACAAAATTAGAATTTTATTTAATAAGATTTACTGGTAGAGTAGCATGCCAAATTATAGAAAGAATAGGACAAAATAGTGAAGATTGTATTGTAGGATTGTAGGATCATGGTATTATATTGTGAAAGGAAAGAATAATAGGAGGTGCCAATGGAGTCATAAACCTTGACTACAGCATGGAGGAAATTTGCCTCACGGGTATTTTCCCACTCATTTATTCTATTTATTTGGTTGTGCTTCAAGGCAGGATTGTTTGTATCAGAAATACGAACTAGAAGTAATCTCAGGTGGAAATTCTGCTTTTAATTTTAAATATTCTGAAGTCTTAAAATTACATATACCCAGAGAGTATCAGCAGGATGTAGGGAAGTCAGCATAAATTAATTCTTTTACAGGAGAACTCATGGGTCAATTTAGCATTTTGTGTCCCCCACCACGACCCTGGTAAGTCAAGGAAGATGAGAGTAAATTATGCCAATACCTGCTCCAACTCCTCTAACTTTTACTGTCTTGCTGCACTCCAACCTGTCTCCAGCTGCCAGTGCCTGAATTTTTACATGAAAGATTCTCTAAGCCAGGAGCTCACAGGCACAGCCAGCCTGAAATGCCAGGGAATTACTGCTCTCCCCTCACCCCCACATCCTGAAATGATGACTGACTGGAGTCAGTATATAAGTGCCTTAGTTCCCTCGCTTCTTCAGTGGAATAAGTCTAATTTTTTTTCCAGATTTCTCCAAAAATATTAAGATCCAGTTATCCACAGGGATAACTCATTTAATAACACACACTTTGTTGATTGCATTCCCTTTCATCCTTTCCCTGTCTCGTTTTTCCTGGGGCTATGGGAGGGAAGTAAAGTGCAGCACTCCTACTGGTGTTTCCTAGACAATCATTTCTCCATCAAATCACTCCCACTCCTTCTGGAGGAAGCCGACTAAGTACAGATACATTTGACATAATTTTATGCAGAAACATAATTAATTATTTTTTATTTATAGATGTCATGGCTTTCTTAATTCTCCTGTCAGGTTATTGCTTATTCTCTCTAGAGTGTTGTGGGAGGTCAGACTATATATGTCTCAGTGTCAACCCTCCTTCTCCAATTCTCATATTTCTTTAATCCTTGGAATTTCTGAAAATGACATGATGCAAAAAGAATATTTTATAACACATCATTTTATATACAAAATTTCCCTCGGTGTCTTGTTCATAATCTAAACTCTTCGTTATTAATATCAATATGTAGGCTCTTGCTAGCCCTAAACAGCAATAGGGGAAAAAATGGTTATTTACTATTTGTTTTTAGAGACTTCTAGATTAAATTCCTCTCTAAATTTTAAAATATGTACAAGACCTATATTACTTTTTAATTTACTGTATGACATGAGTTAAGCATAGGTAATAAGATATTCCATGTGCATTTGCTTCATGTAAATTTTACACATTCTTAGTGATAGCCTGATGAAATAGAAAATATAGTTTAACAAATTCTTACAAAATGGTATTTACTCACTTGTCTGCAAAGAATTACAAGAAAAGAAAAAATGGGATCCTCTAAAAATATCTGCATTTGCATCTTTAATTAATGCAGAATATTTTCCTTATAATTCTCTTCTTAAGGAGCATGAATGTCATATTGTCTTGTATAAGGTAAAGGAGAATCTAGGATTTAAAATCTTATTCTAGAAACAACTGTATCTACTATTTATAAAAACTGGAATTTTTGGAGCAGAGTGGGTGGTAGGAGGCATACAATTTAAAAAAATTAGAGCATTCTGCAACATAACAAATATTCTGCCTATGTCTGCAGCTGGGCTGTTCTAGTCTTACCAGTCAGAAATGATAACTCTTTTAGCCAGTCTTTACATGACATTTGTGGAAATAATAAGCTTTCATTTTGTTGCTAATGATATAAACTCAATCCAAACTAGCTAAAGCAATAGAGAGGGATTACTGGTTCACACAAAGTGGAGATCCAGAAGTAGAACTGCCTCTAATAGTGTCTGAATACAGTGTTTCAAATGATGATACACAGATTATGCCTTTCAGTCTCTCAATTCTGCTTTCCCTTTTGTTGGCTTTTTACCCATTTCTGGCACTATATGTGGTTGCCAAAATAGTCAGCAACTGCCCCAGGTTTACACTGTCTTTAAAGTTTTTATGTTGGAATCCATGCCAGTCCTTTCAAAGGACTCTGTGGCTTTGATTGAGTTCCAGGTCAATCCACTGTGCCAATCTCATTGTGTCATTATGATTGCCCAAATTCAGTATCCATAAAATATTCTTAAAGAATAAAATTTCACATTTTGGGATGGGGGTACAGACACCAATATATAAACAAAATGAATCAGCAAGGTATTTTCAGATACTGAGAAGTACTGTGAAGAAAATGAATTTGGATTCTATGATGGAGAGTGACTAGAATGTCAAGTTCAGGGTGAGCAATAATGGGCCTACTGAGGATAAATATTTGGGCAAATGTATAAATGACAAGAGTTTACATTTCAGGCCAAGAACACTGCATTGCCTGGGCATGTTTGAAGAGCAAAAAGAAGGACAGTATTACCAGAGAATAGTGATTCAAGAGCCGTAATGGTAAGAGTAAGATCATGGGCATAGAAGACCACATTAAGGGGTTTACACTTTTACTAAGGTGAATGCGCAACCATTGGTTGGTGTTCAACAAGGAAAGAATAGGATATAATTCATAAGTTTTTGGAAGAAAAATATTTTGGATGTGGGTTTGTAGGAAAGTCTATAGAGAAGTAAGAAAGAAAACTGGGAGCACAGTTGAGAATCATGGTGGCATCACTGTGGCCCGTACAAGTTATTTGGGCTGAGTGGTAGAAGGAAGATGAGTAAAGTAGACTTATTTATATATTTTAAATAAAGAGATTCCTGATAAAACAGATGTGAGGAATGCAGGAGAGATGACAATCATGAATGACTCCACATGATAGAATTAAATCTTCACAGCAATCCTGTAAGGTAAGGACATTATCTGTGTTGTACAATGAAGCTTCTGAGGCTTCAAGAGGTGAGTAAATTTCCCATAGCAGTGGGGGGCAAAGTAGGACTTTAATCTCAGTTTTTATTGCTGTTGGTCTTGTTCAATCTAAAGACTTTCTACTACAGTTGTCCCTCTCTATCTGAGGAGAATTAGTTCCAGGACCCCAGGAGATACCAAAATCTGAACATATTTAAGGCTCACAGTGGATGATATGGAACCTGCAAATAGGAAAAGTTGGTCCTCCATATATGCAGAATGGCAATACTATATTTTGGTCTGTGTCTGGATGCAGATGCAGAACCTGCTGATCCGAAGGACCAACTGCATTTATTTTAAAATCTTCTTGTAAGTGAACCTATGCAGTTCCAACTTGTGTTTTTTATGGGTCAACTGTATATGGGTTGGGGTCATAACCTAAAAACCACAATCTCGAGTACTATAATCCCAAATGTTCAAATCTTGAAAGATCAGGATCCCAAAAATATATTTCTGGAAAAAATAATTTTAAAAATTCTTTAAAAGATATCTATTTACATTTTTAAAAGGGGATTTGAGATTAATAGTAATAGAGATTATACAATAAAATAGACAATAGCATACATATTTTACAAGCATAAACATTTAGGTATACTAACTAACAACAGTCATGCAGATATGACAGTTCTGAGCAGACAAAACATATTCACAAAGAAAGAGATTAAAGAGCAAAATGTATAAAGACATATTGCTACGGATGATAATTGTATACACCCAGCTTTATGACTCTGGTCACGTGAAACACCGTGATGAAAAACCTAAGTCTTTCAATGAGATTGATTACAAACCATGATGGCTCATCACCACATATGCAGTTGCCTAAGGAGTCAAAGTATCAAGAAATATTATCTTTCACAAATGTAGATGTACAAAAAAGACTTCCTTCCTTCCTTCCTTCCTGTCTTTCTTTCTTTCCCTTTTTTTTTGAGATGGAGTCTCGCTCTGTCTCCCAGGCTGGAGTGCAGCGACGTGATCTCGGCTCACTGCAAACTCCACCTCCCGGATTCAAGGGATTCCCCCACCTCAGCCTCCTGAGTAGCTGGGATTACAGATGTGCGCCCACCATGCCAAGCTAACTCTTGTATTTTTAGTAAAAACAGGGTTTCACCATGTTGGCCAGGCTGGTCTGGAACTCCTGACCTCAAGTGATCCACCCACCTCGGCCTCCCAAAGTGCTGGGATTACAGACTTGAGCCCTCAGGCCCGGCCGACATCGTTCATTTATTGAGAAAGTTTCAACATTTTCATGTACATGCACAATACTTCACAGGCAAAATCAACTTTATGATCATGCATTTTGTGAAGTAAAATTCGCAAAAAAAAAAAAAAAAGCATAAAATGAGTTAGAATTCCCTAAAGGTCTTTACACAATTTATATCTCTGGGTACTGGAAATGATATGAAGATGAAATACATAGTGTAGCAAATTGGTGCTATGTGTGGAGGGGCAGAAGTCTTATGATAGAATAATTTCCTAGAGGAGATTTCTTGTATTTTTTACCTGTGTGCTCACCCTTTCTATGATCTTCAAAACATTCCCTGCAATTGTATTTGGACAGTGGTTGTGGCCTACAAATTTTGTAAGTATATATATATATAATAATCAGACTATATATTTGACAGTGTGATTATTGCTCTGCTGTTGCAACTAAATGATTTTTTGCTTTTGCAGCACCAACAGTAATTAACTTTTAAAACTTTTATCTTTTGCCGTTAAGTAGCCTCTTACTCTTATAATAGCCTTTTTTGCCAGGGAACAATTTCACAGACCTCTTTCATTGTGTTGTAAGGAATACAGTAAAAAGGAATGATATTTGGCTTCCCCAATACCAAATCTGTGTTGATCAGGATTCTCCAGAGAACCAATAGTTTAGATGTATATGTATATGTGTGTGTGTGTGTGTATATATATATATATGTGTGTGTGTGTGTGTGTGTGTGTGTGTGTGTGTGTATGTATATCTATCTATCTATATCTCTGTCTATCTATCTATCTATCTATCTATCTATCTATCTATCTATCTATCTCTATCTATGAGGAGATTAGGGGAACTAATTTATGCAATGATGGTGGTTAGGAAGTCCTAAAAGAGGCCATCTGTGAGCTGGAGACCCTGTGAGGCCAGTAGTGTGGCTCAGTCTAAGTCCAAAGGCTGGCGAGTCTGGAGTTCTGAGGTCCAAGGCAGCAAAAGAAAAATCTGTCACAGCTATCAGAGAAAGACCAATTCACCTTCTGCATTTGTTCTCTCTGGGCCCCCCTTCTATTAGATGGTGGCTGCCCCAACACCGACAGCAGGTATTCCACACCTAGTCTACTCTGACTCACATTAATCTTCTCTGGAAACACCTTCACAGGTATACTCAAAATAGTGCTTCAGTGGGTTTCAAAGTATTCCTTAATCCAGCCAAAGTGACACCTAAAATTAAGTCCCACAAGTCCACTCCTTGGTAACTTGGCACCCATAAACACATCTCTTTAACTCGTACTTAATTTCCAAATAAAGAAAATAATAAGGTATTAGTTCCACCTAACATGAAACCACTAACATGATGCAACTCTTATACGCAACTAAAAATGCATGAATCTCTTTTCTAGAATTTGGCTTCCAGGATTTCAGCATTTGGGATTTTAATCTTTTAAGATTATAATTTTCAGCATTTTAGACATTGGAGATTTGAAACTTTAAAAATTTTGATTTTTGAAGATATTGATTTTTAGGGATTTCAACATCTGGAGTAATGGCATTCAGGATTGTGTCTTTCAGGACTATAATCAGCACCACTGCCATATCGCACTACTAACAAGAAAAATACATTTTATTAAATTCACAAAGGAAGGATAAGAACTTGACAGCAGCTTAGAACTAGCTGAAGGAAGCTTCCTTTGCTACTGAAGTCCTTGTGACTTACTTTCTCTATAATACATTAAATATCTATGATATGGAGATTTTAAGACTAATGATAAACTCTTCTTATTTATCTTCTCAATAAATATGATCCACTTATGGAATTCAAAAATCTGGTTATGTCTGTTATAGATATAAAATAAATTCCTAAAGAAAGTTTAAGCATGATGCATTTTAAGAACAAAATGGTGAGGAGATAATTACTAAATATGAGTGTTTGATTGAGGAAAATTACAAAGAAATGGTCTTTTCCACTAAAAGAAATGGAATTTAAGCCACCACTGTGTGGGACTAGGGAAATTGCTAAGCATGAAGCACAGATGAGTGACAGAACCAAAAAGACCTGTCACGAGCTATTATCCTGTGAGGAGTAACTAGAGGCAGGAATGTAGAAGAGTGTACTGAAGATTGCTTACCAAGAGGACTTGCATTATAAGAGTTTTAGAAACTGGTCTTTCAACACCTTTTAATTGCAAGGAAGATCTTTCCAGTTTTACCAGATTCAAGACTAACCGATATATTCTTATTTACATTTATTTCAGGCATAATTTTGGGGGGGATACTAATTTTTTTGAGTCCCAGCTATTTGCTCTTTTTTTTTTTTTTAAAGAACACTGGTATAACTTGACAATGGGTATTGTTAATATGGATATGAATGGTCTTTATAGATTCATTAGAAAATCCTCACATAATTAATAGTTAAGATCTCTTAAACATGTCAGTCTGTCCTAAAATTCTCTTTTAATGATCCTTGAATAATTAATTTATATGGAAGTGATTATTGCTGACAAATTTTTGGTAAAGAGTGAGTAGACATGCTATTGCAACAAACAAAATCAGAGGCCTAAGCAGCTTTCATCGTTCTCAAAGGCATAATCTCTTCTACATCTTTCTTATGTCACTGGCTTCTTACAGTATATCCCCAAGTAACAGCACATATAATCTTTATATAGTCTGTGCATTACAGCTTCCGCCTGAGGTTATTACATTTGTTTTCTGACTTTGTCTAAGTTTCTCAATAAATTCTAGTTAAATCCTCCCTTAATGCAACATTAAATTCCTTAATAAATCCTGATTAAATGCTAGAGCTGCGCTGGGATTCTTGACTTTGTTCTAATCAAAAGCTTCAGAAATAAAAATATTTCTGTCACAAGAAGAGAAAGTAAAAGCATGGAATGCAAATTTATTTAAGTTCTTCAATTTTGTGATAAAAAATAAGCTTCAATCTTGAGGAAATAGAGGTGAAAGTATCTGAATATAACACACTGACAATGCAGTCAGTTTGATGAATACATTCATGGAATTAGTCTAATTCACTTTTAACTAGTTATCTAACTTGACAACACCCTAATCATACTGTACAACCTTAATGCCCAAATTAATGCTAGACTGATATAACAGATATTGAGCTTTTGTATTTAATGAGATTAGATATGCTATGAAGGAAAAGGGCTATAACAGGTTATGCCCAAGACCTCCTGTCAGTTTCCATATTAATTTAGTCTGTGCTTCAGGTTTCAGATATGTAACACCAATTACATTCTTCACTCATTAAAAGTTATTATTTATTACAGCATGTGTATCCCAAGACTTCTTGGTTTGTGTGTAATGTTAACACTTTCCAAAAAAGCTTTATATCCTTATTATGAGTACTGACTGAATTTGAATTTTATATCATGCTATTGTCTAAGCATTAAATAATCTAAAATATATAACTACGTTCTTCTTTTACATTATTAGAAAACCACAGAGATTACTCTGTTTTTGTCACTGATTAGTATTTTTTCACAGGACCACTTTGACTTACTAGTTTTTTGGGGTTTTTACCTAATGAGATGGAAAAAAAGATTATAGTTACAATAAATATATGCAGCCATTTAATTTATTTGTATGGGTTTTAAGTAGGCCTAGTATACTTTTTGTTCAGGGTATGGATAATTATAGTACTTTTCCAGAAAACTAAGCAATATCAACATGATATGGTAGAGTTGCAATAAAATTCACAATCTTTTAAAAAGTCAGAATATTAGGGATGCTGGTTTATCACTCCAAAGGAGATAGATCCCCCGAATAAGGCTTAAGTTTGATTTTATAGGTAAAGAGAGAGAGAAAGGGATAAAGAAAGGGAAAGGAAGAAAAGAAAGAAGGAAGAAAGGGAGGGAAGAAGGAAGGAAAGGAAGGAGGAAGGCAGGGAGGGAGGGAAGGAGACATAAATCAAGAAGATAGGCTAGGGGGAATGGCATATTGTAAAGTAGACAATTTTTTTTTGGTTTATGCTATTTTATTAACTTAGAGCTGTCCAAAAATGACACAACTTTGTAATTTCTACACTGTAAATGGAAATTATCTTTTAATACTGAGACTTTTTTAAGCGAATTCATGCCTTAAAATATTTCAACACGACTGCCTAGTTCTGGATTCTGTCAGTTTCCCCATAGGTCTTCCAATTGCTTGATGTTCTTTTATTTTTTTAAATTATACTTTAAGTTCTGGATTACAGGTGCACAACATGCAGGTTTGTTACATAGGTATACATGTGCCATGGTATTTTGCAGCACCCATCAACCTGTCACCTGCATTAGGTATTTCTCCTAATGCTATCCCTCCCCTATCCCCCATGCCCCGACAGGCCCCAGTGTGTGACGATTCCATCCCTGTGTCCATGTGTTCTCATTGTTCACCTCCTACTTGTGAGTGAGAACATGTGGTGTTTGGTTTTCTGTTCCTGTGTTAGTTTGCTGAGAATGATGGTTCCCAGCTACATCCATGTCCCTGCAAAGGACATGAACTCATCCTTTTTGATGACTGCAGAGTATTCCAAGGTGTATGTGTGTCACATTTTCTTTATCCAGTCTATCATTGGTGAACATTTGGGTTGGTTCCAAGTCTTTGTTATTGTGAATAGTGCTGCAGTAAACATATGTGTGCATGTGTCTTTATAGTAGAATGATTTATAATCCTTTGGATATATACCCAGTAATGGGATTGCTGGGTCAAATGGCATTTCTAGTTCTAGATCCTTGAGAAATCGCCACACCGTCTTCCACAATGGTTGAACTAATTTACATTCCCACCAACAGTGTAAAAGCATTCCTATTTCTCCACATCCTCTCCAGCATCTGTTGTTTCCTGACTTTTTAATAAAGTTAGCTATCCTAAATATATCTGCACCCAATACAGGAGTACCCAGATTCATAAAGCAAGTTCTTAAAGAGACATAGACTCCTACACAATAATAGTGGGAGATTTTACCACCCCACTGTCAATATTAGACAGATCAATGAGAGAGAAAATTAACAAGGATATTCAGGACTTGAACTCAGCTCTGGACAAAGCAGACCTAATAGACATCTATAGAACTCTCCACCCCAAGTCAACAGAATATAACAGAATATACATTCTTCTTAGCACCACATCACACTATTTCTAAAATTGACCACATAATTGGAAGTAAAATACTCGTCAGCAAATATAAAAAACGGAAATCATAACAGTCTCTCAGACCACAGTGCAATCAAATTAGAACTCAGGATTAAGAAACTCACTCAAAACCACACAACTACATGGAAACGGAACAACCTGCTCCTGATTGACTACTGGGTAAATAATGAAATTAAGGCAGAAATAAATAAGTTCTTTGAAACCAATGAGAACAAAGACACAACATACCAGAATCTCTGGGACATAGCTAAAGCAGTCTATAGAGGGAAATTTATAGCACTAAATGCTCACAAGAGAAAGTGGGAAAGATCTAAAATTGACACCCTGACATTACAGTTAAAAGAACTAGAGAAGCAACAGCAAACAAATTCAAAATCTAGCAGAAGACAAAAAATAACTAAGATCAGAGCTGAACTGAAGGAAACAGAGGCACAAAAACCATTCAAAAAATTAATGAATCCAGGAGCTGATTTTTTGAAAACAATAACAAAATAGACCACTAGCCAGACTAATAAAGAAGAAAAGAGAGAACCATATAGACACAATAAAAAGTGATAAGGGGGATATCTCCACTTATCTCACAGAAATACAAACTACCATCAGAGAATGCTATAAACACCGCTATGCAAATAAACTAGAAAATCTAGAAAAAATGGATAAATTCCTGGACACATACACCCTCCCGAGACTAAACCAGGAAGAATTCAAATCCCTGAATAGACCAATAACAAATTCTGAAATTGAGGGAGTAATTAATAGCCTAACAACAACAACAACAACAACAATAAAAAGCCCAGGATCAGATGGATTCACAGCCAAATTCTACCAGAGGTTCAACGAGGAACTGGTACCATTCCTTCTGAAACTATTCCAAACACTAGAAAAAGAGGGACTTCTGCCTAACTGATTTTATAAGGCCAGCATCGTCCTGATACCAACACCTGGCAGAGACACAACAAAAAAAGAAAATTTCAGGCCAATATCCCTGATGAACATTGATGAGAAAATTCTCAATAAAATACTGGCAAACTGAATCTAGCAGCAATCAAAAAGCTTATCCACCATGATCAAGTCAGCTTCATCCCAGGGATGCAAGCCTGGTTCAACATATGAAAATCAATAAACATAATCCATCACATAAACAGAACCAATGACAAAAACCATGATTATCTCAATACATGCAGAAAGGACATTCAATACAATTCAACACTGCTTTATGCTAAAATCTCTCAATAAACTAGATATTGATGGAATGTATCTCAAAATAATAAGAGCTATTTATTATAGACCCACAGCCAATATCATACTGAATGGGCAAAAGCTGGAAGCATTCCCTTTGAAAAATGGTGCAAGAAAAGGATGACTTCTCTCAGCACTCCTGTTCAACATATTGTTGGATGTTCTGGCCGGGACAATCAGGCCAGAGAAAGAAATAAAGGGTATTCAAATAGGAAGAGAGGAAGTAAGATTGCCTCTGTTTGCAGATGACATGATTATATATTTAGAAAAGCCCATCGTCTCAGCCCCAAATCTCCTTAAGCTGATAAGCAACTTCAGCAAAGTCTCAGGATACTAAATCAATGTGCAAAAATCACAAGCATTCCTACACACCAATCATAGGCAAACAGAGAGCCAAACCATGAGTGAACACTCGTTCACAATTGCTACAAAGAGAATAAAATATCTAGGAATCCAACCAACAAGGGATGTAAGTTCTTAACCTCTTCAAGGAGAACTACAAGCCACTGTTCAAGGAAATCAAGAGAGGACACAAACAAATGGAAAAACATTCCATGCTCATGGACAGGAAGAATCAATATCGTGAAAATGGCCATACTACTCTAAGTAATTTTTAGATTCACTGCTATCCCCATCAAGCTACCATTTAATTTCTTCACAGAATTAGAAAAAACTACTTTAAATTTCATGTGGAACTAAAAAAAGAGCCCGTATAGCCAAGACAATCCTAAGCAGAAAGATCAAAGCTGAGGCATCACATTACCTGACTTCAAGCTATACTACAAGGCTACAGTAACCAAAACGCATGGGACTGGTACCAAAACAGATATATAGACCAATATAACAGAACAGAGGCCTCAGAAATAACACCACACATCTACAACCATCTGATCTTTGACAAACCTGACAAAAACAAGCAATAGGGAAAAGATTCTCTATTTAAGAAATGGCATTGGGAAAACTGGCTAGCCATATGCAGAAAACTGAAACTGGACCCCTTCCTTATACCTTATACCAAAATTAACTCGAGGTGGATTAAAGACTTAAACGTAAGAACTAAAACCATAAAAATCGTAGAAGAAAACCTAGGCAGTGCCATTCAGGACATAGGCATGGGCAAGGACTTCATGTCTAAAACACCAAAAGCAATGGCAACAAAAGCCAAAATAGACAAATGGGATCTAATTAAACTAAAGTAGACAATTTTTAATACACAGTTAAATATTGAGAATTCTGCTTTTCATTTTCATTGTAATTTAGTAGAATATAATCACATCAGACATTTTGATTCATAGGCTTCTAATTTCTCAATGTTATATATTTGGAGACAATTAAATTCTAGAAGTAATGCAAAGACCTCTTATAAAATATAATCAAACAGCATCACACTGTGTTATATCTTTATCTATTTTTGTATGAAAATTAACCCCAACAAACCAAAGCTACAGACAGAAGGAAATTAAAGACATGGTATAAGAACCTGACAAATTTATGGAGTGTTTAAAGTGTGGCTGTACCAAAGTGCTTAATCAATGCCTTCAAGTAGTCAAGGCACTGTTTTATTCAAATGTATTCCATTTGGTAAGCAGTGTGAATAAAAGGGAAACCATTCTTTGTTTTGACAGTGTATTTAACATTTTGTTTTAATGTTCCTTTTAAAAATAGTTGTGTTCTCCTAATGCTGTGACTGGTGAATTTTCTGTCTAGGAAGGTGCTATCATAATTGGGTGCTATATTTTGTCTCTAGGAAGGTGTGCTACCATATTTGGGAGGGAAATATGTATCTACTGGATATATTCTTATCCCCAAGGCCTATACTTCTTTTATATTGGAAACACATAAACACACACACACACACACACGCACGATAAATACACCTTCTGAATAATGAATAAAGTAATTCAGTTTTTCATTAAAAAAGAGAATTAGTAGTTACAATATTTTCTTCAATGTGTATAGGCTTCTGCAATCAAGTGACTGCAGAGGCAAAACTAGCTCTAAAGTGTATGTTCTATGACAGCAGATTCTAGGCAACATGAGGCAAAACTTCCAAATAATAAGAGCGGTGAAAGTCTGTTTTAAATATTATATTACTCCTGGGGATAGAGGTGTAGAAAGAAATGGAATGAAGACTGATAGGATAATTAAACTGTATTCACCTTGATGAGATTTTCCCAAGTCTCACTATGGACCATGACCCTCTCATTTACTTTACCAATGACAAATTCAGACTATAGATATAGACATAGTCTTCTCACAGAACTACTTGGCCTGTCTTTGAGGAAAGTGGTAACTCTCCCTCACTTAATGATTCCATAATAAATGTAATTTCAAACATCCCACATCCACGAACAAGAGAATTAGCTTTTTTGTGGTCATAATACATTTAAATTCATTGAAATATAATATACCTTCAAATTTATAAATGATAACTGTTTAGCTAATTAAGGGATATCATTACCATGTAATCCTTCACTGTTTGAAAATGGCAAACTAGCAAAGTTTAATCATAATGCAATCAGTAATGGTTGGCTTCATCCTATATTAGTGAGACATAATGCAAACCAGTGAAGATTCAAGAGAAGTTAATGAAAGAATTCCACTTAACAAGGAAAAGAAATGAAAGATTTCTTCTTAAACATTCATTACAAAGTAAGTAAGCTAAAAACTATTTTTGCTAATTTAGTTCAAATTATTTATAATAATCATTTATTTTAGATTTACATGTTAGACATAGTACAAGACAATCAATGGTATTACTACATTTAATCTTCAAAGCACTCTTATAAACTGGGTATTATTATCACCACTTACAAATGTGGAAAATAAACTTGAGGAGCTAAACTACTTGCCCAAGATCAACCAAAAATAGGTGGGAGAATGGAAAATGAAAATTAAGTCTGTGACTTTCAACAAGATACCTTGTGACCTTTCCAGTTGGCCTTCTTTCCTTTGTTCTTTTTTTTTTCAGCCATGACTCATTTTTATGTTATAGGGTCCAGAAAGTCAGCAGTGTGGAAGACCAAGCCTACATGGTATTTTCTGCTACTGCCATTGTTTATAGAATGTATTGCCTTAAAACACAGGGAGGATTACAGCCATTCATTTATTCAGCATCTGTGCATCAGTCATTTATTCTGGGTATTGTGTTTAAGTGCTGGTAATAAAATGATGAGTAAGTTATCTAATAGGAAATTATTATAACTATATTAATTTACTATTATATATATATGTTATTAAAGTAATTTTTCCTATATGCTTTACCCCAAATATCATTCCCAAATAAACATTTGTATTCAAATATGTAGACAAATCTCTTAGCTAAAAGAATTTCACTTCTATGTGTTTGCATAGCAATAATATATTCTAGCAACAATATATCACAACATAATGTCAGATCATCTCCAGTCAACATCATCATTGTGTTAAATAAATTACTGGAAAGAACGACTGAATTCCCTGATTCACCAGTATTTCTCCTTAGAATGAACTTGGTGGAAGTAATTGCCAACTGAATTTATCAAAGTAGCTCCCTCAGATCTTTTAATTTAAGAGAAAAAAATTAAAAGCACTCCATTACCCCCTGCTCTGGTATACATTCCTATCATCTGTTTTGGCTGAGCTGTCTTGAGAGGTAAGTGCAAGACAAGGGTAGAAGCCAAATGAAACACACACTTCACCCAACCAGTAGGTAGAGGATCAGCATACTAGTAGGTACTTAGACATAATAATCACATTAAAGCCTATTAAGGAATATGACACTTAAATAATTTCCTGGTTTAGAATCATTGTCCTTATTTGTGGGGACCTTCTTTTTTAAAGTAATCTCATATTGACAGGCTGTGTTCTGTCTCTTGCAAATTCACATTACGTTTTCAGGTAGGTTTGCAGGCATATTAAACCGGCTTTTGATAAGAATACAAGCTGATGTCTTTAAGTTATCATCAAATATGAGATACCATGGAATAAGTAGTGCATATTTGAATTATTTACCTATGATTAGAGAAGTATAAGATGGAAAAAGTTTTGCAACTTCTTCGAACTGAGTGATGCAGTAATTAAATGGCAAGATGCAATAATATTTGAAAAACTTTATCACTTCTTGGGTCTGTTAATCAACTTAGCTACTCTCATATTTTTGTAAGCATTTCTTTTATTTAACTTACAATCTCAGAGTAATTCTCCTACACTTTAAAAGTTATAACCTGAAGTGTACATTTATAATAGTGGTTAGATTTTTTAATTACCTCTTTAGAATTTTGTCTCAGAAGTAAATTTACATTTCTATCTTTTATCTGTATTTCATCCAGTGAAACAAAAACACACAACTTTTTATTACTTTAGATTGTCAGATGATATGTCCCAGTAGGGAGGCATATTTTACAGAAACAACTGAGTAATTTATAAAATTGGTGGAAGACAAGGAAAAAATTTTAAATATCAATAATATACAAGCTTTAAGTTTCCAATGTAGTTCTAGCCTATAAATTAAAACTTTACAATTGATAATATTACATTTTGATTTTAAAACTCTATGGATTTCCCCTTATTTACTTTAATATAAAATTTGTTCTATCCCATCCCTGATATCATAAAATCAGTCAGCTCTAAATCTTGTAAATTTCAGACTTTATAACTTAATTATTCTTCTAAATTCATATGCCTTATTTCGTTACTCTGTAATCATATTAGATTTCTATTGCTGCTGTCACAAATTGCCACAAACTTAATGGCTTAAAACAATATACATTTATTGTCTCACAATTCTGCAAGTCAAATATCAGAGTGGGCTCAGGTGTTTTCTCTGATCTGGGCCTTATAAGGCCAAAATTAAGGCATCAGTCAGCCTGGGCTCTTGTCTAGAGGAAAATTTGCTTTCAAGCTTTTTTATGTTTTTGGCAGAATTTGGTTGCATGTAGTTGAAGTAAGGAATCCCTGTTTCTTTGTGGGCTATCAGCTGGCAGCTACCCTTAGGTCCTTGAGGTGTCTCTTACCACATGGTTCTACGTGACAGCAATGGCACACTGAATTCTCATCCTTGAAATCATGTTGAAGTCTCCTGCCACATCACTTTTGTTTCCAGTCAGAGAATTTCTCTCCTTTTAAGAACTCATGTTATTCCCTAGCCTATCTGGATAATCCACAGTCATCTTAATTTAAGTTCAGTGACCTTAATTACATGTGCAAAGTCTCTTATTCCATGTTATCATAACATATTCACATTTTCTGGGGATTTGAGTATGGGCAACTATAATGGTTAATCTTTTTTTTTTTGCTTTTTTTTAATTTTAAGTTTTAGGGTACATGTGCACAATGTGCAGGTTAGTTACATATGTATACATGTGCCATGCTGGTGTGCTGCACCCATTAACTCGTCATTTAGCATTAGGTATATCTCCTAATGCTATCCCTCCCCTCTCCCCCCCAACAACAGTCCCCAGAGTGTGATGTTCCCCTTCCTGTGTCCATGTGTTCTCATTGTTCAATTCCCACCTATGAGTGAGAACATGCAGCATTTGGTTTTCTGTCCTTGTGATAGTTTACTGAGAATGATGATTTCCAATTTCATCCATGTCCCTACAAAGGACATGAACTCATCATTTTTTATGGCTGCATAGTATTCCATGGTGTATATGTGCCACATTTTCTTAATCCAGTCTATCATTGTTGGACATTTGGGTTGGTTCCAAGTCTTTGTTATTGTGAATAGTGCTGCAATAAACATACGTGTGCATGTGTCTTTATAGCAGCATGATTTATAGTCCTTTGGGTTTATACCCAGTAATGGGATGGCTGGGTCAAATGGTATTTCTAGTTCTAGATCCCTGAGGAATTGCCACACTGACTTCCACAATGGTTGAACTAGTTTACAGTCCCACCAACAGTGTAAAAGTGTTCCTATTTCTCCACATCCTCTCCAGCACCTGTTGTTTCCTGACTTTTGAATGATTGCCATTCTAACTGGTGTGAGATGATATCTCATAGTGGTTTTGATTTGCATTTCTCTGATGGCCAGTGATGATGAGCATTTTTTCATGTGTCTGTTGGCTGCATAAATGTCTTCTTTTGAGAAGTGTCTGTTCATGTCCTTCGCCCACTTTTTGATGGGGTTGTTTGTTTTTTTCTTGTAAATTTGTTTGAGTTCATTGTAGATTCTGGATATTAGCCCTTTGTCAGATGAGTATGTTGTGAAAATTTTCTCCCATTGTGTAGGTTGCCTGTTCACTCTGATGGTAGTTTCTTTTGCTGTGCAGAAGCTCTTTAGTTTAATTAGATCCCATTTGTCAATTTTGTCTTTTGTTGCCATTGCTTTTGGTGTTTTAGACATGAAGTCCTTGCCCATGCCTATGTCCTGAATGGTAATGCCTAGGTTTTCTTCTAGGGTTTTTATGGTTTTAGGTCTAACGTTTAAGTCTTTAATCCATCTTGAATTGATTTTTGTATAAGGTGTAAGGAAGGGATCCAGTTTCAGCTTTCTACATATGGCTAGCCAGTTTTCCCAGCACCATTTATTAAATAGGGAATCCTTTCCCCATTGCTTGTTTTTCTCAGGTTTGTGAAAGATCAGATAGTTGTAGATATGCGGCATTATTTCTGAGGGCTCTGTTCTGTTCCATTGATCTATATCTCTGTTTTGGTACCAGTACCATGCTGTTTTGGTTACTGTAGCCTTGTAGTGTAGTTTGAAGTCAAGTAGCGTGATGCCTCCAGCTTTGTTCTTTTGGCTTAGGATTGACTTGGCGATGTGGGCTCTTTTTTGGTTCCATATGAACTTTAAAGTAGTTTTTTCCAATTCTGTGAAGAAAGTCATTGGTAGCTTGATGGGGATGGCATTGAATCTATAAATTACCTTGGGCGGTATGGCCATTTTGACGATATTGATTCTTCCTACCCATGAGCATGGAATGTTCTTCCATTTGTTTGTATCCTCTTTTATTTCGTTGAGCAGTGGTTTGTAGTTCTCCTTGAAGAGGTCCTTCACGTCCCATGTAAGTTGGATTCCTAAGTATTTTATTCTCTTTGAAGCAATTGTGAATGGGAGTTCACTCATGATTTGGCTCTCTGTTTGTCTGTTGTTGGTGTATAAGAATGCTTGTGATTTTTGTACATTGATTTTGTATCCTGAGACTTTGCTGAAGTTGCTTATCAGCTTAAGGAGATTTGGGCTGAGACAGTGGGGTTTTCTAGATATACAATCATGTCATCTGCAAACAGGGACAATTTGACTTCCTCTTTTCCTAATTGAATACCCTTTATTTCCTTCTCCTGCCTGATTGCCCTGGCCAGAACTTCCAACACTATGTTGAATAGGAGTGGTGAGAGAGGGCATCCCTGTCTTGTGCCAGTTTTCAAAGGGAATGCTTCCAGTTTTTGCCCATTCAGTATGATATTGGTTGTGGGTTTGTCATAGATAGCTCTTATTATTTTGAGATACGTCCCATCAATACCTAAATAGTAATGGACTAAATGCTCCAGTTAAAAGACACAGACTGGCAAATTGGATAGAGTCAAGACTCATCAGTGTGCTGTATTCGGGAAACCCATCTCACGTGCAGAGACACACATAGGCTCAAAATAAAAGGATGAAGGAAGGTCTACCAAGCAAATGGAAAACAAAAAAAGGCAGGGATTGCAATCCTAGTCTCTGATAAAACAGACTTCAAACCTAGTCTCTGATAAAACAGACTTTAAACCAACAAAGATCAAAAGAGACAAAGAAGGTCATTACATAATGGTAAAGGGATCAATTCAACAAGAAGAGCTAACTATCCTAAATATATATGCACCCAATACAGGAGCACCCAGATTCATAAAGCAAGTCCTTAGTGACCTACAAAGAGACTTAGACTCCCACACAATAATAATGGGAGACTTTAACACCCCACTGTCAACATTAGACAGATCAATGAGACAGGAAGTTAACAAGGATACCCAGGAATTGAACCCAGCTCTGTACCAAGCGAACCTAATAGACATCTACAGAACTCTCCACCCCAAATCAACAGAATATACATTTTTATCAGCACCACACCACACCTATTCCAAAATTGATCACATACTTGGAAGTAAAGCTGTCCTCAGCAAATGTAAAAGAACAGAAATTATAACAAACTGTCTCTCAGACCACACTGCAATCAAACTAGAACTCAGGATTAAGAAGCTCACTCAAAACCACTCAACTACATGGAAACTGAACAACCTGCTCCTGAATGACTACTGGGTAGATAACAAAATGAAGGCAGAAACAAAGATGTTCTTTGAAACCAACAAGAACAAAGACACAACATACCAGAATCTCTGGGACACATTCAAAGCAGTGTGTAGAGGGAAATTTATAGCACTAAATGCCCACAAGAGAAAGCAGGAAAGATCCAAAATTGACACCCTAACATCACAATTAAAAGAACTAGAAAAGCAAGAGCAAACACATTCAAAAGCTAGCAGAAGGTAAGAAATAACTAAAATCAGAGCAGAACTGAAGGAAATAGAGACACAAAAAACCCTTCAAAAAATTAATGAATCCAGGAGCTGGTTTTTTGAAAGGATCAACAAAATTGATAGAACACTAGCAAGACTAATAAAGAAAAAAAGAGAGAAGAATCAAATAGACACAATAAAAAATGATAAAGGGGATATTATCACGGATCCCACAGAAATACAAACTACCATCAGAGAATACTACAAACACCTCTGTGCAAATAAACTAGAAAATCTAGAAGAAATGGATAAATTCCTCGACACATACACTGTCCCAAGACTAAACCAGGAAGAAGTAATCTCTGAATAGACCAATAACAGGATCTGAAATTGTGGCAATAATCAATAGCTTACCAACCAAAAAGAGTCCAGGACCAGATGGATTCACAGCCGAATTCTACCAGAGGTACAAGGAGGAACTGGTACCATTCCTTGTGAAAGTATTCCAGTGAATAGAAAAAGAGGGAATCCTCCCTAACTCATTTTATGAGGCCAGCATTATCCTGATACCAAAGCCGGGCAGAGACTCAACCAAAAAAGAGAATTTTAGACCAATATCCTTGATGAACATTGATGCAAAAATCCTCAATAAAATACTGGCAAACCGAATCCAGCAGCACATCAAAAAGCTTATCCACCATGATCAAGTGGGCTTCATCCCTGGGATGCAAGGCTGGTTCAGTATACGCAAATCAATAAATGTAATCCAGCATATAAACAGAACCAAAGACGAAAACCACATGATTATCTCAATAGATGCAGAAAAGGCGTTTGACAAAATTCAACAGCCCTTCATGCTAAAAACTCTCAATAAATTAGGTATTGATGGGACGTATCTCAAAATAATGGTTAATCTTATTTACCTACTTGACTGGGTTAAGAGACACCTAGATAGCTGGTGAAGTATTATTTCTGGGTGTGTCTGGGAAAGTGTTTCCCGAAGAGATCAGCATTTGAACAGATAGGCAGGGTAATGAAGATCCACCCTCACCAATGTGAGTAGGCATTATCCAGTCTGTTGAGATCTTGTTCAAGTAGAACAGAAAGGTGGAGGAAGTATGAATTCACTCTGTCTTGAGATGGAACATCCATTATCTCCTGTCCTTGAACATTACAGCTCCTGGTTCTCAGGCTTTTGGACTCCAGGGCCTAAACCAAGGCATCCCTGTTCTCTGGCCTTTGAACTTGGACTGAATTAACACCACTAGCTTTCCTGGTTCTCCACCTTGCAGACAGCATATTATGGGACTCTTTAGCCTCCACAATCTTGTGAGCCATTCCCATAATAAATCTCCTCCTATATGTATCCTATCAGTTCTGTTTCTCTGGAGAACCTTGACTCATACAGCATCTTTAAGGTTCATTAATTTGCCTATTATAACAATATACTATCTTTTTTCACAGTTTAACATCCTTGAAGTGGGATGAATTTTAAAGCCAGTGGTTTGTCACATTAGAATTGGCAACAATTTTCCCCTTGTTCTACATAATATGATGATGTATATTACCATGATATGTTAATCTATGAATAATAATTTATTATATGCTACTCTTAAATATTATGTAAACACAGAAAGAGCTATGAAAAGTCATAAAAAAGCAGTTGCTGTGGTATGAAAATAGACAGCTGACATGAACAAACAACTCACAAAATAAATCTAAATGGACAATATATACACAAAAATTTTAACTTTGCTAGAAATCAAAGAAATTACCATTAAAAGAAACTACAATATTTACTCTATCAAATTAGAAACATTTTAAATAGATGGTACCTATCCTTCATGAAAGTAGAAGGAAACAGTGTTGGAGGTAGAAACTATTTTGGAGGCTAATTTTGCAATATATTTCTTAAGACTTAAAAGTCTTCAATTACTTCAACTCTAGAAATTTTTGCCATAGAAGTATTCAAAGGCCCATGCAAAACTGTGTACATATTCCAAATATATTTTATATATCCTTTGTTGCAATTCTATGTATAATAATGAATGACTGAAAACAAACTTCCTGTTGTCAAATAATATAACATACTGGTTAAATCAATGTAATACATGTTTATGAAGAGCACTTACAGGGCCAATAAAATGATGCTATCTGAGACTCTCTAAAGAGAGGAAAATATGCATGAAACATAAGAAAAGTAGATTATATGATGGTAGGTATATAGTAATTTTGAGAAAGAAAAAATAATCAAGTATTGATATCTGTTCTTCTTGCCAGTTTAAGTGGAAGAAGTATCTTTTTTCTCTCAATGGCTCGTAACTCCAGTCATATTCTAGATACACTACCTTTCACTTCCTCAACAGCTGTTATTCCTCATTATTTTCTCTATCTTCTGTTTTACTTGGTCTCCCAAATTTTACTCCCACTGGCACTTAAAAATGCCAAAATTACTTCCATCAAGTACATGCGTACATACGTAAACAGATGGATGAAGCTATTCCCCATAGGTACTGATCATCCCTCCTTTTTGTTTCAGTGAAGCTTTTACTGTTTTTTTTTAATACACAGGTTTTCCAGTTTCTTTGATCACTGAGGTTAATACAAAACTATGCATTTATTCAACAAATAGTTATTAATACTTACTTTGTGTGAGATCCAGTTCTATGTTTGGGAGCTATGAATATAACTTGTGAATAGGGCAGTATATCTGTATGAATATTGTAGAAACAAAAAAATAAAATCAGATACTGACAAGTACAACATAAGTAATTAAAATAAGTTCATGTCTATGATGTAGGCAGAGTAGTGACTAGTAGGCTAATCATTTCAATGTTCAGGGAAGGCTTCATTTAAGCTGATATCTCAATTGTTAGAAAGTTCAGCAATATGAAATCTGTGAAAAGAGAATTTTCAGGTAGACCTTATCTCAGATTTTAAGAAGTTGGCTGTCTAGCAGAAGAGACACTACAGATTAGGGAACAGCTAGAGCAAAGGTCCTGAGTTGGGAATGATCTTGGGATGATTGGCATTGATAAATAAGGATAAAATGGGTGAAATATATTGGCCTGGAGGGAGAGTAGTAAAAGATGAGACTGTGAGAGGTCAAACCACATAGGATTTCCCATGCTAAGATATTGGTGGTGTGGAGTGGTATTTTACAGTGGGAAGAATATACTGATTATCTGATTGTTGTTTTTGAGGATTAGTCTGTTTTTAATGTGAAAACGGATTTTGATGGGGACAGGAGTGGAGGTAGGAGACTGGCTAGGAAGTTCTTTTAAGATAAGGTAGTTATTGTGGTGGTCTGAATGTTGAAGATGTAGAGAAACGTACCAACAGAAGACATAGATTTGCTTTTGCACTGAATGGGAAAGGGAGTGAATGAGAGGGTTGAGGAAATAGATAATGCTGGGGCAGCTAGAATGACAGTAGTAATCTTTCCTGGGATGTACCCGGATTCTAACTTTAATATGTTGAAATGATTCTGTTAAAGGCCGTGAGTGCTCTTTTAGTTTTAAATCCAATTGAGAATTCTGAGTCCTTTCCTCTCTGGACCTCTATGTAGTTTTGGCACACAAAGTCACTCTCTTTTTGCCTTATATCTTTACCATTTATCTCATTTTCCTCTGTGCTGCTGCTCATCCTTTAAATGTTGGGCTTCTTTCCCCCAGACTCTTTGTTTTTCATTCTACAGACTCTTGTGACTATCCATACTGACAACTTCCGATCTGTGTTCACAACACAGATATGATTCTCCTAACAGTCTAGTCAATACACAACTATATATAAACCGTGATTTCAAGTGCTAGAGGTGCCTCAATATGTCCAAACCCAAATTCTGTTTGTCTATGCTCAAATCATGCTCTTTCTTTTAATTCATTTTCTTAGGAATTCTCCCACCATTGACATGGTGCTTGTGATAAATTGAATTATTGGGCTGAGTTCTTCACCTGCCTGGAGTAGTATTATGTATACATGTGTCTGTTATGGCTTCATAGAGAGTGAACTTACCACCATTTGACTTCAGCTTTTGCCAACATTACTTGTTTTGGTTAATGCAAATGTGGTGTGTATGACACAATAAAGGCTTAAAAGGCTATTGGGCTTGTTGCTTATGCACCTTCCTTTCATGATGAGAAGAAGATGCTTCAGGCAGGTGTTAGTCAAAGAAGGCTGAGAGACATGTGAAGCACATTTGGACCAAACCTGATGCTCTGAGTCAATCCCAGTTATGCTCAAGGTACAGTAGCAGTTGTGTGAACAAGAAATAAGTCCATATTATTGTACATCATTAAGATTTTGTGATTTTTATTCAGCCAAAACTAACTCATGCAAGACCCAAGTGAGAAGCCTGGCAGCCATCCCTGACTCTCTCCTCTAATAACAGTAACATGGAATAATATCTAAACCATATTTTGTGCACAATGTATCCTGTGCCTCACTCTCTTTCTTTAACACCCCATTGCACTTACCTCTTCTTTAAGTCACTCTGTATCTTATTACTGGTTTCCTTGGCTTTAGTATGATCCTATTCCAACCCATTTTCCTTACTGATATTACAATAATCTTTCCTAAAATGCAAACTAATCAAGTCATTCTGCTGTTTATAATCCTTCAAGGACTATCCTTAACTGAATAGTCATTATAAAACCCCAATTATTTAGCACACACTGACCCTCTCCACATGGCCTCCCTCTAAGTCTGCCCTTATTTCTTACATTTGTCTTTCATCTTCACCTTGCACTCCAGCAACACCATGCTCATTCTCGTTTCATGCTTTTTCATATGTTCCTCACATATTCATAGATTTTTTATGCCTACTCTTACCCCATGAAGTCTAAGTCCATCAAACTCCAATATTATCTTCTCCAGTAAGTTGTGCCTGCGTCCTCTACCCTCCTCACCTCATCCAGCCCTACTTAGGAGCCCTAGTGTTATATGTACATTCACAGGAATCAGTGATTTCTTCTGTTGGAGCTTAGTAGAATAATTAATTAGTTTCTATTTGTGGTTCAAATTTAGTTCAGATGAACTTTCTTTTTGATTTGTTTACTTTCTTGTCTTGTAACTAGTATATACTTTTCTTGGAGTCATTATTATATCTTTTATTTCTGTATTTCCAGTGACTACTATGATGCTTGAAACTTCATAAATATAATTGTGGAGTAAGTGAGTAAAATAAAGAAGGAAGGAAAGAATTTTAGAGGAGAAAATTGAAGCCAAGACATTTTAATTAATTTTCTCATTGTTGTTCACTAAATAAGTGATTGAGATTAAGATCACTTGTGTCCTTGAGTAGTACATTTTATGTTTTACCATTTCCATTTCCCAAACATTTTTTTAAAAAGCATCATTCCCAGTGATTGCAAAATTACAAGTTATATATTACTAGGAATAAAAATTATAAGTACATTTATGAAGACTTTGTGTTTAAAAACATTATGAGATAGTCACATGTTTTTTTTGGAAACAAGTGGATATTATCCTGAAGGTCTGTATCTATTAAACTCTATGAAAATGATTCTATAACATTGACAAACATTATCAGTAAAAGCAAGTTATTATTAAACAAGCAAGGGCATATTGGTACTTAAGAGAATGCCATTGTAATGTAAGCAATTGCATCATCATTACCTTTGCATATTGGATACAATTGAGTGGTCAGACCTATGAACTTTAAAAGTACATCTCTATGCCTGTCTTTTCTCAAGTCTCCTTTCCTCACGTGAGCTTTTTCAAACCCATTCTATCTCATTTTAATCAACTGAGTAAAACTTTAATATCTGCATTCCTGATTCTTTGGCATTTTAGTATACCTTTAATATATCATCATCGATCAAATGTGTCCTTAAAACTTCTTTTTCCTGCCTTAGTTTCTGTATATGTATACATGCCTCTGTGTGTGTGTATGGCAGGGGAGGGAGGGTGATGGATCTGTGTCCTCTAATATTTTCAAATTTGTTGAAAGTAGAGTTATGTGTTCTTTTTTCTAAGTATTTTCTACATCAGGCTTCAGACATAAAGGTTTCGTCAATTAGCCATTAACTGAGACACCTTAGATACATTAAACACTGAAAATGACATAAAGGTCCCATTTTATAGATGTATCAATGGGTAAAATCAAATAACTTTATAGTGTATTGGTGGAAAACTGAAACTATAATTTTGGACTCCTATGTGACAGTGCAATTCTAATTCCCCTACATAGTCTCATCTCTTAATTAGCTTGAGAAGTAGCTACTGTACTCTCAGAAATAGCCTAGAATTGTAAAATTGTATTAGTTTGAGACTATAAGCATTACCCTTGAAGTTATTTCAAGCAAATCCCTTTGCTATAACTCATGATATGAGATCTTAGAAATGATTAAATAAGAATGTGTCTTGATGATCAAATCGTATTTCAAAAAGAATTAATGCTTTAAATTTTCCTCTGTCAAGCAGCTTAATTCTTTTTACAGTACTTTTGCGATTGCACTTCTGATTCAATAGTGAGTATACTCATAATAATGATGATCATATGGCAGCACCACATCATATCCTTTAGAGCTTTATACATTTATCAGTACCTTTTGGTTAGTGTTCTAGTCTAGTGATCTTTGCCATATTCTGAAAAATAAAGTATATATTGGTACATCAAGTTGGGATTTTAGTCACTTTTTTCTGTAATTTGGTTTGCTTCCACAAAATTAGCAATGACAAGTATTATATATTCAACTGGGTGCCAGGTTATAAAGGTAAACCAAGACATAATGCCAGATTTTAAGAATTTGGTTATATAGCAGAAGAGTAAATACTGAACAAGAAGTCAGATTTTAATGAGATGTTATTTTAGACTGAAGGGATCAGGGAAAACTTAACGGAAAAGGTAGCTTGGGAACTAGACTCTGATAATCTAAGGTGGCATAGATATGGCATAAAGATAGAGGGCTCAGACCATGGGATTCCCTTGTCACTAACTCATCTCCTGTTGCTGGTTTGCCCAGGTAATTTAATAAATATTTGTTCTAGCCACGTATCACCAAAGGTCTCATTTTTATTTGTCTTACAGAAAAGCCACTGGTTTTCTTTTCTCTGAAAGAATATTTCAGGATATTACCCATATATATATTTTTAAAATAGAAGACTGACCCTCAGGAATAATGATCTAGAATTGAATAATGTACTTTATAGGACTTGATACATCAGTCTGAAATAAGGGTTACATCATTCCACGTTCGTTTCTTTCCTGAAGTGTTATGACATCGAAAAGAGTAAAGCCCATAGGGCAGTGATATTTCTGTTCCTCTCCCTGCCTATTTGATTTTGGCCCTCCATTTCCTGCTCACTTTGCATGCATCAGACTCTTAAGAGTTTTGTCATCTCTTTCACCTGACCCCATACTCACTATAATTGCTTATTCCCTTTCAAAATACTCAAATAATTAATCAGCACCAGTAAAATGCTAGACCTGAAGATGCTAATACTTATTCATCATGTTTAGGCCCAATTGACTGTGGCTTCAGTGTGCATGTGTGTGGTGATGAGAGTATGTCTGTCTGTCTACTTGGTGTGGTTAATTGGGTGATTTCTAAGGTCTTTCTGTTTAAGGATTCTAATGTTTGAATGGGAAATACATTAAATGTTGAATACTATACACAGTTGTGATTGAAACACTGTTTATATACATTATTCGATTGCCTTATGATCCTCTGCTATCCTCAGCAAATAGTACTGGCAAATCAGGGAGAAATCTAGTTCCCTTATGGAAATGGATTATGCATCATATCAAATATTGAGAAGAGTAAGGAGTCTACTGATTTTTCTCAAGAAGATAATAGCATGGTAAAAACTGACATTTCAGATGCAAAATTTTATTTAGAAAATGGACTCCTAACCAGGCTAATCCAATCCTGACATTACTTGAAGAATGAGTGTTTTAGACTGGGCTATTTAAGAAAAAAGTTTTCACTGTGTCTATTTACTGTACTTCATTGATTTTCTGCCTTACCAAGTCATTTGGAATCTAAATATCCAGAAGATGAGTCTATTCAGTAAAAAAAAAAAAAAAACTAAAATGAAAAAGAAAAAAAATCATATCACATTCCACCTTTCACAATAATTTATTTGCTTCTAATTAGCAAGATTGAGCCTTATATGGGCACTGAAAATACAATGTCAATTTTGTTATCTAGCAGATATAGAAAGAAAACAAAATTTAAACTATTATTTTAAATGTGCGGTTCGGCATTCCTTAAAACAACATATGTTCTGCAATTCCATTTGAAAAACAAATAGGAATTAGCGATGATTTGGCACCATGATCTGAAATAATGATCTTGATTACGATATCAGTATTTTTATTTAGCCAGTTAAAAAGCTAATGTTTTAGCGTGTTACTGTGATTGAAACTTACAGTCTACTGATGATGAAAAATAACTTTAGCGCCTGATAAACTTGGACTCAAATACTGGCTCTTTTACTTATTTTTTTCTGAAATCTTAGTCAAGGTATCTAAACTATTTGGTTCTTGATTTATTTGCACAAAAAAGAAGATACCTGTCCCTAATTCACAAATTTTCTTCTCTGGAGCTATGATTTCAATATTCGGGCCTTGTGACAATTATTTTCTATTTTTCTGGTTTCTTAACTATACTTTAGAAGTGTAATTCTCTGAATTCTCTAGGGAAAACTCACATTAAGATTTTATATCCATGTTTCAGAAGGAAGATAAGCTTACATTTCATTTTACATTTTTAAATGAACTATTTTTACATTTTTAAATATACTACTTTCAACTATGTCTTCTTGAGAGTTCCTCATCTGTGCCCTTCTGAAATCCTACAATCGGTGCACCCATCCTCCAGGTGCTGGGGGCACTTGGGGCTAACTGTTCACAGTCCTTCCCCTCCTGACAAACCACAGTCAAGGATTAACTGGCATGGGGATACAAATAGCTCTCTTGCCTCAAGGTGGATCCAACTCTGGCTTAATTCATACTCCAGAACTGCCCATGGGATCAGATTGCAGGTAGAGAGCCTAGCTGTGAAGACATCCTTACCTAGTTCCTTCACTTGCCTCATCCTTTCCCCCTTTGATCTTTTTCTACTGAAGGCATCCCCTCAATAAATCCACTCAGTCAAATCACTGTCTCAGGCTCTGCTAAAGGCATACCTCATTAAGACTGATTTTAAAACCTGAGGTTGTGTGAGCCAGGTGCTTCACTGGAAAATAAGCCAGATCTGGCTTTGAATTTTAGTTTTGTGACTTGGAATATAATCTTGAGTAGACATTTTAGTCTCTTTGAGTCTCAGTTTATTTATCTTAAAGGAGGTGAAATATAGCCTACTGGACTATTATGAAGTTAAACGAGATCATATAGATATGCTTTGTGTATATATTTATGTATACATACATGTGTACATATATTATTTATATACACATATATAAACATACCAAGCACCCAGCACTGATTCTGGAAACATAAGACTCAACAAATGTAAATCATTTTCTTTTTGTGTCTACTGCTTTCTATTCCTTCTGCCCCTATTTCTCTCCTCCAGGTTGCATTGGCACTTATAAATTTTTGTTCCTACCTCTTTTTTTTTTATACTTTAAGTTTTAGGGTACATGTACACAACGTGCAGGTTTGTTACATATGTATACATGTGCCATGTTGGTGTGCTGCACCCATTAACTCGTTATTTAGCATTAGGTATATCTCCTAATGCTATCCCTCCCCCCTCCCCCCACACCACAACAGGCCCCAGGGTGTGATGTTCCCCTTCCTGTGTCCAAGTGTTCTCATTGTTCAATTCCCACCTATGAGTGAGAACATGCGTTGTTTGGTTTTTTGTCCTTGCAATAGTTTGCTGAGAATGATGGTTTCCAGCTTTTGTTCCTATCTCTTCAGATTTTTTTTTGGATACCTTTTCCTGCTTAAGAGGCCAGGAAGTCTGCCATGGGAGCTGATTATGGGAATATCTTCTGTTTCAGATTTGTCTATAATAAGAGACTAAGAAACGTGGACTGATAAAAGTTAAGGGTATCAGAAAAGTAGACATTATTGGATTATGTAAAATAAAGCCAATGATACAAAATATAGAGCCATAAAATTGAGATTAAGAAACTTTGGGTCTAGCAGGGAATTGGGGAACATTTAAATCAAAGACCAGGTGAAGGGCTTTTGCTCTCTACTGGGCTCCACTTGGTCTGGAAGGCAAGGAACTTGCACAGGGGCCTGGGGTCTTTTCAAATGTTCAGAGATATAAGGGAAACTAAATCTTTTAGTGGTGAGAGGTAGAGAAAGTAATTGCCTGGAGGCAAATTTCATTGGCACTCAGGAAGGGTAAAATTGACCCAGTAAAAGGTTAGTATGGAAGAAGAGAATGCAGAGGAATGAAACAAACAGCAAACAGAGGCACAGGCCTTTCCAGAGGTATCAAAAATAGCAATAGCAGTGAAATACTTTTGGGAATGAACGAATGGCAAAATTCTTGGAAGCCAGAGCCACTGCATGTAAATTCTCGGGGGAAAGAGCATGCTGTAGTTAGCCATGAGCTAGACTTGAGTTCATCATTAGTCATTTCTCTAACAAACCACAAGAGAATGCATGATTAATTAGAAATGTGAGCAATTTTTTAAAATCAGTGAATATAGTTTGTTCCATATGAGGCGTTCTAAAAGTCACAGTAACCTCCTCTAGTGGATATAATTTTAATTTTTAGTATTTTTCTCTAGAAATGTTGATAGATAACTTCAAGGAAACTTGGGACCAAATTCTGCCTCGACATACAGTACTGCCTTTTGAGAACTGCCTGTCTCAGTTTTGTGATCAAACTCTAATAAAATTTTCTTATATAACCTGAGTACTGTGCCAAGAGATTTATGTTCATTATCTTACAAAAGCTCAAATACATGAGTTGAGATTCCTCTCCTGCCCACTGTTAAATGAAGAATCTGCAACTCAGAAAGTTTTCAGTACTTTGTCCAATATTGTAAAACCAATAGGTAACTGTTTCAAATATAAATCATACTAATTCCAAATCTTAAGGGAATGATGGTACACAAAGTAGTGATTTGAGGATTCTTCATCTTCTTCTTCTTTTTTTTTTTTTTCTTTTGGGTCACAGTCTCACTCTGTTGCCCAAGCTGGAGTGCAGTGGCACAATCAAACTCCTGGGCTCAAGTGATCCTCCCACCTCAGCCTCCTGAGCAGCTGGTACTACCCATGCATGTCACCATGCCCAGGTAATTATTTGTAGATACAGGGTCTCTATATTTTGCCTAGGCTGGTCTTGAACTCAAGAGCTCCTCGCATCTCAGGCCTCCCAAAGTGCTGGGATTACAGGCATGAACCACCATGCCCAGCCTTGAGGAATTTTTTTTAACAACCTTCCTCCACAAAGTCAGATTCCTCCACAAAGTCAGGTTAATTGAGGTTTTCTCAATCTTATATAAAATATGAATAAAAGAAATATAAACCTTTCGTTTTTATAGATCTGGTAGCATATAATCTAAATTTTTAAAAAAGGAGCTTGTTCTTAAAAATGCCTCTTCAAAACAGGTCCAATAGCCTTCCCTCTAATCACCAAATTATCCCCTCTGAGCTCTACTTACTCAAAAACTTAGAAGTCACCATTCAACCCTGCTTTTTAGCCATGGAGTAAACAAAGAGAAACCTGCCAATACTGAAAAACTTGAAAATGTGTGATTACCACTCTTCACTTGGTCACTTTCATTATTTGGAATGATATTTCCTTTTTGAGAATTATGTCCTCTCTGGATCTGACACAGTCATAATGTCTTCTGGGCTGACCCCTGATTTTTTCCTATTTTATACAAAAACATCAATTCTAGTGTTCCTAAGTGTCATGCATTAAAATTCTTCATCTCTAAAAAAGGACTAGTGAATATGCAAGTTAGATCAATTTTAGAAGTGGTTTGAAGTAATTGGTAAAATATTTAAAGTTACAAACCAAATCAGAAGAAAGTTCTTAATCTCTGTTCCATCCCTAGGAGATGTTACTGCACCTCATGAATATTTAAAATCAGGTCCACAAATTCAACTACCTAAAAAGGCCAGTAGGTATAAAGGAATGAACTGGGCTCTACGTAGGAACAAAAATTGGAGTCCTAAGCCTATGTAAGGAAGACACATATTGTTAATCATTATCATCTGATTATTGCCCCGAAAAAGCCAAGACTAGCATTGTCAGATTAAATATTTCAAGAGAAACTGTAAATTCAAATTTTCTTAAGTAATGTTTCTGATTTGTAAAGATTTTCAACTAATTTTAAAAAGTTTAAAACAGTGTGGACCAAACAAAACACATTTTTAGCCAATTTAGTCTATATTCTACCAAATTTCAAACTCTGTTATATTCAGTATTTTCAGTAGTGAGTCCCAAGGTTATTCATGCTAATGACCTGTTGACCTACAGCTCTTGGCTCAGGCTTATGTGTGACCATGATTTATATAGAACTAGGGGCATGAAAACTTTTTCTACCAAAGGTCACTAACTCAGCATCTCTCCTGCAATATTGAGAAGTAACAAGAAACCTAATTATTTATCCTATAGGATTTTGGAGAGTGAATAACATAAAGTGGACCACAAAATTATTTAATTGATATGATAAAATATATTTTAGTTCCCAGTAATAACCTATTAGTGTTAGCAAAGAAAGTTGGAAAATAATCAAGATAAAAGGGATAGAGAAAAAAAGAAGGGCATTAGGAGATAATGGTAGGTGGACAACAGAATGCAGGGAAATGAAAAGGGGTAGACAACCATAAGTTGAATACTCTAATAAAAGTATTAGAAGTAAACTTTTTTTTTTGCTACATGATACATTAGAGAAAAGGTCTTTGTCATAGTTAAGACCCAACTCCTGGCTCTAATGATCAGCCCTCTGACTTAAACCTCTCTAAATCTATTTCCTCATCAGTAAAATGGGGATAATATTATCTACTTATGGTATTAATTAAATAAATAAACCAGTTAAATATATGTAAAGTGGCTAGAACAATGGCTATTTCTTAAGCATAAACAAATCTTAATTATCTTTCTTATTATATTATTTTAAATTTAAGCTTTAATTTTCAGTAAAAATTCTTTTTTTCCATTGGTAAATATTTTTATGATGTTTTCATTTTCAAATTTTATTTTTCAAATATAGGCTTTTCTCATGCCTTCGTGAAGATTTCTGGGGTTGACAAAAGGATAATTTGTGTGTGTATGTGTGTGTGTGTGTGTGTTCTTAATTATATCTATCCTAAGTCAGAGTTGCAGGAGCTTATGTCACTCTGCTTAGAGACTTGGTCTTTATGCAAATTCAACTTATATATTTAATTTTCCGTCCATTTAAAAAATTATTTTGGGCAGAGATTAGTTTGGTTTATTTTGGGCTTTGGTTTTTAAAGAGCCCCAAACTGACTGAACTTGATGTATTTATATCATGTAGATATCAGGTGTCATTTTATTTTTTCTTTTGCAGTTTTTATACATTTTCTTTTATTTAAACACTCCATTTTTTTCTGTTTATTATTAACATTTTGCACATAGTTCATAACACAGGACCCAAGGGACTGTAAGATGAAGTCTTTGTTTTATAATATTACTTTTCCTACTAGATACTATGTTGTGTAGTTTATGCACCAGCATTCAATGTAGAACAATTAGTTCAATGGTTAATTACAAGTCTGTCTTGGGTGGACTATTTTTTCTGATATTTACTGATCCTGGAAAGGTTCATATCACTGCTGGATGTCAGCAGAGGTTGAGCCTCTAAGTGGCATTTGTAACAGTAATCAGAGAGATGTCATAAACTGTTCAAGAGTAATATTTGAGTGAATTTGTCCTCTTGATGCCTTAGCTAAATTTCTTAATTAATGTCTGTTTAGATAATATATATGAGCTCACCAGGAAGACCCTACCATTATCTAATTCCTGAACAAAAACAAAATTACCAGTACTATCAGTTCTTCTTTCAGAAATACTTATTTTATCATCCTTTCATATCTTAATATTTGCTTTTAAAACATAGTTGAATTTTTCTAAATAATTATAAAGGGTTTTCTTGCAGTTGAACAGAAATTATGCCTTTCTTCTTCCACATTTATTTTCTCACTACAGTGCTAAAAGAATTCACTTCTACAACCCACCCAAATCAATGACTAAGCTGGTGGTTTGTATTTCATAAACAAGGCATTATTCCTTTTAATTTCATCCCCTATATTAGGATCTTCTTTCTTGCTTCTTTCTTTTTTATTTTTTAGTTCTTGCCAAGTGATTTTATTAGGCTCACAGCTCTGTGGTCCAGCTTCTAAAATTGTCAGCTTAAGTTAGAAATATGTGTCATTACAGTCATTCCGAAGTATTAAGAAAAGCAGAAATCTGGTGACATGAGAACTTGAAGAAAAAGAAAGTTGGCAAAGACTGACAATGGTTAGATTGGTTCTTGGCAGTGCTAGAGATATGAATTTTGTCATCTTTATTATCATTTTTTCCATTCCTGGAAGTAAAGTAATTTTGGAGGTAATTATAACTTCATATATTTAGCACTTATTTTGCCATTTTCTCACAAACATGTATATTTTTAAGTAAACTAAAAAGTTTTATTTAATTAATAGAATTTTAAAAGAAAAATTATTTAATTGTTGCCTACTATATCCATATAGCAGCTTTCAAATGCATGCTTTCATTCTCTGTCAACACTCACACACATACAGTATTACATAATATACATATGTGTGTGTATACACACACGCATACACACAGTCCATTTTTGTTATTTGTGGATTTCATTTTTGTGAATTGGCCTACTTGCTAAAATTTATTTGTGACTCCCAGACCAATATGGGTGGTGCTTTTCTGGTCATTCATGGACATGTGTATGCACAGAGTGGGAAAAAATGTGAGTTGGTCCCAGGCACACATTCCCCCAGCTCAGGTCAAAGTGTGGCATCACCTTCTTGTTGCAGATCTCCTACTGTTAATAAGTGTTTTTATTCACAGTCTGGTGAATTTTTCACATTTTTGTGCTTTTTGTTGATTATTTCTCTATTTAAAATGGCCTCCAAGTATGTGCTGAAATGCTATCTAGTATTGCTAGACACAAGAGTGCTGTGATGTACCTTAGGAAGGACGTATGTTTGTTAGATATGCTTCATTTAGATATAGTCAGTCAGTGCTGCTGACTGTGAATTCAATGTCATTGAGTAAACAATGTATACTAAATAAGGTGTGTTGAAACAGAAACACACATAAAACAAGGTTATATATTGATGTGATGACCAGAGGCTCCCTGAAACCTAACCCTGTGTTTCCTCTAGGAGTGATAATTCAGTATTCATAGATACAGCATTTATGGTGACTTTATAGAATGTTACTACCATAAATAATATGAATACACTCTATATAACTTATTAAGTTTTAAATTTATACTATTCACATATATATATATAATCACATATGCACCTATTCACACACGTAAGTACACATTTATTTTTAACTAGCTCTCTAGTTACACTACCAAAGTTTGAGGAACACTGGTTTACTAGGATATGAAGTTGAAGGGCATAAGAATTTACAGTTTAGATTCAATTGGCTAACAAAGGTGCCTAGAATTGTTTCTGTTTTTCTTGTGAAATAGCCATTGCAACAATTGGATCAGTCTATTATTTTAGTAATAACTCATTTTCTGGGAGTTAAACAGACTCCAGACACTTTCCATCATAAATCTATGGTTTCTGGTTCCTGCTTATTGCTGTCATCTTCTCTGCCAGCTCACATTTCGCTCTCTCTTCCTGAGAAATTATTAAGCAGAAAGAGAGTGGAGTGAAATATTTAAGGTTTTGAAAGGAAGTAGAGGTAGAGAAACTAGGTGCTTTCTCCCTAAGATTGGGAGCCAAGGATGTCTCCATTTACCAGTCCTTTTAAACATCATACTAGATGTTCTAAGTAATACAATAAGTTCAATAAATAAAAGTGTGTATGTTGATTTAGAAGAAGTTTATCCTCAGAATACATGACTTCCTAATTAGAAAAATCCAAATAATTGACAAAAAACTTCTGCAATGAAGAAAAATCTATAGTGTGGTTGCAGGATATAAAGTTAATATATAAAAGTCAATTGTTTCCTATATACTAGCAATGTAGAATTGAAATTTGTTTTTTGTTCTTTTTTTGGGGGGGGTTTGTTTTGTTTTGTTTTGCTTTGTTTTTTTGAGAGGAAGTCTCGCTCTGTCACCCAGGCTGGAGTGCAGTGGCATGATCTCGGCTCAATGCAGCCTCCACTGCCCAGATTCAAGCGATTCTCCTGCCTCAGCCTCCCGAGTAGCTGGACTACAGGCATGCGTCGCCATGCCCAGCTAAGTTTTGTATATTTAGTAGAGACAAGGTTTCACCATGTTGGCCAGGATGGTCTTCATCTCCTGACCTCATGATCCACCCGCCTCGGCCTCCCAAAGTGCTGGAATTACAGGTGTGAGCCATCCCGCCCAGCCTGAAATTTGTTTTTAAGATATCACTATGTTGATCAGGCTGATCTCAAACTCCTGAGCTCAAGATACGATCCCACCATAGCCTCCCAAGTATCTGAGATTACAAGTGACTGTTACTGTACTCAGCTCAACTGGAATTGGAAATTAAAAGTATAATGCCATTTACCTTAATAACAAAAGATTAAGTGTTCAATTATTAATCTAACAAAATGTGTACAAGATCTATTTGAGGGAAACAACAAAATTCTGATGAAAGAAATCAAAGAAGATCTAAATTAATTAAGAGATATTCTATGTTTCTGGATAGTAATATTCTATATTGTTAAGATATTATTTCTTCCCAAATCGAAGTACTGATGCAATGTAATCTCAATCAAAATACTAGCATAATTTGTCATGATTGCCAAAAACCAGAAGAAATCAACATGCCCTTCATTAGTTAATGGATAAACAAGCTGCAGCATGCAAGAGAACACTATTCATCAATAAAGAAGTGAAGACCCTAAGCCACAAAAAGACATGGAGGAAAGTTGAGTGTATATTGCTACATAAAAAAAGTAAATTTGAAAAGCTATGTACTATATGATTCTAAATATATAACATTCTAGAAAAGACACAACTATAGAGACAGTAAGAACAGTGAATACCAGAGGTTTGAGGAGGTGGAATGGGGATGGAGCACAGGGGATTTAATAAGTCTACTCTTATTAAGTAAGGGAGAGTAGTAAGTCTGCTCTCCATGATAGCACAATGGTGGCTGTATGGCATTATGGAGTCATCAAAACCCTAGAACTGCAAAATATTGATAGAGAATCCTAATGTAAACTGTGGACTTTAGTTAATAATAATATATCAGTTTATTAGGCAACAAATGTGCCACACTCATGTAAGATGTTAATAATAAGGGAAACCATGAGCAGTAAGAGGTGATTCATGGGAACTTTCTGTACTATCTGCTCAATTTGTTGTAAACCTAAAACTCATCTAAAACATAAAGTCTGTTAATTTTTTAAAGTTTATATTAGATATTTAATTTGTAAAAGATTATTTTATCCCATCTTTTACTTTCTTGTGTCAAATAATGAAAACTAGTTTTAAAAATGATCATTACGAGTCATTATAGAAATACTGAGAAGACTTGTACATGTGTGTAAAATAATTGATTGTGATAAAAATTGACTACAGTGATGCTTAAGTTGCTAGAAGGTATTTTAAGTCGTGGAGAGGAAGAGAGAGGTAGTGATTCCAGCAGGGAAAACAGCATGTGTTGACTCAAGAAGACAGAGTAACGATGTTGTGAGACAATGAAGTGGGAGGCAGTGGCATATGATAGAGGTTATTTAGAAAAGTAGGTTAGATTAAAGTTATGAAGAAGTTTTGATGCCAGGGGAGGTGTTTATCCAAACCTGTAGACATAACAGTAACATGAACAAAGTAGTGTTTTAAGGATTAAATAATGTCCATGGGAATATACTTAGTCCAATGTCTGGAATATTGAAGGGACTCTATAAATGTTAAATTTCTTGTCTTTTCAGATAATTATTTTCATGGTTAAATCAACTCTCAAGCAATATTAAGTGGGTGAGTCATAATAACCAACCACTTGGGACAAAATATAATTAGTACCCTAAATTAAAATTACGTTAAAATACATTTTCCTCCTTCAGTCACAATGCTAATTGATTAACGTATATGTCATATTTTTATTTAGATTGCAAGCTTCTAAAGGGCAGAGCATTAAAATTTTATCATTAGAAACAGAACTTTCTATATAGAGTGGTTATTAATCAAATATTGCTTAGGTATTAAATGAATCATTAGGATGCAATTGATAAGATATGATTAGAACTCAGACTGATTAAAATGCTCTGTAATTTGGATGATCCGTGCTGCTCTTCACTATTCAAGCACAAAATAACTAAATTCTTCTCTTTCTCTGATAGGCTAAGGGTATGATGATTCTTAAGTGTCCATTACTTGAAAAAAATTATTTAACAGACATATGTAGACAATTTTCTTATATAAACTAAAGTGTTCTCAGTTGATTCTCTACTTAAGACAATTTAATTTCCACAGATCTTGGTGACATTATTTGAGCATTTAATGAATATTAATACTTATTCACCAAAAAATCTAGTCCAAGTGATTTACAGTCACTCAGAACCTTAGAGATGAGGAAATGAGGAGGTATCACATAATGAGGCAAGGACCCTACAATGGCCAAAGAGTTTCATGATGAGGGGAATGTAATTAGTGAAAGAACAAAGCTTCTGTATCTGACTGCTAATTAACCTATTCACAGTTAAATCAAGAAGAAAAAAAAGCTTTGGGGAAAAAAGGTCATCCTATCTTCAAGCAGACTTTTGAGACTGCTATTTCTCTTTTTCATTTCTGTGAGATTTCATTGTTTAGTCTAAAATCTGAAATGACAACTTTTGATGTATAAAATCTAATATTAAAACCTTGAATTTCTAAACTTCAAGATTGTTCAGCATGATTTTTTTCAGTACATCAAGATTTCAGCTTGTTTTTTTTCAGTACATTGTGTTTTCTACTTTAAAAATACATATTTCAGAAGGCACTACTCATCATCCCCCAGTACTCTTAACTATCATCATTAGATTCAATTGATTAGATTTAATTCATTAGATATTTAATATTTTAAAACTCAGTAGACATATATCACTTAAAATAACTATGGTTAACATCTATTAAAGATATTTGTTTATTGCAAAAATTTTCTCCCATTCTGTTGGTTGCCTGTTCACTCTGATGGTAGTTTCTTTTGCTGTGCAGAAGCTCTTTAGTTTAATTAGATCCCGTCTGTCAATTTTGGCTTTTGTTGCCATTGCTTTTGGTGTTTTAGACATGAAGTCCTTGCCCATGCCTATGTCCTGAATGGTATTGCCTAGGTTTTCTTCTAGGGTTTTTATGGTTTTAGGTCTAACATTTAAGTCCTTAATCCATCTTGAATTAATTTTTGTATAAGGTATAAGGAAGGGATCCAGTTTCAGCTTTCTACATATGGCTAGCCAGTTTTCCCAGCACTATTTATTAAATAGGGAATCCTTTCCCCATTTCTTGTTTTTCTCAGGTTTGTCAAAGATCAGATAGTTGTAGATATGCGGCATTATTTCTGAGGGCTCTGTTCTGTCATCTGAGAAAGGGCTAATATCCAGAATCTACAATGAACTCAAATTTACAAGAAAAAAACAACCCCATCAAAAAGTGGGCAAAGGATATGAACAGACAATTCTCAAAAGAAGACATTTATGCAGCCAAAAGACACATGAAAAAATGCTCATCATCACTGGCCATCAGAGAAACGCAAATCAAAAACACAATGAGATGGTATCTCATTGTGCCATTCTAACACCAGTTAGAATGGCAATCATTAAAAGGTCAGGAAAAAACAGGTGCTGGAGAGGATGTGGAGAAATAGGTACACTTTTACACTGTTGGTGGGACTGTAAACTAGTTCAACCATTGTGGAAGTCAGTGTGGCGATTCTTCAGGGATCTAGAACTAGAAATACCTTTTGACCCAGCCATCCCATTACTGGGTATATACCCAAAGGACTATAAAACATGCCGCCATAAAGACACATGCACATGTATGTTTATTGAGGCACTATTCACAATAGCAAAGACTTGGAACCAACCCAAATGTCTGACAATGATAGACTGGATTAAGAAAATGTGGCACATATACACCATGGAATACTATGCAGCCATAAAAAATGATGAGTTCATGTCCTTTGTAGGGACACGGATGAAGCTGGAAACCATCATTTGCAGCAAACTATCACAAGGACAAAAAACCAAACACCGCATGTTCTCACTCATAAGTGGGAATTGAACAATGAGGACACATGGACACAGGAAGGGGAACATCACATACCGGGGCCCGTTGTGGGGTGGGGGGAGGGGGAAGGGATAGCATTAGAAGGTATACCTAATGTTAAATGAAGAGTTTATGGGTGCAGCACACCAACATGGCACATGTATACATATGTAACAAACCTGCACGTTGTGCACATGTACCCTAAAACTTAAAGTATAATAAAAAATAAAAAAAGCTATTTGTTTATGTAAGTTACAAATATTATTTTTAAAAATCAGCTTATGTTCTTACACCTTGACTAGGTCGTTGACCATGTTCAAGGTGATCTGCCTTTTTGTTTCTGTCTCTATCATCAGTGTTGTAGTGGTGGCCCCATCATCATATTGATGACTCAGCCTATGATTATATATGCAGGACAAAAGGGGAAACAACTTCACATAATCTGCATGAATCAAAGTGCTAAAATAGTTTTAGTTCAGTCCCCTAGATCCAGACTCCAGAAGAGTTGGGGACAGCAAAAATACACTACAGATTTACAGTTTTTGTCCATAACATTGTAAACTAAAGAAAGCTAATTCTCCACTTATTAGTTCTCATCAGCATAAGGGGCTGGCCTCATATTTACTCTAAAAGATTTGAAAGGGGTTGCAGTTTAACTTAAGAAAATAGTCTCATACAAATTCACAGTCTCATAAAATGGAGAAAGCATTCCAATAAATGTATTACCCGATTTGAACATTGCATTTCATTGATAGAGTGTTGGGTTTCATGGTACTGGTAACTGATGGAAGTTGAAGAACAAGGTTCTGGAAAGCAATTTTAGTTGGCATAGTTCAGAGAAAGAAGTTCTTTCATATTCCCCCCAAAGTATTTTACAGAGTATATTATTAAAATTCTTTACTTCAGAAGATTTTATTTACTAAACAGCCTAAAAACAGTGAGCCTCCCTTTAAGATCTTGCTTACACTGTAGAAGATAGGGAGAACAGAATGAATCAACCAGATTCCCAGAAAACGTTTGTAGGTGAATAGCAAAGTGAGTGTATAGTTGGCTGAGTCATGAGATGTCATAAAGATTTGTAGCTGGCTGGTCCCTGAGGTATTTTTCAGAATGATTTGAACACATTTAGAGAGTTCTTGAGGAAGTTGTTTCTTCAAGGCATTTGTGTGTGCATGTGTGTGTGTGTGAGAGAGAGAGAAACCAGAATGTACTTCAGCACACAGTCTATTGCAGAGCAGTTCTGAAACTTAAGCATGCAGTATCAGTTGAACGTCTTGTGAAAACACAGGTTGCTTGGCTTCAATCTCAGAATATTTTATCCACTGAGCCTAGGATGGGACCTAAAAATTTGCATTTCCAACATGTCCTCAGATGATGCTGATGCTGCTGGTCTGGGGACCCCATTTGGGGAATTCTAACTGCTCTGGAGCAGATTCAGTCCACCGTATAGCCATAGATTAACTAAATAACTTGGAAGTCAACGAATTCCACCTTCTAGATCCTGTTTTAGCAATATCTTTCTAAGAACTTTTTGAATTTGAAGCCAGCTGTCTGGCTTCTGTCTGTGTCCCCTTGGAGTACAAATCCAAATAACATGTTGCTAAATTTCGTTTCCTTTTCATCATGTCCTGTTTTTCCCTGGGTTGATAAATCTTTGAAATTGTTCAGAAATGTTCAATAATTTGGTTCAGTGCTCTTGGTCCCAAAATAAATGAGATACTATGAGAAATTATAGGCTTTTTAAATAAAGACAAATAAAGGTAATACTTTTAAAATTAAATTTTAGATAACTACCACTTGCATACCTTGAACTAACAGTATTTGAAACTTATGCATGAAATGTATTCCAAATGAAAATATCATCTCTGTGTTTATGCCTGTTTCACATTCACAGTTTTTTTGAAACTTAAGAATTGGACTGGATTATGCTAACATTTCTGAAAAATAACTGCAACTTACCTCCTCCAAATACCTGAGGAAATAGAACAAAAACACTAGTAATTCCCCTAATACTCCTTCAAAACTCTATATTAGTATACACTTTTTTCAAATGCATGGATTGAGTTAATTATTTACTTTAAGGTATACGCAGGTACTATATGTAGAAATTAAAACTTATCTTGAAAACATTTTGTTATCTCTACTTTCTACTTCTCAACTGTTTGCCAAGCATACACTATACATTTTTCCCCTTTGTCCTTTTATTTTTCCTTATCTTATTTCTAACCATACAATCTTGAAAAAAAGGATATTTGAGTATATTTTTGATGAATGTTTTATGGATATGTCATAATCTGTCTCATCTATTTTTAGAGGTAAAAATCCCTGATGGGAAAGACATTGTCTTTCAATGCAACATGTACCGCACGACTCGTATAATTTTTTGGGTATTTAATAACTTTTACATCACCATCATTGATATTATTATCATCAATCATAGACGCTGTTCTCAGCTCTGATTCAATTAGATGTAGAGAAAAAAGACGTCTCTTATGTTTCTGATTGCTGTTCAGCATAACAGCTCCCCTTTTTAAAAACACATCTGCTCTCTTTCAAGTAATTTTTGTGTGCCTCTCAGATCTGTAATGGTGGTACCTTCAAATTAGTGTCAGAGAAGTTAATTGAAATGAGCTAGCAGTTACTGATGAAAGTAAGTGCTGGGTTCAGCATGACAGTACTAACCTGTTTCCACGTGGCTAACCAGTATTGCACAAAAGTAAATCATTGAAATGTAGTCATTCTCTTAATCATCTAATGGTTTTATTACTTACGTATAGACAAATGCACACAGGGCACCCTGTTGTCTTCAGTAAGGTCATTGAGTAATCATTAGGGTCGAGTAAACAAGGGTTATACTGCCCTTCTCAACATTGTAAACTTACCTGCTTATATACATCCTATAATTATGGAGCAGAAATATAAAATATAAAATGAGTTTCACTGATACATAGGTTTACAGAGCCTGTAACCAGAGACACCATTTGTCCCTTCGAAAAGCTAAAATATTTTAGAACCTGAAAGATGTGTTGAATTAATTTTCATCTATGGAGTGCTTTGTTCAAATGTAATTTTATTTGGTAGCATTTTATGTGAAAGAGATAAAAGCATAAGTTGTGAATGAAGTCAAATTGGGAGGTCAGCTGGTTGAACTGCTTTTCACACCAGCAGTTCCCAAGAAGCCTCCACAGTAAGACAAGGGATGTCAAAGCAGCATAAAAACTTCACTATTTGAAAGTTAATCAGTGGTCAGTTTTTTCTCCAAAGCGTTTATCACAATATAACATACCATGCACAGCATTTTATTTTCTTACTTATTAATTACTTTAATTGCGATCTAAGTTCTATGGAGGGAGGGCCTTTTTTTTGTTTGTTTGCTACATCATAGGTATTCAAAAGTATTTGATGAATGAATGAATGCATGGATGAATATGTTTACTAATTAGCACAGTGAAAGAACAAAATTAGATTTCCAGAATCAAAGAAAAAGTGAGACACAGTCACTGACCCAAAAGAACACACGGAGAATTTGGAGCAGATTAAATGTCCAAAAGAAACAACTAATAATATAAAGCCAGTACATACTAGATAGCTTTCCAATGGTAGAGGAACAGTGTACTAACATAATTCGGAAGAGAGGAAACTGGGTCAAGAAGATCAGGAAAAAATCAATAGGGGAAATGAAGAAAGAAAGTAGCTAACTAAATGTGTGGCCTTAAATAATGTGCTTAAACTGTCTAGGTCTCACTGTCCTCATATAAAATGTTTTTTAGCTAAGTAACCAGCAAGAACCCCAGGAGTTTTAGACACAAAAAGGATTCTTTGAATGGATGGTAAAAACCTAAACTAGATTGGAGACAATTTGTCTGCAAATTTGCCTTGGGAACTAAGTAAGGTTTAGTGCAGTATAGAGTTCATAAGAGTCTAAACTAAAATTTTCTTTAAAAACTGCAGTATACTGACTTCCTGTGCAATAGATTAGTTTTGCTCCTTTTGGAACTTCCTATAAGTAGAATCTTATGTGATGGACTACTTTCTTGCTTCTTTCACTTAACATTGTGTTTATGACATTTATAAACTTATAACTTTAATGACTAATATATTTTTAAATATTACTTTTTTGTGTCACCATCACCTGAATACTGTTCATTATACCCATTAAGAAATTACTCACCCCGGCTGGGCACAGTGGCTCATGCCTGTAATCCCAGCACTTTGGGAGGCCGAGGCAGGTGGATCACTTGAGGTCAGGAGTTCGAGACCAGCCTGGCCAACATTGTGAAACCCCATCTCTACTAAAAAATACAAAAATTAGCCAGGCATGGCTATAACCATGGCACAGGAGGCTGAGTTCAATCACTTGAACCCGGGAGGTGGAGGTTGCAGTGAGCCGAGATCGCGCCACTGTACTCTGACCTGGCAACCTGGGTGATGGAGTGATACCCTGCCTCAAAAAAAAAAAAAAAATTACTCATCCCTCATCCCCATCCCATCCCTTCCAAGTCTCCAGTGTCTATTATTCCACACTCTATGTCCATGTGTACAAATTTAGCTCCCACTTATAAGTGAGAACATACAGTATTTGACTTTCTGTTTCTACTTTTTGAAAATCAATTATTGTTCTTTTTTCCTCAATATTACCTGCTTATTAATTATTTAAAATTATTCTGTTATTCCTCTTTATTATTTTTAGTTCTCTTTTACATTCACTTAGTAATTTTATGCTAAATATTAGAAAAAGTCTTAAAGATGTCCCAGGATCTCTTTAAAATTTCGCAAATTATTGGGAATCCCAAAGATTTTTTGATAATGCAGGCTACATATATTGATATTTACCATATTAGACATTAAAACTGAAAAAGTGTTAAAACAAAGAATACACAACTACCTGTTACATTAGTCATTAGAGCAAGGATAATGCCACATGTTATGTTACCTTTGGAAAACTTCACTATGTAATAAGAGAGTGAAAGCAAAAAAGCAAGTAATATTTAGTATTATTATGAAAATAATTGTCACTGCACACATTCCCTGAAATTTTCTTTTTTGGAACTTGCTATCCTGGAGATTCAACATGAATACTTAATTTATCAGACTCTACTGTAGATTCATATTTTTTGTGTAATTTCTGCCCCTTGATTGTGGTGTGAATAAAGTGACTCACTTCTAAGGAATAGAATGAAGCAAAAGTGGTGGGGTGCAGATTCCATGATTAAGTTTCAAAAAAGATTTTGGCACGTGTGCATTCTTACTCCCTCTGGATTCACAGAGAATCTGGGAGAAGCCAGATGCCATTTTACAAAGGCTTTGTGGAAAGGACCACATGAAGAGCCTCTGAGGAAATACTTCCCTAATCAAGCCTTGAGATGAATGCAGGCCCGGCCCAACCTTGATTGCAGCCTCATGAGAGATCCTAATACCCAACCATCCAGTGAAGGACTCCCAGATTCCTAATCCGCAGAGGCCGTGAGATAATAAATGTTTATTGTTTCAAGCTGCTAAATTTCAGGGTTGTTATACAACAGTATATAACCTGGTATACCTGGTGCATGATTTCCATGCTTTACTTTCACATTTCCATACTTTTATATCTAAATGCTTTTTTTTTTAATTCTGTAGAAGACTTTAGGGAATTATTTGTATTATTTGTTCGATTTGCATATTTATTTGTAAATTTAAGTTCATATCTACTATTTTTACTCTTTTGAATTTAACACAATTATGTTACATTATTTTATATTTCCTTATTCTCTTATTTTGGATACTCAATTTTTAAATTATATTCATATCTCTGTGTTAATGTGTTATTTATTATTTTTTCCCTATTTTCTTTGTGGTTATCCTGGCAATTATGACATACATAATTATTTAAGTCAATTAAAAAATCTAACTTTTTCACCTTCTCTTAGTAATTCTGAAACCACACAAAAAATCAACTTAGCTGACTTCTTTCTACACATGTGCCTATGTTTTAGTTCCATATGTATTTAAAATCTCATAAGACATTAGAATAATTATTCTGTATAATCAGTATTGTGTTTACTTACATGGTTACTCTTTTGTGTGTTCTTTATTCCATCAAGTATTTTCTAACTTCCAGAGTAATCATTTTATTCTGCCTGAAAAATTATCTTTGCTATTTATTTTAGAGTAGGCTTCCATGTAACGAATATTTCACTTTTTGTTGTTTAAAAATGACCCTCATATTTTGCCCTCATATTTGAATAATATTTTCCCTGGGAATAGAAATTTTGTTTGACATTTATTCTATGTTAGCATATTAAGGATGTCATACCAGTAGACAATAGAATGTCTACTGGTTTCTATAATTTCTTTTTTTAAATTATTATTATTATACTTTAAGTTTTAGGGTACATGTGCACAATGTGCAGGTTAGTTACATATGTATACATGTGCCATGCTGGTGCGCTGCACCCACAAACTCGTCATCTAGCATCAGGTATTTCTCCCAATGCTATCCCTCCCCCCTCCCCACACCCCACAACAGTCCCCAGAGTGTGATGTTCCCCTTCCTGTGTCCATGTGTTCTCATTGTTCAATTCCCACCTATGAGTGAGAATATGCAGTGTTTGGTTTTTTGTTCTTGTGATAGTTTACTGAGAATGATGATTTCCAATTTCATCCATGTCCCTACAAAGGACATGAAGTCATCATTTTTATGGCTGCATAGTATTCCATGGTGTATATGTGCCACATTTTCTTTATCCAGTCTATCATTGTTGGACATTTGGCTTGGTTCCAAGTCTTTGCTATTGTGAATAGTGCTGCAATAAACATACGTGTGCATGTGTCTTTATAGCAGCATGATTTATAGTCCTTTGGGTATATACCTAGTAATGGCATGGCTGGGTCAAATGGTAGTTCTAGTTCTAGATCTCTGAAGAATTGCCACACTGACTTCCGCAGTGGTTGAACTAGTTTACAGTTCCAACAACAGTGTAAAAGCGTTCCTATTTCTCCACATCCTCTCCAGCACCTGTTGTTTCCTGACTTTTTAATGATTGCCATTCTAACTGGTGTGAGACGGTATCTCATTGTGGTTTTGATTTGCATTTCTCTGATGGCCAGTGATGGTGAGCATTTTTTCATGTGTTTTTTGGCTGCATAAATGTCTTCTTTTGAGAAGTGTCTGTTCATGTCCTTCGTCCACTTTTTGATGGGGTTGTTTGTTTTTTTCTTGTAAATTTGTTTGAGTTCATTGTAGATTCTGGATATTAGCCCTTTGTCAGATGAGTAGGTTGTAAAAATTTTCTTCCATTGTGTAGGTTGCCTGTTCACTCTGATGGTAGTTTCTTTTGCCGTGCAGAAGCTCTTTAGTTTAATTAGATCCCATTTGTCAATTTTGTCTTTTGTTGCCATTGCTTTTGGTGTTTTAGACATGAAGTCCTTGCCCATGCCTATGTCCTGAATGGTAATGCCTAGGTTTTCTTCTGGGGTTTTTATGGTTTTAGGTCTAACATTGAAGTCTTTAATCCATCTTGAATTGATTTTTGTATAAGGTGTAAGGAAGGGATCCAGTTTCAGCTTTCTACATATGGCTAGCCAGTTTTCCCAGCACCATTTATTAAATAGGGAATCCTTTCCCCATTGCTTGTTTTTCTCAGGTTTGTCAAAGATCAGAGAGTTGTAGATATGCGGCATCATTTCTGAGGGCTCTGTTCTGTTCCATTGATCTATATCTCTGTTTTGGTACCAGTACCATGCTGTTTTGGTTACTGTAGCCTTGTAGTATAGTTTGAAGTCAGGTAGTGTGATGCCTCCAGCTTTGTTCTTTTGGCTTAGGATTGACTTGGCGATGCGGGCTCTTTTTTGGTTCCATATGAACTTTAAGGTAGTTTTTTCCAATTCTGTGAAGAAAGTCATTGGTAGCTTGATGGGGATGGCATTGAATCTGTAAATTACCTTGGGCAGTATGGCCATTTTCACGATATTGATTCTTCCTACCCATGAGCATGGAATGTTCTTCCATTTGTTTGTATCCTCTTTTATTTCCTTGAGCAGTGGTTTGTAGTTCTCCTTGAAGAGGTCCTTCACATCCCTTGTAAGTTGGATTCCTAGGTATTTTATTCTCTTTGAAGCAATTGTGAATGGGAGTTCACTCATGATTTGGCTCTCTGTTTGTCTGTTGTTGGTGTATAAGAATGCTTGTGATTTTTGTACATTGATTTTGTATCCTGAGACTTTGCTGAAGTTGCTTATCAGCTTAAGGAGATTTTGGGCTGAGACAGTGGGGTTTTCTAGATATACAATCATGTCATCTGCAAATAGGGACAATTTGACTTCCTCTTTTCCTAATTGAATACCCTTTATTTCCTTCTCCTGCCTGATTGCCCTGGCCAGAACTTCCAACACTATGTTGAATAGGAGTGGTGAGAGAGGGCATCCATGTCTTGTGCCAGTTTTCAAAGGGAATGCTTCCAGTTTTTGCCCATTCAGTATGATATTGGCTGTGGGTTTGTCATAGATAGCTCTTATTATTTTGAGATACATCCAATCAATACCGAATTTATTGAGAGTTTTTAGCATGAAGCGTTGTTGAATTTTGTCAAAGGCCTTTTCTGCATCTATTGAGATAATCATGTGGTTTTTGTCTTTGGTTCTGTTTATATGCTGCATTACATTTATTGACTTGCGAATGTTGAACCAGCCTTGCATCCCAGGGATGAAGCCCACTTGATCATGGTGGATAAGCTTTTTGATGTGCTGCTGGATTCGGTTTGCCAGTATTTTATTGAGGATTTTTGCATCAATGTTCATCAAGGATATTGGTCTAAAATTCTCTTTTTTGGTTGAGTCTCTGCCAGGCTTTGGTATCAGGATGATGCTGGCCTCATAAAATGAGTTAGGGAGGATTCCCTCTTTTTCTATTGATTGGAATAGTTTCAGAAGGAATGGTACCAGTTCCTCCTTGTACCTCTTGTAGAATTCAGCTGTGAATCCATCTGGTCCTGGACTTTTTTTGGTTGGTAAGCTATTGATTATTGCCACAATTTCAGATCCTGATATTGGTCTATTCAGAGATTCAACTTCTTCCTGGTTTAGTCTTGGGAGAGTGTATGTGTCGAGGAATTTATCCATTTCTTCTAGATTTTCTAGTTTATTTGTGTAGAGGTGTTTGTAGTATTCTCTGATGGTAGTTTGTATTTCTGTGGGATCGGTGGTGATATCCCGTTTATCATTTTTTATTGTGTCTATTTGATTCTTCTCTCTTTTTTTCTTTATTAGTCTTGATAGCGGTCTATCTATTTTGTTGATCCTTTCAAAAAACCAGCTCCTGGATTCATTAATTTTTTGAAGGGTTTTTTGTGTCTCTGTTTCTTTCAGTTCTGCTCTGATTTTAGTTATTTCTTGCCTTCTGCTAGCTTTTGAATGTGTTTGCTCTTGCTTTTCTAGTTCAATTTCTGTTGTGCATTTAACTCAGTATTACTGCATTTCCTTCCTTCACTGCATCTTAGCCTGAAGTTTTGGGTGGATGTGTCCTAATGCTTTCAAATAGCAAGTTTAGAAACAAATTTAGCCTCTTTTTATAGTTGTTCTAAGACAGAGGGATGATCACTTATTACTTATTAAAATGGCCCAAAGCAGAAGTCTAGGTGGTCATTCTTAAGTAAGGATTAATTCTCTAATTTTGCTAGACATTTTATTTGTTAGGGTGGAGGACTTTGTCTTTTGTAGAATAAAAAAAATAACTTAGTTGCAGCCTTTTCATAATTTTAACATTGTGATTGAACAATAAAATTGCCTTTGATATTATTTTTATTACACTTTGTATAGGAAGAACATTAAAGTCAAAGATGGTAAGGACAACAGAGATAGACTCATTCATTATGCCTTATGGCTGCTATATACAATATATCAGTTTGGGAAAGAATGAGACATAGGGAGAATTGAGTCTAAAAAGAAATAAGTTGATGTAAATCTTTAGGGAAAACTGACAGCCCTTTCTTGTAGATAGAATTTTATTCCACAGAAAAACGAGGGGTTACATGAATCATATTAGTTATAGCAAGATCACAAACCATAATCACATTGTGGTTTAGAAGGACACAGCTTTTATAAAACACAAAGAAAAGGAGAGTAATATTAAAATTGGTGAAGTTATTGAATAGGCTATTAAAACTGTTGAAGTAAGTGAAAGTTGATTTAGTGCTGAGAAGTATCACTAGATATAGAAAAGATGAAATGGAGTTACATGATATTTCAGGGAAGTAGGCATTGGGCTTGATTACGAATTGGACATGGAAAGGAAAGATACAAAATGAGTAGGGCACTAAATTAGTTAAGTGTTTATTAAATAAAAATAAATTACTTAGATAGAAATTGTGTTTTTAGAAATTTACATATCAAGAACATTGATCAAAGCTAATTCTGAAGCTCTCTTAGCACTCATGAAAGTAATCACTATTGAAGAAGGTTGGATTCATGATATGGCATTAGAGGAGAAGGGAGGGTTCTTTCACAGAAGAAACACATATTTGTATAACAAAATGATGTCTTTGTATTGGACAATGGGTAATGCAGGAGACCCAGGGGAGAAGCACTATGGGCACAGTGGGAACCTGAAGTACTTTCTCTTGGACTCTGGTGGAAGTTATTCTTCACTTCTCTATTTAATGACTCAGCCTCTGATACAAAGCCAGCTAGCACTGAAGATTCATTGGCTAGTAAGAATGGCAAAGAATAAGACACATAAAAAATAATAAAAGAGAAATTATGAAATCTCTGCCTTTCATCTGTGTTCACTATGTTAATTAATGTGGTAATTCTTGACAAAGGAACTAACATACCAAACTGGACCTGGGGAAGGAGTGAATGTTTTATAACTGTTGGATGTTTGATGAAAGGGCACAGTAATTGTTAAAGAGTACTAAAAAACTTACAGTATATAAGCAACTAAATAGTGATGTTGCTGGTATTAAAATTAATAGTTATTTTGTGGGAAACTTGGAAAATTTTTGTAAGAAGAAAATAGAACAAAAACGTTATTATCTTGGCATACAGAGATAATGACTGATAATAGTTTAGAAATAAGCTTTCATATTTTTCCCTAAATTTATCCCAAATAGGCTCAAATCTGTTTAGGAATAGAGGCATAATTCTAGGAACAATATATAGTTTTCATAAAATAAGAAAGTAGTCACTTATTTAGCCATGGAAATAAATGCAATAAAAATACTCTAATTTGAAAACTTCCCTTTTGTTACTTTAATTCGATTAAGTAAAAACCATATATCTTTATAATAAGAAAACATAATATAAATGTTATTTGAAAATTGGAAGCAGACATTCCTTACTCTAAGTTGGAAGATGAATCTTTCATCATCATTAAATCTGTACAAAATTTTGAGAACTATTTTCCACATAATATTAAATATAGTAACTGTTTTAAAAATCCATGATTGCCTGTATGACTATTGGAAACCAAGAAAAGACTCCTTGGTAATGGCAAAATCCAGAGGAATTAGGAGCCCCTATGCCTAAAACAGTAGTCCCTTTCCTGGAGTCATTTCCATTTTCCAGGAATGCTTCCCCATTCACTAACCAGTAATGAGTCATCTCAAATATGGAGGCAAATACACAAGCAAGACTCATTTAACATTTTAGGAATGCAACACCATAAAATGGAGGTACCACACTCAACAAACAGAAAACCTGAAACCCAAGGAGAGAGATTTATAACACACTAAGAAGAAAAAATTGAAATAAATATAATTTATCTTCTCAGAGATATTTGAAAGATGATGACATTCAAAAGAAGAAATTGGTGGGGAATTATAAAATTAAAAATTTGATTTTTGAAATAAAAATCTCAATTAATTTGAATAAGAATGATTATGGCTGAAGAGAAAATTAGTAGGCTAAAAATAATTAAGCTAAGAGAATCTTTCAAAATGTAGCTGAAGAAGATAAAAAGAAAGTTAAATAAAAAGTAACTCTGAGCATTCAATTTCCACATAGCAAGTGATAAATAAGAAAAAACAAGTGATTTACAAATAAAAGTATAGAAAGCCATCATAGAAAAAGAAAATACAGATCTGAACTAAGTTTTTATTTTCCATACTGAAAGGACAATTTAGTAAACAGAATGAATAAGAAAAGCTGCATCTAGATTATATTAGTCTATTTTCATGCTCCTGAAAAAGACATGCAATTTACAAAAGAAAGAGGTCTAATGGACTTACAGTTCCACTTGGCTGGGGAGGCCTCACAATCATGGCAGAAGGCAAGGAGGAGCAAGTCACATTTTACATGGATGGCAGCAGGCAAAGAGAGAGCTTGTGCAGGGAAATTCACATTTTTAAAGCATCAGATTTCATGAGAGTTATTCGCTATCATGAGAACAGCACAGGAAAGATTGGCCCCCATGATTCAATTATCTCCCACCAGATCCCTCCCACAACACCTGGGAATTATGGGAGCTACAAGATGAAATTTGGGTGGGGACACAGAGCCAAACCATGTCACAGATACATACAATAAAATATTAAAATTCTTTGATAAAATGAAAAGTAAGTGATTCTAGACAAGAAATCTGAAAAGAAGTGAGGATTTGATTAATATGCTTCTGCTTGGTTAAAAGGGGGACAAGGAAACAATAAAATCTGTAAAGATCTGAGGAAAATAGTGTTGATCTAAGAATTATTCATAGAATTATATAATCATATGTAAAAGGAAATATTGCCAATTTTAATATTTGCAAATGCTCAGAAATTTTACCACCCATAAAGAGTCACAGAAACAATTACAGAAAGATACAGTCTAGCAAAACTGAAAACAAACCAAAAACCTGTGGAACCCAAGAAGTGATGGCAGGATACAAAACCAGTAAATCTTTTCAATTATAAATGTTTACTGAAAAAAGGCATGTTTATTTGTGTGTTCATAATAACACAATGGAACTAAAACAATATTGGTTGAAAGTATGAGAAGAAATAATATAACCAGTAGAAAACTGGCAATGTATTAGACAAATCAATAGACTAGGGTAGAATAGTTTATAAATAGAAACATGTAGATACATAAATTTGCCACATAATAAAGTTAGCTTTTCAAATGGGGGGAGACGTGTATCCAATAACTGGCTATACATTTGGATTTATATATCTACATACTTTCTTCCCATGGTCAATACTAATAAATGATGTGGAAACAAATAGCTATGCATTTGAAGTTATGTATCTTCAATACATAATTCCCCAAATATATTCCATATGAATTTTAGGCCTTTTGGAAATAAAGGTATTCAAAAGAAACTTTGGGAGAATATGTATACAACTTTGGTTTGGGAAGGCTTTTTATTTAAATATTCAACAAACCATAGCCATAAAATAATTGCTAATAAATTGACTACTTATAAATGTAAGCTTTAAAATAATGAAAGTTATCAAAACAAAGTTAAAAATAGTTTATAAAATGGGAAGAGTATTTAAACATTTATAATAAATTATTATATTTGAAATAAACATATCCTACAAATTATTTAAAAAGCAAAAACATACAATCTAATAGAAAAAGAAGCAAAATAAATGAACAGTTAACAAAAGATAAAATACAAAAGGTCAACAATCATAAAGGAAATCATTCAACCTCACTGGTAATCTCGGAAAATCAAAATCAAAATACAATTAGATACATCAAACATTTTATTAATAATTTCACAGTTTGACAGTATCAATTGAGGTGAGGGCACAGGAGAAGGTACTCTCATGGATGAGGGTGATTGGTGGTAGTATTAAATGGTATAAGCACATTGGAAGACAATTTTGGAGAATTGATTTAGACTGCAGCTCTGATCTACCAATTCCACTTCTTAGTATTCACTTAAGAGAATTATTCAATATATGACTGGAGTAGCATGTGCAGATGTTTTTACTAAAATATTATTTAGGAAAATGAAAAGATGTGGATTACAATTTTTCTTCAGTAGAGACGTAAGTAACATGGACAAATCTCAAAAACAATTTAAATAAAAAGAGTAAGTTGTAAAATGATACATTTCTATCATTTACATGAAAACTAAAACAAAAAGTGTATACGTGTATATATGTGTGTACAAATGTCTGTAATTGTAGAAATGTATTAATCAGTAAACTATTGATCATAGATGGTTACTTCTCACAAGTAAACTTAAATTGGAAATAGTAAAAACAAAAAGCATAAACATTTTTTGTTGTCTAATATTTTATAATGATAATGTATATTTATGTAACTTGTATAATTATACATAAAATTTAAAATTTTATGTAGTTTTGATATATTCAAAATAGTTTGTAATTAAGCAGCTTGCATGTAACTAGAATGCTGTCATTGTAAATGAATTAGGAAGATTAATACTTGAGAAATAATGAGTTATATTGTCTTAGAAGTTGAATATAATTTTTTCAGAAATGATGGAATGGAATTATGTCTGTTGTCGTATTGTTTTTTTTGAGAAATTTAACATGATAATATCTTGAATATAACACCTGATTATAGATTAGTAACAGGAAAAAATACAAATATCCGTGTGTGAATAAGTAACAATAATTGGAAAACCTTTTTGTCATTTTCAATTTAACTGATTAAACCTATCTCTTTGATTCCTTTTTCAGCTTTATTGAGGTATAATTGACAAGTAAAAATTGTTTATATTGTACAATTTGATGTTTTGATATACATTGTGAAGTGATCACAATAAGGACAAAAAGCTAATTAACATATCCATCCCCTCACACAGCTACCATATCCTCTTTTCTCTACTTTTTCTTCCTTTTTTCTCTTTTTCTTCTTTCCTTCTTTCTCTTTGTTTCTGTGGTGAGAACATTTAAGATCTACTCTTTCAGCAAATTTCAAGTTTTTGGTAGAGTATTATTAACTATAGTCAACATGTTGTACATTAGCTCTCCAGAATTTATTCATTTTGTATTAACGAAAACTTTGTGCCCTTTGGTCAACATCTTTCCTTTTCTCCCTCCCCCAGTTCCTGGCAACCACCATTCTAACTCTCTGTTTCTATGAGTTTGACTTTTTAGGTTCCACATATAAATGAGATTATGTTTGTCTTTCTGAGGCTGGCTTATGTCACTTTGTATAATGTCCTCCAGATTCAGCTATGTTATCAAAAACAGCAGAGCTTTCTTTTTTCAAGGGCTGAATAATATTCTATTATATATATGTATGCATATATGTTTTCATACATATGTATGCATGTATATCACATTTTGTTTATCGGTTCATCCATTGATGGACATTTAGTTGATTCCATCCCTCTCTTGGCTATTGTGAGTAATACTGCAATGAACATGGAAGTACAGATCCTGATTTCATTTTCTTTGGCTATATATTCACAAGCAGGATTGATGGACCACATAGTAGTTCTATTTTTAAGTTTTCGAGGAATCTTCATATTGCTTTTTGTAATGGTTATACTAAGTTACATTTCCACCAGTGTAAATTAGTGTACAAAGTACACTACAAAGTGTATACTGTACAAGGGTTCCCTTTTTTTCCACATTCTTGCTAACCTTGTTACCTTTCATCTTTTTTATAGTAGCCATCCTAATAAGTGTGAGGTGAAATCTCATAATGGTTTTGATTTACATTTCCCTGATGATTAGTTATGTTGAGCACCTTTTCATATAGCCAATGGCCATGTATATATGTCTTCTGTTAAAAGATGTCTATTCAGGTTCTTTGCCCATCTCCTTGACTCTTTCTCTTTCTTTCCTCATTCAGATTCATATATGCTCACATCTTAAAGTGTGTAGATTGACATCTCAGCTTTAGACACTAATATTTTAGCAAATAAAAACAAGAAATCTAAAGGCTAAAATAATAAGTAAAGAGCTTGTTATTCTCTAAAATTACCATTTTACTTGAAACACAATTTTTATTTTAAATATGCCATGACTTATTATCCAATATTGATTGTTGTAATATATCTTGATTTTTTTAATGTTTATTTTTCCTTTGCTATTTTATTTTATTTTTGCTTTGGAAAGTTAAAGCAGATATTATGGTATATGAGAAATATATTTTATATTCATCTTTAAGAAATGATCACATCTGATGTTATCTTATTCTAAGATGTAAGGTTCTTGCCACTAAAGCCAGGTAAAGAGTTAAAGCAATGATCCGTGTAATTGAAGGAAGAGTAGATTTAGTTTGACGACTAACCTGAGTCAAGGTTTTGCCACTGGAATTACTTAGGTTTACTTTCTAAGTCCCCAGAATGTCTCTTGTATTCTGGGTGATTGATTAAAGAATTACAGCAGTAAGCACAACAGAGCCACTATTATCCAATTCAAGGACATAGTATGTATGTGTGAGTCACCATAAAAATGAATTGATATGTGCACGGGATGCCAAAAAAATGTGTAGTAGTTACCAATTTTTGCATGTATTGGAGCTATTGCAAGATTGCTATTTCTCTTCCAAACACATCCATAGAAAGAACATGCTTGTTTTGCTCTCTGTTGCCTCTCTAGTGCCTGGCACAGACTAGGCCCTCAATAAATACTTGTTGAATTAATGAAATAAAGAGCTTAAAATTGTGGCATCAATTTGGTGATCATTAAAATGCAAAATAATTTCCTGGCCAAACCCCAGGATGCTTTATCACTCTTATTTTGTTTTATTTTTATTAGAATTTGACACTTGTTATATTATCAATCTGTTTATTGTCTGTTTCCCAGCCAGAATTATGATTGTCAGGGATAATCATATGAAGACAAATATTATAAACCCAGAGATTATTTCTTTTTATTTTCTACTGTATCCCAGCCAAAATATTCTGGCATGAAAATATATTCTGAACAAATGAGTAGATGAGTAGTTGAAGACATCTCAAACACAGTAGGGCACAAATAAGTTTGATTCATATAAGCACTCCATCTCTAGTTTGTTTGCTAACCAAAAATTAGTGAGTAGACACAATTGAAAGTGATCATTAATTCTTCTAACACTTATTGATGAGTTGATGGATTTACTCTTTCATCATTCAATATAGGACCTAGAAGTAGAATTTAGGACACAGTTCCTCATTTAGGACATGGTTCCTCATTTCCTAGAAGGACTCTGTTAAATATTCAAGTTTAAGAAAGAATTCTTCAGAAATTAGGACCCCTGAACAAACTGATACAGTTCAGCTACAAAATAAATTAATCAGATGGCTTAATGGTTTAATGTTTTTCTTCTGGAGCAAAAGAATATTTTGACTACAGTTTTATTTGAACCAGCTAGGTATTACAGGGAGTATGATAAGAATAAATGATATTTAATTTCACTTCTCTTTATGTAACACATGTAAAACCAAAACTGATCAATTATGGTTTAAATAGTTCAAAAATTGGTTTTCCTTTTTGTTATCCTGTTCCTGAGTATTCATACACACAATTACCCAGTTTCTTTAGGAAACTGAGCCATCATGTAAGCTAGAATAAATCTGTTCTGAGCTAAACTTCATGTATTTTAAAATTAATTCTATTCATGCAAACACTTATAAAAACAATATTTTAACAAGTGCAATGCCATTTAAGTAGAAGTATGTAAAGAATTGAAGGTAGAGTTTTTAAAAAATATTTTAAAAAGTGATTTAATAAAATGTACCAAAGTACATAGAAATAACCACCTATAAAGCAGACACTGTGAAAGAAGCTTGGGAATAAGAAAAGTTACATTAATTATAGTATTTTAGTACATGGGTGAAAACAAAATGATAGCGTCATTTTAGAATTACACATCACTATGGAAAATGATGTTGAAGAGGACTTTTCCTTTTACCAAAATTCGTAGGTATTATCCAAAGTTGAGGATGAAATATCAAGTACCTCACATTCTAGAGAGAAATAAACTCAATTGGAACCCCACCAGTTCTTCTACACCCCAGCATCATTTTAGCCCTCACCCGCTCAGCCCTCCCCTGTGTGACAGGAAATGAAGGAGTAGAGAAGGAATGGGATAAACAATCAGCCATTACTGTCATGGGACTTGGACTTGGATGTAAAAAGTCTATAGTTTTTGCTTTTTCATTCCTTCTCCAGGAAGAATGGGTGTCTTGTGGCTCCAAGAGAATTACGCATGGAGTTTAGGCATGAAACTGCCTTTCCACTCTGTATTTGCTATGTGTGACATTGCTGAGCGGCTCTCCATGCCTTTTGGAGAAGAGAGGAGAAAGAGTCAGATATGGCAGAGTGGAAAGAAGATACCAGGGATGCAGTCTGAATTTTCATATTTAATGTGTAATAACATGTGGGTTTACTCTGGTTTACGTGGTTAACACTGAAGATAGCCAAACCTAAATCAGTGGTGTTTTAGGGAGGGACATCACAGCAGCAAAAACTGTTATAACAAAAACCTAAGAAAAGATAAATGAAATCAGTGCACTTACAGCTGCATTCACCATCATGTCAATTTAATGTGGTAATTCCAACAAAGCAGCTAATACATCAAACTTGACTGGTGGAAGGGAGTGACTGTTTTATAACTGTTTCATGGCTTATAAAAGAGCATTGTAATTGCGAAGTACTTCTAAAATCTTACAGTTTATGGAGAAGCAGTTGCATGATAATTCTGCTTGTATTAAAAGTAACACATTGTATTGCCTCCAATTTCCTACTAGGCTAGCTTGGCTTCTTTAGATGGTGGTCTCAAATAGCATTCCAAGAAAACAATAGGAATACTACAAAGTTTCTTAAGTCCTAGCAATTAGAAGTATTATGACACCCCTTCTGCTTTATTCTACTGGACAACTGCCAGCCCAGATTCAAAGAGAGGAGGAAATAGACTCCATTTCTTATAGGAATGACAAAAATCACATTGCATAGTGGGTACACACTGGATTGGGAGACATCTGTGGCCACATTTTGAAATCTACCGCAGGTAACAAAACAATTAGCTGAGAACAACTAACATGGGGATACTTTTCATCAACACTCTGAAAGAAACACAAAGTAGAGCATGGGTATTGATTTCCAGTTCCTTTTCACTAAAAGCCTGCTAAAATTGCTTGACCAACTGTGACTAAAGACAGTATCTTTGTAATAATGGAGTTTGTATTTCTCTTTTTGCATTGTCCAGGTTCTGTTCATTGTCTATGTCCTTAAAATGTGTCATTTTCCATTATAAGCTTTACACTTTATCCTTAGGACAACAAAAAATAGTTATTATTACTTCCTTTTAAAAGATAAGAAAACAAAGATTTAAAAAGGCTAAGTAATTTGCTAAGCCATATAGCTGGTGAGCGGTGGAGCTGGAATCCAAACCCAGATAATCTGCCCCAAGTCTGTGCTCTTAACCACCATGGTTACTGCCTATTTGATTAATTTGGGGTTCTATTTTCACTGTCTTGTAGATTAGAGTATAGCTTGCTTATATCAGGGATTTTATTTTTGGCCTCTGCTAATGCACTTGTTCAAAATTCATACTTAAAATAACATCTTAATCAGTGTGAAGTAGTCAATGTCTGGCATAATTAATCTGCTTCAGCCATTAGTGGGATTTGTCTGGTCTGTGTTGTATAGACTGGATAGTGAGTTATCCAGACCAAAATGTCTGAAACAGTCATCCACCCGGGCCATCAATTCAGGCAGTGTGAGATGGAAAAAAGCATTAGTTTCATAGTGGAAGAAGACACAGGTTGGGACCAGACTCCAGGGTTTCAAATTCTAGCTCTGCTACCTACTAGCTGGGATACTTCAGGCATGATACTTAATCACTGGGGATAATAATATATTCTATATATTCTACTTGATAGTATAATTATGAAGATTAATGAGTTCATATTTGTAGAAATGCTTGGAACTCTATCTTTGTGCCTTTTAAACAGTTTTTTAAAAATGTATTTACTTCAAACCACATAGCCAGGAGAAGTGATGTGTCTGGGCACTCAGTACATCTGAAGTGTCTGGGGTGGTCAGATGTTAATCCAAACATAGGTTTTATTTATCCCATTATCCAATTTGTTCAACCTAGTGAAAATACTGATCTTCCATTTGAGAGTTGTCTTTGGTTCAGCTGAACTATATATGGGATTGGGGGATGATTGTGTCCTGCATTTTACCTCCCAAAGAGTAGAAAAGGTATTTTTTGTCCTCATCCATACCCAGTATTAACCACAGTGGGTTTCAGAAATTAAAAGGGAAAACTTTCCTCACCTAGCCCCAGCCTGGTCCCTGAGTGACCTGGGTGACAGCAGCCCCTTGACCTATCACATCTCATCAGCATCTCATACTTACAAAGTTCTACCCATGGATGACAGATCATCAACCCAGTGGTCATGGTAGTCTGATCAGTGTCCCTTTTCTGCACCTCTGGACCTTTTCACAATGAGCACTAGGCTGAGGTAGTTCAAGTGATCTGAACTTCATTAGAAAACATGGGGCCAGGCGTGGTGGCTCACGCCTGTAATCCCAGCACTGGGAGGCCGAGGCGGGCAGATTTCTTGAGGTCAGGAGTTTGAGACCAGCCTGGCCAACATGGTGAAACCCATCTCCACTAAAAATACAAAAAATTAGCTAGGTGTGGTGGCATGCACCTGTAATCCCAGCTACTGGGGAGGCTAAGGCAGGACAATCGCTGGAACCTGGGAGGCAGAGGTTGCAGTGAGCCAGGATGACACCACTGCACTCCAGTCTTGGTGACAGAGCAAGCTCCATCTCAAAAAAAAAAAAAAAAAAAAAAGAAAATGTGGTTCTCTGGCATTCACTGGCTTTTAAAATTGGAAGTTATTTTATCTTACTAAATATCTTTCCTCAACTGTACAACAGGGATGATAATAAAACAGTACCTAATCTCAGTACCTAGTGTATCGTTAGCTCTCATTAAATGGTAGCTATTCTCATTTATTGGATATAGTACATGCTTCAGTTATTTCTCTAAAGCTCAAAGGGCCTAGTTCTCATGGGATGTATGCCTATTACTTGGAAAATGTATCCATGTATAAACCATAAAATATTGTGTTTTGGAAAAGTACATGAGAAAAGTAAAATTTATACCCAATTGAACTTTAGGAAAATATAATGTTTCATATAGAAAAAATTTAGATCATTTATAATTAGGAGGGCTACTAATTTTAAATTTTATATTTCAAAGCTCATATATTAACCATAAAATATATATCATAGTGTAAGTTAAATGTACCATTCTAAAGCCTCTATTTTAACACATAAAGTTCAATTTTTATTGCTGCCTTTTGATTTATTAAAAAGGTGGTTGCTTTATTTACCCAGTATTGATCTAATATAAACTTCCTAAGCTTCATTCTCTTATCAACCAAAAAGTTCTGACTTATGGAATGTTAAGATAATCCATTAAAAAATAAAAATGCAATGCATGAATGGACAAAAGAAATGTATATATACACAATGGAATACTATTCAGCCATAAAAAATAAAATTCTCTAATTTATAGCAACATGGATGAGCCAGTAGGATATTATGTTAAGTGAGATAAACCAGACACAGAAAGACAAATACCATAGGATCTCACTCATGTGTAATCTAAAATAGTTGATCTCATAAAAGTAGTGTATAAAACAATGGTTACCACAGACTGGGAAGGGAAGGAAAGAGGAGTAAAGCAGAAACGTTGGTTAATGTGTAATACAAAGTTACAGTTGGAAAGGAAGAATAAATTCTGGTGTTTTGTTGCACAGTAGGGTGACCATAGTTAACAATAATGCCTTGTGTGTGTTTGAAGACAGCTAGAAGAGAAGATTTTGAATGTTGCCACCACAAATAAATGATAAATATTTGTGGTGTTGGATATACTAACTGCCCTGATTTGATCATCACACAACATATATGTCTATCAAAACATCACAATGTACCTCATAAATATGTACAATTATTGAGTTAATTAAAAAGAAAAATAATTTTAAAATAAAAAAGCCTGAGATTTGAGCTGCTTACAAATAAATGTTATAACACTACATTTTCATTATCACATTTTGACTCTAATACAAAACTGTCAATTCCACAGCATTTAAGAGCATTTGTTTAATGTCAATAGCAGAATTCACAAAACTGACAATTTGTCTCACTCTCTTGCTCTCTTTATGTTAAATAGATCAAAATCATGACCAAGAGTCTGAGAAAATGTGTTGTTTATATTTAATAGAGTCCAGTACAACTATAATTTATTCTTAGAAAAATTCAAATTCTTCAGAAAATTTGAAATGTCAACTCTAGATCCTAAGATAAAAATTCATACTAACTTTGAATTTGGTTCAAAAATAAAAATATATACCTGTTAGAATTATTCATTAATTGCTTGGAGAGATTTCAAATATTTGACAGTAGGATTAGACAATCCGTCATTTTAGAACTGGTGTAAGTCTTCGCATTTTAGCTAAAATATTCATGGTTTTAGAAAGATTTAGCATTGTCTTAGTTAATATTACCTTCAGAATACATAATTAGCATTGAGTTTAAATATTTATTACAAATGGGATAAGAGTTCAATATCACTCCTTGGTCAAATAATACAAAAATTAATGTATCCATGTCATCACACTGCCAGCTGCTATTGTTTGAGCGTTCCCTCCAAAACTCATGTTGGAAACTTAATTCCTAGTGTGGCAAATTTGGGAAGTAGAACCCTTACAAAGTGAGGTCTAGTGGGAGGTGTTTGGATTAGGGGGCTCTGCTTTCCTGGGCTGCTTGGTATCATTCTTATAGTAGTGGGTTCTCCCTCTCACAAGATTGGATTAGTTTTCGTGGGAATCTATTAGTTCCTATGAGAGTGGGTTGTAATAAAGCAAGGACACTCCTCGTGTTTTGTCTCTTTGCACTTGTCTGCTTCCCGTTTGACCTTCTGGGATGGCAGCAGAAAGACCTTCACCAGAAGCCAAGCAGATGCTGGTGCCATGCTTTTGGACTTTCCAGACACCAGAATCACAAGCTAAACAAACCTCTTTTCTTCACAAATTATTCAGCATCAGGTATTTTGTTATACCAACACAAAACAGACAAGACAAAGACACCACCTACAGAAAACAGTATATAAATGAAATCAAGTCTCACAATGTTCAAGTTAGCTTATAACATCTGGCTTTGATTTATTCATGAAATAAATATTTATAGAGAACCTTCTGTGTGAAGCTTAGAGGAACACTTGATCTTCTCCATTTCTGTTTACTTGAATTTTGTGGACAGAATATTACTGTTAACAGCTGTTCAGAGAAAACAAGATTAAGAGTCAAAATGTTAGAGAATCTTAGATTTGAAAAAGCAACAAGATTTGTTTATGGCAAAATTTCTTGTTCTTTTATAAAATTCTTTAAGAAGGGGATTCAAGGTGTTATAAAATTTCCCTAATATAAATGGCCATGGGCCCCTTACCTCCTATCCTAGTAATATTTATTAATATATTAATCAACATTATAGTGTTGTGAAATTTGTTCCTGAAAAGTCATCTTTTCCAATCTACTTTTCTCGTGGAGTGGGTGACTGCAGACCATTAAATTTAAGTTTTTCTCAAGGACAGTATTAGATTTATTTTGGAATTGAACATAGATTTTTTCCACTTCAAACAGATTTTTTCTACTAAATGTTATTTTTTCCATCCAAGTGCAGTCTTTTTCTAGGATCCTGCCATCTAGAGGATCTTGAAATGAATAACTTGATATTATCTAATTAGATTTAATTTGCTTTTACTGCTTAAATATGTTATATTTTTCTAAACTCTCAAAGAGTTAGATAAATTCCTTTAATAAAAGCTCAACGATCTCCTTATGTAAAAATTCTTTATAAAATGTCATGAATAACTAGTACTAAGTATAATCTATTATATTCATAAGCATATATATACATACGTATATATTTACTTCAGATGGTCAGGAAGTCTTCTGTATTTGTGGATTTGTAGTTTATGGTTTCAAAAATTTATATCAGGGTCTGCTCACCCTTATTCTTTTTCTTATTGTTTTTGTTTTTATTGATATTATGCTCCTCTCTTGCCATAATGTGATAACTTTTGAAGTGTTTATTATTTATTCGTACTATCAATCATGTAACTAAAACTTAATGCTAAGTATATGTAGTTGAGAGGGAGAAATATTTTCATAGTGAGGACAGAACAGTATTTAAAATTACATTATGAGAAAGGCTCCTAAATCGTCTTCTATGTGAACAAAAGTACAGAAAATTAAATAAACAGGAAGTGTCAGTTTCATTAGAATTCCTCTCCTTTGTATGTAAGTCAAAGTTTTGTTTCAATATAATGAAATTACTATGACAAATTCTTTATCATGAAATATAGGTTCATCTTATCTTCTACATTTTTTACCTAACAAATTAAAACTTTTTATTTAAGTGAGTGTGAATTATGAAGTTACCTTGATATTAGTTAGCTTTATTTAATGAGTGGTGGTAAGAAATGAGTTCTTATTAAAATGGAAGAAACTGTGATTCATAAGTAATAAAAGAATGCCTGGAAATTGACAGTTTGAAACAGGAAAGTATGTAATGATCCAGTCTAGATTATTTTAATTGGCTAGACCTTTGTTACTCTAGTCAATCCCAATAAAGAGTTGATAAGTTACAACAATATGAAACTCTATACAATATCCACATCATCACAGGGGGATTGAGGTTTGGTGGAATCAGAAGCTTATACAATTTGGAGGAGTAATTTTTAATAAAATCTTAAAAATACAATAGTTCAAAATTGCTAGACATTTCTTACCAGTTGCCTATTCCAGTGAGAGGTCTTGCAGTTTAAGTTTCAACAGGTTTATAATAAATAAGCCTTTCTATATTATTCAGATGTTAAGAATATCTGCTGAAAAGGTATCACAATCAAGGACAAGAGAGCTTTGCCATTTCTGAGATGAATCGTTCTGGATTTTGATTTCATTACAACATAGGCAAGTGTGCATTACATAAAATTATCTTTAAGATTTCTTTTGATTGAAGAATTTCTATTTTTAAGTGGAAAATTTATTACTTCTGGAGCAAGGCATTCTCCAGGCTAATGTGGAAAAGCGAGTGAATCTTGTTAATTTATTTTGGTACCCTAATTTACATGATTATTTCCTGCCCTCTAAGTTATATTTGTTTTCACAGAGCAAAATACATGTTTACTGTTCTCAGAGGCTTCAACTGGTTAAAATATGTTGTTCTTGTTTTACAGTAATAGTCATTATATTTTCTAAGTCAGGGTCCTGAGTACTAACTAGCTCCAGATCACTAGGGGGAGGTGGGGATCTCATAGCAGAGAAGAGAAAAAAGGAAGAATAGGAACCCATTCCCATTATCTGCCTTCTCTTCAGCAAATCTTAGAATTGCAAGCTTGACCTACTAACTGAGACATTAATATCATATCTTTGAAAGTTGAAATGATAAGTTCTTATCATTTAGCTTCCACTTATAAGTGAGAACATGCAGTATTTGGTTTAGTTTGCTAAGGATAATGGCCTCCAGCTCCATCCATATTCTTGCAAAAGACACGATCTTGTTCTTTTTTATGGCTACATAGTATTCCATGGTGTATATGTACCACAATTTCTTTATCCAGTCTGTCACCGATGGACATTTAGGTTGATTCTATGTCTTTGCTATTGTGAATAATGGTGTAATGAACATTCATGTGCATGTATCTTCATGGTAGAATGATTTATATTCTTCTGGGTATATACCCAGTAATGAGTTTGATGAGTCCAATGGTAGTTCTGCTTTTAGCTGTTTGAGAAATCACCATACTGCTTTCCACAATGCAGATGCTAGGGTCTACTTGAGGAGGGAGTTGGGAGAAGGGAGAGGAGCAGAAAAGATAACTATTGGGTACTGGACTTAATACCTGGGTGATGAAATAATATGTACAACAAACCCCCATGAGACATGTCTACCTGTGTAATAAAGCTTCACAAGTACCCCCAAGCCTAAAACAAAAGTTAAGTAAGAAAGAAAGCTGAAACGATAATTAAGTTGTGTGGGTAAGCAGAGTTTTGTTTTTTTTAGCACCAGATCAGTTAATATAGAATTGATATGAATATCATTGACATGTGAACATCGTTACAGGACTATTTTCCCACAATCGATAAAAAGAGAGAGTCTCTTTCCTTTCATTTTCTATTTATATATGAAAATATATAGAGAAAAATTATTCAGAGATGGAACAAAATTTTATCTTTGTGTGCTGCCTATTTGTAATCATTGTAAACAACTTAAAAACTGTAAGACTTTTTATTTTTGAAAGTCTTCATTGAAAATAGTATGCTAATCATAATAGATTAGGAGTTCAATGGAGAGAAAAAGTGTGTGTGTTCTTAAAACCTACACAAGTGATTAATATCAAGTAGCCATATTAATTAAATTTTTATTGAAAAAAATGATTTCAAATTTACAGAGCATTATCACTGCTCAAAATGTATATTGGCAGCAGTAAGCCTATGTTTTCTTCTGTGATTAAAATACAAAATAAAATAAATGTGATAACATTAACCATGGCTTATATGTAAAAAGGGAACTATTATTCATACTTCTACCACCTATTTCAGCCCTAACCATTAACATTTATGCTTCAATTAATTTGTCAAAAGTGGGTCACCCCATATATATATGCATTTGTGTGTCCAAAATTTTATATACTACATGTAAATGTAGATCTTTTAAAAGTTTCCTAAAATAGGAAAAAGAAGAAATAAAATATCGTTAATCTCCAGCAGCTCTCCATTTTGTGAACAGAAGAGTTAATATATAGGATTAGCAATAGCCAAACACTGTCTTTTATATACACAAGTATATAAAGCAAAGTACTCTTAAAGAAAAATCAAGCATTGCACTGAAATAGCCTTCCAGTTTTACTACAATGCATTTTTTTTTTTGTGGGATAGATTGGACTATTTCACATAGATTAAATTTGACAGGATACCAGACTACTGCCATGTTTTTACTTTTAATTCAGTACCCTTTTTGATAAATGTGAGGCAGAAAATATATATTTTTAGGTTTTTTTCTGATGGGGAAAGCCAATTGAATAATATTTCAAAACTCTGCCATGACTGTGTATCTGGCTTACATTATTTTATAGATAGCTGGAGGGTATTTTAGCCTTGACATTTCACTTGTCCTGAAAATAGTGATGATACATGGACCAGCACTACATAGAGATCCCATTTTTCTTTCCGAAAGTGCAGTGTGATTAGCCTTTTTATCCTCCCAAGACTGCTACCCAGGGAGGCTTTCATGTCAAAGCCAAAGCAGGTTTGATGAAGCAGCATCTCAAGATACTATGGTTTAAATTCAGGGCAGCAGTTGGGAATGGATTGTTTACTGGTCTTATTGTTCACTCAGATTTGTCCTTGTCTCATATAGGGATTGCAAAGGATATTTTTATTTATTTATTTTTTTTTTGAGATGGAGTCTCGCTCTGTCGCCCAGGCTGGAGTGCAGTGGCGCGATCTCGGCTCACTGCAAGCTCCGCCTCCCGGGTTCACGCCATTCTCCTGCCTCAGCCTCCCAAGTAGCTGGGACTACAGGCGCCCGCCACTACGCCCGGCTAATTTTTTGTATTTTTAGTAGAGACGGGGTTTCACCGTTTTAGCCGGGATGGTCTCGATCTCCTGACCTCGTGATCCGCCCGCCTCTGCCTCCCAGAGTGCTGGGATTACAGGCGTGAGCCACCGCGCCCGGCCTTTTTTTTTTTTTTTTTTTTTTGAGACGGAGTTTTGCTCTTGATTGCCCAGGCTGGAGTGCAGTGGTGCGATCTTGGCTCACTGCAACCTCCCCCTCCGGGGTTCAAGCAATTCTCCTGTCTCGGCCTCCCGAGCAGCTGGGATTATAGGCACCTGCCACCACGCCTGGCTAATTTTTGTATTTTTGATAGTGACAGGGTTTCACCATGTTGGCCAGGCTGGTCTCGAACTCCTGACCTCAAGTGATCTGCCCGCCTTGGCCTCCCAAAGTGCTGGGATTATAGGAATGAGCTGTGGCATCTGGCCAAGAAGGATCTTTTAGCTGAACTCTGCATACTGTTTATGGCCTTTGGAGACAGATGAAATCCAAAGAGGATACATTCGGGGCAAGGGGAATGAAGGGAGCTGGGAAAGACGCAACAGTTTGTTTCTACCCTGGCATCAGGGAAGTTCCCGGGCACATATTCCACTTTGTCAAGGTGAAAATATAGTTATTCCTGCAAACATTGAGAAAGATTTCAAAATAAAACTCTCAGATATGCAAAACTTTAAAAGGACAGAGTCAACCAAATAGGTCTGAGAATAAGCAGAATTAATGTCACTTAAGACCATTTCCCTCTGAATAACGGTGAGAGCACTTGGTGGAGAAGTCTAGGTATAACTGACTCTCAGCATTTGTATCCAAATATCATTATTGATTTATAACTTTCCCTGGGCTATCTGAGTCCTACAGTCTGCCTATGTTAGTAATCCCTGCCTAAACTGGCACAGCTCACTCTGGCCCATGGCAGCATGGCACATTCACCTTTGGGGCCCAATCTGTTCTGAAGATAACAGAAGGTACCCCACTACACTTCAACAGATTACTCAAAGGGATTCTATCCCCGTGAGCTTCTTCACATCAAAAAATGAGATAATGGCAATTCATCTAACAGGAACACAATTCTTTGGACCTGCAGGCAGCAAAATAATCACAAAAATCAATGAGAAGGAAGCTAAGAATCCACTGGACCCAATAGGTAAAACAGAAGAAGTCTCATTATGTTCATGAAACATTAATTTGTATCTGTTTTTTTCATTTGCGTCATATCTGGAGAAAGGTAAGTAATCCACACATTATGTTAATTTTAATTTTATTTGTTTTTAGATAGGGCTGTGCTCTGTCACCCAGGCTGGAGTGCAGTTGCATGATCATGGGTCACTGCAGCCTCAACTTCCTAGCCTCAAGCAATCCCCCTGCCTCAGCCTCTCAAGTAGCTGAGACCACAGGTACATGTGCCACCACACCCAGCTAATATTTTTCTTTCTTTTATTTTTTGTTGTAAAGATAGGGTCTCACTATGTTACCGAGGCTGATCTTGAACTTCTGGGCTCAAGCAATCCTCCTGCTTTGCTCTCCCCAAGTACTGAGATTGCAGGCATGAGATATCATGCCCAGCCTCTTATTTTTAATTTTTAAAAATCTCATCAAACAGGAGCTGAGATCTGCTTCTATGAAATGGAAGAGTGGTGGTCAAAGAAGCAGTCATTGTACTAAGAAATGGCTTGAAAGGATTTCGCTTTTCTGTCATCTCCATTAACCCTCCCCACCCACCATTAAACGAAACAAATCAAAAACAAAAGCAAACAAATGAAAATCAACCCTCAGTAAATTTTCCATTTAGGTTAAATTTTGCCATGCAGTGTTTTAAAACACACATTTTAGTCTCTCATATAACTCCCTGATACACACACACACACACACACACACACACACACACACACACACACACACCTCTCCTACCAAGAAAAATGGAGGCAGCAGGACTGGAAGAAGAGACAGGACTTCACTTACCTTGGTGGCTACTGCATCCAATCTTCCTGGCTCCTTCTTCCTCCTTTTTATTGTTGGCATTTGTAAATTAAGGCATGCAGAAGACATCTGGTATGATTACCCTAGGATTCCTTGTATTATCACAAAATTCACTTTCAGGTTTCCAAGGGATGATCCAGTTTGCATATTAACCATGCTCATACAAATAAATAGAACACACTGTGAAACAATTTGAGTAATTGCTCAGAATGAACAATATCCTTTACTCAGTAGGTGACGTGTATTGGTTGAAGTTACATAACAAATATTTTAATAAGAGAGTGCTTTTTCCCACCCCACCCTTCATCGCACATAGTTTCTTTCTGCTGCTAACTCCTCTCAGCAGTGGCTAGTTGTAAACTGAAGGCTAAGATGTCTGCAAGAAGCTGAGATTCTTAGCACTGTGGAAGGTAGGCTGTGGGGTGAATGGCAAGATAGATGTAACAAAGTATAGAGAAGCAGGGAGAATTTCTCTGCCCGGCTAGGACATATCATATATTTAATGGAGAAAGCAGTCCACATAAAAAACACGTCTACACATAAGGTGTGATTTAAATGGCTAAGTTTAAATGAAGACAGTCTATGCCTCATATTGATTTTTAAGTTATTCTTTGTCCTGTTAATTGAAATATTATTATTTGGATATATAATTCTCTTATTAACAGCAGCTATGAGAAAAATTTTAGCGTGAGTTGTTCATGTGGTGTGCATATATGAAGGAATTTTTAAATTGTCACTGGTTTTGTCATATTTCAGAAAAAAAGTAGCAAATCGCTCCTTCAAAGAAGAAACTTGACATTATCAAGGATCTTGTTCCCATGGCATCATTGACTTTATCCAATGGCAGCAGCTTAAAATTTCCATAGAAACTGGATCTGACAATGACTGCTAAAAGTGCAGTCCCCCATAGCAATATCAGTTGAATTGAAAAGGAAGCGTAAATTGTCTTATCAAAATCTTTTCCCACACAGTCCATATTCTCACATTGTCCTCTGCTATTTTAGTAAATATTGACTTGCTGCCCAAAGGAGTGGCTTTGTAAGAAGGCTTGAGAGATGTAATAGTAATACCAATGATTTAGGTGGAAAATAAAAAAAAATTATAGTGCTTATTTCATTGGTTAGAGATAAATGTATGTAAATCTTCCAGCAGAGAAGTTTCCAAAAACCTTATTTTTTCCTTCCTTCTTTACTTCTTTTTCTTCATTATTTTTTTCTCCCTTCATTCCTTCTATCCTTCATTCTTTTTTCTTTCCTTTCTTTCTTTTCTTCCTTTCTCCTTGTCTCTCTCTTCCCCCCCTTCCTAGCTTTTTTTCTTTCTATACATCCATCTTTCCTCTCTTCCTTAGATATCTGTTTCCCTTTCCATATTTTAAAAGCATCCAGGATTAAGTCCTGTACTAACTAAAGAACCAACAATTTCTGTATCTTCTTCTTTCATTTCTTAATTTGGTCTAGTTTATACCTATCTAGTAATGAGTAATCTGTGGCTACAAGAAAAATAACAAGTTCAAATCCCTTGTAAGGTAACTGAAAGACCCCTGTGTGCGCACCTATAAAGACACAGTCCTCTGCCATGTTCCTCAACTTTGTACCATTCAACAGAAAACTCCCAGGAAGAACAGCAGCTCAGAATTTTTCTAGTAAGCTCTTTGATAGGAAAGCCAAGATGTCCTTTTCCTCTTTTCATAACGGGCTATTGTTTCTGCCTTTCCTTTAAGGGTGTCAGGCAGGGAGATAAAACTCTGGAGGGAAGACTGGATGCAGGCTTTTCACTAATAACTTGAGTCAGAAATAGGAAAAAAAATAGTTCCTTATTTTATTTCCATCTGCCTGACCTCATTTATTTATTATCCATTCATATAATAGATATTAACTGAGTCCCCACTATTTCCTCACATCTCTACATAATGCCACTTATCTGTTACTTTGCATTCTTGATTAATATCATGCTTCACTTGGATTTCTCTGATAGCCCTTACTTGCTGTCTTTTTCTCATCATCAACCCTTTTCTTCAACCCACCCTACAAATCTGTAGCCAGGTCAAGCTTGCTACAGGGCTGTTTGGATGCTATTATTTCCATTCTCATGAACTTCCAGAATCTTCCCAGTTTTATGGAATAAAATTCAAACCTTTTAGCCTTCAGTTCAGGGTCTTATAATCTGGGTCCAACAATTCTACTTTTGTAATACCTTATACGTAAGGAAGACCAAGCTATGTGTTTGTTCTCCTTGTCCTCTTTTTCTCTTCCTGTCCGCATGCTATGCTCTCTAAGTGCTGATTGACTCACTGATCCTTTTGGCCTTCTTCCTTTACTCAACTGTCAAGCCTCCCTTCATCTTCCCTTTTCTGCTCTCCAGCAGGAATTCACTTCTAGCTCTTCTACAACCCATGGAATTTTATCTCTTCTGTAACCTTTTGCATTTTTAAGTTTATAGTTATGAGTATTTGCATACATCACTTATTTGCCGTTTTAGAATGTATGCTCCTTGAGAGCAGAGCGCACCATTGAATACGCTCTATAGCTCAACAGCATGCTTCATAGTCTTCAACTGAGTAAATGGATGTATGTGCTGCAACGCCACTCTCTATCAGTTTTAGAAAGACATGCTTAATAATAAGCCTATTGCTAATTTCAGCTATAATGGGTGATATTATGGTTCAGTAAGAGCCTTTTGTATCAAGACTTTAAAAATTTTTCTTGCTATTTAGACAGTGGCTGTTCCATCAGTCCCAGCAAGATAAGAACCTCTGGAGAATCATAACCTTCCTTTGGTACACAAACTCTTGTCCATTAGCATCTTACTGCCTGTAATGATGCTTACCAATCAGATTAAGAAATGTACTCCTAACCCAAGACAAGGATACCTTTTACTCCTTATTCCTAACAGTCTTCTTTGAATGTGTTTTTAAAAATTCACAAGTTTCCAAAATCAAAGTGTATTAAAAAGTATATAATGCAAAGTCTCCTTGCCACTCTGTTTGTCATGTGCCCAGTTGCCAGTACACTACTAAATAGATATTCCTGTGTTAGATTCTTGGGGATCTTCCTATAGAGCTTTTTAATGTAAATGTTATTATGTATATTTAAGATATATAGCATGATGTTGTGGGATACATATAGATAGTAAAATGATTAATGCAACAAATTAAAATATCTGTCATTTCATATAGCTGCTCGATTGTGTATGTGTGTGGCAAGGGCAGCTAATATCTACTCATTTAGCAAAACTCCTAAATACAAGGCAATATTATTTATTTATTTATTTATTTTTATTTTTATTTTTTGAGATGGAATTTTGCTGTTATGCCCAGGCTGGAATGAAGTGGTGTGATCTTGGCTCACTGCAACGTCCACCCCCCAGGTTCAAGTGATTCTCCTGCCTCAGCCTCCCGAGTAACTGGGATTACAGGTGCACGGCACCATGCCCGGCCAGTTTTTGTATTTTTAGTAGAGATGGGGTTTTGCCATGTTGGCCAGGCTGGTCTCGAACTCCTGACCTCAAATGATCCACCTGCCTCGGCCTCCCAAAGTGCTAATATTACCGGCGTGAGCCACTGGCAATATTGTTAACTTGGGTGTGAGGCCCAAGGCAATATTATTAACTGTAGTCCTCATGTTGTACATTGCTATCTAGACCTGTTCATCTTACTTGTCTGCTACTTTGTATTATTTAAACTACATCTCCCGCATTTTCTCCCCAGGACTCCCTTCTGGAAACCACTGTTTTCTTCTCTACTTTTAGGGAGATTTTTATGTACATAAAAGCAAATATAAATAAATGTTTTTCTCATGTTTTATACCAATCGTATCATACTGTACACATTTTATGTATTTGTGTTTTTTTCCTTTAAAATGTTTCTCAAGATCTTCCTAGATCATATTGTGTCATGTTCAATTGTATTATAGTGTTTCATATTCAGTTCTGGGGATATAACATATTTAAAGAGTTACTAGTTGACAGATAATGAAGTTTGTTTCTAAACATTATTACAGCCTATACCACAATGAATAACCTTGTACATACCTTATTTTCTGTGTATGGGAACTTACCTGTATGATACTTTCCTAGAATTGGTTGCTGAAAGTGTATATAATATTGGATAGATACCTTGTAATCTTGGACAGATACTTCAAAATTATCCTCCATTTAGATTGTACCAACTTGGACTTTTATCAGCAATGAATGAGAGTTTCTATCTCCACAGACTTGCCAGTTGTGTTTTAAAACTTTGATTTTTGCCAAGTTGATGCTGAAAAAATAGTCGCTTTAAAAAATATGAAATGTTTCATGAATTTGCACATCCTCTTTGTTCAGAGTTCCTGCTAATCTCTGAATGGCATCAATTTTTGGTATATGTGTTGCTGAAGTAAGCACTCTGTTTACCTTTTATTTGCCTCTCTATGATTGTGAGGTCAATGTGTTTTCAGGTATTTGAGATATTTGCAGATTTTTAATTTCAAGATGAATTTAATACAAATTTCTTTAACATTAATTTTGAATTTAATATGAGACTTTCTTTTTAAATTACCAATGTATTGAAAATTTTTATATATTTCAGATCTAAACTATGATGTGGCTTGCATATATTTTTTTCAGTTTATCGTTTGTCCTTGTTCAATATGACGACTTTTGCCATATAAAAGTGTTTTGTTGTTTTGTTATTTTTTTTTATGAATTCTGAATTTTGAGTCCAAGAAAGGCCTTTTTGTACATCGAGATTATGAAACAATTCTCTTGTCTCCCCACCCCACACAGTCTCACCCTCTGTAGCTTTTGTGGACTCATTTCCTTGCATGTAAATTTTTGAATCATTTGAAATTGATTCTGGTATGGATCTGACACTATTTTTGCACCAATACCATTTATTTAATGTCATTTTATCCATACTGGTATGAAGTGACTTTATAACATACTAGCTTTAACATACCACCTTTAAATAAGTTTGAGATCAATTTTTGAAAATTCTATTCATTTCTCTTGAATTCATATTCATGTGCCAATACCACAATATCTTAATTACTGAGACTTATAATATGTTTTCCTATTTAAGGGTGCTAATTACAAAATATTCCTCTTCTTTTTCATAAATTTTATGGCTCTTTTTACTTTTAAATTTTCCAATATGCAATTTAAAGTCAGCAATGTAGTTTAAGAAACAGTTAATTTTGTATCAGGAGCATATTAAATTTATAAATTAATGGGGAAAACTGATTTCTTTTTATGCTAAATCTTCCTATCAAACAATTCTGTAAGCTATTACCTCAAGCTGTCTTTTGTCAGAAGTATATTAAAATTTTACTAATTTTTTGTTAAGTTTATTGCTAAGTACTTTTCTTGCTTTTAGAAATTTTATTTTTCATTTTGTCATACTTTCTAACAAGTTGTATACATGAAATCATTTGCTTTAATTATAATAATTATTTTCTATGGCTTACTTGCCAAATTCTCTTATTTATTGTAGTGATTTTTGTTAATTACACTTAATTTACCTCCAAAATAGCAATCCCCAGTCATATAATTTGCAAATAGATATGTAAAACTGTCTTCAAAGCTTATAACTCATTTTTCCTCTATACTCTAATTGTGTAGGTTATAAAATTATTAAATAACAATGATTGTGGACTTCCTTTTTGTTTTATCCTCCGCAACAGCTTAAATGGAATTGGGATTATCCTTTCTTTTGGGTTTTGTAGAAAATTCCTCCAAAAAATAATCTTTAGTAGTTTTTGGTGATAGGTACTTAACAAAATTTTTCATTTCTTTTATGTAAATTGGTCTTTTAAAATGCTGGTGTGTTTTTTTCAAAAACAGGTTTCTGTAAATTATGTTGTTCTAGGAAATTGCTTAATTTTTTAAGTTTTACACAGAGGTAAGCACAATTATTTCTTATGACTCTAAATTTTTTCCTTTTGTATTTTGGGTTAACTAGCTACTTAATATTTCTGACTTTTGGTAATTATGCTTTCCTCTCTTTTTCCTAGATTTGTTTCATTAGCTCTGTTTTACTGTTTTGTTCCTTCCTTCCTTCCTTCTTTCCTTTCCTTCTTTTTTTTTTTTTTTTTTTTTTTTTTTTTTGACGGAGTCTCACTCTGTCGCCCAGGCTGGAGTGCAGTGGCGCGACCTCGGCTCACTGCAAGCTCCGCCTCCCGGGTTCACGCCATTCTCCTGCCTCAGCCTCCCGAGTAGCTGGGACTACAGGTGCCCGCCACCGCGCCCGGCTAATTTTTTTTTCGTATTTTTAGTAGAGACAGGGTTTCACTGTGTTAGCCAGGATGGTTGCTATCTCCTGACCTCGTGATCCGCCCACCTCAGCCTCCCAGAGTGCTGGGATTACAGGCGTGAGCCACCGCACCTGGCCTATTTTACTGTTTTCTTCTGGTACTTCTTGGCTTCTCTTGCATTCTTCTAGTTTTTCTCTTATGTTTCTGGTCATTGTTTATCAAATTTCTTTGCCAGTTTGTTTTAGATATCTAAATTGTAAGTATTACAGGTTAAAGGTTTAACTAGCCTTCTTTCTCAACATATTCTTTTTCTGTATAGGCTCTCATCGATAACGTGGTTTAAATGGTTGTCCACATGCTGACGACTCCCTAAAATATATTACTCATTGAAATTCCACCTCTTAGTTATAGGCGCACATTATTCCTTCAGTCATTCATAGACTAATAAAATTACATATATCTAAAACTTGGTTCTCTTCCTTCAGTGTTTCTTATCACAGTGAATGCCACCAGCATCTGCCTAGTCTCAATCCCAGAATCCTAAAGGGATTCTCTCATACGTTTGTCCTCTTATTGTCTATTCCCTCTAAATTAATGGATCCCTTTAATTTTCCCACTTAAGTGTCTCTTTAACATATCTTCTCTCTTTACTGTCATGACCCTATTCTAAGCCATCATTATCTTTTGCCTACCAGGGGGATGGCCTCCTGCCCAGTCTCACTATATCCACTCTTGTTTCTTCCCAATTCATTCTTCATATTAAAGCCAGGTTAATTCCATAATCCCTCTCTCTTGCTTAAGTTTACTCATAATTTGTTATTATTGTTCAGGGAAAACATTAGATATACTTATATGGTTTTTAAGGTTCTAAATGATGTAAGCCCTAGACACCAGTCTCAGCTCGAGCCACTCTACCCTTTGCTTTCTCCAGTCCAGACAAACCAGTTGCTTTTTCATTTTCCAAATGTATTATTCTTCTTGTATCATCTTATGATATTTGCACATTTGCAGTCACTGTTTCTTGAGAAATTCATTCTATTCCATTTATCTAATTCGTTATCTTTAGACTTGGTCTTCAAGATATGTTTCTCAGATTTTTTTTCTCCTTTTTTATTTTTAATTTTTGTGGGCACATTGTAGGTGTATATCTCAGATAAGATTCCTCATATGCATCTTTTCTAGATCCTTTGGTTAGCTCTCTTTCCTCCACATGCCAGTTGAGTTTTCAAGTACATAACAAATTACATAATTATTTGTTTAGCGCTGATTTTTCACACACATGTAGCCTCAGTGTGGATATTTCTTTGGTACATGACTTAATCCCCAGTAACTAGTAAGATGACTATCCACTAAAGAGTTCAAAACATTGAAAGAAAAAATGTTATCAAGAAAAAAATAATAAAAGTTTAGAAAATATATTATTCTTTTCTAAAAATTGAAAGAGAAGATCTGTATTAGCATGATATTAAAAATCAAGAAGGACAAATAGTTCAAAAGAGAATTATAAATTTAACATTTCATCTTGGCAAAGAAATAAATGATTAGTTAATGATCAGTATTATTGTAATTGTCTAACCATCTGGAATCATAAACAGTGTGAGATGCCCAGGTTATACCAAATAAACTCTACATGAATATATATGCAAATTTATATGTAAAGATTTATATGTAAAATGATATAATTTTATTAAATTATGGGAAGTAAATATGCATAAATATTTATACAATCTTGGTCTGAATACAACCTATAAAATTTGAGGGCAAAGGCATATATGACACAAGAAATGTATAGTGATTGAAACCAAATAAAAATTGAAATATTGGCCAGGCACAGTGGCTCACGCATGTAATCCCAGCACTTTGGGAGGCCGAGGAAGGTGGATCACCTGAGGTCAGGAGTTTGAGACTAGTCTGGCCAACATGGTGAAACCCCATCTCTACTAAAAACACAAAAAATTAGCTGGGCATGATGGTGTGTGCCTATAATCCCAGCTACTTGGGAGGCTGAGGCAGGGGAATTGCTTGAACCAGGGAGGTGCAGGTTGCAGTGACCTGAGATGGTGCCACTACACTCCAGTCTGGGTGACAGAGTGAGACTCCATCTCAAAAAAAAAAAAAAAAGAAAAAGAAAAAGAAGAAATACTGTTAGTAGAAAAAAATTCATAAAAAGAAGTATTCACAACAGGAGGGTAAAAGTTGTTTAATATATGTGATGGAAAATAAATTATTGTCCTTATATGTTAAAGTCTTTGTGATTATTTAAGAGATAATCACCAAGAAAATGACAAATGTCTAAGTTAAAGAAAAAAATAATGATTTTAAAAAGGCAATTCATACAATATTAAATGCCGAATTACATGGTAATTTCGACTGCATTAATAGCCATGGGAATGAAAATAGAAATGGTATATTATTTAATTAGGATGGCAATGATTAAAAGAATGATAATATAAGAAATAAATTAAAGAATATATTAACATAATTAAGGAATGATCAGAAGAACTAGCTAACATGGAAAAAACAGACATTGTTATACAAAGCTGGCAAGATTATAAATTGAAATTACCTTCACAGAGGACAAACTGGCATTATGAGTCAAAAATGTTTAGAATGGTCACACTCACTCATTCCTCTCTGAAAAACAACCTAAGAAAATATTCAATTGAACACAAATGGACATGTCTTACTTGTCATTTAGTGTCCTATTTGCAAAAGTGAATAGGACTTTATGGCATAATTATTTATATTACCCATGTTTGCAGGTACACCTAATTTCCTTCCCCTTGCTATTAAAAATTTTGTTTTTTACAATTAGCATTGTACTAATTTAAAAACAGACATATGTTCAAATGGAGCAGGTCAGAGAGCCCAGAGATAAATCCAGTATTTCCAACTAACTGATTTTCGACAAAGGTACCAAGAACATTGATTGGGAAAAGGACAGTCTCTTCGATAAATGGTGCTGGGAAAACTGGACATCTGCAAGCAGAAAAAATGAAACTATATCCCTATCTCTCACCATATATAAAAGTCAAATCAAAATTGTTTAAAGACTTACAAATGCAAGACCTGAACCTGTGAAACTACTAGAAGAAAACATTAGGGAAATGCTTTAGAACATTAATCTGGGCAAAGATTTTGGGGCAAGATCTCAAAAACACAGGCAACAAAAGCAAAATAGACAAATTAGATAACATCAAGCTAAAACGCTTATGCACAGCAAAGAAAACAATTAACATAGTGAAGAGACAATATATAGAATGAGAGAAAATATTTCAAAATCATATTAATTAAAAGTTTGTTGTTAGTACTGAAAAAGACAGTAGTTAGACCAATAGAGCAGGAGACAGCACAGAAAAAGTCCTGAGCACAAATGTGAAATCATATATGACAGAGGCAGCATCTGGAGAAAAAAATAACTATTCAATGCATGTTAACAAGACAAGAGACTATTCATAGGAGGGAAAATTTTCAGATTCCCATTATAGTCATGCAGAAAAATAAATCCTCAATGGATTAAAGACCTAAATGTGCAAAGCAAAATTATAAAGACCTATGAAGAAAATAAACAAGCATATGTTTATACCTTAGGATTCGTAAGGATTTCTTGCAAAGATACAAGATATAAAAAATTATTGGTAGAGTTGATAACAATAAAATTAATAAACTATAAAAAAAGTTAAATTACAAACTAAACCAGAAGTTATTTGCACTGCATTGTCTGGCAAAGGATTATATCTAGAATATATGAGGATATTGTACAAATCACTAAGTAAAACAATTTAATGGGTAAAATTATCCAAGAATGTAAATAAAAGCTAATAAACATAAGGAAATATTCTGAAATATTCTTTCTTGAATAAAAGAACTGCCATTCTCATATTAATATCCTTCTTATTAGATTATGTTATCAAACATTTTAAAATCTGACAATTCGAATGTTTTTTTGTGGATGTAGGACACAATGTATATTTCTGGTGGTAGTGTAAATTGGTACTACTTTGCATAATGAAAGTGGAAATACCTAGTAAAATCAAATATGCCCCCCCCACACACACACAGACACACGCACACTACAACCCATAATGTTCACCTCTAGATAGGTTTTCTATAAACCAGAGGAAACCTATCATATCTGTAATAGGATATATACAAGAAAATCTGCTGAAGGTTTTTATAATAGAAAAATATTGAAATTATTGTTACTGCCTATATACAGAAGAAGATTAAAAATCTAAGATATTAGGCAATGCTATTCATTTAGGACAGGCACAGGAAAAGATTTCTTGATGAAGACGCCAACAGCAATTGCAACAAAAGCGAAAATTGACAAATGGGATCTAATTAAACTAAAGAGATTGTTCACAGCAAAAGAAACCATCAACTGAGGAAACAGAATATCTACAGAATGGGAGAAAGTTTTTGCCAGTTGTGCATCTGACAAAGGTCTAATATCCAGCATCTAAAGGAACTTGAACAAATTTATAAGAAAAAAAAACCTGGACAAGTACATGAACAGACACTTTTCAAAAAAAAGAGGCATACATGCAGCCAAAAATCATATGACAAAAAGCTCAGTATCACTGATGATTACAGAAATGCCAATCAAAACCACAATGAGATACCATCTCACACCAGTAAGAATGGCTATTATTAAAAAGTCAAAAAATAACAGATGCTGGCAAGGTTGTGGAGAAAAAAAACCCTTATACACTGTTGATGGGTGCATAAATTCGTTTAGCCATTATGGAAGACAGTGTGGCGATTCCTCCAAGGCCTAAAGACAGAAATACCATTTGACCCAGCAGTCCCGTTACTGGGTATAAACCCAAAGGAATGTAAATCATTCTGTTATAAAGACACATGCACGTGTATGTTCACTGCAGCACTATTCACAATAGCAAAAACATGGAATCATCCTAAATGCCTCAGTGATAGACTGGATGAGGAAAATGTGGTAAATATAAACCATGGAATGCTATGTAGCCATAAAAAGAACAAGATCATGTCCTTTGCCAAGAGGTGGAAGAAGTTAGAGGCCAATATCCTTAGAGAACTAACACAGGAACAGAAAACCAAAAACTGCATGTTCTTACTTATAAGTAGGTGCTAAATGATGAGAACACATGGACACATAGAGGGGAACAACACACACTGGGACATATTGGAGAGTGGAGGATGGGAGAAGGGAGAGGATCAGGAGAAAAACTAATGGGTACTAGGCTTAATACCTGGGTGATGAAATAATCAGTACAACAAACCCCTATGACTCACGTTTACCTATGTAACAACCTGCACATATACCCCTGAACTTAAAATAAAAGTTAAAAAAAAATCTAAGGTATATCACTGTGTTGGAAAGCTACTTAGTAGTGAATTAATGAAATAGAACCACATGAATCCATGTAGATAGATCTTAAAAAAATACGAAATGTGTGAAAAACCAAGCTGTGGAAGTATGCCACCTGTTATGGTAAATACTAAAAGCATCCAAATCGATATCATATATTGATGAAAACTGTAGAACACCATCCTCACTCCAGTGATTTTACTGTGCTGGCTCACAATTTAGAAAGGGAGGTCTAAGTCATCGAATATTAGCAATTGCAATATCTTCAATCAAAATATGTGCATCTTTGGTCAATACCTGAGTGACAAAAGAGAGAGAAGAGATTTTCTGTAGCCTGCTTTCTCTCTCTTCTTTTGTAGTTTTGTTTAGAATGGCGTTCTAGTTGGCCATGAGAAGTAGAGAGCAAGCCACTTGAAAGGTAATCTCTCAGCAGGAATGTTCACTGCTTAGTCTAGCAGTTTCCTTTGAGCTACTCTGTGTGAAGACACTTTCCTGACTGCTGGTAGAGTGGCAGAGCTACAAGTACTTTTTGAGAGTAAAAGGGATGACACTTTGGGCTCTAGATCAGTTAGAGGGCTGCCATATGACAGAGGCTATTACCACTGTGGAAAACTGTACATGTTTATTTACCTTTTTTTTTCTGGTAAAAATCCCTAGAGCACTGGGTTCCTGCCCCAAATCTGACTCCATGTTAGGAACCAGCTGCAACAATGGTCCCACTTTGCTAAGGGGAGGACTGATACTCAGAGTGATCCAAGACCTCCATGTCAGTAACTGAAACATTTAAATACTTTCATCTTGACTGCTGTATCTCTGACCTTCACACAGACCAGCAAGCAAAAGGTTAATGCACTTCTTCAAGATGTATCTGTTTTTACTGGTATTTGAGCTTTTCAAAATTCTAATATTTTATTATCACCTTGGCTTGGAGACCAGTTATATAAATAAAAGTTTAGAGGGATGATTTTTATGCTTTTCTGCCACACACACACACACACACACACACACACACACACACACACACACAGATTTACATAAAAAAATTAATGTGGAACAGATTAACATATAGAGTATATTGTGCATTATTTATATTAAGGGATGTCTTTGGGATGAACGCCTATGATTGTGAGGTAAAGGGAGCTAGATTTGGCAGAGAGAGAAGTTGAGGTACAATGTAAGTCAACAACAGTCTGAGCTGACTCCACAGGGAGCTGTGGAGCTCATATGACCCATTGTAGGTACACCTCATTGAGACAAAATGGCTAAGTCTTTATAATCTCCATCAGTCAGTGGATTCTGCTGACTCACGTAGGGCGTGACCTTAGGTGATGTTGCTCTACAGCTCAGGCCTTCTCCAAGTCACTGGCACCTGAAAGGTCTCTGTTGACAGGAATTCCATCAGCAGAGGAAACAAGTCCTTCCTTGAAGAGAAATCTAGGTGGTACATCTCCACGTTCATCATAAATCAGCACCATGGTTTTATTATAGCACTGAAAAAAAGATAAATGCACTTTAAGATAGGTTTGGCTTTAAAACCTGAATATAAATCAAGTTTTTTAAACTGTATGTTTTAGTACATGCACAATATTTTAAATTTGGACTTCCACAGATACTACCCATTAATGTATGTGAGATTAAATATCTTCCTGTAGTCTAAAAATGTTAAATCAGTTTCACCATTTCTCTTATTACCTCTTTTAATTTTGCCCCTCTGTTTCTTCTTCATTTTATCTACTTTCTTTATAAAATACTTCTCCTTCATATAAATCATAAATAAACTCAGGAGAATAATAATGTCAGGGTCAGATTAATGTAGAATATACTAGAAGAGTGACATTACAGATATTAGAAACCACTTACAGATTCTTTTACTATTAATAGGCTCACACATTTGTAGCAACTTCAAGTTTGATGTACCATATGACTCAATTCCCTCTACTTACACTACTATAATTTTCCTCAAATTTTCTTGTAGACCAGAAGAAAATTTGGAAGATTCTAAGCATTACCATCTGTCTGAGCCAGTCTACATTAGAGAACAGAGCCTGAGGTGACACTTACGTGCTATACTTTATTAGGCATGCAACACCAGGGGAGCAAGAATGAAAAGACCCCTGGAGCCAGCGAGAGAGAGCATAATGGTTAATTTTATGTGTTATCTCGATTGGGCCAAGGGATGTCCAGATAGCTGGTTAAACTTTATTTCTGGGTGTGTCTGTGAGGAGGTTTCAGGGAGAGATTAAGGTTTGAATTGGTAGACTGAGTAAAACAGATGGCCCTCCCCAGTGCAGATGGTCCTCATCCAATCAACTGAGGGCCTGAATAGAACAAAAAGAGGGAGGAAGACTGAATTAACTGCCTGACTGTTGTGCTGGAACATCAATCTTCCCTTGCTCTTGCACTCCTGATTTTCAGGTAGACCTGAACTAGAATTTAGATCCTTGGCTCTCTAGCTCTCAGGCCTTCAGATTATACCACCATTGTTCCTAGGTCTCCTGGACAGCAGATAATGGGACTTCTCAACCTCTATAAATATGTGAGCCAATACCCTATAGCAAATATCTTCATGGATAGACAGATGTAGATAGATGTCCTATTGCTTCTGTTTTTCTGGAGAACCCTGACTAACATAGAAAGTGAATAAAAGGTGACTGCTGAAGATATCTTCACAAGAAAGTACAACTGTTTCCTTAGTCACTATGGATGGTGCTTAGAAACTGTCAGAGGGGAAGAAGGACAAATAATTTATCTTCTTGTTCCTTCCAGTATATTTTTTCTTACTGTTCAAAGGTTGGTCCAGAGGCATTAATTCCTTGACAATTTCATGGTATACTTTATACAGCCCCACCAGGCAATCACTGGAAAAGCCAGATTGTTCTTCCCTCGTCATGGAACCTCACCAGAGTGTGGACATTGTGAATGAAACCAGAGTCTCCATAGATCTAGCAACATTAGGATGAAAGCCATGCACAATGCTGGCCTTCTTATCTGGGGATACTAAGTTGTCAGGAAACAAAGCTAAGGACATAGATTGGGATTGCATGCACAGGCAAGCTACACTAATACTGATTGAGCTGGCTCAGGGGTTTCCCTACTAACCCAAGGATAGAGAAACTGGAGAAGCTCAGGTGAGTCTGAATCTGGCTATACAACCAGGCCTGAGTGAAATGAAATGAAAACCTAAGAATTTTTGCCTTCCCAAGAGGTTTTGCCTTTCCCAAGGTTTCAATCAGTTAATGACCATGCTGATCTGGATGGACCTTTTGGCTCTATCTCCCTTTCACTCCTGCTACTATGTGTTATTTTCATTTCTGAAAAAGTAAAGAATGAACAGAAATTAATAGAAAGCATGTATCTCAGTTGCACATTCACAGAAGTCAAAATTTATAAACTCATTCTATCATTAAATCTCATATTGTATGGAGAGAAAGACTAGGTAAGAAAAATAATTTTGTACACCCTGGAAAGTGACTTTTAGAACTTGAAAGTAATATGTAGATAGCTATGGTATTTCTTTAACCATGCCCTTTTTTTTCTCAAAGTTATGGTGAGAAATAAGATGTTATTCCTGGCCTAAATATAAATAACTAGAAATTATCTAGTTATCTAGCAAACTTGTTAATTTTTACTCCACATCTGTCGTTACAAAACAACTTTTAAAGTCATCTTCATTATTTAATATAGACTTTGATTTTTTTAATATTCAATAATAATTTGGATTTCAAAGGGCATTTCAGCAATCTCCCTAAAGATACAAATCCAGTATTTTCAGAATAGATGTCTTATTAGAGAAAACCTGGGGACTGACAAGGATTTTTTGTGATTTGGGGTCAGTTCTTGGGTTATATTTTCTTTCAGAATGAAGTTCTTCTCTGCTCATTACATGCTGTGTTCCTTTTATTCACTTTATTATTATTTTTGCTATATTAACTTTGCCTAAATTCTGACTTTTGTCCTTCATTTTGCTCTTTTGTGTAGATTGGCAGCTCTATTTAGACCCTTTATTTTATACTGAAATAGAGTAAGTTTTTCTTGATTACTGTGTATCTGAAGCCTCTCTCTCCTCTGAGCCTTTTGTTGAAGACTGGATTTTTGTAGCACATGGACTGGGGGTTGTAGGAGGCTGCAGAACCGGAATGGTTCAGTAGGACTATGTGGTCTCTACATCCATTTTTGTCCAAGTTTCGTTAAGTACTCCACACCTGTGTTCATTCCACTGTGTCGGGGTTGCATCCCTGCCCAGTGCAGATATGACCTTTGACTTCAGATAATTCCCATAACCCAATTTGGAGACACTGACACATTCACTATGATTAGTTCAGTTGTTATCTCATCTTTTCTCTTATATCCACTTCCTAACAATAGAGGAGAAAAACATATGCATAATGTGGTTTTGGCATTTACTTTCTAAAATTATTTTTTAAATTTTTTGTGGGCACCTAGTAGGTATATATATTTATGGAGTACATGAGATGTTTTGATACAGGCATGCAATGTGAAATAAGCACATCATAGAAAATGGGGTATCCATCTTCTCAATCCTTTGAGTTACAAACAATTCAATTACATTCTTTATTTTAAAATATACAACTAAGTTTTTAATGACTATAGTCACCCCAATGTGCTATCAAATAGTAAGCCTTATTTATTCTTTTTACATATTATTTTTTACCCATTAACCATACTTACTCTTCCCCCCAATCCTCTACTACCCTTTCCAGCCTCTGGTAATCATTCTTCCTTCTACTCTCTATGTCCATGAGTTAAACTGATTTAATTTTTAGATAAAAAATATTGTGGTGGGGGAAGCAGCTGAGGATCTCCATAGGCAATGTCTTCCTCCCACTTGCTCCCAACTTCTTGCTTATTTATTTTATCTTTTATCTTCTGCTTGATTAAATTGCAGTTCGCTACTGGAAATAATTAGCACTGAGCATTTATGGGACTGTTTAGCTTTTCCTTTACGGCTTTGTGCCCATTAGGGAATCACCAAAATGGTGAAGTATAGTCATTTTCCCAGCCCCTTACAGTGACTCAGAAGAGGTCAGGTGGGGACTTCTAATCTTGTGGAAATGTCTACTTCCTCCCCCAGACTCCCAAAACTCATCTGCCTTCCATTATTCTCTTGAGTGGAGCTATGGGTGATACTTTTCAGGACATTGGTTTCTCATCTAATCCCCAAGCCCCTCCTCAACACACAGTGAGCAAAATTTGGCACTGCTTCTACTGGCCCAAGCCAAAACATGTCAATATTTTGAGCACAGTACTACCCATTTCTTTTGCTATCCTGCAATCATTTTCTTTCTTTTTTTTTTTTTCTTTTTCTTTTTGGAGACAGAGTCTTACTCTGTCACCCAGGATGGAGTGCAGTGGTGCAATCTCGGCTCACTGCAACCTCTGCCCCCTGGGTTCAAGCAATTCTCCTGCCTCAGCCTCCCGAGTGGCTGAGACTACAGGTGCCTGCCACCACGCCTGGCTAATTTTCATGCTTTTTGTAGAGATGGGGTTTCACCATGTTGGCCAGGATGGTCTCAATCTCTTGACCTCGTGATCAGCCTGCCTTGGCCTCCCAAAGTGCTGGGATTACAGGCGTGAGCCACCATGCCCAGCCAATCATTTTCTTTTATCATATATTTGATTTGCATAGTTTTGTTGTGTTTTGTTTAACTTTTTGATTCTCCCCATTGCTTGATTTTCTCATAAACAGCTTTTACTATTTTAACGTAAGTTAACTAGCTTAGAATTAATGTCTAGAAAAGATAACCTTCTAAATGACTAAAATATGAATGTATTTACAGAAGGACTGCTGTGATCAGTGTTAATGGACAAAATATATGAAAAGAGTAAAGGGGTCATTGATTCTTTCTCCATGTTTTTTTTCTCATTGCATGTTTATATTTATTTCCTTGATATAGTGTTCTCGCCTGGAAGAGTCTGTCTTCTCTTTCATTGTGTACTTTGAGTATTCACAGCATATTATACCAGTGTTCTTAGGAGGCACTTGAATCTCCGTATTCTCATTACTCACAGAGAAGAAAGAACAAGAAGGTGTGGTTGAATTCTGACAAGGGACTTTCTCCTTCCTCCATTTCTCAGCTCATTACACACACACATACACACACACACACACACACACTCTCTCTCTCTCTCTCTCTCTCTCTCACTCTCTCTCTCCAATGTGTGTGGTCATCATAGAATGTTGGGAGCAGGCCCTCAAATCTGGCTATAAACTGGCCCCAAAACCGGCCATAAACAAAATCTCTGCAGCACTGTGACATGCTCGTGATGACCTTGGCGCCCATGCTGGAAGGTTGGCAGTTTACTGGAATAAGGGCAAGGAACACCTGGCCCATCCAGGGCAGAAAACCACTTAAGGCGTCTTAAACCACAAACTATAGCATAAGCAATCTGTGCCTTAAGGACATGTTCATGCTGCAGATAACTAGCCAGACCCATCCCTTTGTTTCGTCCCATCCCTTTATTTCCCATAAGCAATACTTTTAGTAAACCTTATTACTGGCTTGCTGTCAATAGATATGTGGGTAAATCTCTGTTCTGGGCTCTCAGCTCTGAAGGCTGTGAGACCCCTGATTTCCCACTCCACACTCTATGTTTCTATGTGTGTGTGTCTTTAATTCCTCTAGCACCGCTGGGTTAGGGTCTCCACAACTGAGCTGGTCTCGGCAATAGACTACAATTTTCTCTTAGCTGTGAAATCAGAAATACAGTGTTCAGAGATTTCCTTTGTGGCTCAACTTTCCCCACTGAAGTCATGTGATATGAGTCCTTATTAAGATCCTCCTCTGGAAAAGGTAATGGCCACTATCAAGAAAGTTGATGGGTTTCACTGAAGACAGCACCTACTGCTAGCGAGAAGTAAAATTAGAAAGCAGATGGTTACCTGCAAAGAAAAGGCCTAATTCAGGAAGTTAGCCAAGGCTGCTGTGCTGGTGATGTTGCCAAGACTCCCCAGTATTCTTCACAGCTGCAGGGTTCCATTAAGTTAATAGGAGACTCCTACAATGGCCAGAAATTAATTCAGTCTTTTTGTTTAGCATTGAAAGTTATACTGACTTTATCAAAGTCAAGATGCCAAGCATTAATTGAATACAATTGCCCTAGTAATGTCATAATTTCAGGATTCTGCAGTGTACCTCCACAGAGGATATGACACCTTTAAAAATATTTGGAAAAACTGTGCACACATGTGCCTACACACACACACACACACACTTAGAAGATACACATATAGGAGAGTATATATACATATATCAAGTAGGATATATATATAAATTTTTTTATATGTTTATATTTATATATTGTATATATTGTATATTTATGTATGTATGGAAAGTGCCCAAAAGAAATCATTTGATTTATGATTGTGAAGCTGACAATCAATTTATATTCTGACAAAGTGGCCATTATATTAAAATGTATCCTATATTTGTTGAATGAATGATACTAGAAGATAATGGTTTTATTATAATTTGTGCTACTATAAACAAATATAAATTGTCAATAGTTTATAACTAATTAAGCAACTAGTTAGTCTAAACAGAATGAGTATGAGCTAGAAATTATTACCACAAAGGAAAACAAAACAATAAAATGTAATTTATATAAAAGAGCTAGCCCAGAGTCACTATTTAATAAATGGTAGCTTTTGTGATAATAATGATTCTAAAGTATTTTCTTTTCAACTATTGTTTCTGTATAATACTAACTTCCGAAAAATACACTAAAGCAGTATGTACTAGAAAAACATTCTTAAGGAACTTAGTAACTACTTAATAAAAGCTGAAACAGAGTGAGAGAGTTATGTTACAAAGGATTAGAGGTAAACTGGGATAGGGAATCATCCAGGAAATGATGAACTAAGGGAATCCATTGCAACTGAGCACAAAACTTATCTCTGAATATAAGTCAAGGAAAGAAGAAAAACATAATGAGACATAGCTTTAATAACTGAAAAACAAAGAATCATACCAATTTTCCAGAAGAGACAAATACTCCCGTATCTATGCAATCCATCAGAAATTTATCTCGTATTTCTATAAATAGAACGTGCTACTTCCAGTTTGCTAGGGGCTGTTCCAATATAAAGCCTGTAATTATCTATGTAAAACTTTCTTTTTTTGTGTGTGTGTTCTCACTCATAGGTGGGAATTGGAAGGGGAACATCACACACCGGGGCCTGTTGTGGGGTGGGGGTGGGGGAAGGGGGAAGGATAGCATTAGGAGATATACCTAATGTAAATGATGAGTTAATAGGTGCAGCACACCAACATGGCACATGTATACATATGTAATAAACCTGCACGTCGTGCCCATGTACCCTAGAACTTAAAGTAAATAAAAATATATATATTATATATAAAAATCTATGTAAAACTTCCACTCAAAAATGTTAATGTTTACAAAATAAATTACATGGTCATCCTCTTTAATAGCAGAAAAGGTACGGAAACACATGGATTAATCTAGTTTTAATGAGGCCTGAAATATATTGGAGGCCTTTTTAAAGAAACAGAATATACAATTATATATACAATATTAGAAAATATTTATTTTGTGAAAAAATAAATCTCACAAATTGATACTTGAAAACTTGACAAAAAAACTAACAGTCTGCAGTAACTCAATATTTTTGCCTATGTTTGTTGACTGTATTCTCTAGGAACACCTCTTCCTAGGACAACAATTTTATTGTATTATCTATAAAGAGAATAGCACAATTAAATGTTTTTATTATTACTGATAGTTGTAAGAAGTTTATTAGAGCTTCATCATTTGTAATGCCACATAAATTTTTAGTATTGTTGTCAAATTTGGGAAAATTTCAATCAAGTTCCTTTTATATATGAGCTGTAAGAATTCAGGAAATTTATATTTTAAGTTCTCTTGGAATGACTAATTTTAAGTATTTCTTAAACTGACAGCATACGTCAAGCCAATACGGTATCAATGCTTTGGTTCCTGTAATGTATGAGTCTTGTTGTCTCTATTAATGTCAGCAATTCCTGTCAAATTGAAGTTGAATCAGCAAGAAATGTAAACACTTTCTATGTATTCACATAATGAATTCCTCTTCATTTACTGGATTATCAAACAATCCAGAAGTCTATTTGTTACTTCTATAAGAAATTTATCTTTCTTCTTCAGGATTTTACTGTTTTAAGTATGATCTAGTTAGTATTTTATCTGAAAGATCAAGAGTTCAGCAAGAGAAGAGCTGTTGGATAAAAAGATACGATCTGAAACACTGGAATGCATAAAACATGCAACTTCACACACACTTACTTGCTGTTTATAGTACTTCTACAGGTTTGTGTCTTACAAAGACAGGAATTCTGATAGATCTTTTTCTCTATATTCCCATGGGGGAAAAATGTCCTGCGGTTGTTTAAATTATTTATGCTATGTTAAGTTTATTCCTGGCAGGGAGAAATTTCTATATTCACTTCGCATCAATGGGAACAGAATTGTCTGCTAACCATTTTGCATGTTTTATAGTTAGAAGAGACTGCCATCACACAATACAACCCATTATATTTCAAATAAAGGTTTGACCAACCCAAATTCCTCCTAGATACCTAACATTTCTGGGGCCACACTAACTTCACCAGACAAGGAAAGAATTGTGTCAAAGGAGAAGGTGGAATGAACTCAGGCAGTGGTTTTAATAAGTTGTTGAGAAAATATTTTATTTCTGGAAATTTTATGAAATTTTCTACTTTATGAACCCAGTGTAAGGGCCCCTCTCAGAGCTGAGGAAGGTACCTATGGGAGTAACAAGCCCTGAAGGCATAACTTCATTGTCTCCATGGTAAATCTGACTGGGCAGATGTGATACACGGGGACTTCCATTAATGCAGATCTCAGTAAAGTCCTAGGGCCACGAGTTAAGTAGGAGTCAACCCTACGAAGTCTTGAAATACAGCTTTGTAGGTTGTTTTACTATAAGGAATCTAGAAAAATTAATGTTTAGAATATCCTAGTTTAATATCAATACTCTAAGCAAAATTTTTTTATGAAACAATTTAAAATTGAGATAGGTAGGGAAGGAATTCTGTATCACCAATCTGAAAGATATCTACATGTCTGAACATGTAATATGATATATTCAGACTTTAATTTTACTAGTATCATCTTCCATAAGGGCGGCCCTGGTATTTTCCAATCTGATCTCCAGAATATTGACTTTGCTGGGCAGAGGCTAATAACGAATATATTTATATATCAAAACATATGTCTTTTATTCGGGATTTTATGAAGTTATCTGGAGTTATAGAACATGACTGAGCCTACTCTACTCCTCTGCATAAGGACTACAGATATCAACATTGACAATTAGTTAAGAAAAATAATTTCCTATGTCAAAGTATGTGACATTGCCAGTTTTATAAAATGCCTGCATAGGAAGAAATTATTTGCAGTGGATCTTGAGAAAGTAATTGGCTCAAAGGAAAGACACTTTAAATAGGAGAAAACAACTTGACAAAAATTGTGAAGATAGGACATGTTTTCTTAAAACAATACACTTTTTGAAAGCAGTAACACTTTCTCTATTAAAAATGAATTTCAGTAGTCTTAAAGTCCCTAATCATTCCCATTATAATAGTTTTCTCTCAAAATTACTGAGAAAAATAAACAAAAGGAAAAAGCAAATGGCTTATTTCATGAATTATTTACATCTTTACTAAGAAAACAAAGGAGTTGAGAAGAGAAAAGGCTTGGCTTCAAGACTTTGATCTTTCTGGCTAGCATGGAGAGCTCCATGCATGAGAGGACAAGGAAACCCAAGAGGTTCTCTGGGGCTTGTGAAAAGAAAAAGGGACAATTGGGGCCTCTTTTTGAGGAAGCACAGAAAAAACAATCCTTTTGTTTCCCGTCTTGAGGGGAAACATGGTGTGGGCCTCACTCAATGATTTTATCTTCTCAATCATCAGTATTATGCTGATGATTGAGATCATAAGGCCTGATATTCAAGGCTTGGAATAGTAGTCTCGCGTTTCATTTTCTCCTGTCCTTCTGAATATCTTCTTGGTCTATTTTCTCCTTATCCCATGTATTCTGAGTTGTGATGTTATCATTCATTAAATTATGTTTAACTTTTCTAGCATCCTTCAGGATGCTAGACAATTAGCAAACGTGTATGATATGTTTTCGTAGACAAACATACATCTATATCTGACTAATGCAAGAATTTGTACTTTGTAATTTCTGTGCACAGTCTTGCCCCAGCCCTGAAGAAGTAGAGAAACATCATTACAAAATATTGTAGGTAATTAAAGTATTGTAATTGAGGATTATTCTCCCAAAACATACCTACAATACTTGTATTTTCTATTTTTAAACCAAAGACTCACTTTCTCTTCTATAGTCAATAATAGAGGAAATACATTTTTAACATTATTGCCATCTTTATATAACATTGGAATGAATTTCTTCCTCCAAATCTAATTTTTAAAAATAAATTGCATAATATGTTTTCAAGTATAGTGTGAGTCTATATTCCATTATTTCAATTGGGAAAAGTCATAATATATTCCTTGCCTAATGAAAAGTCTCAACCACAAATACTATGAAAACTTTCTCGGACATCTAAATATCACATAAGGTAAACTGTTTACAACACCAATTAAGTAATTAATATCTAGCTAGCTTGTTAGTGGCATGTATGTATTCTAAATGCAATGATAACATATAGAATCAGATACAAACTATATTGCAATAACACATATTGAAATATTAATAAAATTGAAAACATGATTTAGATAGGTAAGAAATGCACACAACAATTAGCAGAATAAAATACAACAAAGCCATTATAAGACTGGTTTAAATATTGAAATATGTTCTACTAAAATATTTTCTTATATGGGATATAAAAATTTACAATCACAACAAACATTTTCAAAATGAGAGTTTGGAGTTAAAAAGCTTCATTTTTACACATTTTAAGCAAAAGGGAAAGAATGATTTCAGTTCAGATTTTTTTTAAAGAAAATATCTCTAAAAGCATTTCTAAATGTATTGTGAGTGACTGAGTAAAACCTAGCTAATAACTTCAGTTTAGAAATGCAAATTATATTTTACATTATTCACTTTCAATAAGCCATCAGTGAAAGGTGATGCCACTGATAATAATTTTTCTTTACCATTAAAAGTAACCAAAAGTTCCTTTCAACACATTTTTATTTCTGCTGTCTATAAAACAGTTCTTAAATCTGTGACAATTATATTTTTAAAGTTAAAAACTATTTTTTCACAAAAAGCAATGGATTTTTTTAAAAAAAGGAAATATAAGAAAATCCACCAGTACTATATATATATAATGACAAAAAAATGGGTCATACTTTTCACATCTTTTTATGATCCCAAGTTATTCTAAAATATGGTTAGATTCTCTTTCTTAGTGAGATTTAGAATTGGAAATGATCTTGTCAAGCTATCATGTAAAACCTTAGAACATATTTTGCCTAGTAGTGCTTTTCCCAAAGATTAAAAAAGGATTAATTTTTTATGCTTTAAAAAAATCATTAGTTCAGATTTTGTTAATTTGAAATTGTTGTCATTTCAACCAGTACTGGACTGAGGTTTGCCTCTTTTAAATAATATTTATTGAAGCATAACCTACATAAGGAATATGCACAAATTATATGTTACAGTTTGATGAATTTTCACAAACTGAACACACCCAGCTAGATCAAGAAACAGTATTTCACCAGCCTCCTAGAAGCACTCTCTTGTGACCTCTTCCAGTGAGTACTAACCCCTTGGTCTAAGATTATTCCTGACTTCTAACACCGTAGATTAAGTTGGCCTGTTTTTAACTTTACATACAAATCATACAATATGTAGTCACTTTTGTCTGGATTATTTCACTAAGGATTCTCATTGTGAGATTGATCTATATTATTGAGAGTAGTTGCCACATTTTTTATTATCATTGCTGTGTAGTATTTCATTGTATGAATGTATCAAAATTCATCTATTCAGTCTTCTGTCATTGGACATTTGCGTAGTTTCTAATATGGGACTATCATGAATAGTGCTGTGATAAACATTTTATATGTCTTTTGGTGAACCCATGTACACATTGCTGTCCAAATAGAAATTGCTGGGTCAAAAGATATGGATATATTCGTGGTTAGTGGATAGTACCAACTAATTTTCCAGAGAGTTTTTCAGTGATTGCATCAAGCTATATCTCCCACCAAGAGTGTACGTGACTTTTGGTTTCTCCACATTCTCACCCATATTTAGCACTGTCTTTCATTTTCATTTTAATCATTCTGGTGAGGAAATTTGCCATTTTTATCTGTAAAATCCTTTTCTAAGCAAAGTAGTAATGGAAGTAATGATTAATCATAGCATTGTCTATATTTCCTTGCGCAGTTGTGACTGTTTCACCATTTGAAATGGCACACTTTCAGTGTCAAGTGTAGCAATCAATAGATGCTGTTGTATATAATATAGTTATGCGTACCCTTTTTCATTATTTTTTATTCAAAACACTCAATTTTAGATAGAACACTAGACTCTTCCCTATTTGAGAAGAGTAACCTAAAAAATCATAATAGAAATCTGTTAAATCTTCTTAATGCATTATCTATCCAGGATTCTTCACTTCTCTGTAACTATTTTACAGTCATGAGTTGCTTAAGAACAGGGATACCTTCTGAGAAATGCATATGTAGGCAATGCCTTTTCTTTGGGTGAACATCATAGACTATATTTATTTTTTATTTTTTATTTTTTTGAGATGGAGTCTCACTGTGTTGCTCAGGATGGAGCGCAGTGGCATGATCTTGGCTCACTGCAACTTCTGCCACTCAGGTTTGAGCGATTCTTCTGCCTCAACCTCCCTAGTAGCTGGGATTACAGGTGCCTGCCACCACGCCTGGCTAATTTTTGTAGTTTTAGTAGAGACCAAGTTTCATCATCTTGGCCAGGCTGGTCTTGAACTCCTGACCTCATGATCCACCCGCATCAGCCCCAGAAAGTGCTGGGATTACAGATGTGAGCCACTGTGCCCAGCCCATAGACTATATTTAAACAAATCTAGATGGTAGAGCCTACTAAGCACCTAGGCTATATGCAATGGCCCATTGCTCCTAGGCTAAAAACCTGCACAACACATTACTGGACTAAATTTTGTAAGCAATTATAACACAATGCTAATATTTGTGTATCTAAACACAGAAAAAGAACAGTCAAAATACAGTATAGAAGCTAAAAAGTGGCCCAACTATACGAGGCTTTTATCACAAATGAAGCCGGAAGTTGCCCCAGTGAGTCAGGGAGTACGTGATGAGTGACTGAAGTCTTAGGACATAACTGTTACACTACTGTAAACTTGATAAGCACTGTACATTTAGGCTACACTAAATTTGGAAAAACATATTTTTTATTCTTCAATAATAAATTAACTTTCACTTACTATAACTTTTTTACTTTATAACCTTTTCAATTCCTTAACTTTTAACACTTAGTTTAAAATACAAATGCATTGTACAGCTATACAAAAATATTTTGTCTATATACTTATTCTTTAAGATTTTTTATTTTCAAAATTAAAAAAATTTAATTTTAAAGCTTTTCAAATTAAAAACTGAAACACAAATACACACATTAGCCTAAGGCACATAGGGTCAGGATCAGCAATATCATCATCTTCCATCTCTATATCTTGTCCCACTGGAAGTCTTCATCTCCTATAAGAAGAATGCCTTCTGGAATACTTCCTGAAAGACCTGCGCGAGGCTTTAATAGTCAATTTTTTTAATAAGTAGTTTTTTAAATAATAAGTTTATATAATAATATGTTTATATGATATATAGTAACATACATTTTTTAAATAAGTAGTCTTAGTTTTTAAAAATAACAATAAAATGTAGAATATATATTAAATACATAAACCAGTTAACATAGTCATTTATTATCAAGTATTATGTACTGTACATAATTGTATGTGCTATACTTTTCTATGACTGGCAATTCAGTATGTTTGTTTACACCAGCATCACCCCAAACACATAAGTGATGTGCTTCACTATGACTTTCATGTCACTACGTGATAGGAAGTTTTCAGCTCCAATGTAATTTTATGGGACTACTGTCATCTATGCAATCTGTTATTGATCAAAATGTTATGTGGTACATGACTGTATTTTAAAAATTGAATACATTTAGAAATAAGTGAGGAAAATGTTTAGATCCTTCTAATAGATATCATGTGGTACCTTTTAAATAGGGTGACCTAAATTTCAGGTTGCCTGGGATAGTCCTCCAGGTTTGCAGCTCTTGCCCTGGAGGAGTGCCCCTTTGACTTACAAAGGTATCCTAGTTTGGATAATATATTTATGAACACCCTACTCATACGAAAAACAAGCTCATCTCCTAACATTCTGATTAGTTTAAGTAAGAAACAGATCCTGTCTTTGAGTGGCTTATAGCCTAGAGTAATTTTCTACTTCAGGTTTGTCTGACTCAGCTCACATTTGATGAACTTTATTTGGGAAAAAAATGTTTCATGTTGACTTAATACTGTATGATTTCAAAGTTAGTTGCATAAAATAAATTTGAGATTTCATATTTGTCCTTTTTGCTGGTTTGAGATCTTAAGCAACACTTTTCAGTGTTTCAGAATGGAATTATGTTGCCTTACCATTACCCTTATTTCTAAATGTGAATTCATTTATTGAACTGGAACATTTTCTCTCAATAATATTTTTAAAAATGTTTTCTTTCATTGCTTGATTTCCTTTATTTGTTAAATTTTCTCTCAAAGCAGCACAAACATTGTGTATTTTTTTAAATGACGCTTTGTATTCATTTGAATGTTCTTTTAAGAGAAATGACAGCACATATTAAATGCTTTGTGATAATGCAATGTAGCATAAGCTGGAGACAAAATAAGAGTATATGAGTGCATATAAAGGATGTAAGTATTGAAATTCCTTTTGCAGCCTGAATATATTAGAACATACTATTTTATATACCAAATCCTTGGATTTATGTGGATTACATTATGATATGAGAAGTTTGCCCTGAGTAGTTCTGGCTGTTTTAACTTAATAAAATGGGTATTTGGAGCTTAAAACACTGACCAGGGATGAAGTGTATCTCAAAGGCAGACTCAGAATTAGCTTCCTTGTAAGAAATATGAATTTGATATTTAAGGGACCAATCTGTGCTTATTAATCATAATGAAAATACGGATACAATGTAATCTGGTGGGTGGTTTTGCATCCACGACCAGTAAGTTTGTAGTCTTCCAGCCACCATATCTTAATAAACAGTATCTCAGGATCCTTTCTCTTACACAATCTCCATCGGGTCGAACTATTTGCAACTAGAAATATATACTTTCATGTCCACAATTTGGATTACAGCTGTTCGTAATAATGGTCATGTTACATCTTTGCTCACCCATAACCATGATCTCATTATACTACACTCCTAAGACACAGAATGATCCTAACCTACAAACCAATGATAGTGGAAGTGCTCAGCAGGGAGGAACTTCAGAAATGAGCAGTGGAAATTATGGGGAGTGATCATTAATAGGAACATTATCAGATATCAAGTAAGTGATGATAAAACAAAAAACCATGCAGACAAATCATTGTTTTAAAACCACGAAATAGTTGCCTGGAACTGTCTTCATTCAAAATGCTATGGAGTAAATATACCCATGTATTGCTCTTTATATAGTCTATTGTCCTTTGTGCAGCATGATCTTTTGGTGAATGGTGGGGATCTGAAATCAGCCAGAACTGATTTCGAATCTCTGAGGCTTTAGATAGGTTGCTATTTCTCTAACTCTCACTAGTTTCACATGTAATCTGGAGGTGATAATAATAACAATTTTCTTATGATGTTATGCATATTTATTGAAATGATGTATACAAAGCACTTATCACAGTCATGGCACTTAGTAAATATTCTATAAATGATAGTTATAATTTATTATTTTAGTCTTGTGCTCATGCTAAGACAGCATTGCAGAATAATCAAAGTTGCTCAAAAAATCCCTAGGAAATCTAGAAAATTATTTAAAAATACTGTTATCAAATTTTGAATACTTTTATTCAGGCCTTTCTGAGGGCAAAAAAAAAAAATAATCACAAACAAATAAACCCCAACTTGGGGATATACTGAACAAAAATATATCCACTAATTAATGTTAATAAACACTGTGGGCATGGCATTCCTATTACTCCTCCTCCTACCCGGGAGATTGTAGAAATGCTTTGTCTGGCATGACTAAGGATCTTGCTCAGATCCAGTTGTTCTCTGTCGATTCATTTGCTAGCTCTTTTCCATATGCTACACTATGGGGTTCCAGATTAAAGTCCTGAACTTACTGCTTCCTAGATTGTGATTTTGAGCAAGATAACTACTTTTTTACACCTTTTTTTTCTTCTAACATGGAGGTCAATATAAAGCACAACTGTGTGACATTATCGTGAAGGATAAATAAGGTAAGGCCTAACATATTGTAAAGAGCAAGTAGAAGTTAGCTAACTACTTGTGCTTTAATAGTCACTAACTCTGGAATAGGTTTACCACCAGCTTCAGTTCATTTTTAGTGTCTCTGAAATTGCTGAAGGTTCAGACATGAGGTAATCATTTTAATTAATTATTTCCATGAATCTATGGAGTGCTAGAATTTTAGGAGGCTTGCTTGCTTTTCAAATGCTGCCTGAAGCTGCTTATTAGGAGGAATGTCCTCTGCGCCCTGCATTCGCTTGCTCATTCTCTCTGTTCTCTGTGCTCTCTGATCTGTGTCGCGTCTCTCTCTGAACTGTGCTGCCAAAGTGGGAGATTTTTGTTTTTCAGCTCGAGCTTTAAGTAGGAAAAGAGTTGCTTCTAGGTCATATATGATCTCAGAATGATTCCTTGGCTGTACACAGAAATTCTGGACTGTAAGTTACTTTCTACAGCTACAATTTTGAAGAACCACCCTAGTGGCAGCGACTTAGGAATTTGCTATCTATTTCAATTCACCATTATAACGAATTATCATGTAGACTATTTATCTACATTGAAGTAACACATGGGCTTCAATAACAATATATCATACCTTATGATTTCAAATTATATTATGAATTTTCTAGTTTGTAAGATTCATTTATTCATTTCACTCATTCAACAAATATTTATTAAGCACCTTCCATGTGCTACATACTATTTTAGGTATTAGAGGTTCATTAGGGAACATAGGTGGAGTATGTTAAGTGCAGAAGTTTTAATTTTGAATATTGGCTCAGAGATAACATTTGAGTAAAGGTAAAATAGCAAGCCAGTTGATATTTGGGGAAAGAGTATTTCAGACAGAGGAAAAACAAGCACAAAGACCTGGAAATAGAAGTGTGTCTGAAGTCTTCATGCAGCTGCAGGCTGAGCAAGAAGACGAGTAGAAGATATAAGACCAGAGAAATATGTAGGGATGAGGACAAAATGGGCTTATGCCCCTAAGTCATTGAAAGAATTTTGGCTTTTACTTTGGGTTAGTGTTTACAAACTCAGATTATCTCTGCAAGATAGAGATAAGGAGTACACATATGGGAAGGCTGTCCAGCTATGCAGATACCTGAATGCATTGTTGAGAGTAACTAACTGGAAAAGGAAGTTGTAGGTGGCTCTATCAGTAGGTAGATTAAAGATTCAACCAAGTACAGAAATGTGGTTCGACCTCTATCTCTTCAAAGTGTATGCTACTCAATCTTACACCAGTTATCACAAGACTGAAATTCCATCCTCTTTGATTATTCTTTCTGCTTCAAAATATATTTCTTCAAAAGTACTATTATGAAAAGCAGATATGGTTGAGAACAATAGTACATTTAGCAATGACCAGATCTCTGAGATCAAGGATCTTTGACAGTAGTAAACTCTGTGATAGCTAAAGTAACACCTGTAATTTGGTAAGTACAGTCATGCTCTGTATAAGGACATTTCAGACAACGAATTACTTATATGATGATGGTACCATAAGATTATAATGGAGCTGAAAAATTCCTATCACCTGGTGATGTTGCAGCCATTGAAAAGTCATGGTGCAACATATTACTTACGTTTTTGTGGTGATGCTGGTGTAAACAAGCCTGCTGTGCTGCCAGTCATATACAATTATAGTTCATACAATTAAGTACAGTACATAATACTTGCTAATGATAATAAGTGGCTGTATTATCAATTTATGTATTTACTATACTATACATTTTTTATTTTTTTGAGTTGGAGTCTCGCTCGCTGTGAGGCCCAGGCTGGAGTGCAATGGTGCAATCTCAGCTCACTGCAGCCTCTGCCTCCTGGGTTCAAGCGATTCTGCTGCCCCAGCCTCTCGAGTAGCTGGGACTATAGGCATGTGCCACCATACCCAGCTATTTTTTTTCTTTTTTTTTTTTTTTTTTGTATTTTTAGTAGAGACGAGGTTTCACCATATTGGTCAGGCTGGCCTCGAACTCCTGACCTCAAGTGATCTGCCCACCTTGGCCTCCCAAAGTGCTGGGATTACAGGCATGAGCCACCGTGCGTGGCCTATACTATACATTTTTGGTTTTTTTAAAGATGGGGTCTTCCTATGTTGCTGAGTCTGGACTCAAACTTCTGGACTCAAACAATCCTCCCACCTCAGCTGAGACTATAGGCACACACCACAGGGCCTGGCTTTCTTACTACGCATTTTATCATTACTTTAGAGTATACTTCTTCTACTTATTAAAAAAAAATGTAAAACCTCAGGCAGGTTCTCCAGGAGCTATTCCAGAAGACGGCGTTGTTATTATAGGAGAAAAGAGCTCCATACATGTCATTGTCTCTGAAGACCTTCCAACTGGACAAGATATGGAAATGAAAGATAGTGGTGATTGATGATCCTGACCCAGTGTAGGCCTAGGCTAATGTGTGCGTTTATGTTTTAGTTTTTAACAAAAAAGATTAAAAATTTAAAATAAAAAATAGAAAATTTTAAAAATAGAAAAAAGCTTATAGAATAATGATAAAGAAAATGTTTTTGTATAGTTGTACAATGTGTGTTATATTATTACAAGAGTCAAGATGTTATAAAAATTTAAAAAGTTTATAAAGTTAAAAAGTTACCATAATGTTAAGTTAATTTACTATTGAAGAAAGAAAAATACTTTTTACGAATTTAGTGTAGCCTGTGTACAATGCTTGTAAAGTCTAGAGTAGTGTACAGTAATGTCCTAGGCCTTCACATTCACTCAGCCCTCATCCAGTGACTCACCTGGAGTAACTTCCAGTCCTGTAAGCTCCATTTATGGTAAGAGCCCTACATAGTTGGACCGTTTTTCATCTTTCTTATTGTATTTAGACTGTACTTCTTTTATGTTTAGGTACACAAATACCTACCATTGTGTTACACTTGTATACAGTATTCAATATGGTACACTTGTATACTGTATACAGTAACATGCTGAACAGGTTTGTAGCCTAGAAACGGTAGGCTATACCATATAACCTAGATGTAAGTACATCTGTAATGCTCATACAATGATCTAGGTTTGTGTACATTTACTCTATAATGATTGTACAATGAAGAAATTGCCTAAGAACACATTTCTTAGAATGTCATTAAGTGACGCATAACTGTACTTAACTATCAAGCAATCAGGTGTCAAGGTGGTCAATGACAATGGCCTTAATAGTGGTCAAGGACTATGAGCCAAACTGAAAGTAACAAGCCCTTTTTCACTTAATTGTCACAATACAAGCAAGAGGCAAAAAGTGATGCTAGTTTGCTCATATTCCATTTTCATAAACAGTACCAGCCAACGGTCAGATGGATGCAGCAAAAATGGGAGAAAATCTCTTACTGCCAGGAAGTCCAGAACTTCTGTATCTTTATGGACCTATAAGTGGGAGACAGAGAGGTGGTGGGACTAGGAATGAGTGAGTTAAAGTGGAAAAAGTGCATGAGCCAAGGCTTCTTATGAAGGGATCTTAGTGGAAACCCCTGGGAAATGCCTCTGTTACCAAACACCACGGCTTAATTCTAGGTCCTGCTGCTTGCCACCCAATCACTGAGATGATGAGTATTGCCAAGGAAGAAGGCTTTAATCAGGTGTGGCAGCTGAGGAGATGGGAGCTCAGTCTGAAATCCACCTCCCCGCTGACTAAAACTAGGGATTTCTATAGCAAGGAGGAAATGTAACAATGTGTAAGGAAACAGGAACTAGGAAAAGGCAAGGAAACAATCATGATGAATGAGCGGTCCTGCATCTCATCGTCTGGATGTGGTGATCTCTATGGGACTATTGGATCAGTTTCACTTACACCAAGACTTTGGATAAACAGGCCTCCAAATGGAGGTGTCTGGACTAGAAATGCCTATATGCGTGTGAGCATGACTCACACAGAAGAGTCCTGAGTCCTTGACTGCAGCTCCCTCCAGAAAACTGCAATGTGCTCTCTGTACAATCAGTCTGGTGGCAAAGCCTGCTAACTGCCTGTGGTCCGCCTCAAAATATCAAATGCAGGATTTTGGCCTAGAGACAGTCTCCTCATTAACAGATATTGTTGAATGAATAAATAACCAGTAACATCTAGCTGAATGATAACAGCTATATCCTTTCTAATGGTCATAATGTAAGAGAGAGAAGAAAAATAGCAAATAGTGAAGTTTGTTCACTATGAACAAACTTCTTTATACTCTTTCCTACAGATGATCCTGAGTTGATTTTACTAGGGCCAGTTTAGATGTCCTAATTAGCTGAAAGAAAATTGTGTCAGCACACAATAGCAGTAAAGTTATATAAAAGACTGTCAATCTATATTTTGATATTTTCTTCCACATAACTGGAACAAATGAAGATGAATCCTTTAAATGAAAGTTGCCCTACGGGAAGAAATTCAAACAGTATAATGTGTCTCTAGAGGCATAATTTCTTTTTAAAAATATACTAGAATTGGATTTAATTTTTTATGTCGTTATTGGTGAGACTTTAACTATTATATCTATAATCTATGCTTGGTAGACCTGTTTGATAAATAAATGATGGTTGCTTTAAAATAAAAGGAACATTTTCCTTGATTTCATCATCTTCTCTATTCTATTAGTAACTATGAGATATTGAGACAGATGGAATTTAAAATTAAAAATAAGTAAAAATAATATTGAAATTACTTAGTTTAAAGTAACACAGTCAGATATCAAGCTGTCCCCCGAATACTGACACATTAGCATAATCTGATATACCTCAAAGCATTTGTTTGAGAATTCAAATAGCAACAAGACTGTTAATTAATTTGCATTTTACAAATGTAATCACTCTAGCAAATTTTAGCGAAGTGTGAGGTGCCCGAAAAGGCTAAGACTTGGTTCCAAAGTTCTTTAGTAACAGAATATAGATTACTTACACGAGAAAAATACACAATGGTTGAGAGAATTAAATATTAAAAGCCATAATTGTATACTCATCTTTGTATGTGGATTGAAATACTTAAACATATAAATTTCTGAGGGAATATAGTCATTGGAAATAATAAATATAAATCATCAGTAACAATCTTAAATTGTTTAATGTTTCCTGAATCTTGAATACATGTATAATATGTTAATATATTTAGAACATTCTGTCATAAGGGCTTTGGGTTCTTCTAGGAAGCTAAGGAAATATTGTTTTAGTGTTATCTTTCCTCCATATCCATATTCTTTCCTTCAATTTGCTTTTAATTATTTTTAATTATATTTAATTTTGTGAAAATCTATTTAGAATCTAAATGCATGTGTGTATGTGTTGTACATATGTATTCAATAAGGATAGCTTATCTAAAACTTGTTCTGCCATTTTTCTTCCCTAACAGCTTTCCTTCTGTTTTGTTTTGCTCTCTGGTTAAGAAAGATGACTTGCGTCTAAGTATCCACGATTGGTGTTATCACCAAAAAATTGTATTATTATGTACTCGGATGTCCATATTTTAAATAGGATTTAACATGTACATTAATTTGTATTACTTAAAAACCCTACAATGAGTATATTTTTTCTATTCATGTAACAAAAGTTATTTCTAAAGAATTTTTAAAATAAATAACAAATGCAGAAAAAATTATATATTTTTTCCGTCATAATGATGGCAGCCGTGGCTTGTCTGGAGTGGCCACTGTGAGGACACCAGCTGCAGTGGGGGAGGTGCAGCCAGGGCTGCGCAATCTATGGAGACAGTGGGGACCAGGAACAGGTGATCCCAGTGGCAGCCCTGCACCCTACTGAGTTGGCGGAGTGGGAGCCTGTGCTCCCAGGCACAGCTGCAGCCTCACAGCTGTGACTCCAGACCTGGGCATCCCTGTGCTCTCTGGGCCCGGGAGATCCCTGCCCCTGCAGGCTCAGAAGTGCCTCCTCCTACTTCCTGGCCTCTCCCCACTCTTGGCACATGCTCCAGTGCAGAGCAAAGTTGTAGACAAGTCTGGGCACTGTTGTGACCCAGCTAGGTGTGCGTGTGCTCAGGGCAGCGCTGACATGACAGCCAGTCCCCACCATCGCCTTGGCTTCCTCTGAAACACTGGATGCTGATGAGCTCAGGGAGGGAGGCTGGGGTAGGGGTGGTGAGGGCAGGCCTGTGTGCGCCCCTCAGCACAGACAGCCTGGGCACCGCGGATAGCATATTGATGGCAGCAGGAGGCAGACAGGTTCCTAGGTGGGGAAGGGAAGGTCCCTGGTGAAACCCCACATTCAAGCCAGGGACAGCCTGAAGCCTGGGGGCCAGGCTGCCAGTTTCAGGTGGAGTCCATGACCCGGCGTGAGAACTACGTTGACACCTTTTAGGCAACGGGATGATGCTTTTTCCAGGCCCACCTATGGCTACCCATGGACCAATCAGCATGGACTTCCTCCATTCTGAGCACATAAAAATCCCTGACTTAGCCAGACTGACACACTCGTGGGGGCAACCTGCCTGCAGAAAGAAGCTATCCACTTCAGTTCTCCTGAGAGCTGTTCTGTTGCTCAATAAAGCTCCGCTCCACCTTGCTCACCCTTCAGTTGTCAGTAACATCATTCTTCCTGGACGTGGGACAAGATCAAACAGTAGGAGCAAAAGGAGCTGTAACACGTTTCTGGCAGGCTCACTGAGCTACAGGCAGTGACACACTCCTGGACTGTGGGAGTGAAGAATGGCAACCCTTCTGGGGGCCCAGACTTTGGGGTTCCCCAAGCCAGAACTGCTGTAACATTATAGCACTCTCGCCCTCTGTTGGCACTGGGTGGCTGCTCCACGTAATGGACTGAGCCAGCCCATGTAGTGGTGGGACTGGGCTAGCCCAGGTGCTGCTGGCCAGAGCAGGGTGGCAGGACTGAAGGAGCTGCAACACAAACGGGCTGAAATAAGCCCACTTGTGCTCTACACTGTGGGTGGCGAGAAGGAGAGAAGAGCTGTGGCCCTTTTGCAGGTCCAGACCTTGGGTTTCCTGAGTCTGGGCTGTGACACACTGTAACACCCTCTTTGGGGTTCTGTGGTTCCTGGCATCTCCAAGTTTTGGGCACCACCTCATTCCCCAGTGCCCTCAGCGGAAGCCACTTGTGGTACACCTGGTTCAACTGCAGCCTTGCACAGAGGCAGCACCTGTGTCAGCACCTGGAGCTGCCTGCTCTGCTGCAGCTGGCATGCCTGGCTGTGCACAGTGGCTGGACCTTGCACTTGCTTACTCACACACCCGTTGCTGCTCCACACCTGGCTCACCCTTGGCAGTCATGGGATCCATGCCAGTAGTGCTAGCTGAGTGCAACCTGCTGGGCTGAGTGAAAAGAATGAGCCCAGCAGGCATGAGCAAAACTCAAGCAGAGGAGCCGCTGGCCACAGAGGTTTCCAGATAGTGAAGCAACACCCTAAGGATCCTGTGACAATAATGGTATTTGATGGAAACTTTTGTTTGATAAACTTAGTGTGAAGTTTTGTGATTAAAAGTTATTGTTTAAAGTCACTGCTAACTCTACTTTCCTCTGTGATTTTGGTGGAATAAAAATAAATAAGGACAGAAAAATAAAGCTTTATTTTTAACAAAACTGTGGAACAGTCACTGCCAAATAGAATAAAATATACATGAAATTGAGGGAAGATACTTAGGAGTTAAACCATTACAGATGCTTGTAAGTTTGTGGCCTTTCCCCTCTAAGTTTTGTATTATGTTGCATTGGCCTGTGTGTCTGTTTTTGTACCAGTGCCATGTTGTTTTGGTTGCTGTAGCCTTATATTATAGTTTGAAGTCTGGTAATGTGATGATTGCAGCTTTGTTCTCTTTGCTTAGGATTGTTTTGATTATTTGGACTACTTTTTGGTTCCATATGAATTTTAGAAAAGGTTTTTCTAATTCTTTGAAGAATGGCATTGGTAGTTTGATAGAAACAGCATTGAATCTGTAGATTGCTTTGGGCAGCATGACTATTTTAATGATATTGATCCTGTAATCCATAAGCATGGAATGTTTTTTCATTTATTTTTGTCACCTCTGATTTCTTTCAGCAGTGTTTTATAGTTCTCCTATAGAGGACTTTCACCATCTTGGTTAGCTGTATTCCTAAGTATCTCATTTTCTTTGTGGCTATTGCAAATGGGATTGTGTTCTGGATTTGACTGTTAACCGGGATATTATTGCTGTATAGAAATACTACTGATTTTTGTACATTGATTTTATATCCTGAAATGTTACTGAAGTCATTTATCAGTTCTAGTAGCCTTTAGGCAGAGTCTTTAGGGTTTTCTGGGTATGGAATCATATCATCAGTGAAGAGAGATAGTTTGACTTCTTCTTTTCCTATTTGTATGACTCTTATTTCTTTCTCTTGCCTGATGGCTCTGGCTAGGGCTTCTAGCACTATTTTTAATAGGAGTGGTGATAATGGGCATCACTGGCAAAAACAGGACTAGGATCAAGGATTTTTGATTCTCTGGTCATGCATCTCTCCTATGCTTTAGGAACCCGCTAATTTTAATAGGTAAGATTCAGAGCTGAAAATGAAAATTTATACACAGAATATATGCTGCTTTGTTTTTTCAAGTGCTACCCTGGACCATTCTTCTAAGTGAGTTTAATGGTAGATACAAAATATAGAGCTCCACATTTTTAGTTTTTTTAGTTAGTTTTGGTGTAAATGACTTTAATAAATCAAATGTTGCATCAAGGTAACTTATAAAATCAAAGGATTTTGTTTCTCTCTTGCACTATAATCACAAGGATAATCTGATGATCAGAGTTTTTTAAAAAATGATGCCCAATACCCTACAGAGAACATGCATTAGATATGCTATGTGACTCAATGCATAGCCTCATGTAAAGATAAACAGAAGTTTCAGAGGCATTACAATTCAGGCAGATATGTTGTCCGGACCACTGTGTTTATTTATTTAATCAGCAAGTGGCTCCATTCACTTAGATCAAAAGACAGGTTGGCATCATTTGGACTATACTATTAGTAGGGATTATATTTGACAACATGCTGATGAGCATTTTGATTTTATTGTAAAATGAGAGGAAGGAGGTTACATACATATTTTATATAAAATATAATTAATAGGTCAATCAATCCAGAGGTCATTTATTGCTTTTATGTTATTAAATAAGTATGTTTTATAGTTAACTTGCACTTAAATATTCCATTTTAAAGTTTTTCTTGATGGAAATTCAGATACATTTATTTCCTGTTCTTATTTTTGTTTTCTTAGTAAATTAAGTAGCTGCTCATTGAATTTGATTCTAACTTTCTATTAGAAACTTGTTCGATGCCTGTAATCCTAGCACTTTGGGAGGAAGAGGCGGGTGGATCACCTGAGGTCAGGTGTTTGACACCAGCCTGTCTAACATGGTGAAACCCTGTCTGTACTAAAAATACAAAAGAAAAAAAAATAGCTGAATGTGGTAGCAGGGCCTGTAATCCCAGCTACTCAGGAGGCTGAGGCGGGAAAGTTGCTTGGACCCAGGAGGTGGTGGTTGCAGTGAGCCAAGATCATGCCACTGTTCTCCAGCCTGGGTGACAGAGTGAGATTCTGTGTAAAAAAAAAAAAAAAAAAAAAAGAAAGAAAAAAGAAAGAAAGAAACCTGTTCTTCTGTTCTTTCCCATAGCTAAGAGTTCTTTCTAATATTACTTAGCCCACCTCAAGTTTTGATTCTACTGTTTTATCACATTTAAATCCATGTAAGTATTTGCACATATAGAATGCAGATTGTACTCCAATCTCTACTGTGCACCACATATATTTCACTTTGTAGGCATGTTCTTAACATAGGAAAGTGCTAACCCCAGGAACATGACATTTAGAAAAATCAAGGCAGCCACTAGAGAATTTTCTTAAAGCTGTTCATTACAAATCTAAGCATACCCAGGGATCCTCTATCATTCCACAGAGACAGGGCCATTTTATACTAATAGTAGACAGGCGTTTCGCTCACTTTTAAATAGTTGTTTTGCAGCCTGCATTACAGAATTTCTGTAAAACCTAAGAATTATAGGTAGTTTTGAAAAAAACACCAAATCTTGAGTTATGAATTAGGATTTCCTATGTAGGTATTAAATACTAAACTATGAGCTAATAGTTTTGTTCACTGGCCAAAAAAAATATTTTGCCTATTACACAAGGAATATACTTAGCAAGTTTAATAGCACAAGAATATAAATATACCCACAAAGATATAGATATATGGAGTAAAATGAAATAGAGTCCAATTCAATTTTCAGTCTCTGGAAATTAAGCCACAATTCGGCCATCAATTTACCTCATGAGAAAATTTGTACTTCTACATTTTATCTTTGAATAATTATGTTGAACAACCATATACTATTGAAAACCAATATTTGGATCCTACTTGAAATGAATTGTAAAATATAATTTCCCAAAATATCAGATTTTGAAGAATTATTTTGGAAGTCTGTAGTTATTTATAAGACAAAGGGTTGAGTAGGTCAAATGTTTTCTTTCATAAGAAATTAAGACAGAATAGAGCAATAAATTTTGTTTGAATGAGAAAGGGACAGAAGGCAAGAATTCTTATAAATAAAATGTATGTATTTGTATGAATTCATTAATAGAAGGAACATAATAGGCAACAAGGGGCAGATAGGTGATGGTGTGCAGATTTAGAGACACATGAGATCTATCATCTGCATGACAGAGTTTCCTGGTAGCTAGATTGGAATGACGCAGCGTGGGAAGGAAGAGGCCTATGGAGCCTTCCCAGCAGTGGTCAGAGACAGAGAATCAGCTGGAACCACAGGACACTATTTCCAAGTAAGCTGCTAACGTCTGGTCATTATTTGGGTGAATAATTGGTGCTGGGATTGGAGAGGAAGAAATGATGTGTTCCAGCTGGTTAGTGGAGCTGACCAAAGAGGCATCTGGATGAATTATCTTTAGAAATCCATGATGGACCTCAGCTTCTGTGATGTGTCACCAATGAAGATGAAGTCTAAACAAAAGACAGAAGTTAAGGGTTGACTCCGGTCCTCAGAAATGCACACTTTCAGTTGACGAGAGGCCTCATCCCCAGACAAATAGAGAAAAACCAGGCAGACTGCTATAGCAAGCCCTGCGATATTGGTGGGTATCAAATAAAAAGTTCACTTTTCTCACTAAGGCATTGAGCCAATGGATATTAGAAAAGGGCTATTAAACTTTGGAGAGGCCTGGAGTTCATTTGAGAATGGGAACAGCATTGGGAATTCACATGGAGATTAATGTCAGCATCAAGCGATCATTTACATGGTCAAAGTTGCATGGCAGAGTGAGTTGGGTATTCTGCATCCTTGGTCTACTTATGAGTGTATGTCCAAGACCACTGGATGAGTGGAGAAGGAGAGGGGGTACCAGAGCTCTCCAACCACCTCAGTCAATTAGTCTAGGGTGGAACTGAGCCTTCATAGGTATCATAATAATGTAAAGTCTAGAACATAAGTTCCTGGAGATCCAGCATCTTCTCTATTATTCACCACTCAATATCAGTACGTCCCTCAGTGCCTAGCACATTTCAGGCACTAAGCAAACATTTGTTGAATGAATGAATGAAGGAAAAATAAGAGAAAGAGACAGGAGAAATTATGACTCATGCAAATACATAAATTCAGGGGGAAATGTCTATGCAAAATAAAATTGTAAAAATCTGGCCATGTGAGAAATGAAGTATTTTACACGAAACATTTGAATATGTCTTAGGAGGTCTTTCCATATAAGCACAATGAAAGCATCTCATTCCATGTTTTAAATGTACCAATATTTATGCAGTTACCTATTTAGTTGTTTCTTTTTCTGCTTTGTTATTTATAAAGCAAACACTTCTATAAGAAAAAATAAGTCATATAGAGCTTTTAATATCTTCAAAAATCTACTTAAATAATTTGACACTTTATGTACACTTAAAATGATCTTGTTTGCAGTGGGAATTTTGCAGGCACACAGAGAGAATATTGTGTAATTCACTGAAGCAAAATATTAGTAAAATTTAAAAACTGGAAGTTGAATAAATAGAACATTAACATTAACTTGGCAGAGGTAGGATATTGTTTTGGATCAAAATTATGATTAGCTTAACTCTAAAAGGAGAAATTGCAAAGAACACCTTTTTTAAAACACTAAATTCTCATTTTTTCTAAACACAAGTCAATGTTTGTGAAACTATAATGGAAGTGAATTCCCAAAATACCTGAATTTGCAGCAATACCATAAACACCATTCTGTGTGAACCATATATAAAACATGTTAGACAAATAATGAATATGTCGGGTTCAGCTCCCACTCAATTCAGTAGGAAAAAATGACCAATATTTAGATGGCATACTTGCCTGCTGAATTTATTCCAGATGTCATCCTCATAAGATTTCTATAAGGAATTTCTATTAGTTAATAATTTACTTAGGGAGAACGTTTTCCATCTTTTTACAAAGAAAGACATGAGGTCAGAATAATATGATAAAGGCTTTTGTTCTATCTTCTTGATATAATTTTAATAATAACACAATGGAATGTATATAGGCTACCCTATCAAATTAGTTCGTTTTCATTTCTTTATTGCCCAAGGAAAAACAAGATTTATATTTGATTTTATTTGTTTGCATGTCTATGAGTTACTATCTTTTTGCAGTAGATGCAACATAGGGTATTAAACTTATTTGACTGCTCCATTCCACCTTAAGAGCCAAGGGAAAAACTATCACATTAAAGCAGTGAAAGGAGTCTGTCACTCTGTAGTGGACTTGCTTGCAGTAGATCATTGTGTAGCATTATGTAACCTCTTTCAGTCCCTTTCTTTTAACTTGTTTTTCTCATCCCAAACAAATCATTAATAATGTTAGTATTCTCCTTTTTTAAAAGAAAGTTATGTTTTTGTTTTATGTCATATCTAAAATAGGTTCAATGAGCTATATGCCTTAGATGTATGAGTAATAGCCAATATGTACAGTAATTGTAAGTTATGGTTGCTGCTTCTCCTGGACAGACAGTTGCCTGAATCTTTATTCATGAGTAAAACTTTTTCTTAAACCAAAATACAAATCATTAGACTCTTTTATTCTGGAAAATGTTTCACGTTGACAATAATAAATTAAGGAGATTATGCAAGCCTCAGGAGCTGAAGACTCATTACATTTTATCTGGGTTGGCTCTCAGTAACTATCAGTTCATGGAAAAAATGAAGCAAGAAGGATGAGCAAAAACAAAAGAAGCCAAATAGAGAAATAAATTAACAAAGAACCAAAAACATGTCAGATACAAGATTGAATATTTTCAGCATATTGCCCTTTATGTAAATTATTCTCTGAAATAACATGCATTGCTATAACCTTACCAGAGTGATGGAGACAAATAGCATACAATATGAAAAAGCTGTATCTTATTAAAAGCATGCCATTTTCTTTGATATTTGCTCAAAATATTAATTTCTTAATTAAAAAATATAATTCATTTGTTATAAATTTAAAAATCAAAATAGTAGACCAAAAATAAAGGGAAATTTAATGTTTGAGTGGAGGGATTTCTTTGTCAAAGCATAGTTTACTTAATTTGAGATGGTTCTTTAGGTAGCCTGCTATATCTAAGTACAAAAACCTGATTCAAGCCAGGAGCATCTAGGTTACTTATGCTCAGTTTCAATACCAACCATTAGGACTTAGGATCACAGAAACAGTATTTTAAAAACCAGCAAAGCTATCTTTAGCATTTTAGAAAGATTGTCATGTAGCAATCTCTAGAGTTCTATATCAGCCACCAAAAGCTAGAAAATATTTAGTAATAATTAGCCTGCAATGAAATATATTTTTTTTTAAATGGAAAGGAGAAAATCAGGATCAGGAGCAAATTGGTTAAAACAGGAAAAGGATCAGAATAAGCATAAGCACAGACTTCCAAGTACTATAAACAATCTGGTAAGGAAAGAGATGAAAACTATAACAAAGAATCAAGTTAAGAATACAAAAAAGAAAATTAGAATCAATTACAGAGGAATATATGTGTTTATATATATATATATATGTATAAAATAGACAATTTTTATTTAATGTATTTATACGTTGCTGTAACTAGCTTTTTGTTTTTTTCTCACTAACTTTATTGTTCCGAATATGTATTATATATTTAATTGTAGAAAGTTAAGAATTCAAGCAAGTAGAAATAAGAATCAAAACATTCCTAAAGACAAACTGTAAAAAAAAAGCGCTTAATTTTTTTTCCACAAAAATAATGATAGGGTTTACTAACACTTTCAGGCAGACAATGCCATAATTGACTACATGTATTATTTAGTTCATACAAAAGCCCTAAGTAATAGGAACTCTTATAATTTCACTGCTCTTAAAATTTAGAGTTGTTTTGGTCAGATAATCAATAAGTAACAAAACCTCTTTTTGGAGAAGCATGTTCACTGTAATCTTAAAATTCTCTCAGCCTTTTGATTTTGATAATACATTGGGAATTACTATATGATCTTTTGATACATCAAGCATCTTCATTATATGTTGGGTATGTCAAGGCCTATGGCCATTTTTACACAATGTTGACAGTATCTGTATGGAAACATTGCAAAACAGAAAAAAGAATAAAGTATAATATCTGGATTCATCAAATAGTCAATAGATAATGTATTAGTTTGCTGTGGCTTCCAGACCATATTCCACCAACTTGGTGTCTTAAGCAATAGAAATTTATTTTCTCACAATTTACAGAAACTGGAAATCTTAGATCAAGGTGTCAGCAGATTTGATTTCTTTTGAGACTTCTCTTCTTGGCTTGTAGATGGCTATCTTCTCCTTGTTTCTTCACATGATCTTCTCTCTGTGCCTGTCTGTGTCCTAGTCTTCTCTTCTAACAAGGGCACCATTCAAATTGGATTAGGGCCTACCCTAATAATACCATTTTAACTTCATTACTTCCTTAAAGTCCCTAACTTCAAAAAGTCACATTCTGAGGTTCTGGGAATTAGGACTTCAACATACGAATTTTGGGTGACACTACTCAGCCAATAGCCAATCCAATTATATATTTTACATAAAATAATTTAAAATATGTGTGGAGATTGTTTAGGGTATTACATATTAAGTTATAAAGGTGACATGGTTTTGCTGTGTCCCCACCCAAAGCTCATCTTGAATTGTAGCTCCTACAATTCCCACGTGTTGTGGGAGGAAACTGGTGGGAGGTAATTGCATCATCTGGGCAATTTCACCCATACTGTTCTCATGATAGTAAATAAGTCTCACAAGATCTGATGGTTTTATAAGTGGAGTTTCCCTGCAAAAGATTTTTCTTTGCTTGCTACCATCTATGTAAGACATGACTTTGGTCCTCCTTGTCTTCCAACATGATTGTGAGGCTTCACCAGGCATGTGGAACTGTGAGTCAATTAAATCTCTTTCCTTTCTAAATTATCCAGTCTCAGATATGTCTTTTTCAGCAGTGTGAAAACGGACTGATACAGTAACTTGGTATTGGTAGAGTGGGGCACTTCTGTAAAAATACTTGAAAATGTGGAAGTGACTTTGGAACTGGGTAAGAGGCAGGGGATAGAACATTTTGGAGGGCTAAGAAGAAGACAGGAAAATGTGGGAAAGGTTAGAACTTCCTAGAGACTTGTTGAATGAATTTACTCAAAATGCTTATAGCAATATGGACAATAAAGTCCGGGCTGAGGTGAACTCAGATGGAAATGAGGAACTCGTTGGGAACTGGAGCAAAGGTGACTCTTGTTAGTTGTAGCAAAGAGACTGGCAGCATTTTGTCCCTGCCATAGAGATTTGTGGAACTTTAAACTTGAGAGAGATGATTTGGGGTATCTAGCAGAAATTTCTAAGCAGCAAAGCAAACAAGAGGTTACTTGGGTGCTGTTAAAGGCATTCAGTTTTATAAGGGAGCATAAAAGTTTGAAAAATATGCAGCCTGACAATGTGATAGGAAAGAAAATATCATTTTTCTGAGGAGAAATTCAAGCCAGCTGCAGAAATTTGCATAAGTAAACATGAACTGAATGTTAATCACCAAGACAATGGGGAAAATGTCTCCAGGGCATATCAGAGGTCTTCACAGCAGCCCCTCCCATCAAAGGTTCTGATGCCTAGGAGGAAAAAATGGTTTCCTGGGCCTGGGCCCAGGGTCCTCTGGCTGTGTGAAGCCTAGGGACTTGGTGCCCTGCATCCCAGCTGCTCAAGCCATGGCTGAAAGAAGTCAATGTAGAACTTAGGTCGTGGCTTCAGAGGATGCAAGCCCCAAGCCTTGGCAGCTTCCATGTGGTGTTGAGCCTGTGAGTGCACCGAAGTCAAGAATTGGGGTTTGGGAACCTCTGCCTAGACTTCAGATGACGTATGGAAATACCTGGATGCCCAGCCAGAAGTTTGCTGCAGGGGCAGGGCCCTCATGGAGAACCTCTGCTAGGGCAGTGCAGAAGTGAATAGTGGGGTTGGAGCCCCCACACAGAGTCCCTACTGGGGCACTGCCTAGTGGAGCTATGAGAAGAAGGCCATCATCCTCCAGGCCCCAGAATGGTATATCCACTGACATCTTGCATCGTGCACCTGGAAAAGCCACAGACACTCAATACCAGCCCATGAAAGTAGCCAAGAGGGAGGCTGTACCCTGCAAAGCCACAGGGGTGAAGCTGCCCAACATCATGGGAACCCACCTCTTGTATCAGCGTGACCTGGATGTGAGACATGGAGTCAAAGGAGACCATTTTGTTAAGATTTGACTTACCCTGTCAAATCTTCGGTAAGATTTGACTTACCCTGTCAAATCTTCGGTAAGATTTGACTTACCCTGTCAAATCTTCGGTAAGATTTGACTTACCCTGTCAAATCTTCGGTAAGATTTGACTTACCCTGTCAAATCTTCGGTAAGATTTGACTTACCCTGTCAAATCTTCGGTAAGATTTGACTTACCCTGTCAAATCTTCGGTAAGATTTGACTTACCCTGTAAGATTTGGTTGCCCTGCTGGATTTCAGACTTGTAGGGGGCCTGTACCCTCTTTGTTTTGGCCAATTTCCCCCATTTGGCATGGGTGTATTTACCCAATGCCTGCACCTCCATTGTATCTTGGAAGTAACTAATTTGCTTTTGATTTTACAGGCTCATAGGTGGAAGGGACTTGCCTTGTCTCAGATGAGATGTTGGACTGTGAACTTTTGAGTTAATGCTGAAATGACTAATTGAGTCATGACTTTTGAGTTAATGCTGAAATGACTTAAGACTTTGAGGGACTGTTGGGAAGGCATGGTTGGTTTTGAAATGTGAAGACATGAGATTTGGGAGGGGACAGGGGCAAAATGATATGCTTTAGCTCTTTCCACACTCAAATGTCATCTTGAATCGCAGCTCCCACAATTCCCACGTGTTGTGGGAGGAATCTGGTGGGAAGTAATTGAATCATGGAGGCAGGGCTTTCCAGTGCTGTTCTCATGATTGTGAATAAGTGTCATGAGATCTGATGGTTCTATAAGGGGGAGTTTCCCTGTACAAGCTCTCTCTTTGCCTGCTGCCATCCATGTAAGATGTGACTTTGCTCCCCCTTGCCTCCTGCCATGATTGTGAGGCCACCCCAGTCATATTGAACTGTGAGTCAATTAAACCTCTCTCCTTTCTAAATTACCCAGTCTCAGGTATATCTTTATCAGCAGTGTGAAAATGGACTAATACAACAGGCATACCTCAAAGATACTGCACGTTTGTTTCCAGAACACAGTAATAAAGCAAACGTTGTAATAAAGCAAGATGCACAAACTTTTTGGCTTCTCATTGCATATAAATTTATGTTTACATTACACTGCAGTCTATTAAAAGTCATAGCACTACATCTTAAAAAACATATATACCTTAATTTAAAAATACTTTAATGTGGCTAGGCGTGGTGGCTCAAGCCCGTAATCCCAGCACTTTGGGAGGCCGAGGTGGACAGATCACGAGGTCAGGAGATTGAGACCATTCTGGCTAACACGGTGAAACCTGGTCTTTAATTTTTTGTACTAAAAATACAAAAAATTAGCCAGGCGTGGTGGCAGGCGCCTGTAGTCCCAGTTACTCAGGAGGCTGAGGCAGGAGAATGGCGTGAACCCGGGAGGCAGAGCTTGCAGTGAGCCGAGATTGTGCCACTGCACTCCAGCCTGGGCGACAGAGCGAGACTCCATCTCAAAAAAAAAAAAATACTTTAATGCTAAAACATCATAACAATCATCTGCGCCTTCAGGGATCCATAATCTCTTTGCTGGTGGAGAGTCTTGCCTTCGTATTGATGGCTGCTGACTAACAATGGTGATGGTTGCTGAATGTTGGGGTGGCTGTGGCAATTTCTTAAAATATAACAACAATTAATTTGGTACATTAATAGACTCTTCCTTTCCTGAAAGATTTGTCTATAGTATATGATGCTGTTTGATAGCATTTTACTCACAGTAGAAATTCTTTCGAAATTGGAGTCAATCCTCTTAACCACTCCTGCTTCTTTATCAAATAAGTTTCCAAAATATTCTAAATTATTTGTTGTCATATCAGCAATATTCACAGTACCTTCACCAAGAGCAGGTTTAATCTCAAAAAACCATTTTTTTTCTCATTGAAAAGAAGCAATTCTTGAGCCATTCAAGTTTGACTGTGAGATTGTAGCAATTAAGTCACATATTCAAGCTCCACTTACAATTCTACTTTTCTTGCTGTTTCCATCACATCTGCCATTACTTCCTTCAGTGAAGTCTTGAACTCCTCAAAATCATCCATGAGGGTTGGAATCAACTTCTTCCAAATGCCTTTTAATGCTGACATGTTACCATCCTCCCATGAATTACAAATATTCTTAATGGCATCTAGAATGGTGAATTATTTCCAGAAGGTTTTCAACTTACTTTGCCAGGATCCATCAGAGTAACCACTGTCTACAGCAGCTAGAGCCTTATGAAATGTATTTCCTGGAAAATAAGACTTGAAAGTCAAAATTACAACTTGATTTTTGGGCTGCAGAGTAGATATTGTGTTAACAGCCATGAAAACAACATTAATCTTGTATATCTTCATCAATGTTCTTGAGTGACCAGGTGCATTGTCAATGAACAGTAATATTTTGAAATAAATCTTTTATTCTGAACAGTAGATCTCAACATGGGCTTAAAATATTCAGTGAACCATGCTGTAAATAGATGTGCTGTCATCCTGGCTTTGTTATTCTCTTTCTGGGGGCACAGGCAGAGTAAATTTAGCAAAATCCTTAAGTCCCCTAGGATGTCCAGAATAGTAAATAAGCATTGGCTTCAATTAAAGTAATCAGCTGCATTAGCCCCTAACAAGAGGGTTAGCCTGTTTTTTGAAGCATTGAAGTTAGGCATTGACTTTTCTTTCACTATGAAAGTCCTTGATGACATCTCTCATTACAAGGCTTTGTCTACATTGACAATCTGTTATTTAGTGCAGCTACCTTCATCAATTATCTCAGTTAAATCTTCTGGATAACTTGCAGCAGCTTCTACATCAGCACTTGCTGCTTCACCTTGCACTTTTATGTTATAGAGATGGCTCCTTTCTTTAAACCTCATGAACCAGCATCTGTTAGCTTCCAACTTTTCTTCTGCAGCTTCCTCATAGAATTGAAGGGATTTAGGGCTTTACCCTGGATTAAGCTTTGTCTAAAGGGAATGTTGTGGCTGGTCTGATCTTTTATTCAGACCACTCAGACTTTCTTCATATCGGCAATAAGGCTGTTTTGCTTTATTGTCATTCAGGTCTTCACTGGAATAGTACTTTTAATTTCCTTCAAGAACTTTTACTTTGAATTCACAGCTTTGTTGTTTGACACAAGAGGGCTAGCTTTTGGCCCAACTTTATTTTTGAAATGCCTTCCTCACTAAGTTTAATAATTTTTAGCTTTTCATTTAAAGTGAGAGATACGAAAAACTTCCTTTACATGAATACTTACAAGTCATGGTAGGGAGTTTAATCAGCCTAATTTTAATACTGTTTTCTCAGGGAATAGAGATGCTTCAGGAGAGAGAGAAAGATGGAGAAGGACCAGTCAGTGGAACAGTCAGAACACACACAACATTTATCAGTTAAGGTTGTGGTCTTATATAAGTGTCATTTGTGGTGCCTCAAAACCATTAGAATAGCAACATTAAAATAATCATTGATCACAAGTCACCATCAACAGATATAATAATAATAATTATATATAGTTGAAGTTTAAATATTGTGAGAATTCCCAAAATATGACACAGAGGCACAATGTGAGTACTTGGTGTTGGAAAATGTTTCTGATGAACTTGCTCAATGCAGGATTGTCACAAACCATCAATTTGTAAAAACAAACAAACAAAAATCTCAATGCAACAACATATGCCTGTATTAAAAGCCCTAGCATTTGAGATTTCTTAGAATATGTGCTTTATCTTAAAGACACTATTTTCCAAATACATTGGCTTATATGCTGGTTAGGGATTGAATTAGAAATCATATAAATAATAAATTTATTTTTCAGATACAAAATTCAGTTAACTATAGACAGCTTCCAACTTACCTACGGCTCATCTTATGATTTTTCAACATTGCAATGGTGTGAAAATGATACACATTCAGTAGAAGCCATACTTTGAATTTTGAATTTTGATCTTTTATAGTACTAGTGGTATGTGGCAGAATACTCTTTTGAAATTCTGGGCAGTAGCAGCAAACCACAGCTCCCAGTCAGCCACAGGATCACAAGGCTCAACAATGATATTCAAAAATGTACTGGGTTGCCCAAGATATTTGAATATTGTGTTTAAATGTTCATCATGTCTACAAAATGCCCATTCATCATGTCTACAAAATGCCTATTTTTGACTTACGATATTTTCAACTTACACTATGTGTATGGGGACATAACCCCACTGTAAGCTGAGGAGCATTTGTATTTAGAAGACAGTGAAATGTCATGTATTTATCTTCTGTTTTAAAATATTATATCTTGTTATATTTACCTACTCCTGTGAGCAAAATTGACTTAGCGTAGGGTTCTATAAAATTAATATATGAGTACATGTATATTACAACAAGATCAAAACCTCAGTTTCCAGATAAGTAAAGTTATCTTAATGCTGGGTACCAGAGTTAACTATCACATTGAGTTTTATTTTTCCAGCTGTGTAAAGTCTGGTTTTAGAACGCAAGTTAATGAACATTTCTGCCTTCACATTAAAAAAAGTGTGTTAGCCAATAGTTAAATTCTGTAATACTGTTATTAAGACCCCTTCTCTATACTTCTAAATTAAAGAAAAAAATGCTAAATGGAAATTATTACAATAAATGGTTAGATTTTAATTATGTAAATAATTTGTCTTCGCTGTTAGAATTTTATATTAATATTGTCAAAAAAATGAAATCAGAGAAAATGATAAACAATTATGTTTTCAACCTTCCAAATTCTTTATTTGTAAATTATACATCCTTTGATATAGATAACAATGTGACAGTATCTATATAATATTGGAATATCCAGGTGAAAATTTAAAATTGTAGATATGATAGACATATTATTTTTAATCTAACATTGTAATATATAATACATTATATTATACTTTATATATCTTATATATAGTATATAATGTATAATATAATATTATATATACCATTTTGCTTCCTGCTTATTGATTTTATCTGATGTGTACAGACTCATGTGCCATACATTTACTTTTGATCTTATTTCATATTCCACATTCCATCTTGACAGAATATCATCGTATAATATTCAGTAATTTTGTATGCATCCCCCATTGCTTTTAGTGTAAGTTGTTTTTATTATTTTATGATATACACTAATGCATTGAGAGTTCCAAAGAACTTGTCTGATTATTTTTTAAGATCAATATCTAGAATTAGAATTTGTAGAATGAAAAGAATGCACATATTTAAAGCTTTAGAATCATGGGTCAAGGTCGTCTTCAGAAAAACTGAATAGTTTATACACAATTCACAAAAATATTTGAGGATACTCAATTTCCTACATGCCTATAAATTCTACTGACATTGTTTTCAACCAAGTAATTGAATAATGATATATCTTGCCTATAATTTATATCCTCTGCTTCACATTTATTAACAACTATTGCAGTTCTTTAGGAGATTTCTTCTTCATATTTTTTGCCCATTTTTTTCATTAATGTGTCCTAAATAGTTACAATATTAATAAAAATTCATAGCTACCAATTATTGGGTACTTTACATTACAGGTACTTTCTAAGTACTTTATGTGTACCTAATCATCACACTCTCAAAACTTTCCTAATATGAAAATAGTATTAAATTTATCCCCACTTGACAAATAGGTGGAAGATTCAAGGTTTGAAGCCAAGAAGTTTGGCTTCAGCGTCTACCTTTATATCCCTCATATAATGTTGTCCACCTTTATTTTTGTGTTTATGCCTCTTTATACAAGAAAGGTATTAATACTTTAGGTATGGAGCAGATAATTTTTTCTCAGTTAATTATATTCTTTGAATTATGTTTCTGATCCTTTAATAAAAACACATTTAGTCCTTCTTAAGTTCTATCTCTCTCTCTCTCTCTCTCTCTCTCTCTCTCTAATCTTGGTTTTCTGCTTAGAATGGCTCTCCCAGGTTACATTCCCCAGGTTACATTGTACATACACACATGCATTATAGAAATACATGTAGTATTTTTATTTTTACTCATTTTTTTCTCGAGTTTTTAATTCAGCTTCTCATTTCTCTCTCTTTTCTTTTTTGGAGATGAACTCTCGCTCTGTGGCCAAGGCTGGAGTTCAGTGGCACAATTTCAGCTCACTGCAACCTCCATTTCCCGGGTTCAAATGATTCTCCTGCCTCAGCCTCCCAAGCAGCTGGGATTACAGGCACCTGCCAACATGCCCAGATACTTTTTTTTATTTTTTATTTTTTGTATTTCTAGGAGAGACGGAGTTTTACCGTGTTGGCCAGGCTGGTCTCAAACTCCTGACCTCAGATGATCTGCCTGCCTCGTCCTCCCAAAGTGCTGGGATTACAGGTGTGAGCCACCATGCCCAGCCAGCAGGTGATAGATTTCAACAAATTTTTTGTTAAATGGAAAGTGGATGATGACTTTTGAAATGAGGATGACTCAACCTGGAGCCAAATCTGCATGTTTCATTGTGGTTATTTACAGATATGATATCAAGGCTAATAAATCAAGAAATAGGGATGTAAGTAAATTGTAGTTATGAAGTTAATCAGCAGGAGAATTAAAATAGGAAAATATAAAAGTAAGTCTCTGTGAGGAGTGGGAAAAATATGGCTAAAAACTGTTGCTTTTTATTATAATCCAGAATTACTTTATATTTTATCATGTGCATGTACCACTTCCATACAACTTTTTAAAACTTAAACTTGGGTAACAGAATTTCATTTTAGCATAAAGATGAGGCACAAACATTTCCTTTATAAAGAAATGATTATTTTTTTAAATCCATTCTTTCTATATCAAACTGAAATGTCAACCTTATTTATATCGTTTATGGACTAATTTTTGATTTTTTAAATCAGATCATTGTACCTATTATTAATGCACAATGCCATTTTATATTCTATAAACAATTCTTTTTTTATGGAATTCTTCTCAACAATTTTGATATTTTTATTTGTTTAATTCCCTAGAAACCAAGTATCAAAAAAGAAAGCAAGAAATGTGAGTAATGACAGAGGAAAACTGTAGCTCATATTGGCTTAGGGAAAAACACACACATGTAATTCATTGAACAGAAGTGCCTATTTTCAAAACACTGGTTGTCCAGGGTTAAAGTTTGTCATTGTTTCTGCAGAGAAACTGACCTCCAGAGCCCATCAGACATTATCTTTGTTCTTGGCCTTTCTTGGTTAATTTTTTTTAAAAGGGCTCAGTAGTTTCTTCTATATATTTCAAATATTTAGTCATAATATATAACCAAGACTTTAAAGTGTAGATCTTCAGATTACTAAGATTGATCTGTGTGCCTTTGTATCTGTGTGACATTTACTCATATGTGTTTACATGTGCTTATAAGTAAATCTAATGAACTATGATATTATTATTATTATTATTATTTTTGAGACGGAGTTTCACTCTTGTTGCCCAGGCTGGAGTGCAATGGCATGATCTCGGCTCACCGCAACCCCCGCCTCCCAGGTTCAAGTGATTCTCCTGCCTCAGCCTCCCTAGTAGCTGGGATTATAGGCATGTGCCACCACGCCTCGCTAATTTTGTATTTTTAGTAGAGATGGTGTTTCTCCATGTTGGTCAGGCTGGTCTCGAACTCCCGACCTCAGGTGATCCACCCGCCTTGGCCTCCCAAAGTGCTGGGATTACAGGCGTGAGCCACCGCGCCCGGCTATGATTATAAGTTGTTATTTTTTTCATAATCACCATTATGTTCTGTTTTGAAATGTTAGAAATTAGAATAAGAAACATTAAAATATCAAAAACATGTCTATCCCAGTTTTGCTACATCTGTGAAAATCTGTGGCTCTTATCTCCAACTGCAGGCAGAACTGAGAGGTGCTCCATGCTGCTGCCTCACTGGATCATCTGGCAGGTACTGCTGAGGCCTACTCAGTGAGTGACCACACTCAATGAGCCATCATGATGGAGGTATGGCTCAGTTTATTTGGGCTGCTGTAGCAGAATTCCATAAACTGGGTAGCTTACAAAGAACAAAAATATATTTCTCACAGTTCTGAAAGCTGAGAAGTTCAAGATGAAGGTGCTGCAGATCTTGTAAAGACCCACTTTTAGGTTCATAGAATGGCACCTCCTCACTGTATGCTCATGTGATGGAAGGAGGGAGGGTTCTTTCTGGATCCCTTTTATAAGGTTAAGAATCCCATTCACAAGGTCTCTGCCCCAAGACTGAATCACCTCCCAAAGGCCCCACCTCTTAATAACATCACTTTGGGGGATAGAATTTCAACATATGAATTTTGTTTGGGGCACAAACATTCAGACTGCAGCAAAGAGTAAAGAATGGAAAAATATGAAGATTAGTGTCTGTGGAGGGCTCACTTTCTGATTCATATTTGGCATCTTCTACCTGTGTCCTCACATGGTGGAAGGGAAGAATTCTGATCTCTTCAGACTCTTATAAAGTCACTAATACCATTTTTGAGTGCCCTGCCCTCATAACCTAATCACCTCCCAAAGACCCCTCTTGGGGATTAGGCTTTAACATACAAGTTTTGGGGAGATACAAACATTCAGTTTACAACAGGTATGAGTGTAAGGCCTCCTTCCCCAACTGGCCTGACCCAACTGGCTCAGAACTGATCTGCAGTGTGAAATCCTCCCTACCCCATCATCTTTCCTTCCCCTTCTACTTCTACAGGCTTAGATCTGCATCTTGGTTTGGAGGTTCTTTTCACCTTCTCCAACTCTCTTGCCTTTATCCTTAGCAGATGTTTTCCCAGTAAATGTTTTTCATGTCTAATCCCATCTTGGCATTTGTTTCTCAGATAACCTTAATTTACATAACCTAAAATAAATAAATCTGAAGAGATATAGTTCTATTTAATTCCCAATTCTTTTTATCTCTATTATTCATAGATGTTTTCACATTAATTGAATATTCACTCAAATCAATTTAAATCTCAGTTCTCTAGCTTAGCTTTTCCTTTCAAAATAAAGCCTTGAGGCTTTAAATTAGAATTGGTGTTTTTGCTGGGGAAATAATTCATAAGTACCTTAGACTAAGAGTATTTGTGATGACAAAGTGGAAGAGCTAGAAAAATACAATTAAAATAAACATTTTAAAATCACTTTCAGAAGTTCAATTGATACGTTTCCTAAAATTATCACAGTAGCAGCAGGTTTTCACAGATGTCAAAGTCTCAGGTCTTTGTTCCTATATGCAGTATAAAGGGTTTCAGGATTCTTCTGCCTCTTTGGTGGGGATGCTGACCATTCATTCATTAATTAGTTCACTTATTCATTAAGCAGATGTGTGTGGAATATTTTACCAGTGGGCAGGCTCTATGGTGAGTGTATTTCTCAAGTATTTATTAGATCCTAAAAACAGCTAACCTTTGCCTTCTGTTGAATTTGACAGCTGGAACACAAATTTAAGTAAATGCCAGAGTTTCACTCTAAAGATGAAGCAATTTCCTCTATTTGAAACTGTTTGTCCTTTTTGGTTCTGCACAGCTCAGTCAAAAGACATTTATACAAACTTCTAGTGGCTGATTCCCATAACCAAATTAACCACAAAATTCTACAAGAACAGGATATGATTCATACTTTGCTCAATGTCTTTATTTCTGTCAGTTTGTAAAATTTTTTTTTTCTTTTACTAGTGTTGGATGCACTAGCTCTAATGTCAGCAACAACATTTTATATGTATGCACACCTTTCTTCCTACATCTGCTCCTATGCCTGCCATGTGAAAGCCTCTGCTGTGCTCTGTAACAGTCTTCTCTGGCCAGCACTGGCACCACTTTTTTCAGTGTCCCCCAGTCTTTTTTGCATGCCTCTTCTCCTTTCCTGGCTGTCCTTTGACAATCACTATTTTTTTGGTACCTCTCCTCATCCTAAATTTTGTTTCACTGCCCAGAGATGCAAAACTTCCAGATGCTAAAGGAAAACTCCTTTAATCAAGGGACCATAACTTTCCTTCCCAGTTATCTCATGGATAGATCTCTTTCCAATAAAATTATTACTTTTTATGTTTTTGAATTTTCATTTATAATGATTTCTACTGTTGCTCTGAGAAATTGGTTAAAAATTTTGCAATAGCCGGGCATAGTGGCTCATGCCTGTAATCCCAGCACTTTGGGAGGTCAAGGTGGGCAGATCACCTGAGTTCGAGATCAGCCTGACCAACACGGTGAAATCCCATCTCTACTAAATATACAAAATTAGCCGGGTGCAGTGGCGCATTCCTGTAATCCCACTATTCAGGAGGCTGAGGCAGGAGAATTTCTTGAACACGGGAGGTGGAGGTTGCAGTGAGCTGAGATTGTGCCACTGCACTCCAGCCTGGGCAACAGGAGCGAGGCTCCATCTCAAAAAAAAAAAAAATTGCAATAACTAATTTCAGAAGACATTTTAGATACTTGAAGCCTATTTTTAGAAACATAATGTAATTTTATATTTAATTATGTATTCATATTTTAAAGAAGTATGATAGGGTGTTTAATAGAAACATTCAAGCATAAATATATACTAGGATAAACATTTCTATGGCAAATTGGATGAAAATATAATTTCATTGAGAAAAAATAATGAGCCTTTTTAATATTAAAAATAATTTGTTCATATACTGAATGATAGGTTAATCACATAATTACTATTATATTTATAATCCTTTTGGCTGTCTTTTAAAAAATAACAGTTGTATTTAAAATGGAAATAATATCCTTTTTAGCTATTGAAATATATGATACAAATTTTACATTCTAACTTTTAAAATGTATAAGAAAATACCTAGTTTTGAAAATCACCTTAGGAAGTGTCATTGTCTGTTCAGATGCTATCATAAAACCCCTTAGACTGGGTGGCTTATAAACAACAGAAATTTATTTCTCACAGATCCAGAAGCCGGGATGTCCAAGATCAATGTAGTGCAGATCTTGTAAAGACTCACTTTCAGGTTCATAGACCAGCACCTCCTCACTGTCTCTTCATGTGATGGAAGGAGGGAGGGATCTCTCTTGGGCCTCTTTTATAAAGGCACAACTTCATTGATGAGGGCTGTGCTGCAGAACTAATAACTTCCCAAAGGCCCAACTTGTTAAATACCATCACCTTGGGGGTTAGGATTTCAACATATGAATTTTGGGGTGATGCAAACATTCAGATCACAGCAGGTAGTAAAGGACTGAAAAAGGTGAAGATCTGCAAGTCTCAAATCACAGTTACTAACGCTTATGAGTATCATAGTTTTACTGTATTTTGCCTGTTTATTTTATTTTATTTTTGATAAGAGCTTCCTTCCTCCCTCCTAACAAAGTAATTTTTCTTTACCCAAGACTCTAACAACCATTCTACCATTCTTGGGAAAATATTTTTCCATTTTTTCTTAAAGACAGACTCATCACCCAATGGCGAATTTGGTTTTGTGTTTGTTTGTTTATTTTTAATGTTTGTGGGTACATAGTAGGTATATATATTTATGGTGTACATGAGATGTTTTGAAGCAGGCATACAATGTGAAATAAGCACATCATGGTACATGGGGTATCCACCCCTCAAGTAAGATCTTCACCCTTGCATGGGTAGTACTCTTGTTCCACATGCTCGTTTCTTCACGTCAGGATAATTCCTTCAAATTTTCCCCTGCCAACCCCAGTAGTTTGAGGTCACTTCATTGCTTTGAACAGCACGTAGGAGGTATACAGGTTTCCAAACTAGTTGAGAAGGAACTCCAATCTCACTTGTAGGGAGCCAGAGGATTTCATCAAAGGGAAGCTGTGACCTACAGATGAGCCACTTTCTGGGGATAGGGAAGAAACCCTCCTCATCACTCTAAAATTCTAACCTTATTTGAGCTTCCCAACACACAACTTTCCTGAAAAATCTTCTGTCAAGTGTTGCCAATCACTTATTAAGTATTAAATTTAAAGAATACACTTTGAATGTGTATCTCATTTGAACTCTCTACAGTATTTGACAAGCATGACAATTTCTTCTTTGAAATCCTGGCTTCCATCACACCTCTGTCTTAGGGTACCTGCTACTTTTCCCACTACTTTCTCTCAAGCTCCTTCATGTGCAGCTCCTTCTCTGTCTGCTCCAAAACTCTGTTTTTCTTACTCTGAACACTGTCTTTGATAATCACACTCATTGTCAGGCCTTCAGTTACCAATAGGATGTTAACAAAGCTTACATCTATGTTGTCAGCTTAGGTCTTTCAGCTGAGCTTCATTTGAATCTTACAACCTACACTCAATAGTGCTCTTTGTGTTGATGTCAATTAATGTTTTTATTAAATGTGAGTAAAATTGTTACTCCAGAAAGATATATGGTATATATCTCATGACTTCCCTATACTCTGACACAAAATCTCAAAACCTGTAGGCACATACATCTTTTTAACTAAGCATAGGAAATCTAGCCACAGTCAAGTTATTCACTCCTCAGCATTAGAACACTTCTTTAGCCCGTTGGGCTGCTTTTCTTTTCCATATAGCTATTCTCCATCTCTTTTCTAAGCCTCTGCTAGTCAGTCTCCCCACCTAAGATGCTATTCTTTCTGTACTTATATTCAAATGATCCCCCTTCTTTTGGGCTTGACTCAGTCTTTACACACACAGTGTAGTCTTTCTTAATTATTCTAATGCCCATTTATCTTACCCGTCTAGAACTCAAATAGAATGTATTAGGCAAACAAATTCATTTAGACATTAAGTCAAATACAGTCTCAAACTTATATATAACAACTTCAAGCATATTTTTTTTGATTTTGCAACTACAATACAATTATAGGCTGAATGTTTGCGTCCCTTACATTTTATGTGCTGAAACCCTACTCTCAATGTGATGTATTAGAAGGTAGGGCCTTCAGAAGGTGATTTGGTCATGGGAGTAGAGCCCTCATGAATGGGATTAGTGCCCTTTTAAGCATCCCAAGAGAGCTTGCTTCACTTTGCTCTCTGTCATATAAGGATACAACAAGAAGTCGGTATTCTGTAACCTGAAAGAGGACCCTCACTGGAACCCAACCATGCTAGCACCCTGATCTCAGACCTCCAGTATACTGATTGTGAGAAATATATCTCAGTTGTTTATAAGCTGCCCAGTCTATAGTAATTTGGTGTAGCAGCCTGAACTAACAAGACAAATACCTAAGCTTTTATGGTATGGAATTCTTTATTGGCTAACTTTTAATGCCTAGAACAATGTTATGAACATAGTAATATTTAACAAGTATTTGTTAAATAAATAGTTTTAAAAAGGCACTCATTTTCAAAGTCAGGGTATATCAAATATTGTTGGAATGACAATTGATAATGGCTAAAATGCTGAGGAAATAGGAGATTTATTTTAACTTAAGAGTCTCAGAGCCACTGTTATACTTTTCAGGAACAAGCATTCACCTGTGAGGTAGAATTTGAAAAATATTTTCTTGTCCAAATATATATGCCTTAAAGCTTCTGTTTGTGTGCTTATAGTTATCATATTAGCTATTCCTTGGAGTTAACAAAGCCCAAATAAAAATTTGGAAGAACATTTTGGATTAAATTTCTTTATCAGGTTAGTCAGACTCAAGAGGATGTTGGAATGGACAGAGATGAGGAAAATAAGTCGAGGGAAAAGTTTAGAGCCTGAAGCTATGGGGAAGGCAATGTCAGGGGAAATATTTGGGGCATCAAGGATGTATGATAAAATTGCTGAATATTTGACCACAATCAAAGTGTGGGCTGCCAAAAGCAGTAGGTACAGAAAGCAGCTCATATCTCTACTAGAAGGATGAGCTTTGTGCAAGGTAACTTTTGTAGCTTAAATATTGAGTAGGGGCTTACACTTAGTAAAAATATCTTCAGTTGTAGAATAAAGTTGTCACCTTGAGTGAAATGTTCTATCAAGTATCTAAGTGCCTTGTGTAGTTAGTTACTTCACCAAAACTATATTTCTTTGGGTATTTTAACTTTTGTTTAATTATTGTTTATGTAAAAATGAAAGAAGTTCGATTAAGAAGAGGTCAAAAAATGTAACAAAGTAAAAGGAGAATAGGAATGTGTATATGGTGAGCATTTGTGTGACTGGTGCAACGTAGGTCTGGAAATGCTTATTTTATATATTTTCATAATAAGAGAGTTATAAGTACCCTCATTTCTCCAAAAAGAAACTGAAATTCAGCAAAATTATGTAAATAGTCCTGTGTCACTTGGTTATTAAGAGCAAAACCTGGTATTTGACCTGAGATGTCTATAACACCAATGCTCATGCTATTTTACGAAATTCTAAATGAGCAAAGAAAAAAATACCATGAGGGCTTAGATTATTTTTCATCATGTGAATAGACATTTTTACATGATGTGGGATTCTCGAATACAGCAGGATAGGTTTAGGAGCTGTAAGTAACAGAAATTAAGTTTAGATTTAGTATCTTAGTTTGGATCCCAGAATCACACTTTGAGGCAGGATTTATATGCAAATAATTCATCTGGGATGTGGTCCCATAAACATAAGTAGAGGAGTGGTGAAGCGATAAAGAAAAGGGAAGGAAGCCAATAAAAGTGCATCATCAAACAGATTACTATAGCGGGCAACTATAGCTTAGTCCCACAAGCGTATTACCCCTGAGGGGAGAGAATTGCATCGTATGAACCAAATCTTGGCAGCTAATGATTAAAAGCCACTCCTGTGGAACATTGATTCCCCAGCATTTCCAGCCTGCTTTATGCACAGGTGGAGTGGGCTCCTGCAGCCAGAGCAAGCCCTCAGGCAAAGAGAAGTTGATGATATTTGGAAGTCTGTTGGCAGGTATTAAAAGGCAAGGGGTATGTGGATAAAGAACTCACCTGCTACATTTAAAAAATAAGATGTTAAAACTATGTTAGGCACCTTTGACAAAATATATTCTCTAACAAATTGTGTTGGGATAACTGGATAGCCACATGTAATAAAATAAAATCTGACCCCTATTTATACACAAAAATAAATCCATCAAAATGGTTTAAAAATGTAAATGTAAGAATTGAAACCGTTAAACTCCTAGAAGAAAATGGGAGAAAAGCTTCATGACATTGGATTTGGCAACGATTTCTTGGATATGACACCAAAAGCATAAGAAACAGAAGCAAAAATAGACAAATGAGATGACATCAAATAATAAGCTTCTATATAGTACAGGATGCAATCAAGAGTGAAAAGATAACCTATGGAATGGGAGAAATATTTGCAAACCATATATCTAATAAGGGGTTTATATCAAAAGTGTATAAGGAACTCCTACAACTCAATAGCGAAGAAATGAATAACCTTATTTTAAAATGGGCAAAGGACTTGCATAGACATGTATCCTCCTGAGAAGACATATAAATAGCCTATAGGTATATGAAAAGATGCTCAACATCATTAATAATCAGAACAAAAGCAAATCAAAACAATGAGATATTACTTCATACCTATTAGAATGGCTGTTATTAAAAAGCAAGATAAGTATTGGCAAAAGTGTGAAGAAATTGGAACCTTGTACCCTACTGGTAGGAATGTTAAGTGGTGCAGCTGCTGTAAAAAGCAATAGGAGACATGGTGTTTCCTAACATATTAAAGAAGGAACTACCATATGATCCAGCAATCTCACTTCTGGGTATATATCACAAAGAATTGAAATCAGGATCTTAAAGATACATCTGTAATCCCATGTTCATTGTGGCATTACTCACAATAGCCAAGGTATTGAAATATTTATGTATGTTATCATCAATTTATATATAAATAGATAAGGAAAATGTGCCATATACACAGGACGGAATATTAGTCAGCCTTAAAAAATAAGGAAATCCTGCCATATGCTACAAGAAGGATAAATCTGGAGAACATTACACTAAGTGAAGAAAACTAGTCACAGAAATAAACTAGTCACAGAAATACTGCATAATTCCAACTATATGATGTACCTAAAATAATCTAACTTATAGAAACAAGAGAATAGAATGGTGGTTTCCAGGAACTGGAAGGAGGTAGAGGGTAGTTGCAGTTCAATGAGTATAAAGTATAGTTATGCAAGATGAGTAACTTTTAAAGATCTGCTGTATTCACTGTACCTATAGTTAACTATATATTGTACACTTAAAATTTTGTTAAGAGAGTATAACTCAGGTTAAGTGTTTTTACCACTACACACACAAACACACATACTGGGTTAGTCTGTTCTCATTGCTGTTACTAAAGACATACCAAAGACTGGGTAATTTATAAAGGAAAGATGTTTAATGGACTCAGTTCCTTGTGGCTGGGGAGGCCTCACAATAATGGTGGAAGGCAAAGGAGAAGAAAAGTCATGTCTTACAGGGTGGCAGGCAAGGTAGCTTGTGCAGGAGAACTCCCCTTTACAAAACCATCAGATATTATGAGACTTATTCACTACCACAAGAACAGCATGAGAAAGCCCTGCCTCCATGATTCAATTATCTTCCACTGGGTCCCTTCCATGACACATGGGAATTTGGGGAGCTACAATTCAATATGAGATTTGGGTGGGGACACAGCCAAACCATATCACACACATATTAGCTTGTGCGTGGAATCATCATAATGCCAGGAGAAACAGACTCCAAGTTATATAGCCTAGAAAATTTCTCCAAACTCCTTTATGAAGGCATTTTGTGATGCATAATGGCCAACTCCCACAAAGCAGTAAAAGCTCCAACTTGCACCTCAGCGCAGTTAACCCTGAGCATATGACATTCACATTAGCATTCCTGTTCTGTCTGCTCTTGGCATTTAATCTTGTTTTAATTTTCCCCTTTACCAGAGAGTTTCTTCAGTCCATCATGTTCAAAAATCCCTGTGTATTGGTTGGTTTCATCTGATTTGCAAAACCTAGTGGATTTGCCTGAATCCTAGCTGCAAGGGTGTATAAGTAACTTTAGCTTCTATGATGAAAAGCACACTCTTTCCAGTCAAACTCATCAAAACTCACAAGGTTGTGGGAGGTAGGTCTATAAGCATAGGAAGTTAAGATACTGATTCTCCATAAAGAAATAATAAATATCCATGATATATAGTTAATATATTTTAATCCACAATTTAATTTTTTGTTAAATAAGTTCCCAGAAATAAACTGGGCTCAAGGCTTTCAATCAGAAAGTATAAAAGCAGTGTTTGGTTGAAGGTTTCAGCTTTAGTTGAGGAAGTACAGTGATTCCTTCATTCTTGGTCTTATCTCCATTTTTCTTTAATTTTCAGTGCCATTGTTATTTTTCTGGGTCAAATTTTTTAACTCCCCTGGCTTTTTTCTTTACTTTTCTTTTCTTTTCCTGTGTAAGAAACTTTGCTGTAAGAAGTCTTTCTCCAAATGCATCCCTAGGGCACTATTAAAAGCTGAGAGAGGTAGGCTCCTCTCCTCTCTGTTCAATCTGTGAGTCACTCACTCACTCATTATATGCATCATAAGCCTAAGCCTACCCATAACTCTGTGAAGGCAATTCATTTTGACAGTGCTATACTATGCACCAGGAATTATTTGAGGCAAAGAAAGAGGTGAAATATGAAGATAAGAAGAAACTGGCCTCAAGGGAGTTTATAATCTCATAGAGTGCATAAACTAGACAAGTATATAAACAACTGTATTACAAGGATATAAGCAAGGAAAAAGATGATTACTATGGCAATATGGAGAGAGGCAAATGAATCTCCATTTAGGACTGGGTCAGGGGAAGGTTAGGGCATTTGAAAAGCTATTTCTTGATGTTTGGAAAGGATTTGGACAAATGGAGTTAAGATGTGACAGGAATATCTTCTGAAGAAACCAAATAAGGAAAATATGGATTATATGTGATGATTATTAAATAGCCTAATTTGCTCAGAATAAACACTGTCTATAGAATAATAGGAGGAGACACAGACAAGTAGCATGTGAATAGTCAGGTGAAAAGTCTGAATCATGGATATCTCAAAAGAGGAAATGGGACCCTAGTTGAGTATTAAGATTTGTGTTTCTTCTCATGTTGAACAAAGTACCTACTCTTTGACCTTCTACTGGCATTTAACTCATTACATTTTAATAAGAAATTTATTATTAGAAATCATTCTCTTTAGACCAGTTTCACATTCAGAGATTAAAAAGTGTATGCATCTACCAAATGTAGAATAGACATTATTTTACTGAACTGAGAAACTCATCTTTCTTTATACTCTAGTTTAACATCTTTCTGAATATCCTGGTTTTATAGTGACAAGCACCTTGGATATAACGAGCCAGACAGAACTATTCTGAAAGGCACAGAATAACAAAGCTTCAAGACTGTCTCTAACCCTCTTTCTCTTTTGATTTCTGCCAAAACTAGTGGTTAAAGTAATGCCATTATACCAGTTTCCAATAAGCATGACCAATTGTTCTAATGAAGCCATTTAAAACAACAATTTTATTCCAAACATATGTGCAACCAAATGTGTTTTTAAATTATTTTTCCCTTGCTCCTTTGTGCAAATTAGAGTTTTCATAATTGTAAATGTGTAAAATGAAAATATTAGAAGCCACAATTTCTGACAACATAAATTCTTGACTTATTAAATTTTACACCAGTATTACATGTTAAAAAAAAGGACTTAACTTCTGAAACAACGAAAACCTTAACTAATTTATGAATGTTAAAAAACAAAAATATGATATTATAAAAGCAGAAGTATAAGAATGATCTTGATAGCACATCTGTGCTTTAGAAAACATTAGATTAATTTGAGAGTATTTTTCCTTCAAATGGAGTTTAAAAGGTTTTTCATTCTTCATTCACCTTATCACACATTTAAACATGCATGTGTAAGCATAGTTTCATTGCTTTAGTGCTATACAATTATTTTCACAAACTTAAAAATGTTCCTTTTTTTAATCACTTATGATTATGTCCATATGCCATAAAGGTCTAAACTCAGAATAATTTGGGAATAAGTACTTTCTAAAAATTATGAATTTTGCAATGGCATAAAGAACAACATTTGAAGAATTTGGTTTATACCACCTCATAGTTAGTAGCAATGCAAACAAAGCCAGAGCTATAGTTTTATTTATGTTTTACAGTTCATTTTGTCTGGAATGCCACTGCTATCAACTTATGCCAGAATCTCTCTCTTGAACTATTACTATGACCTGCTGAAGTATCTTCCTGACAGTCGTTACTTTCTCACTTCAATCTGTTTTCACAAGGTAGTCTGAGTTACCTTTTAAACTCGAATATCTGGTAATATCATTTCAGTTATTTAAACTTTCAATGGCTTCTTATTGCTCTTGGAATAAGTAGAAAATTATTAACATGGTCTAGAAGGATCTGCATAATGTGAACCATGTCCAAACCTCTATCCTTTACCCAAATCTCACTAAAAATAACTGTTTTGGTGGAATATTTATTCCTCAGTTTTTCAAATATGCTCTTCTTTTTATAGAATGCTTTCCTTCTTCTCCATTTTATAATGATTAAATAGCTTTCAAGTTACAGAACTGATACAGTTTGCCTGTATTCCCATGCAAAGCTCATCTTGAACTTGTAGTTCACATAATCCCCACATGTTGTGGAAGGAACCCAGTGAAAGGTAATTGAATCATGGGGGTTGTTACCTTCATGCTGTTCTTGTGATGGTGAGCGAATTCTCACAAGATGTGATGGTTTTTAAGGGGCTTTTCCCCCCTCTTCACTGTGCACTTCCTCTTGCTGCCAGCATGTGAAGAAGGACATGTTTGCCTCCCCTTCCACCATGATTGTAAGTTTCCTGAGGCCTCCCCAGCTATGCTAAACTGTGAGTCAATTAAATCTCTTTCTTTATAAATTACCCAGTCTCAGGTGTCTTTATTAGCAGCATGAGAACAAACTAATACAGTAAATTGGTACCACAGAGAGTTGGGTGCTGCTATAAAGATAGCTGAAAATGTGGAAGCAACTTTGGAACTAGGTAACAGGCAGAGGTTGGACCAGTTTGGAGTGCTCCAAAGAAGACAGGAAAATGTGGGAAAGTTTGGAACTTCCTAGAAACTTAGAGATCTCAGAAGACCAGAAGATGTGGGAAAGTTTGGAACTTCCTAGAGACTTACTGAATGGCTTTGAGCAAAATGCTGATAGGGATATGGACAATGAAGTCCATGCTGAAGTGCTCTCAGTTGGAGATGAGGAACCTGTTGGGAACTGGAGTAAACATCACTCTTACTGTGCAAAGAGAATGGTGTCATTTTGACCTTGCCCTAGAGATCTGTGGAACTTTGAACTTGAGATGGATGATGTGGGGTATCTGGCAGAAGAAATGTCTAAGTGGCAAAGGGTTCAAGAGGAAGCAAAGCATAAAAGTTTGGAAAATTTGCAGCCTGACAATGAAACAGAAAAGAAAAACACATTTTCTGGGAAGAAATTCAAGCCAGCTTCAGAAATTTGCATAAGCAATGAGGAGCTGAATGGTAATCACCAAGACAATGAGGAAAATATCTCCAGAACATATCAGGGACCTTCTTGGGAGTTGATCCCATCACAAGCCCAGAGGCCTAGGAGGAAAAAATGGTTTCTAACCTAAAGACTTCGTGTCTTGTGTCTCATCAGCACAAGCCATGGCTAAAATGAGCCAAGGTACAGCTAGGCCATAGCTTCAAAGGGTGCAAGCCACAAGCCTTGGCAGCTTCCACATGGTGTTGAGCCTGCAGGTGCACCAAATCAAAAGTTGAGGTTTTCAAACTTCTGCCTAGATTTCAGAGGATGTATGGAAATGCCTGGTTGTCCAGGCAGAACTTTGCTGCAGGGGCAGAAACCTCATGGAGAACCTCTGGTAGGGCAGTGTAGAAGGAAAATGTGGGGTTGGAGCCTGCACACAGAGTCCTCACTGGGACACTGCCTAGTGGGGCTGTGAGAGGAAGGCCTCTGTCCTGCAGACCCCAAAATGGTAGATCCACTGACAGCCTGCACTGTACATATGGGAAAGCCTCAGACACTCAGCACCAGCCTGTGAAAGCAGCCAGGAGGGGGATGGCAAAATCATGGGGCAGAGCTTCCCAAGGCTGTAGGAGCCCACCTCTTGCATCAGCATGACCTGGATTTGAGACATGGAGTCAAAGGAGATCACTTTGCAGATTTAAGGTTTAATGACTGCCCTGTTGGATTTTGGACTTGCACGGGGCCTGTAGCCCCTATGTTTTGGCTAATTTCTCCCATTTGGAATGAGTGTATTTACCCAATGTCTGTACCCTTCATTGTGTCTAGGAAGTAATTAAGTTGCTTTTGGTCTTACAGGCTTTTAGGTGTAAGGTACTTGCCTTGTCTCAGATAAGGCTTTGGACTTGGACTTTTAAGTTAATGCTGAAATGTGTTAAGACTTTGGGGGAGTGTTAGGAAAGCATTATTGCGCTTTGAAATGTGAGGACATGATATTTGGAAGGGGGTAGGCATGGAATAATATGGTTTGGCTGTGTTCCTACCCAAATCTCATCTTGAATTGTAGTTACCATAATCCCTATGTGTCATGGGAGGGAACCTGTGGGAGGTAATTAAATCATGGAGGAGGTTACCTCCATGCTGTTCTCATGATAGTGAGTGAGTTCTCACAAGATCTGATAGTTTTATGAGGGGCTTTCCCCCACCTTTTCTCTGCACTTCCTCTTGCTGCCGCCATATGAAAAAGGATGTGTTTGCTTCCCCTTCTGCCATGATTGTAAGTTTCCTGAGGTCTCCACAGCCATGCTGACCTGTGAGTCAATTAACCCTCTTTCCTTTATAAATTACCTAGTCTCAGATATGCCTTTAGTAGCAGCATGAGAATGAACTCATACAATAACAGACCACACCTGGGTCTCTTCTGTTATTTATAGCCTCACATAGAGCCACATTCCTTCCCTTTATATGGTTTACTTAGTAAATAGTAATAATTTGTGTAACTATTTGAATAAAATGTGTCTCCCAACTAAACTGTTACGAAGGAAAGGATTATACATATTTTTGAGCACAATTTTATCTTTAGGGAGTAGAAAAATACCTGTCATTTATTAATAAATTGAATAAATTACTAAAAATAAAAGCAAGCAGTAAACTGAGTCCAGCAAAATATAAAAATAATTATATACCAGGACCAAGTGGGATTTATCACAGGAAGGCAAAGTTGGTTTAACATCTAAAAATCAAATACAAAAAAGCCCACCATATTAATAATATAAGTACAAAAAAACATGATTATCTCAAATGATTCAGAAAAAATACTTGACAAAATCCAACACATTTTCATGATAAAAATGTTCCCAAGTGGCCAGGCACAATGGCTCACGCCTGTAATTCCAGCACTTTGGGAGGCCGAGGCAGGTGGATCATGAGGTCAGGAGATCAAGACCACCCTGGCTAACACGGTGAAACCCCGTCTCTACTAAAAATACAAAAACAAAATTAGGTGGGCATGGTGGCGGGCACCTGTAGTCCCAGCTACTCAGGAGGCTGAGGCTGGAGAATGGCCTGAACCCAGGAGGCAGAGCTTGCAGTGAGCTGAGATCATGCCACTGCTCTCCAGTCTGGGTGACAGAGCAAGACTCTGTCTCAAAAAAAAGAAAAAAATGTTCACAAGCTAGTAATAGAAGGTAATTTTCTTGATCTGATAAGAGACATACAGGAAAAAATAAAACAGAGCCACATAATGGTGAACGACTGAATGTTTTTTACTTAAAATCAAGAACAAGTTAAGAATATCCACTCTTTGAATTCTATTTAAAATTGTACAGTTGGTCCTAGCCAAGGCAGTTAAGTAAGAAAAAGAAATAACAGGTTGGGCACAGTGGCTCATGCCTGTAATCCCAGCACTTTAGGAGGCGGAGGTGGGCAGATCACTTGAGGCCAGGAGTTGAAGACCAACCTGGCTAATATGGTGAAAGCCCATGTCTACTAAAAATACAAAAATTAGCCAGGCATAGTGTTACGCACCTGTAATCCCAGCTACTCAGGAGGCTGAGGTGGGAGAATCACTTGAACCAGAGAGGCAGAGGTTGCAATGAGCCGAGATTACACCACTGCACCCAGCTTGGGTGACAGAGTGAGACTCCATCTCAAAAAAACAAAATAAAACAAAACAAAACAAAACAACAACAACAGAAAACATCCAGATTGAAAAAATAATAAAATTAGTTCTTTTTGTATATGACATGTACTTATATAGATAAATCCTAAGTAATCTATTGAAAGTTATTAGAACTAATAAACAAATTCAACAAGATTTCAGGATAAAAGATCAGTACAAAAATATGAGTATTTTTATATAATAACAATGAGTGTTCCAAAAATAAAATTAAGGAAAAAATTTTCATCTGAAATAGCATCAGGAACAAAAGGCTTAGTAATGAATTTAATAAAAGAAGTACAATACTTACAATACTTATACAATGAAAGCTACAAAGGAATAAATTAGTGAAAATATAAATAAGTGGAAAGACATACCATGATTTCCTGGATCAGAACATAATGTTCTCATGGATTAGAAAACATAATATTGTAAAGATGGCAATAATGCCAAATTCATCTAAAGAGTTGATGCATTCCCTATCTGAATGTTAAATGCCAGGTTGGTATTTTTTGTAGAAACTGACAATCTGGCCATAAAATTTATGTAGAAATGCAAGGGATCCAGAATAACCAAAACAAAATTTAAAAAAAAGTTTGAGAACCAACACATCCTTATTTCAAAATTTACTACAAAGCTACAGTAATCAAAAAATATAGTACTGGCATTAGGAGAGTTTATATATCAATGGAAAAGAATTGAGAGCCCAGAAATAAATCTTTACACTTATGGTCAGTTGATTTTCAACAAGGACGTCAAGACAATTAAATGGGAAAGAATATCTTTTCAACAAATGTTGCTGAGTCAACTGAATATCCACATGCAAAAGAATGAAGTTGAATTCTCACCTCAATCATAAACAAAATTAAGTCAAACTGGATCGTAGACTTAAATGTAAGAATTAAAATCTATAAACTACTTAGAAGAAAATATGAGAATAAACCTCCTTAACTATTGATTAGGCAATGTTTTCTTAGAAAAGACAACAAAAACATAATAAAAATAGGTAAATTGAATAAGAAAATTTTTTAATATTCATTATGTGTTTCAGTAATACCATCAAGGGAGTGAAAGATAATCTGCAGAATGGGAAAAATATTTACAAATCATGTATCTGATTAAATACTTGTATCCAGACTATAGAATGAACTCTTACAACTCAATAATAAAAATGTGAATAACCCAATTAAAAGCAGAAAAAGGATTGAATAGACATTTTCCAAAGAAGATATGCAAATGCTCAATAAGCATATGAAAAGATACTCATCATTACTCATTAGTGATATGCAAATTAAAATCACAATGGGATACCATTTTACTCCTACAATCATCAATTATGGATGGAATAAAAAAGACATACAATAACAAGTGTTGGCAAGGATGTGGAGAATTAGTATCTGCAGACCTTGCTGGTGATGGTGTAAAATCACCAAAGGGCAGCAATTCTTTCAAAAATTCAAATATAGAATAATCATATGACTCAATTATTCTGCCCAAAAGTGAAAACATATGTCCATACAAATAATCTACGTGAATATTCATGGCAGTATTATTCAAAATAGCAAAAAGTGGAAAAAATGCAAATATCAACTAAAGAATAGGTAAGTACTAAGTAGTATATTGGTACACTGGAATATTATTTGTTAAATAAATGAAATACTAATACATGCTACACCTGGATGATTCTTGAAAACACTATACTAAGTTACAGAAGCCAGTGACAAATGCCACATACAGTATTACTGACTATTAAATGTTCAGAATAGGCAAATCTGTGGAGGAAATCCGATTAGAGATTTGTGAGGGATAGGGATGCTGTGGAGAGGCAATAGATATGGAGCTGATTTTAGGTGGGAAGAAAATTTTCTAAATTTAGATTGTGGTAATGGTTTCACAACCCTATAAAATATTTTAAAACATTAAAGCTTACACTTTAAATTGGTGAATTGCATGGTATATGAATTATTTCTCAATAAAGATGTTTAAGAAAGATTGAATGAACAAATTATACTCAAAATAATGGTAAATATTGAAGATATTTAAAAATAAATATACTAAGTATGTTAGTTTGTTGTATGCTTAATGAAAGAAAATGTAAACTATTCTAATTGCTATATTAATTAGATATCGCCAACCATTTCTAATGCAGGTTCTATGGAGGCCACTAGCAAACAACAGTTTGAATGTGTAACCAGTTTGTATCATTCCTTAAACAGTCTGTAATTTTTATTTCCCAACCTTGAAGCAGGACTTGACTTTTCATCTTAGCCCTCTGACTTTACTTTTTAAAAATTTTTGTATTTATTTCATGATCTCTGAAAAAGATTGAGAAGCCTTCTGACTTCAAGTCCACTACCACATCATTAGTGGGCTGTGTGTAGATTTAAGTAAAAAAAAAAGCGGGGAGAGGAGTCATATTTAGGAGAGGAGATAAAAAACGTTTATAACAAATTCCGTGTGGAAAATATTTTAGTAAATATCTCATTTGGCACTTCAATCCTCCCATAAATTTCTTCTTCACCTGTCACATGTTTTTCACCTCTCTGTCAACTTTCCTTCCACAGTCTAAACCTATTTTTTCCTGCCCAATTGCTTATTCAGAATTTCTTTGTGTTATTACAGTGCCAGGATACACTGTTACTACAGTGCCACCCATAGCCCTGGACATATAGCTTCTCTCTTAGTCTGTCTTGTGTTGCTATAACAGAATTCTATAGACTGGATAATTTGTAAAGAAAATAAGTATATTTCTTACCATTTTGGGGGCTGAGAATTCCAAAAGCACGGTGCTTATATCTGGTGAGAGCTTTCATGCTGCAATATCCCGTGGCAAAAGAGCAGAAGGGAGAGCAAGCATATGCAAGAGAGCAGAACATCAGGGGCTGGCCTCACTTTTATAACTACCCTGCCATATGATAACCAACCCACTCTTGTGGTAACATTAGTCTATTCATGAGGGTGAAGCCCTCATGACTTAATCACTTTTTAAAGACCCCACCTCCAAATACCATCATACTGGCAATTAAATTTCAACATGAGTTTTGGAGGGGACATTCAAATCATAGCAGATTCCAAGTTTATCATGTTTTACCTCAATAAAACTATTGGTATTTTGTTACTATACACACACACAGAAAATTTTTTTTTCTACATCCAGATCCTTATAAATAAATTAATGAATATTATTAAGGTATTTTGAAAGGCTAAATTTATTAATATGAATAATTAACATGTTCATGGTACAAAAACTTTGCAATTTGACCAGTTTTATTTATTAATATTTATTTATTAACACTATGTGTCAGATATCATGGTAGATGCTGAGTATATCCAAATATGGAAGTCATAGTCCTTGCAAATAATTGAAATTCACAATTCAGCTCTTTCACAAGCAAGATCTGCATTTACATCCCCTCAACTCTGAAAGGAAACTAAAGCAATATGAGAAAACTAAGGCTCTGGAAAATCTTGATGAGTCATGCAACTACTGTCCAGATTTGTACTCACAGTTTCTAATAATAAATGTGTGGGTTTTTTTTTAATTGGGCCAGTGAATCACACTGACTATAAAAGTTTGCATACATTATCTTATTTAGGTTTCATATAATCCCATTTTTGGCTTCAGAAACATTTAATCAGTATATCTTGGATAGGTATCATTAACCCCTGTATCTGTCAGGCCAGCTCATGTTTTTGCATCTATGCATTACCTTCATTCCTCCTGCAATAGCTACTTCGTTAATGAACTCAAGCAAAATCTGAGATGGTTGTGTAAGAAAGGCTAATTGATATCAGTAAAGTGGTTTATTTTGTTGATTACTGACCATATCCTCAGCAGCTGGATGAACACTGAGATAGGACAAAGTTTCTCCCAGACTGTACTCATTTCAAGAAAAACCTTTCCAAATTTTTATCAACATTCTATTCTTATTTACATAAAAAAGAACCCACTATTGCTAATTGATATGGTTTGGCTGTGTAGCCACCCAAATCTCATCTTGAATTCCCCCATGTTGTGAGAGGAACTCAGTGGGAGGTAATTGAATCATAGGGGTAGGTCTTTCCTGTGCTATTCTTGTGATAGTGACTAAGCCTCATGAGATCTGATAGTTCTATAAGGGGCAGTTTCTGTACACAAGCTCTCTTTTATCTTATCTGCTGCCATATGAGAGGTGCCTTTCACATTCTGCCATGATTGTGAGGCCTCCCCAGCCATGTGAAACTGTAAATCCAATAAACCTCTTTTCTTTGTAAATTGCCCAGCCTTGGGTATGTCTTTATTAGCAGCATGAAAATGGACTAATACAGTAAATGAGTACCAGTAGAGTGGGGCACCACTGAAAAGATACCTGAAAATGTAGAAGCCACTTTGGAGCTGGGTAACAGGCAGAGGTTGGAACAGTTTGGAGGGTTCAGAAGATGACAGGAAAATGCAGGAAAGTTTGGAACTTCTTAGAGACTTGTTGAATAGCTTTAACCAAAAGGCTGATAATGATATGGACAATTAAATCCAGGCTGAGATAGTCTCAGATGGAGGTGAGGAACTTGTTGGGAACTGGAGCAATGATGACTCTTGTTATGTTTTATCAGAGAGACTGGTGGCATTTTGCCCCTGCCCTAGAGATTTGTGGAACTTTCAACTTGAGAGAGATGATTTAGGGTATCTGCAGGAAGAAATTTCTAAGCAGCAAAGCAGTAAAGAGGTAACTTATGTGCTGTTAAAGGCATTCAGTTTTAAAAGGTAAACTAAACATAAAAGTTCAGAAAATTTGCAGCCTGACAATGTGATAGAAAAGAAAATCCCATTTTCTAAGGAGAAATTCAAGCTGGCTGCAAAAATTTGCATAAGTAACAAGGAGCCGCATGTTAATCCCCAAGACAATGGGGAAAATGTCTCTGGGACATGTCAGAGGTCTTCACAGCAGCTCCTCCCATCACAAGCCCAGATGCCCAGGAGGAAAAAATGGTTTTGTGGGCCAGGCCCTGGGTCCCTGTGCTGTGTGCAGCTTAGGGACTTGGTGCCCTGCCTCCTAGCCACTCCAGCTGTGGCTGGAAAAGGCCAACATGAAGCTCAGGTCGTGGCTTCAGAGGGTGCAAGTCCTAAGCATTGGCAGCTTCTACATGGTGTTGAGCCTACAAATGCACAGAAGTCAATAATTGAGGTTTAGAAACCTCTGCCTAGATTTCAAAGGATGTATGCAAATACCTGAATGTCCAGGCAGACACATGCTTCAGGGGTGGGGCTCTCATGAAGAACCTGTGCTAGGGCAATGCAGATGGGAAATGTGGGGTTGGAGCCCCCTCACATCATCCCTACAGGAGCATCACCTAGCGGAGCTGTGACAGGAGGGCTGTCATCCTCCAGACCCCAGAATGGTAGATCCACTGACAGCTTGCACTGTATGCCTGGAAAAGCCACAGACAGTCAACACCAACCCATGCAAGCAGCCGGGAAGGAGGCTGTACACTGCAAAGCCACAGGGAGCTGCCCTAGACCATGGGAGCCCATGTCTTGCGTAAGTGTGACCCAGATGTGAGACACAGAGTCAAGGGGATCATTTTGGAGATTTAAGATTTGACTGCTCTGCTAGATTTTGGACTTTCATAGGGCCTGTAGCCCCTTTGTTTTGACCAATTTCTCCCATTTGGAATGGTTTTACTTACCTGTAGCCTCATTGTATCTAGGAAGTAACTAACTTGCTTTTGATTTTACAGGCTCGCAGGCAGAAGGGACTTGCCTTGTCTCAGATGAGACATTGGACTGTGAACTTTTGAGTTAATGGTGAAATGAATTAAGACTTTGGGGGACTGTTGAGAAAGCATGATTGGTTTTGAAATGTGAGGACATGAGATTTGGGAGGGGCCAGGGGTGGAATGATGTGGTTTGGCTGTGTCCCCATCCAAATCTCATCTTGAATTCCCACATGTTGTGGGAGGTATCCGGTGGGAGGTAATTGAATCATGGGGATAGGTCTTTCCCCTGCTGTTATCATGATAGTGAATGAATCTCATGAGATCTGATGGTTCTATAAGGGGGAGTTTCCCTTCACAAGCTCTCTTTTCTCTTGTCTGCCACCATGTGAGAAGTGCCTTTCATCTTCCGCGACGATTGTTAGGCCTCCCCAGCCATGTGGAACTGTAAGTCCAATAAACCTGTTTACTTTGTAAATTGCCCAATTTTGGGTGTGTCTTTATCAGCAGCATGTAAACAGACTGATACACTAATTTGAGATAAATGAAATTAATTACAGGACATTCAACATGTGGGTAGCATTTTGGCATGATAGTTAGAGGAGCCACACTCATTTTGATGCTTTACAACGTTTCTGGGACCACATATTTTGGTTTGGGGAAAGAAGAAAATAGCACTCTATATTCATTGCTGATTCAGAGTGTATACTACCTCCTGAAGAACTGTTCCAAAGCATCTCAAGGTGTATCTTCTAGCAGGTGCTGTAACTGTCTTCAATATTCTTTTCCTCTGGTGGTTTCTAATTCAGATGGTTTCTAAGTGATGAGGTACATAATGAAGACAGCGAAATCTGTGAACATAAGCTCCATTGCCTTACTACTTTTGCAAGATGAGTTTCTTAATCAGAATAAATATTATAAATAAATAAATATCATGGTATTAAATATTTTATAAGATATGAGTACAGTTATTACTCTTCTTAGAAGTGCAGTAGGCAAGAAAATTATAACTATATACCACATATGTGTTTACTACAATAAGAACAAATTTCCTTCTAATGCGCTTCCTATTACAAGGAAATCTGGTATGAGGTGGTTTGTTTCTTAATTGTATAGCCATGTGGAGGGCTTGGCGCCAGAATTACTGCTATTAAATCAGGTAAAAATTGGTGGAGAAAAGTCAGCTTCAATGATGGCTAGCTTGTGCTTCTGTGTCTACGTATTACCTCTATTCCTTCTACTGTAACCATTTGTTAATGAACTCATTATACAAATTCTGGGGCTGTTGAAAAAAAATACTGATTAATAGCCATACAACACTTTATTTTGTTAACTTCATTACTGAGCATATCCTTAGCAGCTGCATAAGCTTTTTTGTAGGACAAAGTTTCTATCAAACTGAACTCATTCCAAAAGCAAAACTTTCCACATTTTTGCCAAATCTCCATTCTTATCCCTTCCAAGTCCATGATTATCATAACAATCCATTTTTAGGTGATTCTCTAACACTTAAGTATAAGCTGAACTTTAGTGTGTGTGTATGTGTGTGTGTGCGTGTATATATATGTGTGTATATATATATATGTAATTTCCAAGAAAAAATTTATATTTTGCCTATAAGGAAATTTACTCTGCTGCTCTTTAGGGCCAAGTCCAGGTGGGGTGGTAATACAATAATAATCCACTTCCAGAAAGCACAGCCATATTGCATAAAGCCATTTGCAAGCTAAGCTGGTGGGACTTACCCATCATCTCTACCATGCACAGACACTTCAAACAGTATTTAAGGTGCTTAGCGAAACGGCCTAATGACAGTGCTGTCTATGAAAAAAGCTAAAGGAAACTTGCTTCCTGTAGGTAAGTGCTACAGTTTACAATTTTCACACAAATAGAAATTGAGATCACATACCAACAGCAAATCCTATAACAGAAAGCACTGACGGATGTATTTACAAATAAGAAAAAATATTCAATAAAGAAGATCTAAGGGTGCTAGATGAAAAAATAAAAAAAGAAATTGGTAAACAACTGGGAAAATATAAAACAGCAATATTACCTAATTTGAAGTTAACTGAAATTATATATAATGTATAATTATATATAGCCTAACATGTAAGCCAATTATTGAGACTGTGTAAAATTCAGATATGTGCTGTTTAAAGGAAATGTAATTAACAATAAGCATACAGAAAGAATGAAAAATAAAGAGAAAAGAACACACCAGGCCGGGCGCGGTGGCTCACGCCTGTAATCCCAGCACTTTGGGAGGCCGAGACGGGCGGATCACGAGGTCAGGAGATCGAGACCATCCTGGCTAACACGGTGAAACCCCGTCTCTACTAAAAATACAAAAATTAGCCGGGCATGGTGGCGCGCTCCTGTAGTCCCAGCTACACGGGAGGCTGAGGCAGGAGAATGGCGTGAACCCGGGAGGCGGAGCTTGCAGTGAGTCGAGATCGCGCCACTGCACTCCAGCCTGGGCCACAGAGCGAAACTCCGTCTCAAAAAAAAAAAAAAAAAAAAAAAAAAAAGAGCACACCAGGCAAATACTGACCATTGTAACGCTAGGATAGTGATATGGTTTGGCTGTGTCCTCACGCAAAATCTCATCTTGAATTGTAATCTAAATTGTAATCCCCATGTGTTCAGGGAGAGACCTCGTGGGAGGTGGTTAGATCATTGAGTGGCTCCCCCATGCTGTTCTCATGGTAGTGAGTGAGTTCTCACAAGATCTGATGGTTTTATAAGGGGCTTTTCCCCACTTCACTCTGCACTTATCTCTCCTGCTGCCATGTAATCAAAGACATGTTTTCTTCCCCTTCTACCATGATTGTAAGTTTCCTAAGGTCTCTCCAGCCATGCAGAACTGTGAGTCAATTAAACCTCTTTCCTTTATAAATTACCCAGTCTCGTGCAGTTCTTTAGAGCAGTGTAAGAATGGACTAATGCAAATAGCTATTTTAGAAATAGATAGAAATCAGAGGACTTGGAGCAAGACAACTAAATAAATGCCTTCAGTGATTGTCCCCCCTGCAGTAATACCAAATTGAACTATCCACACACAAAACAGTACCTTCATGAGAACCAAAAATTGAGTGAGCTCTCACAGTACCTTGTTTTAACTTCATATCACAGAAACATATGAAGGTCATAACTTCATATGACAGAAAGAGGCACTGAAGAAGGTAGGAAAGGCTATCTTGAATTGCAGACGCCACCCGTCTCCCATCCGCTGGCAGCAGCTGCATGGTGTGGAGAGAAAAATGTGTGCATTTGAGGGAGGGAGAGTGCAGTGATTGGGAGATTTTTGCCTTGGAACCCAGTGCTGCCCTGTCACAATGGAAAACACCAGGCAGAACTCTGCTGATGCCAATGGAGGGAGCATTTAGATCAGCCCTAGCCAGAGGAAACTTGCCCATCACAGCAGCTGGATCCTGAGTTGCATTAATGCTTGCTACCATGGACTTGAGAGCTCTGGGATCCTAAATAAACTTGAAAGCCAGTCTAGGCCACAAGGACTGCAATTCTTGGACAAGTCCTGGTACTGTGTTGGGAATGGATCCAGTGCACTTGGGGGACACATGATTGAGTGACCTTCAATCTTTCCATTTGTTTGTGTCCTCTATTATTTCAAGCAATCCTTGACAGATTTTTTGTTCCATTGTTTTTCCTTAAAGGATAGATTAAACGTAAAGTATAAGTTGATTGGAAGGAAATAGACTGACATATAAATATGGATGAGATTAATTCCAAAATGAATGTTAAAAACTGCACAAATTGTATTGCAGTTACAAAATAAACTGTTTCTATATTTATGTGTTTATTTGACTAATGTGTTTCTGCCATCTTTAAATGTGATAAACATTTATCACATTTGAGATACCTTTGAGAACAAAGAACATTTGGTTTTGTTCATCACTGCATATTTTTCAAGGCCTGACACATGATAGTTTACTTGTTACTTAGCTATAATGCTTATTCGATTATTGTTTATTAATTATAATAAATGAAAAACTATTCATGCAGATATCAGATAACTAAGGACTAACTGACAGCAATCCACCACATGCCTAATGCTTGACTGATATCTTGACCTTTATATTTGGGAAAAAAAAAAGGTAGGCCAGTGGGAGTTTCCTAAGGTTTTGCTAACCCCTATTCTAATTTAAGGTAAGAGTACTAGTACTGAATTCAGATTTAATTTGAAGTAAGGGTTTTCATAAATAGTTGATATGTTTTAACCTGTATTTCCAGCACAATTAGTTGAAGTGGCTTTTCTTTCCTTATTCAATTGCCTTAGCAGCTTTGTATATGTGCAGGGATATTCGAGGACTTTTTCTTCGGTTCCATTGCTCTATTCATTTACCTTTACACTATTTCCATGGTTTTTATTACTGCAGTTTTATTGGAATTCCAAAATAATCTAGAACATCTCCTGAAAATTTGTCCTTCTATCAAGTGTTTTCTTTATTCAAGGCCCTTTGTATTTTTCAAGCCAATTTTAGAAACAATGTGTCAATTTCTACCAAAAAAAAAGCCCATTGGAATTTTGATTAAGACTGCATTTAATCTGTGTATTATTTTGGAAGTGATTGACATCATACTTTATTATTATCTTCCAAGCTATGAAGATGATATATCTCTTCATTTATCAGGTCTTATTTAATTCACTCAGCAATATTGTATAGATTTCAGTGTAGAGCTCTTGCACATCTTGTGTTAATTCATAAGTGTATTATTTTTATTCTATTTTAAATGACTTCTATATTTCACTTTCCAATTTTTCTCCTTATATGTAGAAATACAATTAATTTTTGACTCGACCTTGTATTCCACAGCTTGTTAAATTCACTTCTGATTTGTTGATTCATTGGGCTTTTCAATGTATACTGTCATGTTATCTAGGAATAAAGGTAGCTTCATTTCTTCCCCTCCAATCTTAATTCCTTTTATTTATTTGTCTTACTTCCTTGTACTGGCAGGTTACTGTGTTGATAACTGTAGGTTTGTTGTAGATACATTTGATCAGATTGAGGAAGTTCTCCCCGTAGGTAATATGCTGCGAATGTATTTTATTTATTATAAATGAGTTGATTGTATTGATTTTTTTACTTTATTCTGTTAATAATCAATACAATTGATTAACTTTTAAATATTAAATCAAGCTTTCTTTCCTGGGATAAATTCCAATTGGCTGTAATATATTATACATTTTACATATTGCTGTGTGCAATTTGCTAATATTTTGTAAGGATTTTTGTATCAATTTTCATGATCGTTTTTGATCTATAATTTTCAATGTCTTTGCGTAAAAGTTTACACAATATTAATATTATTTATTTTTTAAAAGTGAATATAATTCATCAGTGAAACCAGCTGGTACTAGAGAATAATTAGTGTATTTTTCAAGTACAGAGAAGAATAATAAAAGAATTCTTACAAAGAAGTATTTTGCCAATCTTTAACACTAGCCTCTATTTTTTTTATTTTCCTCTCGTTTTTCATGTAATTGTTTAATATTGTGAGTAAAAAGAGAACTAAGACAATAAAGATGTCATTAAAAATTCCCATCAGAGCATTTCATTTTCCCTGGCGATTGAAACTAGCTGGACAAAATAGAACATCAACTGCTAAAGGAATCACTCAAATGTAGTATTATAAACTATACATCTAACGAAGGTCTAACACCCAGAATCTATAAGGAACTTAAACAAATTTACAAGCAAGAAACAAAGAACCCTATTAAGAGATGGGCAAAGAACATGAACAGACACTTTTCAAAAGAAGATATACATGAGGCTAACAAGCATATAAAACCAGCCTGGCCAACATGGTGAAATCCCGTCTCTACTAAAAATACAAAAATTAGCTGGGTGTGGTGGCAGGTGCCTGTAATCCCAGCTACTTGGGATGCTGAGGCAGAAGAATCGCTTGAACCTAGGAGGCAGAGGTTGCAGTGAGCCGAGCTTGTGCCACTGCACTCCAGCCTGGGCAGCAGAGCAAGACTCTGTCTCAAACAAAAAAAAAAAAAAAAAAAAAAAAAGGAAAAAGAAACAAAAAAGAAAACAAAAACGAAAAATGCTCAACATCACTAATCATTAGAGAATTGCACATCAAAACCGCAATGAGATACCATCTCACATTAATCATAATGGCTATTGTTAAGAAGTCAAAATATAACAGATGCTGGCAAGATTGTGGGGAAAAGGGAATGTTTATACACTGCTGGTGGAAATGTAAATTAGTTCAGTCATGTAGAAAGCAGTGTGGCAATTTCTAAAAGAATTTAAAACAGAATTACCATTCCACTCAGTAATCTCACTACTGGATATATGCCCAAAGGAATATAAATCAGTCTACCATAAAGACACATGCACGTCTATGTTCATAATTGCACTATTCACAATGGCACAGACATGGAATCAATGTAAATGCCCATCAATGGTAGACTGGATAAAGAGAATGTGGTACATATGCAGCATGGAATACTATACAACTATAAAATCGAATAAGACCATGTACTATCAGCAATGTGGATGGAGCTGTAGACTATTATCCTAAGCAAACTAACACAGGAACAAAACTAAATACTGCATGTTCTCACTTATGAGTGGGAGCTAAATATCGAGTATATATGGACACAAAGAAGGGAACAACGGACTCCAGGGCCTACTTGAGGGTGGAGGGTAGAAGGTGAGGATTGAAAATCTACCTGTCGGGTACTATGCTTATTACCTGGGTGATGAAAAAATCAAAATCCCACGGCATGCAATTTACCTATATAACAAACCTGTACATGTACCCCTGTACTAATAATACTACTTTTTATAAAAGTATAAAAGTTTAAAACCTAAACTAATATAAAACTTAAAAGTTTTTTTAAAAGTAGTATTAGTACAGGAAGTCAGTTGTTCTGATTTCTTTTTATAAAGGCAAATTTTTCAAGGATCAGGAGAGTTTATGTGGGTAAGACAAACGGAACAGTATTTTTCGAAATTAAAGTAGAGTTCATTCATCTATTAAAGATGATGTAAATGTCAGTACAGTCTTCCTTGCAATCAGAATTTCCTCTTAGCTAATTGAGAAATGGATAGATAGAAATTCAAATATCTATGTCTTCCATATCCTTCTCCCTATTCAAGCCCTGCTTCCTTATTCTTAGAAAAGTGTAGATTAATCTATAATCAGTAACAGCTATTGCTGTTTGTCTAATTTCTATTGAGCTAGTTAATATTGCAGAAGTTTAATTCTCCAAATACCAGCCTAGTTAGCATGTTTAACACATATGCACACACACACACACACACACACACCCCACTCATATTTGAAAAACACCACACAAAGTAGTGGCATATAATATATGAAAAAAAATCACTGTCCTTCAAGGAGAAAAATATAAGGGAAAAAATATAACCCTTGTATATGCAGCTCATCACATGCAAAAACACAGTACTGGTCTGTTATATTATTATATTTTTCCCCATTTACTTTTCCTTTATGCAGCTCTTTAGCCAGCATTTTTAGATGCTTTGCCAAGCAGAGTGATTTATATTTTTATTTTTTAGATATGGAAGGCACTTTATAGTTCTTCCTGATAAAAGTAGTAACATTCCTAAAATATTTATTAGCAAATCTATTTTCCTTTGATATTCCAGAGGTATTATTCCAGAGAATGTGACCTTATTTTCGGCCTCCTCTCATAATGACATTAATAATCACAAATGATCAGATGAGATTCAGTTTTTTAAGTTTTAGTTTCAGTTTCCAATCATTATCATTTTTGGTTCTTAGTTGAAAATAAATGAATTCATTTTGGCTAGTTTTAGTAGAAAGGAATATTCTAAGGAGTATGGACAGCTTTTCTAAATTATCATCAGAGCTGAAGCATTAACTCTTGTTTGCACCTCAAAGAACAAGGCACTTCAAAGATGCTTCGAATTCTGCCATTGTCAGGCTATTACAATATCAGCAAGCCATAGCAAAAGTTGCTGGTGCCAAGAGGATTTTGACTTTGTGACAACACAACCAGAAAAATATAGATCCCATTCTTACAAAATCTAATTCTGTGTTAAAAAATCTTCCGTGTTCACATCTGATTGGCTCAACAGTGATCACATAGTGAGCTAAAGCTGCAAGAGAATCTGAAAAAAAGATGTAGTTTTTATTATTCTATCTCCTCCACATGAGAAGTGGTTTGGAATGGGTATTGAGCAGTTCATTTACAATATAAAATACTCTTGGGGAAAAACTACTTCTTTTCTGAATAATTAAACCTCTACTCTACCAGAGCCCAGAGTAGAAAACAGATAAAACATTCTGCAAGAGAGCTTCCAAGCTCATCAGTTTTTATCTACCTGAAGCCACTGAGAGGACTTCAATAGGACATTATTACTTTTCCAATGTTTCCAGATATTGGATTGCATAACAATACCAGTGAATCTCAGACATAGGTACCTATTAACTTACTTTATTTCCCCATTAAGTGCATTGGTATGCCCATGCACTATTGTGTGGAAATACACGATGGAATGTAGAGAATTTGGTAAGCCCACAAATGACTGCCAGAGGTAAATTCAAACTATGTCTTAAAAGAAAATAAAATGTTGACTGCTCACTTCATGATGAAAGGGACCTAGTAGAATCAATCTGCCACCAGGTGACATGTAGCATACCTTAATTCATGTTAGCATGAAGGAGTCTCAGGAATGGTTGAATTGCTTAAAAATGTGTGACTTCAGTTGCCACATGGGGTTCCAGATTGTCTTTACCTCCAGATTGAGATATCTTCTCAACCCCTGACCATCCGACTACACTGTTAGCCACTGGCTGCTCTACCTCTTCTTCTAAGTCAAGTAAATAATAAAAGTGTCCAACTCAATATTCTGCCAATTGCCCTTTCGGTACACCAATGATACAAGCTGTAATGGCACAAGATTCTATCTAGATGGAGTGGACTTATTTTTAGCAACCCACAGAAGCTTAAATTTTATTTTATGACATCATCAGTCCAGAATTTGGGATCTAGATTTGAGTCTTTTATGTTATTTAATGCTGTCAAAAAATATATTGTGTATTTCTCTTGTTCTGGCCCCTTTCTATTTGCTTTAAAATTTTCTACACTATCATTTGTTCACTTCCCTAGAGTTTCAAACTCAGTGAACTTATATGGTCAGTGGATCACAGGAGACAGCCTGATTAACTTGTTTTGTCCCCATGTATCATAGGTTACTTGCCATCCTCCGATTTGAAAAGGACTAAATACATATCAATCTTCCTTGGCCAGACATTTAATTCTAAATATTCCACATGTCCCTAAAGATCTGTGCCTAATATTCACTCTCTGGGACCTATAACTGTGTAATTCAAGATTCCACTTTGTTGACAAGGAAAAGAAACCAACGCTGGAAAATTTATTTGATTTATTTCAAAGATTTATTTGAAAAATAGCTGGGGTAGAAAACAGAAATCAAAGAAACAACTGAAAAAGTGATGCCAGGAGAAAAATTGAATCCGGAAATTTCTGGAGACCTTCACAACAGTAATAAACAGGTCTTTCTAAGAACTGTTCATCAAAGTAATACTGTTCCATCAAATTCTTTTGTTACATTGTCCATTTTCAAATTCCTTGGGTAATTTCTCTGATTGACTCAGTTTAAAATTGTTTTTAAGAGAGTAGATTTGAGAAGGCAGAGGCCAGGTGACATGGCAGTTAAGAGTTAGTGGGTCTGCTGTGTTGAGGTTGTCTCCAGAGAAAGGGAAGCCATCAGAATATATTAAACTATTTTCTTAGGCCATCATGGTAAGATAGTGAATCATTAATGACACAGGTCATGCTTAAGTCTCCGAAACTTCTTGTCTAACCCGGATGTTTTTCTTTCCTCTCTACTTTTTCCTCAGTATCAGTAGTTATATATAAAATTCTCTTTTTTTGCCCATTAAATTTGGATGATGTATTAGTCTCTCTGAGAGTTTACCAGTTGTATTCTTTATTAATACATTTGCTAAAATCATGATTCAACAAGGTATTATTAAAATTTTTCCCTTGTTGGGTTGAACTGTTTATTTCAGCTAATTTCGTATCTGTTAAATATTTCAACACATGTAAAATCCATAAAATGTATATTTTGTTAGATTAAAATTTTATTTCACTTGCCTGGAGCTAACTTTTATTTGCATTTTAAAAAGTTATCAGAAGTGTGCTGAGAATGGAAAATAGCACTCAAGTTTCTGAAGTAACTATTTAGTCATTTAATTATTAGTTTTATTTAGAAAAAGTTTCACTAAGGTCAAATACAAAGAAAATTACTAGACAAGAAAGGTCATTGCTATTAGACAAGATTCAAGAAAGACAAGAATTGCAAGATCATGGCACCCAATACTATTGTTTTACCTTTCCTTTCTGGCTCTGGAGCACTTTTATTCATGCCATGGTCATTTGAATGTCATTGAGTTGGATGTTGTGTTCATGCAATCCCTTGGCAGGATTGTGTAAATGTAAAAAAGTACTGGAGAAACTGCTGTCAAAAAAAAATTATTTTGTGATTTCTAAATGAAGGTAGCCTGTATAATTGCTACATTTGTCACATGAAAGAAGCTATGTGATTACATTTCCACATCTTTAAATAACCTCAATGATTTTACACTTTTCTCCATTGTACATTTATACTGTTCATTTGACTGTATAATACTGTTTCTTAGTCTTTCAGACATTTTTGGGAAAGATACCAAGTGTTTCTGCTCTTTTCCACATATATGGAATAATTGGTGGCTGGCATAAACTCTAACAATAAGAAGACAATTTTTCACAGGAAATAGTTTGTAAGTTACATTTACTAATAATATAAAGAGGTGTGGTTAGAAAAGGTTGTAATGTTAAAGAAATGACTGCTAATCCACACAAGAGCTATACACACAAATCTGCCACTAGATTAATATACAAGGAGAACAAACTGAGGAAGGGGGCTTGAAAGAATAACTTCAATGAGTGCTTGAAAGAATAACTTCAATGAGGGATTAGACCTTGAGGCATGTGAATGTACTAAGCCATGATACAAAACAAACTGAAAAAACGAATATCGTATTATCAAGAAATGGTACTGAACAATCAAGTGTAAGATACAATGTTAGTCTTTAGAGGGTAAAAAAACCATATTTTTGCTATGCTGTTTATTTCCATTTTAATTAAATCCATATATGTACAAATTAAGTAGAATCGATTAAGTACTATTTGAATATACCAATCACATAAGAACATAGGATTTAATTTTGGCTACTAATAGTCTTCACAACAAGACAGAGAACCATTTGTGTAGGTGGAGACATTTATTATATACATTATATCCTGCATTGTTAGATAAATGTCTGCATTGGACACAAAGAAAATAAGTAATAATTTTAATATTTTGAATGAAAAGTATGAATAACAAGGTTAAGATTTATTTGGCATAAAAAAATGTAAAAGAATTGTTTTATTTGGGTGACTAGTGTCTCCTGCTATAAATTACTCCTAAGAATTTATAACAGATGCCAGGACAAATGACATGTAGGCACTAATGGGTATGAAATGAATTTTATTACTCACACAGTAAGCCACAAAAATATTTCCCAAGGTGAAGGGCTCAGATTTTGAAAGAAGCGAAACAAGAGAAAAGCAGAGAGCAGACGTTGGGGTCCTTATAATGGCTAGGGGTTGTGGCTGGAGAAGAGACCACATGCAGGGTGGGAATTCACCACAGAGTTTGTACCCAGCTGCAAAGGATGAGTGGAGCACAGAAACTCCTTTATCTTAGTTGCCCAGTGTCGGGTAGCAGGAAAGAAAGATGGGAATCTGAAAGCCGCCAGGTCAAACACTAAAAGAGGAACCCATCTCTTAATTATTAGAATAAAAGTAGAAGAAATCATCAATTTAGAAGCTGTGGTGCAGTGAGGAGAAGATGGGGATAGGTAAACAGGGCTTTAAATTAGAAAATGAGACTCTCGTATAGGTTTATCAGGTGAGAAAATTGCTGTAAGTCTAAGAATTTGGGCAAGGCCTGGGCACTGTCTCTGGGAGTGACGTTTAAGTGACTAGGAGCTGGAGTGTGCTAAGAGGCAATTGAGGAGAGGATTTGAGAGTGGTTTTGATGGGGTCTACTTAACTGATGTTAAGGGGATATAGTGACAGGGGATGTGGTGTGAATATCACGGGTGAAGATTTCCTTTTCTCATTCAGAGAAATGTCCAAAGCAGGTAATACATGTTTGGTTTGAGAATTTAATAATCACCTTTAGTAAGACAGAATATTTAAAGTTTCTTAAAGTAAAATTATACATTTGCTGAAAAATAATGTAATCTATAAATATTTATTGAAAATCTACCTGGTATCATGCATCATGTTAAAAGCTCTAGTGCATATAAAGATTGATATCTTCAAAAGCATGAATATTATCCTAACATGTAAAATATTATTTTCCAGAAATATAGACTTTGTTGGGAAACACTGCATATTATAAAACCTGATTGTTTTCTATATCTTATATTCAGTAAATATTTTTTTCTATGCTAAGAGACAAAACGTTATGCCATTCATCCTAAAAATTTTTTCAGAAGGTGCTATGGTTTTACTTTTTTAAAAATTTTTATTTTTAGTTCTGGGGTACATGTGTAGGATGCACAGGTTTGTTACATAGGTAAACATGTGCCATGGTGGTTTGCTGCACCTATCAACCCATCACTTAGGCATTAAGCCCAGCATGCATTAGCTATTTTACCTAATGCTTTTGCTCACCCCACCTCACCCCCGATAGGCCCCAGTGTATGTTGTTCCCCTCCCTGTGTCCATGTGTTCTCATTATTCAGCTCCCACTTATAAATGAGAACATGTGGTGTTTGGTTTTCTGTTCCTGCATTTATTTGCTGAGGATAATGGCTTCCAGTTCCATCCATGTTCCTGTAAAGGACATGATCTCATTCCTTTTTATGGCTGCACTGTATTCCATCATGTATACATACCACATTTTGTTTATCCAGTCTATCATTGATGGGCATTGTGGTTGCTTCAATGTCTTTGCTATTGTGAATAGTGTTGTAATGACCATACACATGCATGTATCTTTGTAACAGAATAATTCATATTACTTTGGGTATATATCCAGTAATGGGATTGCTGGGTTGAATGGCATTTCTGCTTCCAGATCGTTGAGGAATCACCACACAGTTTTCCACAAAGGTAGAACTAATCAACATTCCCACTAACAGTGTAAAACTACATCTTGAGTTCATTTATAACGTGTGAGGAAGGGGTCCAGTTTTTATTTTTTTTAATTTCTCCACAACCTCACCAGCATCTGTTGTTTCCTGACTTTTTAATAACTGCCATTCTGACTGGCATGAGATGGTGTCTCATTGTAGTTTATTTGCATTTCTCTAACGATCGGTGATGTTGAGCTTTTTTCACATGTTTTTTGGCTGCATGAATGTCTTCTTTTGAGAAGTGTCTGTTCATGTCCTTTGCCAACTTTTTTTAAATTAATTAATTTATTTATTTATTATTATTATACTTTAAGTTTTAGGCTACATGTGCACAATGTGCAGGTTAGTAACATATGTATACATGTGCCATGCTGGTGCACTGCACCCACTAACTCGTCATCTAGCATTAGGTATATCTCCCAATGCTATCCCTCCGCCCCCTACCCACAACCCACAACAGTCCCCAGAGTGTGATGTTCCCCTTCCTGTGTCCATGTGTTCTCATTGTTCAATTCCCACCTATGAGTGAGAATATGCGGTGTTTGGTTTTTTGTTCTTGCGATAGTTTACTGAGAATGATTATTTCCAATTTCATCCATGTCCCTACAAAGGACATAAACTCATCTTATTTTATGTCTGCATAGTATTCCATGGTGTATATGTGCCACATTTTCTTAATCCAGTCTATCATTGTTGGACATTTGGGTTGGTTCCAAGTCTTTGCTATTGTGAATAATGCCGCAATAAACATACGTGTGCATGTGTCTTTATAGTAGTATGATTTATAGCCCTTTGGGTGTATACCCAGTAATGGGATGGCTGGGTCAAATGGCATTTCTAGTTCTAGATCCCTGAGGAATCGCCACACTGACTTCCACAATGGTTGACCTAGTTTACAGTCCCACCAACAGTGTAAAAGTGTTCCTATTTCTCCATATCCTCTCCAGCACCTGTTGTTTCCTGACATTTTAATGATTGCCATTCTAACTGGTGTGAGATGGTATCTCATTGTGGTTTTGACTTGCATTTCTCTGATGGCCAGTGACGCTGAGCATTTTTTCATGTGTTTTTGGCTGCATAAATGTCTTCTTTTGAGAAGTGTCTGTTTATGTCCTTTGCCCACTTTTTGATGGGTTTTTTTGTTTTTTTCTTGTAAATTTGTTTGAGTTCATTGTAGATTCTGGATATTAGCCCTTTGTCAGATGAGTAGGTTGCAAAAATTTTCTCCCATTTTGTAGGTTGCCCGTTCACTCTGATGGTAGTTTCTTTTGCTGTGCAGAAGCTCTTTAGTTTAATTAGATCCCATTTGTCAATTTTGCCTTTTGTTGCCATTGCTTTTGGTGTTTTAGACATGAAGTCCTTGCCTATGCCTATGTCCTGAATGGTAATGCCTAGGTTTTCTTCTATGGTTTTTATGGTTTTAGGTCTAACGTTTAAGTCTTTAATCCATCTTGAATTGATTTTTATATAAGGTGTAAGGAGGGATCCAGTTTCAGCTTTCTACATATGGCTAGCTAGTTTTCCCAGCACCATTTATTAAATAGGGAATCCTTTCCCCATTGCTTGTTTTTGTCAGGTTTGTCAAAGATCAGATAGTTGTAGATATGCGGCATTATTTCTGAGGGCTCTGTTCTGTTCCATTGATCTATATCTCTGTTTTGGTACCAGTACCATGCTGTTTTGGTTACTGTAGCCTTGTAGTATAGTTTGAAGTCAGGTAGCGTGATACCTCCAGCTTTGTTCTTTTGGCTTAGGATTGACTTGGCGATGCGGGCTCTTTTTTGGTTCCATATAAACTTTAAGGTAGTTTTTTCCAATTCTGTGAAGAAAGTCATTGGTAGCTTGATGGGGATGGCATTGAATCTGTAAATTACCTTGGGCAGTATGGCCATTTTCACGATATTGATTCTTCCTACCCATGAGCATGGAATGTTCTTCCATTTGTTTGTATCCTCTTTTATTTCCTTGAGCAGTGGTTTATCGTTCTCCTCGAAGAGGTCCTTCACATCCCTTGTAAGTTGGATTCCTAGGTATTTTATTCTCTTTGAAGCAATTGTGAATGGGAGTTCACTCATGATTTGGCTCTCTGTTTGTCTGTTGTTGGTGTATAAGAATGCTTGTGATTTTTGTACATTGATTTTGTATCCTGAGACTTTGCTGAAGTTGCTTATCAGCTTAAGGAGATTTTGGGCTGAGATGATGGGGTTTTCTAGATGTACAATCATGTAGTCTACAAACAGGGACAATTTGACTTCCTCTTTTCCTAATTGAATACCCTTTATTTCCTTCTCCTGCCTAATTGCCCTGGCCAGAACTTCCAACACTATGTTGAATAGGAGTGGTGAGAGAGGGCATTCCTGTCTTGTGCCAGTTTTCAAAGGGAATGCTTCCAGTTTTTGCCCATTCAGTATGATATTGGCTGTGGGTTTGTCATAGATAGCTCTTATTATTTTGAAATACGTCCCATCAATACCTAATTTATTGAGAGTTTTTAGCATGAAGGGTTGTTGAATTTTGTTAAAGGCCTTTTCTGCATCTATTGAGATAATCATGTGGTTTTCATCTTTGGTTCTGTTAATATGCTGGATTAGTTTTATTCATTTGCGTATATTGAACCAGCCTTGCATCCCAGGGATGAAGCCCACTTGATCATGGTGGATAAGCTTTTTGATGTGCTGCTGGATTTCGTTTGCCAGTATTTTATTGAGGATTTTTGCATCAATGTTCATCAAGGATATTGGTCTAAAATTCTCTTTTTTGGTTGTGTCTCTGCCAGGCTTTGGTATCAGGATGATGCTGGCCTCATAAAATGAGTTAGGGAGGATTCCCTCTTTTTCTATTGATTGGAATAGTTTCAGAAGGAATGGTACCCGTTCCTCCTTGTACCTCTGGTAGAATTCGGCTGTGAATCCATCTGGTCCTGGACTCTTTTTGGTTGGTAAGCTATTGATTATTGCCACAATTTCAGGTCCTGTTATTGGTCTATTCAGAGATTCAACTTCTTCCTGGTTTTGTCTTGGGAGGGTGTATGCGTCGAGGAATTTATCCATTTCTTCTAGATTTTCTAGTTTATTTGCATAGAGGTGTTTGTAGTATTCTCTGATGGCAGTTTGTATTTCTGTGGGATCAGTGGTGACATCCCCTTTATCATTTTTTATTGCGTCTATTTGATTCTTTTCTCTTTTTTTCTTTGTTAGTCTTGCTAGCAGTCTATGAATTTTGTTGATCCTTTCAAAAAACCAGCTCCTGGATTCATTAATTTTTTGAAGGGTTTTTTGTGTCTCTATTTCCTTCAGTTCTGCTCTGATTTTAGTTATTTCTTACCTTCTGCTAGCTTTTGAATGTGTTTGCTCTTGCTTTTCTAGTTCTTTTAATTGTGATGTTAGGGTGTCAATTTTGGATCTTTCCTGCTTTCTCTGTGGGCCTTTAGTGCTATAAATTTCCCTCTACACACTGCTTTGAATACGTCCCAGAGATTCTGTTATGTTGTGTCTTTGTTCTCGTTGGTTTCAAAGAACATCTTTATTTCTGCATTCATTTCATTATGTACCCAGTAGTCATTCAGGAGCAGGCTGTTCAGTTTCCATGTAGTTGAGTGGTTTTGAGTGAGATTCTTAATCCTGACTTCTAGTTTGATTGCACTGTGGTCTGAGAGATAGTTTGTTCTAATTTCTGTTCTTTTACATTTGCTGAGGAGAGCTTTACTTCCAAGTATGTGGTCAATTTTGGAATAGGTGTGGTGTGGTGCTGATAAAAATGTATATTCTGTTGATTTGGGGTGGAGAGGTCTGTAGATGTCTACTAGGTCTGCTTGGTGCAGAGCTGAGTTCAATTCCTGGGTATCTTTGTTGACTTTCTGTCTCGTTGATCTGTCTAATGTTGACAGTGGGGTGTTAAAGTCTCCCATTATTAATGTGTGGGAGTCTAAGTCTCTTTGTAGGTCACTCAGGACTTGCTTTATGAATCTGGGTGCTCCTGTATTGGGTGCATATACATTTAGGATTGTTAGCTCTTCTTGTTGAATTGATCCCTTTACCATTATGTAATGGCCTTCTTTGTCTCTTGATCTTTGTGGGTTTAAAGTCTGTTTTATCGGAGACTAGGATTGCAACCCCTGCCTTTTTTTGTTTTCCATTTGCTTGGTAGATCTTCCTCCATCCTTTTATTTTGAGCCTATGTGTGTCTCTGCACATGAGATGGGTTTCCTGAATATAGCACACTGATGCGTCTTGACTCTTTATCCAATTTGCCAGTCTGTGTCTTTTAATTGGAGCATGTAGTCCATTTACATTTAAAGCTAATATTGTTATGTGTGAATTTGATCCTGTCATTATGATGTTAGCTGGTTATTTTGCTCGTTAGTTGATGCAGTTTCTTCCTAGCCTCGATGGTCTTTACATTTTGGCATGATTTTGCAGCGGCTGGTACCGGTTGTTCCTTTCCATGTTTAGCGCTTCCTTCAGGACCTCTTGTAGGGCAGGCCTGGTGGTGACAAAATCTCTCAGCATTTGCTTGTCTGTAAAGTTTTTTATTTCTCCTTCACTTATGAAGCTTAGTTTGGCTGGATATGAAATTCTGGGTTGAAAATTCTTTTCTTTAAGAATGTTGAATATTGGCCCCCACTCTCTTGTAGCTTGTAGAGTTTCTGCTGAGAGATCTGCTGTTAGTGTGATGGGCTTCCCTTTGAGGGTAACCTGACCTTTCTCTCTGGCTGCTCTTAACATTTTTTCCTTCATTTCAACTTTGGTGAGTCTGACAATTATGTGTCTTGGAGTTGCTTTTCTCGAGGAGTATCTTTGTGGCGTTCTCTGTATTTCCTGAATCTGAATGTTGGCCTGCCTTGCTAGATTGGGGAAGTTCTCCTGGATAATATCCTGCAGAGTGTTTTCCAACTTGGTTCCATTCTCCCCGTCACTTTCAGGTACACCAATCAGACGTAGATTTGGTCTTTTCACATAGTCCCATATTTCTTGCTGGCTTTGCTCATTTCTTTTTATTCTTTTTTCTCTGAACTTCCCTTCTCACTTCATTATTTCATTCATTTCATCTTCCATCACTGATACCCTTTCTTCCAGTTGATCGCATCAGCTCCTGAGGCTTCTGCATTCTTCATGTAGTTCTCAAGCCTTGGTTTTCAGCTGCATCAGCTCCTTTAAGCACTTCTCTGTATTAGTTATTCTAGTTATACATTCTTCTAAGTTTTTTTCAAAGTTTTCAACTTCTTTGCCTTTGGTTTGAAAGTCCTCCTGTAGCTCGAAGTAATTTGATCTTCTGAAGCCTTCTTCTCTCAGCTTGTCAGTCATTCTCCGTCCTGCTTTGTTCCGTTGCTGGTGAGGAACTGCGTTCCTTTGGAGGAGGAGAGGTGCTCTGCTTTTTAGAGTTTCCAGTTTTTCTGTTCTGTTTTTTCCCCATCTTTGTGGTTTTATGTACTTTTGGTCTTTGATGATGGTGATGTACAGATGGGTTTTTGGTGTGGATGTCCTTTATGTTTGTTAGTTTTCCTTCTAACAGACAGGACCCTCAGCTGCAGGTCTGTTGGAGTACCTGGCCGTGTGAGGTGTCAGTCTGCCCCTGCTAGGGGGTGCCTCCCTGTTAGCTGCTCGAGGGTCAGGGGTCAGGGACCCACTTGAGGAGGCAGTCTGCCCATTCTCACATCTCCAGCTGCGTGCTGGGAGAACCACTGCTCTCTTCAAAGCTGTCAGACAGGGACACTTAAGTCTGCAGAAGTTACTGCTGTCTTTTTGTTTGTCTGTGCCCTTCCCCCAGAGGTGGAGCCTACAGAGGCAGGCAGGCCTCCTTGAGCTGTGGTGGGCTCCACCCAGTTGGAGCTTCCTGGCTGCTTTGTTTACCTAAGCAAGCCTGGTCAATGGTGGGCGCCCCTCCCCCAGCCTCGCTATCGCCTTGCAGTTTGATCCCAGACTGCTGTGCTAGCAATCAGTGAGACTCCGTGGGCGTAGGACCCTCCGAGCCAGGTGCTGGACACAATCTCCTCGTGCGCCGTTTTTAAGCCCATCGGAAAAGCGCAGTATTCGGGTGGGAGTGACCCGATCTTCCAGGTGCCATCTGTCACCCCTTTCTTTGACTAGGAAAGGGAACTCCCTGACCCCCTGCGCTTCCCGAGTGAGGCAATGCCTCGCCCTGCTTCGGCTCACGCACGGTGCGTGCACCCACTGACCTGGGCCCACTGTCTGGCACTGCCTAGTGAGATGAACCCGGTACCTCAGATGGAAATGCAGAAATCACCCGTCTTCTGCGTCGCTTATGCTGGGTGCTGTAGACCAGAGCTGTTCCTATTCGGCCATCTTGGCTCCTCTGATCCTTTGCCAACTTTTTAATGGTGTTGTTTTTTTCTTGTTAATTTTTTTGAGTTCCTTGTAGGTTCTGGATATTAGACCTTTGTCAGATAGATAGATTGCAAAAATTTTCTCTCACTCTGTAGGTTGCATGTTCACTCTGGTGATAGTTTCTTTTGCTGTGCAGAATCTTTTTAGTTTAATTAGATTCCATTTGTCAATTTTGGCTTTTGTTGCAATTGCTTTTGGTGATTTCATCATGAAATCTGCCTGTGGTTATGTTCTGAATGGTATTTCCTAGACTTTCTTCTAGAGTTTATATAGTTTTGTGTTTTACATTTAAATCTTTAATCCATCTTGAGTTAATTTATAACATGTGAGGAATGGGTCCAGTTTCAGTTTTCTGCATATGGCTAGCCGGTTCTCCCAGCGCCATTTATTAAGTAGGGAATACTTTCCCCATTGCTTGTTTTTGTCAGGTTTGTCAAAGATCAGATGTGCGGTAGATATGCGGTCTTATGTCTGAGTTATCCGTTCTGTTCCGTTGGTCCATGTGTCTGTTTTTGTACCAGTACTATGCTGTTTTGGTTACTGTAGCCTTATAGTATAGCTTGAAGTCTGGTAGCATGATACCTCCAGCTTTGTTCTTCTTACTTAGAATTTTTTTTGGTTATATGAGCCCATTTTTTGTTTCTTATGAATTTTAATATAGTTTTTTCTAACTCTGTGAAGAATGTCAGTGGTAGCTCAATGGAAATAGCACTGAATCTATAAATTACGTTGAACAGTATGGCCATTTTCATGATATTGATTCTTTTTATCCACAAACATGGAATATTTTTCCTTTTGTTTGTGTTCTCTCTGGTTTCCTTGAGCAGTGGTTTGTAGCTCTCTTTGAAGAGGTCTTTCTCTTTCCTTGTTGGCTGTGTTCCTAGGTATTTTATTCTCTTTGTAGCAATTGTGAATGGGAGTTTATTCATTATTTGGCTCTCTGCTTGCCTGTTGTTGGTGTATGGGAATGCTCTGCACATTGATTTTGTATCCTGAGATTTTGCTTAAGTTGCTTATCAGCTTAAGAAGCTTTCGGGCTGAGATGAGGGGTTTTCTAGATATAGGTTCATGTCATCTGCAAACAAAGACAATTTGACTTTCTCTCTTCCTATTTGAATACACCTTCTTTCTTTCTCTTGCCTAATTTCTCTGGCCAGAACTTCCAATACTATGTTGAACAGGAGTGATGAGAGAGGGCATCCTTTTCTTGTGCTGGTTTTCAAGGGAAATGCTTCCAGTTTTGCCCATTGTGTATGATATTGGCTGTGGTTTTATCATAAATGGCTCTTTTTATTTTGAGTTATGTTCCTTTAATACCTAGTTTATCATGAGTTTTTAACATGAAGGTATGTTGAATTTTATTGAGGGCCTTTTCTATATCTATTGAGATCATCATGTGGTTTTTGTCTTTAGATCTGTTTGTGTGATTAATTACATTATTGATTTGCATATGTTGAACCAGCCTTGCATCCTGGGAATGAAGCCAACTTGATCATGGTGGATAAGATTTTTGATGTGCTGCTGTATTCAGTTTGCCAGTATTTTATTGAGATTGTTTGCATCAATGTTCATCAGGGATATTGGCCTGAAGTTTTCTTTTATTGTTGTATCTGTGCTGCTAGGATTTTGGTATCAGGGTGATGCTGGCCTCATAGAATAAGTTAGGGAGGAGTCCCTCCTTTTCAATTGTTTGTAGTAGTTTCAGAATAAAAAATTGTATCAAATCCTCTTCATATTTCTGGTAGAATTCAGCTGTAAATCAATCTGGTCCTGGGATTTTTTTGGTTGGTAAGCTATTTATTACTGCTTCAATTTCAGAACTTGTTATGGGTCTATGCAGGGATTCAATTTCTTCCTGGTTCAATGTTGGGAGGTTGTATGTGTCTGGGAATTTATCCATTTCTTCTAGATTTTCTAGTTTATTTGCGTAGAGATGTTTATAATATTCTCTGATGGTTGTTTGTATTTCTGTGGGGTTAGTGGTGATACCCCTTTATCGTTTTTTATCGTGTCTATTTGATTCTTCTCTCTTCTACTTTGTTAGTCTAGCTAGTGGTCTATTTTATTATTTTTTTCAAAAAACCAGCTCCTGAATTGATCGATATTTTGAAGGGGTTTTCATGTCTCTATCACCTTCAGTTCCACTCTGATCTTGATTATTTCTTGTCTTCTGCTAGCTTTGGGGTTTGTTTGCTCTTGGTTCTCTAGTTCTTTTATAGAGTGTCAATTTAAGATCTTTCTAGTTTTTTGATGTGGGCATTTAATGCTATAAATTTCCCTCTTAACACTGCTTTAGCTGTGTCCCAGAGATGCTGGTACATTGTATCTTTGTTCTCATTGGTTTAAAAGAACTTCTTGATTTCTGTCTTAATTTCATATTTACCCAGGAGTCATTCAGAAGCAGGCTGTTCAATTTCCATGTAGTTGTGTTGTTTTGAGTGAATTTTTAAATCTTGAGTTATAATTTGATTGTGATGTGGTCTGAGAGACTGTTTGTTACAATTTCACTTCTTTTGCATTTGCCAAGGAGTGTTTTACTTCCAATTATGTAATCAGTTTTAGAGTAAGTGTCATGTGGCACCAAGAAGAATGTATATTCTGTTGTTTTGGGTGGGAGTTCTGTAGATATCTGTCGGGTATACTTGATCCAGAGCTGAGTTCAAGTCCTGAATATCTTTGCTAATTTTCTGTCTCGATGATCTGCCTCATACTGACAGTGGGGTGCCAGAGTTTCCCACTATTATTGTGTAGGAGTCTAAGTCTCCTTGTAGGTCTCTAAGAACTTGTTTTACATATCTGGGTGCTCCTGTATTGGGTGCATATATATTTAGGATAGTTAGCTCTTCTAGTTGAATTGACCCCTTTACCATTATGTAATGCCCTTCTTTTTTTTTTTTTTTTTTAATCTTTTTTGATTTAAAATCTGTTTTGTCAGGAATTAGGATTGCAACCCCAGCTTTTTTCTGTTTTCCATTTGCTTGGTAAATTTTCCTCCATCTTTTTATGTTGAGTCTATGTGTGCCTTTCCATGTGAGATGGGTTTCTTAAATACAGCACATTGATGGATTTTGACTCTTTTTCTAGCCTGCAGCTCTACGTCTTTTAATTTGGGTATTTAGCTTATTTACATTTCAGTTTAACATTGTTATGTGCGAATTTGATTCTGACATCATGATGCTAGTTGGTTATTTTGCAGACTTGTTTATGTATTTGCTTCATAGTGTCATTGGTCTGTGTACTCAGTATGTTTTATTGTAGTGGCTGGTAATGGTTTTTCATTTCCATATTTAGTGCTTCCTTCAGGAGCTCTTGCAAGGCAGGCCTGGTGGTAATAAATTCCCTCAGCATTTGCTTGTCTTAAAAAGATCTTATTCCTTCTTCATTTATGAAGTTTAGTTTGGCCAGATATGAAATTCTACATTGGAAATTCTTTTTTTAAAGGATGTTGAATATTGGCCTCCAATGTCTTCTGGCTTGTAGTGTTTCTGCTAAGAGGTCTGCTGTTAGTCTGAAGGGTTTCCCTTTATTGGTGATGTGGCCCTTCTCTCTGGCTTCCCTTTAACATTTTTTCCTCCATTTTGACCTTGGAGGATCTGATGATTGTGTGTCTTGGGGTTGATCTTCTCATGGGGTATCTTACTGGGGTTCTCTGGATTCCCTGGATTTAAATGTTGATCTGTCTTGCTAGGTTGAGGAAGTTCTCCTGGATGATATTCTGAAGTGTGTTTTATAACTGGGTTCCATTCTCCCCATCTCTTTCAGGTACCCCATCTGTCGTAGGTTCAGTCTTTTTACATGATCCCATAGTTCTCAAAGCTTTTGTTGGTTCCTTTTCATTCTTTTTTCTCCAATCTTGTCTGCCTGTCTTATTTCATCAAGATAGTCTTCAAGCTCTGATATCCTTTCTTCTGCTTAGTCTATTCAGCTATTAACACTTGTGTTTGCATTATAAAGTTCCTTTGTTGTGTTTTTCATCTCTATCAGATCTTTTATGTTCCTCTCTAAACTGGTTCTTCTGATTAACAGCACCTCTAATATTTTATCATGGCTCTTAGCTTTTTTGCAGTGAGTTAGAACATAATCCTTTAGCTCAGTGGAGTTCATTATTACCCATCTTCTAAAGCCTACTTCTGTCAATTCATCCATCTCAGCCTCAGCCCAGTTTTGTGCCCTTGCTGTAGACATGTTGCAATCAATTGGAGGAGAAGAGACACTCTGGATTTAGAGTTCTCAGCATTTTGTGTTGATTTTTTTCTCATCTTCATGGGTTTATCTACTTTTGATCTTTGAGGCTGCTGACTTTTGGATGACATTTTTGTAGGGTCTTTTTCTTTGATGTTTATGTTGTTGCTTTCTGTTTGTTTTTCTTTTAGCAGTCAGGCCCCTCTTCTGTAGAGCTGCTGAGGTTTGCTGGGGGTCCACTCCTGACCCTATTCTGCTGGGTCTCTCCCACCCCTGGAGATATCACTAGTGGAGTCTGCAGAGCAGCAAAAAGAGCAGACTGCTCCTTCCTCTCAGAGCTCTGTCCTGGAGGAGCACAGACCTGGTGCCAGCCAGAACACCCCTCTATGCAGTGCCTGGAGACTCCTGTTGGGAGGTCTCATTCAGTCATGAGGACCAGAATTAGGGACCCACTTAAATAAGCAGTCTGGCTGCTCCTTGGCTGAGCAGGTGTGCTGCACTGGGGGAAATCTCCTCATCTGGGCTCCTCTGACTCTCCAGTACCAAGAGGCAGAAAAGACTAAGATTGCTGATCCATGATGTCACAGCTGCCCCTCCGCCTATGGCGAGTTTCTACATCTTTATGCTTGGGACCCAAGGCTATGGTGGAGTGGGCTCAGGAGGGGACTTCCTGATCCATGGGTTGAAAGGATCCACGGGAAAAGCATGATTTCAGGGAGGGGAAGCACAATCCTTCACCGTCTCCATTGGTTGCTGAAGGGAGTTCCCTTTTCCCCCATGCAGCTCCCGTGTGGGCCCTCGCTCCACCCTGCTATTCTGCATTCTCCGGGATTCACACCAACCACCGAGTCACTCCCAGTGAGAGAATCTTCGTTCCTCAATTGAAGACGCAGAGCTTACTCACAGTTTTGACCCTTCTTGGTGGGAGCTGCAGAGCAGAGCTGCTTCTATTCAGCAGCTGCTCCCCCAGTGCTATGATTTTAATGTGTCCCCTCCAAAGTTCTTGTTAAAGCTTAATCCTCATTGTGGTGGCATTGAGAGTTGTGGCAGAGTTTGGGTAAGCAGACCCCTCATGAATGGTTTAGTGCCTTATAAAAGAGCTAGAAGGCCTAGCTTAGGTCCTTTTTTGCCCTTCCACCTTCTGCCATGTGAGGATAGTTTTCATCCCTTTGGCCATGTGACGATGCAACCAGAAGGCCTTCACCAGACATCAAATGCCGTTACCTTGATCTTGGACTTCTCACTCTCCAGAACTGTGCAAATTGATGTGGCTGTGTCACCACTTATGGGGTGCCACCAATGTTGCTAAGTAACGGGGGATGGAGGAATAGGCAAGGCAGCCCCCACTTTGAGAGAAGAATGAGGCTAGGCCCAGAACCACACAGGCTGCCATGGAGGCCATCAGCCAAAACTGTTTTTTAGTGGTTTAATTAATAAGTTTAATAAAATGTGTTTCATATTTTTTTCATATTTTTATAGAGAAATCCAGATTTACTTTATATCTATTCCAGTATAAGAATTATTTTTATTTATGCTAGGACTGAATTAAAGACATGTCATTGAAACAGGATCCTTTTTCTATTTTTAGGTCATTCCAATAAACTATCATAGTTCCAACAGCCTCTTAGGGCTTAGTACTGACTGGTGTGTGGTTAAGAGGAAGAAATTTCTTAAGCAAGGTTTTAAGATATGGCATTTGGAAAATTAAGAAAAAGTCATGAATGGTCTCTTTTACTTCACTGGCCAAAAAATAAATTATACAATAATGGTATTATTTGTGTAGTTTTCAGTCCTGAAACTCTGGGCATACAAAGAACTTTTAACTACAATTTGATTGACAGATGGACCAAAGACCTTAACAGACACCTCACCAAAGAAGATGTGCAGATGACATAGAAAAAGACACTCCGCATCATATGTCATCAAGGAAATGCAAAGGGAAACAATAATGAGGTCCCGCTACACACCTATTAGAATGGCCAAAATCTAGAATACTGAGAGCATCGAATGCTGGTAAGGATATGGAGCAACAGGAATTCTCATTCAGTCCTGCTGGGAATGAGAATAGTATAGTCAGTTTCGAAGACATTTTAGTAGTTTTTAAAAAACTAAACGTACTCTTATGATATGATCCAGCAATCACACTTTTGGTAATTGCCCAAAAGAATTGAAAACTTACATTTTCACATAAGTACACAAAAATTTGTACCAAGATATTTATTGATGTGTACACACAAGTACACAGAAACTTGTACACAGATATTTATAGAGGCTTTATTCATAGTTGCCAAGATATCCTTCACTATGTGACTGGATAAATAAACTGATACATACAGATAAGATAATACCGTTTAGCATTAAAAAGAAATGAACTATCAAAAATGAAAAGACATGGAGGAAACTTAAATGTGTATTATTAAGTGAAAGAAGCCAATCTGAAAAAGGTACATAGTGTATAATTCCAAATATAAGACATTCTGGAAAAAGCAAAACTATGGACACAATGAAAAGATCAGTCAATTGAAATAAATAAATATGTTTTTAAAAATCAGTGGTTTCCAGGTATTAGAGAGAAGATAGGGATGAATCGGCAGAGCACAGAGAACTTTTAAGTCAGGGAAACTTCTTTGTATAATATTCTACAGTGGTACATGTCATTAAAAATTTGTTTAATCTCACAGATTGTACAGCATCAAACGTGAATGCTAAAATAAACTGTGGAATCTTGGGTGATAATGATATGTCAATGCAGATTCATCAGTTGTAACATATGTACCACTCTAGTGGGGAATGGTTATAATGGGGAAGGCTATGCATACATAGGGGCAGAAGGTAAATGGGAAATTTCTGTATCTTCTGTTCAATTTTGCTGTAAACGTAAAATTGCTCTAAAAATAGCCTAAGACTGGTTTTATAATAACAGTAGGCCATTATTCATATTAGCATTATCATTATAGTCATGAATACAGTCTTCTCTTGACTATAGGGAACACAGTGCTTTTAGATTTCCTAGCATCCATTTAGCTTCCATTTTAAAAATAGAACAACACTAAGAACTTCTATATTATATGCACTATGAAGCCATATATTGTAGCTCATTAATTTATTTGGTAATAAAGTGCTAATTAGTGATATAACACTGACTCAAACAAGTTAGCTGAATGGTTTTAATAATCATAGAACACACCCTGAATCTCCATCAGACTTATTTTATTCATTCAGTTGGTCAAAAGAAGAAATAGAACAAATGTGATGAATGAAAACACATCCATAAATTATACTAGAAAAAATAGCTCAAAATATATGTCTAGCAGAGTTATTCAGTGCTGTTAACTCCAACTTCCTTATTAGCATTTCATTACTACATAATACAGTTGAATTCAATCCTCGAGCTGGTTTTGCTTTATTTGATGGTTATATCAGGGATACATATTCTAGTGCATCCAATAGGAAGCCACATTAGCACATTGGACCTTGATGAACTTAATCTAAAATTATAATCTTCAATAACCTTGTAATACTACATAGAATATAACTGAGCCAATAAAACATACTTATTTTTGTTTACCTTTCAATTTACACATAAGTTAAATCTACATTTTATCTAATTAAAACCAGATTGTTGGACTCTCAAATGCCTTGAGAAATCTATCACTTATTGAAGTGCATGGCACTTTTAAAACATAAATGAAAACTTCAGAGAATTACAATTTATATTACACAAATACAACTTCTGTCAATTCTGTCACAGTCTAAACATAACCAGCTGCCTCTGCAATGATATCAAGTGGCAATTAAAATAGCACCAGTAATGTTACACTACAGTGAGGTGCAGAAAATATTTTGTCTGGTAAAAGCAAGAATTATATTTAGATGGTTGAGATTCATGTTCCATATTAAAAGAACAAATGTTCTGAAAGATTAGTCTTTGGTGCCATCATGTCTATTTGTGCATAATCTTGGACACAGGGTGGCTTGCATGAGCCAGATATCTGTCTTGTTCAACTTTAGTCCGCTAAGCCGTGGTCTCCAAGTATCTTCTGCAGACCATTAGTTCAATGAAATACTAATAGGAATTTTGTCAAAAAATAAGTTCTATGATCACATAGGATTTGGAAATGCTATGTTAAGCTTGCACATTTTTCTCTCCAATGAATTGTCAACTCTTTAATGTACTCACATGCATTATGGATTTTTTAGAGAAAATGCATAACTTCCCCCAAATTATTTAATTATAGAACACATGCCAGAATAACCATTAACTTTTAGATAAAATATATGTTTGGGACAAGCAAAGTTGGAAAAAATTGTTTTGTTATCTGATATTTGCTTAAGGCATCAAAGAAGTTAACACCAGGAAAAATAAAAATTTGGTTGGATTGGTTACATTTGTTCCACGTCTAATGTGTTTATTTTGGTAAGCATACTGGGTGTAAACGTGATTTTTTTCAGTGCTAACGGCCTTTAATGGAATTGATCCAGAACTCTTTTTTCAAGGAGGATCTACCGGGGGTAATGTTGCATGGAACAAGTTTACAGACTTGCATTCAAAATCCCATTTACCACATTTGCCATTCTGTTCATCTAAAGATACTAAAATATTTTTCCTGCTTGGAAGCTTCTAACACCACCAATTCCCCAGAATAACTAGGAGTCTGATGTGGCTGTCTCAGGGTTCTCTAATAAAAGAAAAATTCAGCCACCTTCCTAGAATATACAAGGACCAAGGAGCATTTACAACACATAGTGACACCAAAGAGGTCTTATTCTTTGAACAGTTAGAGGCAATGGGGCAAAGTGACCTGCATTAACCCAAATTCTCCTCTCTCTTAAGTTAACAAGGATTCTGCTTCATGCAAGGATTGACACCTGACATTAGGACCAAAGCAGGCAAAAATACAAAGCCGGTGATTTATTTTTAGTAGCTCCTTTTTCAGTGTCTTTCCTTTACTCTCATATTCCAGCCAACCATCTCCCTGGAACCCTTGGGCAGCCTTCTCTCTTCTTATTCAGAGCCTTCTTACTCCAACACTTACTCCTCCACTGCTTCAAAATTACGTCCCTCATTGACCATTGGTGTTTATGTGTTCTCTTTTCAAATACTCAATTCAATGACAGTAAATGAGTTTTTGCAATGGCTTCATTACATTGAAGAAAAAGAACTGGAGCACAGACAACATAATAGAATGGAGAATCATAATTGACTTAACAAAATGGAGGAAGTTAAAACCAAAGAACTTTCAGGGATGCATAAAAGGACAAGTAAGGCAATTTGCCCTAAATAACTCCAGAAAAGCTAAAACCTTAGAGCTATCAAATCGACAAAGTGCGAGGAATATGTGGAACTAAAAACAGGGATTGGTCAAAAGCAAAGTTCTGTAGATCTTTGGAGTCCATTACTATCTTAATTCCCAGAATCCGGAAGCCAGCATGCACTGCTTGCCACCACCATCCCCTCAAAATGAAAAAATTATTAAATCAAGAAAATGACAGAAACTAAAGGGTCCCAGGGAAGAAATACCTACTAATATTGATAAATGAGATGGGGATAATGAAAAGCCTGATTTTATGATTATTATAGTGAAATGAACTAAATCAGTGCATCTCAAACTTGAATGTGCACATTGCAAGAGCCTGAGGTCTTACTGGAATACGTACTTTAGTTGATTAGTTCTGGGGTATGGCCTCAGATTCACCATTTCTAATACTTCTGCATTTCTGCTGGTCCATGAGTCACACTTTGAATAAAAATGCAAAAGACAACAAAGTACATTTGTACTCAGAGTTAACTAGCCACTTTTTACTACTTCATTCTTGAATATGAGTAGACAGATAAAAATTACCATCCATTTGAAGGAAGCCTCCTACATGAAAGAGACCAAAACAGATATTAAGAAGAAAAAAAACATAAAGTACAGCTAGAGTACAGCTCTAGATATCATCATAGAGATATAAAGTTCATTTATGAAACTAGAGAAGAATTCTAAGGAAAAATAAAAATCAGAGAGCAAAAACATGATTCTAAGAATTTAAAATACATGAGAGGCCAGGTGCTGTAGCTCACGCCTGTAATCCCAACACTTCGGGAGGCTGAGGTGGGTGGATCACTTGAGGTCAGGAGTTCAAGACCAGCCTGGCCAACATGGTGAAACCCCGTTTCTACTAAAAATACCAAAATTAGCCAGGCGATAGTGGTGCACACCTGTAATCCCAGCTACTCAGGAGACTGAGGCAGGAGAATCGCTTGAGCCTGGGAGGCGGAGGTTGCCCTGAGCCAAGATTGTGCCACTGCACTTCAGTCTGGGTGACAGAGTGAGACCCTGTCTCAATAACAACAAAATAAATAAATTAATTAAATACATAAGAAAAATATCAATAGAAGTTTTGGAAAATAAAATCAGAGAAATTGCCTAGAAATTTGAGTATACATCAAAATATTTAAAATAAGAAAGTGGTTCAGGACCAATCCAAGAAAGCCAACATATGAAATATGATATTTTTAGTAACAGAAAAAAAGGAAGGAAAAGTACTAACAAGGCTTACACAAGAAAAAATATTGAAACTAAAGACATATGTCTTCAGAATGAGTTAATGTCTTTTGCAGGGACATGGATGAAGCTGGAAACCATCATTCTCTGCAAACTAACACAGGAACAGAAAACCAAACACCACATGTTCTCATTCATAAGTGGGAGTTGAACAATGAGAACATACAGGCACAGGGAGGGGAACATCACACACCGGGGCCTGTCGCGGGGTGGGGGGCAAGGGGAGGGATAGCATTAGGAGAAATACCTAATTTAGATGACGGGTTGATGGGTACAGCAAACCACCATGGCACATATGTACCTATGTAACAAACCTGCACGTTCTGCACATGTATCCCAGAACTTAAAGTATATATAAAAAAAAATACAGAAATTATCCGGGCATGCTGGTGGATGCCTGTAATCTCAGCTAATCAGGAGGCTGAGGCAGAAGAATCGCTTGAACCCAGGAGGCAGAGGTCGCAGTGAGCCCAGATCGTGCCACTGCACTCCAGCCTGGGCGACAGAGCAAGACTCCGTCTCAAAAAAAAAAAAAAAAAAAAAAAAAAAAAAAAAAAAAAAAAAAAAAAATTGTAAGATACTCTGGGATAAACTAGAAGGGATTGAAGTCATCTATTTGGGGCTTAATTTTAAAAACCATTGCTTGTTCTTACATTATATAATTTTGAAAAATAAAATACAATATGTTAGAGACAATGTTAAATACTAAAAAAAAGAAAAGAAAAAGGCTCACTAAGATATTTCAAGAAATATCAATATCGTACACACTGGCAACACGTATTCAACCTCAGAATCTAAAAGATAGCATAAAAATGCCATCCAAATTCTGAGGAAAAATTATTTCTATGCTAGAATTCCAAGTTAATTCTTATTCACCTGTTGTAGCAAAATAAAGACATAGATACAAGGACTAAAAATGTGTCTGCTATGCATGCATTTTTAGGACATTTCCAGAGGATGTACTGTAGCCAAATGAAGCATTAAATTAAGAAAATGATAGACTTAGGATCCAGGAAAAAGGCAACTCATTAAAGGATACTGAAAAAACTAATTTCCAAGACAATGAGAAAGAAACATCCCAAATGGACAAATGCATAGCAAGTGCCGAAAGAAATGAATTTAATTGGATTTGAAGAATCAAGGGAGGAAAAAATAGAAATAATGTACTTCAGTATATAAATGGCAATAATAAATGCGGTGAAAAATGTTCCACATTTGGAAAAAATGATAGACTTTTTTTAAAAGGTGAATAAATCAATTTGGCAATCATCAATTCCAGGAAAAAAATGGAGAAACAGGAATGGAAAAATACATTTCATATCTTAGTTGTTTTATCAGTAAACAAAAACACCTGCATAGTCATAATCATGTAATGTAATCAGTGACTAGTGGTTTACTAAAAAAAAGAAAGCACAAGTTATAACTATGTAGGAGGAGGTTGGAGAGATTATGTGGTTGAGGCGAGTATTGACAAGTTAAAGCATCATCCATCATGGCCAGAAGTAAAGGGGTCATCTGTAATATTGATGAATCGTGAAATAACAGTATAAGCCTATTAATTAGAAATGCAGATATAAATATGTTAAATTCAGTTTGGCTCAAAGTGGCCTCCATACACAATGAGCTGTACCTTAGCTTGATGGTTAAACAAGTTGTAACCTAACTAGTAGTATATCCTTATAATTAGGCAGCTTAGTCTCACTGATCTCAAACAGAAAGCTGCCAAATTTTGCCCAAATAAGGCAAAGGCCAAACTGTACTAATCAGTTTGCTGCTCATGTTGTAGGCACGGGCATTTTGAACCATCTTCAGTTGGAAGCAGCCTGCTTCTAGAATCTTTTTTTGTCGTTCAAATTAACTTTGTTAAATTTAACTATCTAAGTATTTTTTTTTCAGCGAATACCATAAACAACAGTTAAGAGAGTTGATAGTAATTGCTTTGATAATAATGTAATTAATTTTAAAAATAACATGAGCCAGGGGAAGGACAATCAGTGTCCAGTAGTTTTAGCTGTGGCATACCCAAAGTAGAGCCTTTATCCCTCCAGTGGGGCCTTGCAGAAAAATGGAGCCCAGAAGACTGCCATCCCTTGGTGGTACTTCCCTAAAACATCCTCAGCATCAGAAATCTGGGGGAAGGATGAGGAATGAGGGCCTTCCCCTCCCTAGAACATAAGCTGGGAGCTGCATGGAGAGGGCTCTGTTCTTGGCTGCACCAGCCTAGGGTGGAGTTTCCTTCTTCCAGACCAGGGAGAGACAATGAAAGGAGTAGGGGCTTAATTCAAATGCCATAGTGAAGTTTAGTATATTTTCTTTAATAAATATTTCTTCATTTGTTCTATGCTCTTAGAACCAACCCTAGAAAGTTAAATGTTTGTTTTATAAAAATAATGTTTGCCAGTTTGACTGGGGAGTGGATCCATGGAGATCTTTATGCTGTAATGCAAGAACTAGCCCGCCTCTAACCAGCTTTTGATTTTTCACAATCAACTCACCTTCTCTGAGATTAGTTGTCTTTTCTTTAAAATGAATGTAATATTGTCTAATTTTCAAGATTTTATTGGCATTGAAGAAAATGTGCATAAAGTGTTTAATGTAATTTTTGTCATATGGAAGACATTTTGTAAAAAAAAAACTATTCCTGTCTTTGAAGAAAAGTGATTATATGTCATGTATTCATTCATCCACTCAAATATGGCTTGAGCACCAGATATGTGTGCTATTCCAGATGGTGGAAATTTTGAGCAAAGCAAAGGTGCTTCCTTCACAGAGCTTATTCTAATGGAAGGGATAGACAATAAAAAGTGAATATATAAAATGATGTCAGGGATTGATCAATATGATAAAGAAAAAGAAAACACATGAAGAGTTAGAAAGTTATATGAGGCTGCCATACATACAAATGGACATATGGAGAAAATGGCCTATTTTCTCCATTAATTCATCAAGGTTAAGTGTTCAAATTTTGCCATTCAAATGCTTTTTGTCTTTAGAAGTAGAACAAATATCTTTTGCCAACACCTCCTAGTAAATATGGACCTGGTGAATATATATGTGTGTGTGTGTGTGTATATATATGTGTATCTATACACATATATATATTTATATACATAAATATATATAGTTTTTATATATACTATATAGTACGTATATATACTATATATAAAATATATATACATATATATATATTCAGCTGCAACAGAGGCTAAGCTTCCACAGCAATGCTTAAACGTAATAAACTTTACATATTGCCTCTGTTCTTATAAGTTCAAGCCTGCCTGAAAGTGTGGGATAGTATAATAGACTCTTGTTGCCTTCTAATTCTGTACTTCTATGACATAAAGGTGTGGGATATATATGAATGGGAGTACAGAGAGAGTGAGGGAGATTTGACTAAATATATTATAAATGCTATAAACCACTACTGGTGTTAAAATATTGTGGATGTCAGATTTTATTATCTTGAGAGTAACTTTGAAAAGAGAAGGAAATATAAAATATAATATAAATTACATAGGAGAGCTAATTACTAAATTAATTTCTATGCAGTATTCTCGCAGATGACAGAATGCCCTCTTGAATATTCTCTGTAAATCACAAACAGTGAGATTTCATTAAATACATTATCAGAGAGTATGTAATTATTATTAAGACATACACCCTGTCTTCAAGGAGTTTGTATTATAGTAGAAACAATAAAACTACAGAAATGGCCCTGTAAAGTTCATATCTCCAGGCCACCAGCATAGGAGTCATGTTAAGAAGTTAGCACTATAGCTGCTCTGATGCTGAAAATTCTTCACCTACTTCCTTCTGTCTCAACAAGGATAATGGAGGATTTAAGGGACAAGGATTATTTTTTGGATGTCTTCTACTACTTTGTCCTACTCCTGGTTTCCCCCAACATCTCTCAGAGGATCAAGTGCTGCTGGAAAAGTTCACAATCAGCTGTTTCAGCCACCAGCCTCCCATGCAGCAACAGGGATTAGGAGATGTGAAGGGATGCTATTCCACACATACTCTTCCTTTGCCTTAGGCAGGAAGTTGGGTGCTGAGAGTTTGTGCAGATAAAGTTGGCAAAATTTTATGTCACAGACTGAAACAAGAGTTTTAATACCAAGGCTTCTGCTCCCTCTGAGACAGCTGCTGTATTCTACACAACCATCACCGTCGTTCACCGCTGGCTACCATCATGCATAGATTTTTCATTGCAAAATCTCTCCACAAAATGCTCTTTTCATTGCCTGTAATAGCTTATTTTCTTCTTTCTGTACAGCTTCAAGAAGCTGTGGGCTATACCTTTCCAACTTGCCTCTACATGTTTACAAATTATTGATCCTGTTGTCTCATGATCTGAAATTCTCTCTATATCCTTTTTTTCTAGAAGACTTCTGGAAGTTCATTAAAAACCCAAATTACCCTTTTGGAGCCTCATCTGTTCCAGGAACAACTTCTAATTCTAGTCAACCAATCCCCCTTCCCAATGCCACCAGCAAATTTGTTTTGAGAGGTTTGGAGAGGAGAGAATTGATATGAGAGACATTTAGAAGGCAGAAAGGGCAAAACTTAGTGACCAGTTGTATGTATTGTATGGTAGACTGGATGGAGTTATGGTCAATTTTCTGGATTCTGCTATAGGCACGTGGGTAGAAGACAGAGTATAGGAATTCAAGTAGGTGGGGAGAAGAGAAGAGGATTAAAAGGCTTCAGTAACTGTCATGATTATATTTCAAAATTCTTGATGTATGTTCAACTTCAAAGGGGTAGAATGAAAGTAGAGCGAACATCAGACAGAACACAGACAGAAAAGAAAAAATGCAGGCCCTAAAACAATTAAACTGGCATGGATGATACTATTCATGGGCGCCACTTGAGGTACTTGGCAGAGTTTCCATTCAAGTGATAGCATCCAAGAGTCCAGGCCAGAAAATTCTTTCTATTTTGAGAGAGAGAGCGGTTACTTAATCATGTAAAATAGGTCTATGGCTATGCTCTGTTCTTAATAAGTTCAAATACCAAGTAAGATGGACATAAGGAAATGGGAGATAAAAGATGGATATGTGATCTGGGAATGAGACAATGAAGTTTCAGAGATGGAGCAGTTCTGGCTTATTTAAGGAGAAACACAGAGGTAAAGGAGATTGGAAATATAGAACATCAACAAATTGTGAGTCTAGTGTATTGGAAAGTGCATTCTCATGGGGGTTTATATTAAACAAAATAACAGAAACAAAGCAAAGTACCAACAATAAGGCAGATTATGTAAAATTTTTCATTTGAGGTAACTACCATAAGGGGAATGAAATACATTTTTTTTTTGTGAGGAAGAAAATAAGTACGATATTCCACAGCAACCCTCTCTAATAGAATGTTCTGTAGTGGTGGAAATGCTGTATACTAGCTACTAGCCACATGTGATATTGAGCACTTGAAATATTACCAGTTTAACCAAGGAACTGAATTTTTAAAATTATTTCAGTATATTTAATTTTAATTTCAATAAGCACATTGGGCTAATGGCTATCATATTGGACTGTATAGTTCTACAGATCTGTAAGAACAATGAACTGAAAATATTAAGAGCAAGGTAGCACATTGCTGACTCTCCCACCAAAGTGGACCAAAGGATGCAAACAAACTTCATAATCTTCTCCATATATCTTTCTGGCCTTCTTACTATCTACCCTGCCCTTTTGAGAGTACAATGGCATGGAGACGAAAAAGAATAATCATGTATGGGGGCAGACTGTGTGCTATTTATAATTATAAGCTCTTGTTAACTAGGTGCTGTTGATAAATATGTGTGGTTTCAGTCTTTAGGTATGCAATTACTTCTGCCAGAATGTTCTTCAGGCTTCTGTATACAGCAGCAATATCTAGAGTTTGGTCCGTGGAACCCTGAGGGTTCTTAGGATCCCTTCAAGGGTTCCAGGAAGTCAAATATATTTTCAAAATATACTATGACATTATTTGGCTTTTTCTGTATGCTGACATGGTACTGATTTTATGCAATCCATGGTAGATTAAACAGCACCAATCAAGACAGTGGCGCAGAAATACATACATCATTATTGTAGTCTTCACAGCCAGGCACTTACAGCTTTTTTTAAAAAAGAAAATTTTATTCAAGAATGTCTTTAATGAGGCTATTAAGATTATAAATTTTATTAAATTTTGACTCAATTATTGAACTTAAAAATATGCTGTATGACAAAAGGGGAAATACAAATAAAGCACTTAGGCTGGGCATTAAAAAACAGTGGTTATTCCAAAAACACTGTGCAATTGAGTTGTGATCTGATCATCATTTTTACTCAAAGGAATAACTGAAAATTGTTATTCAGAATTGGGAGTTTGGCAGACATTTTCTGGAAAATGAACAAAGTGACCCTATCACTCCAAAAAAACAAATTATTGATGTTATACACAACCAAGGATAACATTTGAGCTTTCACAGGAAAATTTGAATATTGAAAAACTTCTATTTTCCACTGTGAGCTTGAGTGTTTCTCAGTACTTAAAGACCTTTCTGAGAATATTGGTAATGATATTAATGGATGTGATTTTTATAGTGTATAATGAAATGTGTCAAAATTTTGAAATTCTAATTCTGCATAATTCCACAAACAAATATTTTTCAAATGATCAGTATATAATGGTTTAAAGATAAACTATTAAAGTGCAGGACAGACCAATTGATTTTAATGAAACGGGCAGGGTAAAATAAGGTTACTGATACAGTTTCAGAATGCACATTACAATGAACATGTAAGAACTTACTACTACTTGAGTTTTAGTGTAATACTATTTTTAGTTATCTGAAAACACTGTTATTTTCCCTTGTTCAATTATATACCTGTATGAGGTGGGACTTTCTTTACATATGTCAAGCAAAACAATATTCTGCAACAGATATAATACAGAGCAGATATGAGAAACCAGCAGTGTTAACCAGACATTAAGAAGATTCACAAAATTGTAAAACAATGATATTCTTCAAACTCATATCACTGATTTATTTGAAAATATTGCAACTTTTTATAAAAGAAAAATATGTTTTAATGTTAGCATGCAGTGATTTTTATTTATCTGTAAGTGAATAAACAAAAATATGTTGTAAATTTTGGTTTTAATTTACAATATAGTAGATATAGGTAAATATAATGCATGTAAGCAGAAGAATTTTGGCTCCCTCAGTTACATTTAAGAGTATAAAATTGTTCTGAGACCAAAAAGTTTGAGGACCACTACTCTAGAAATATTTTATGCATTTTGCAGGACCTCAGTCTTAAAAAGCCTTTTCCTGACTCCACAGCTGCTCATTCCTTGTTCTTTGTTAGTATAGCAATTTGTGTAAATGTTACTTTGAATGTGTTCACATTGTATGAGAGAGAAACAAAGTTGGAAGCAAGCAGACAGAAACATACACAGGTGGAATTAAGCAGTGGCCCTTTGTATAAAGTGGAAACAATCACATGTTTATTAACAATAGACAGGGAAAATTAAAAGAAAATAGTGGAACAATGAAAGAGGAGAATTTGACAGGTTTATTTAAGAGTCCTAGCTGTGAAGAAGAGCCAAGGTAAAATAATTACCCATGGAAAGGAACAACTGCATTGTTATCTACACTGAGATACGTTAGTATTGATAAAAATTCAGCATTGGTGAAATGAAAACTAAGAATGGTAAGTGCTATGTTCTGAATGTTTGTGTTCCTTCCCTTTCCCCAGAATTATTTTATTGTATGCTAATCTCTAAGGTGGTGGAATTAGGAGGTAGACACTTTGGGAGATGAGATTAATGTCCTTATGAATGAGGCATTAAAGACCACTTACCCCTTCCACCATGTAAAGACACAGCTAGAATGTTCCATTTATGAACCAAAAAGTGATAATATCAGATCATTAATTATATGTAAAGAGAAATATATATTATTTCAATAATTAATTGTAGGCTCAATTTATTATAAAATACCCCCTTTCATACTGGACTATAATTTCCATAAAAGATAGGAAAAATGTGTACTTATCCATAGGGACACCCTTAACCATAGATTTCTTACAATGCCTTACCCAAGCTCGATTCATAATGCAGTAGTTGTGAATGCCTGTCAAATGAGTAAGTGTGGCTTAATCTGTGTAAAAACATAAACAGCCCAGAAACGGAAACTACTAAGTGTTTCAAACAGAGAAAATAAAATTCATGGAATTGTTTACATGGGTGATAGAAGAGCTGGTGAGTCAAAAAGGGTTGGTGAGGCAAGCCAGAGATTAACAGCAGCTGGAAGCAGGACAACCCTGGAGCAGGGACAAAGGGAAGAAATGATGATAACAAATCTATAAGGGAAGCTAGATTCCTTGCCAGGAACCATCATATCCTAGAGAGAGGGGCTGTTCTGTTATGAGCTGAGATGATACAGCCACTGCTAAAGATGTTGCCATGGTATCTAACTCTCTCCTAAGAGATGAAGAAATACTTTTGTTTCTCTCTTACTCCTCTTTTCCAGTTTTCACCATTAATAAACTTGCTCAGAGGCTGACTGGTAAAAAAAAAAAAAAAAAAAAAAAAAAAAAGCTAGCTGGCAGGAAAATGGCCTTCCTTGTGATGTAGAACAGTGGAGAAAGGGACAGGAAAATGATTACTAGAGTCATTAACAAATGCCCACTACAGTGGATCCTGTAAGCTACCTGGTAGACTGATTTCTGAGGGAGCTAACCTGCAGCCAATGGAACACAAAAATAATTCAGTATAGAAAAATTCAGAGTAGATGTCTTTTCTGACATTATTATTTCAAAAGAGAATGGAACAAAATATTTCTATTTAGAAATGAAAGTGTTATACAGGCATTAAATCTACACTTGTTCAAAAGATGTTACCAGCATGATGTATAGGAAAACATGTTTTGAGTAATTAGTGAAATGGATTATACCCATAAACAAAGAAGAAACATGGTGAGAGTAATTATTTCTGGCATGTAGAGTATGTAAGGCTGCTAGAAACACAAAACGCACAATGGCAAAAGTATTTGCTTTTACTTAAGTGGGAAACATTTACAGCTTCTGGAATATAAAACTGTGTGATCCTGAACAATCTTGTGTTTCTCGGACCTCAAATTTATGGTGCAAGTAATAAATTTCAACCATCAGAGAAAACATTCCAGACTTTTTATTTGCATGTTTTCATTAAAGAGCTAAAAGGGAAATGAGAGTAACATAGTCAATTACATAAATATGCAGGGTATTCAACAAGCAGGCTCTGTCTCTAGAATAAAGAAAATATTATCAGGGTAAAGAGGATGTTGCCTACTCTTGGTGAAACAAATTACATGTTTGTGTATCTGTAATATTGACATCAAAGGTACCCAGGAAAGAAAGTAAAACCACAAATGATATCTTATTTCTGTCTCATTGTACAATCTCCTATTAAAAAAAGGGAATGCAAGAAAAAAATGAATAAATTGAATTTATATTGCTAAGAAAATCTAGTGTTGTATTTTAAAATATCTGGGCACTTGATGCAAGCTCAGTAGGTAAATGATTAAATAAATATTTGAAGTTTTGCAGGTGGAAAATTTCTTAGACATCATCAAGTAAAATATCCTTATTGTGTAGATGAAAAATGAGACCAAAAAAGAACAAAACATATTCCAGTTTGTATGTACATAACAGTTAAAAAAGAGTTCCTTTTATTGACTCAAATGCTTGTAGTTGGTCCCAGAGCTGACATTGTAGTCAGCCAGAACTGGGAAATCATTCAGAGCTCTGCTACTTCTTCTTGTGTGATCATACACAATTAAACTATTTTGCCTCACTTTTCTCATCTGTACATAAAGATAAATGTATTACCTAACTCATAGGAGATTTGTAAAGATGAAATGAGATAATGCATATAATGCACTGAGCAGAGTACATAAGGACACAGCAGATGTTATCCTATTCTTGTTCTGCATCACTCCCTGACTTTCCATCAAGCACTGACTAGCTAAGCATTCAAGTTGAAAATACGGTCTACATCCCTATGGAGACCTATAGAGGGAGGCAGCAGTCACTCAAATGCTCTTGTAATATTTTCTTTATGACTCATTCCAATGTCTTCCCACTATCATGAAGGTATTCTTATCCAGCCTTGATTTCTTCTACCCTGATTGCTTCTATTACCCATAATAAACAGGCTACCCAAGAGCAAACTGGCCACTGCAATCTTTAGAATATTTGGACAAATTAAGCCTTTATTAAAGATGCAGTAATGAGGAGTTTCAGTAGGGACAACGCTAGGTGGCTTCTGCACTGAGGGGTGGATATGAGTGTCTGGGGCAATTCTCTGCCACACTGCTAATACAAAATAAGCCAAAAAAAAAAAAAAAAGGAGGCCATGTTTAGTAACATGATTTGTATATGATTGGTGTTCATGAAGTTCTGTTGTAATACAGTGGATCAAACGATATGTAATTGGAATTTGTGCCAGGCATGATAGGCATAATTTATCTCAAAGTCAAGGCAAACATGTCATGGGTTTTTCAAATTCTTAGCATTCATTTAGAAAAAAATATAATCAATATTATCAGTAGTCATCATAAAGGCAAAAGTAGTGTGGTCCAGGAAGATATCACTATAAAGATACTATTTTAAAACTGGCTACCAAAGGTGAGATGCAGTGGTTCACTCCTGCAATCCCAGCCCTTTGAGAGGCCAAGGCGGGTGGATCATCTGAGGTCAGGAGTTCGAGACCACCATGACCAACACGGTGAAACCCCGTCTCTACTAAAAATACAAACAAATTAGCTGGGTGTGGTGGTGGGCCCCTATAATCCCAGCTAACCAGGAGGCTGAGACAGGAGAATAGCTTAAACCTGGGAGGCAGAGGTTGCAGTGAGCCAAGATGGCACCAATGCACTCCAGCCTGGGCAACAGAGCAAGACTCTGTCTAAAAATAAATAAATAAATAAATAAAACTACCAAAATGTGAGGAAGTGCATCTTGTAGCTGTGTGAGTGAAAGAAAAGCATTTCAGTTAGAGGTCCTGAGGTGGCTGAAATACATTGCTTCAAGATTCCCCTTAGACCTCTAGGCCTGTGGATTGGTCTACTCTGCCTTGTGAGAAGGTAATGGTACCCATTGTTTGAAGACTCTGTAGAGGCCTTAAATGTAACAAGTACCTACCCTTCCTGCCACCAGACCAATAATTTTGTCATATCTGAGAATAAGCTGAATGGGGAAGAGCTCCCCATGTGAAAGGAGAAGAGGAATTTTATACCAAAGGAACCATCAGATCTGGTTAAAATGTATAATACGTACCCAAAGTAATTGGTAGGTATGACTGGGAATATATATTGAAGGTACTGAACCAGAAATCACAAGAATATAATTATGAACATGAAAGAGTTTTCCATTTGGAGTCCATCCACCATGCCAGGAATTAAGACCCACACACAGGCCTTTGGAGATGATTTTAATATACTTCCTGGATGACTCTTAGAAACTTGGAAAAGGCAGTGACCTACATGGAGTTGGAAATAGCAGAACTGCTGTGGAAGAATACGCAAGAATGGATCAAAAGTCTCAGAGAAGAGCCTATGCTAGAATGAATATTTCTAAGACTCAAAGACACACCAGCTGAATATGTCAAAGCAATAAAGGATGCACTGGCAAAAGAAGCACCAGAATTCCTGAATGCCTTAGTAATGGTTGTCCTGTGTATGACAGGGCTGACCGTGGGAGATTCTGTCACTTCCCCTTAACAGTGGGGGTGAGAGAATCTCAGAATAGCAACAGCCAGGGAGAAGTCCTTAATCATTAGAAGTAAAGTGGGTGTAATGATCATAATGGGCATCTAAGTTAGAATGGTAGCCCTGAAATATCTCATATCTGACCCAGAAGATGACACATAAAGCACGATATACCAGAGGTACCCAACAGGAATATTGATTGTATATAGCTACAAAACGTCAGTGGTTCAATTTATATTTTAGAGTTCTTGGTGGGACAAGATTAAGTCTCAACAAAGGGCTGGGATTTGTCTGAAACTACATGTTATGGACTGATTGCGTTCCTCTAAAACTCATATATTGAAGCCCTAAGCCCCAAAGTGATAGTATTTGGACATGAGATCTTAGGAGGTAATAAGGATTAGATGAGGTCATGAAGGTCAGGCCTTCATGAAGCAATTAATGTCCTTGTAAGAAGAAATACCAGAGAGCTCTCTCTGTCTCTCCCAGCATGCAAATAAGAGGTTATCTGAGAACACAGGGAAATGTTGGCTGCCTACAAGTGAAGAGAACAGGCTTCAGAATAAAACCTACTTTGGTGGAAACTTGATCTTGAACTTCCAGCCTCCAGAACTGTGATAAATTTCTGTTATTTAAGCCACACAGTCTACGGTATTTTGTAATGGCAGCCCAAGCTAACACAATGCATTTGCATGGTTTCTTCATATTCCGTCCTGCTTTCTTCTCGTCCTTACAGGCTTCTCCGAGAGCACTCTCTCAATCAAGAGTTCCCATCTCAGGATCTGCTCCTACAAGACCCAACTTAGGATAGTAATGATGTTTATCACTTATTTAGTGAATATGTGTCAAGTGCCAGACATGCCTACATTCAACATGCAGTGGCAAACAAGACAAACATTTTACAAGACAAACATTTTACCCAGTTTCACAGGGCTCAGAGGCTTGTGGTCTCACTAGTGTTATTTACTAGGTATTTTATTAATCAAAAATGATAGTAGTTTGTAAAAATACCTTTGTTAATGTCATAATTATTCTGACATTAGCTTCTGAATTTATGGTAATCTGATCATAGAATATGTCATATAAGATCTGCTTTAGGAAAAATGTATTAGGAGCTTAAAACATTTCATACGTATTCTAGAAATATTCAGAGAGAAAGTATATTACCTGACTCCTCAACCTGGTTTTTACCATACTTTTCTAGTCTTGTTCCATATATTATGGGATCCTTGGGGTGTTGCTTCACCAGCCAGGAGCCACTGTGGACAGTGGTGCCTTTGCCTGAGTTTTCTTCAGGCCCACTGGGCCCACTCAACCTGGTGGACTGTGCTTGGTTTGCGCTACTGGCCTGGATCCCATGCCTGCCAAGGGTGAGTGGAGTGCTGAGGGGTATGTGAGCAAGCATGGGGTCCAGCCACTGCACACAGCCAGGTTCCTTGAGGGCTATGGTGGGGTGGGCAGCTCCAGGCACTGGCATGGGCTCTGGCTCCCTGCAAGGCTGTGGCTGGACCAGGCGTAACGCTAGCAGCTTCCATGGCTGGCACCGGAGAAACACATTGTCACCCAGAAGCTTGGAGATGCCAGGAACGAAAGAATTCCAAAGAGGGTGTCACAGCCCTGGCTTGGAGAACTCCTAGGTCTGGGCTTCCTGAAGGGCTGCAGCTCTTCTCTCCTTCTTGTCCCCAGTAATGTGGCAAGCAAGGGGTGTGTTTCAACTCTGTTGACTTCCAGGGCCACCGACAGTGCAGAGGTGGCCAGATCCGCAGCCACAGCTTGGACGGCTGCTGCTGCACCCAGGAGGGCAGGTCTCTTGCCTGCTGTCTACCCGCAAGAGCAGAGGGATGCCTGGGTCTGCAGGGGCAACTAGGTGCCTGCAACTGCGCCCAGGGATCGAGAGGCTCCATCCTGCCAGCTCGGAAGGGGGTAGGGCTTCCTCCTGTTCCTGGCTCCCACCAGCTGGGTACACATGAAGCCCAAGCTGCACCTCCCCTACTGCTGCTGGCATCATGGCAGCAGCCGCGTCTGGGGCCACCACTGCCATCACATAGATGCCATATTGCTACTCATTGAAATTACTAAAGAGGTGTCTTTTAAAATACTGTTTGGCTGGTTTCTTCATTAAATTATTTCTTCAATCATTTTCTTCCTGTTTTTTCATAATTTAATAGTTTTCTTTACTTATTTTGTTCAGTATTTAATCATAGTCCCTGTGTTCTTTGGTTCTCCTCTCTATGGATTCTACCTAAGAATTTGCCAACAATCACGGTATGTCAGTTTCCTTGTTCTTTGCACATTCTTCTTGGGTACTGTTGAAAACTTTAGTACATAACCAATAAGGCAGGTTGGGATAAGTGATTTCAGGCTAATTCTTGGTGCATAAGTGGTACCTCTTTGGTGTATTTCTGCTTTAAGAGATGGTCTTATTTTATCCTCTGCCTTTCTTCTTATATTTCCAACTTTAATAAGTACAATTTCTAGTATCCAGGGGTACCTCATGGTCCTTTCATTTTTTAACTCATTTTGTTCTCAAGGACTTTACCCTTCCACCAGCATTTTAATCTACATGTCCTCTTCACAGAGCAGGTCCATTGTTATCTGTCAGCCACAATGTCTGCATGGATGTGGAGCTGTAGAAGTGTACATTAGAAGTATTCTGATCACACGAAAAGAAGTCCCCCCAAATAGATAGAGAGACTGGTTTTGCCTAATATCATTTTAGTAGCCAGGTACCTAATTTCTTTTTTTCTTTGTCTTTATAGAAATTTGAAAAGAAAATTGGGGGGAGGGCAGAATCAAACAATACTAGCAAGAAACTTTTTAAAATTATAACCAATCAATTGCATTTTGATATTTTTCAATGTAGTGTTAACTTTAGCTACATTTTCCCAAAGGATAAAGACAAATTCACACTCTCTACATGCCCTGAGAACATTCCTTAGGGATATGGTCAGCAACATTCCCACCCTCCTCATGCCCCAGTGAGAATCTGTTCAACATTTCTTCTCCAGTCTTCTATTATATAGATATATTTTGGAGATTGGAGGGGTCCAACGGTACAAAACTCTATACAAAAGCATGCTAAACACTGTTCTAAACATTAGAATGATATAAGAAACCATACAATATAGAGATACATGTATCATTATAAAGTATCTAGGTGAGAACACTCAAATGAGAAGATTTGCCTGCACAGCATGAAAAGAAACTTGAACCTCTAATAGACTTTCTAAACTAATTAACAAATAAATAAATTTTAATATGTTCTTTTCAAGTTCATCAGCAGTCTAACTGACTATTCTTCTATGAAAACGTATAAGCACAAAAGTTAAAAATAATCCAAGTGCACTTTAAAATATTCCTTTTCATCTATGATTAGGTTATCCAATATATTTTATTTGCCTTATGTTGCTTATGGAAGAAACAATTGACACTACTTCTGCACAGTAATGGTTTCTGAATATATCTAATGGTTTAGGAATATAATCTGTACTAGATGTCTATGATGGTAGAGTTATTTGCACAATTCATGAATACTGAAGAAAAAAATCACAAGAAAAACGTGAAATTTTGTGCACCTGTAAAAACATGTTTGTATGCACCATATAAACTCATCAGTATTACGTTTTGACCTAATATATAACTGGTTTATTAAATAAACTGATTACAAATGCCCTCACATTTTAGGATAAGCTAAAATGTTGATGGGAGGATGACTTTTGGACCAAGACTGGGGACTCCAGGTCTCTCTTCTCATAGACTGAATGACTTTGGGTTTCTTTCATATTTTTGTAAATAGGGACCTAACTGGTTGGGTGGCCAGATATGTGCAAACATGTCTATATCAGGCACAGTCAGGTAAAAGATGGCACTTTCCTAGTGAATAATTTGAAAAGAGCTTAATAAGGGACAGCTGACAAAATTCTGCATAGGGTGTAGTAAAACCAAGCAGTGATGCAGAAACTCAGAAGAAGATCAGGTCTGAAGGGAATAAAGGTAACCAGAATCCAGAAATGTCCTTGTCAAGATATGTGACTCAGGGGTACAGCCAGACTTACAGAAAATACGCAAGATAAATCAATATTCTTTCTCTAGTTCCCACTACCTGATCCAATCTGGAAGACAGAGAACAAAAGAACACACGGATGTAGTCTATATGGATAAGTCAGCTGTGCACAGATCATTGCAAAGAAAAGTAGACAGCGCATCTGGTTTTATTAATTCAAATCCTCACTCTGGTAACTCCCCCGTCAGGCTCCATACATCACATTATTACCCTCCACCTGCCCTCCAGTTAATATTTTATAACAGTAGGATAATTTCAGTAGAAACTGACATATGACTCCCATTTTATTTTTATAACTTTATTAGGGTTATCCTTACAAAATTGAATGAAAATTTTTAATGTATATACTATGTCAAAATACAAATAATAAAATTAATTTTCTAATATGCAATTTATCACTAGATTTAGTGAAACACTATACCTTTCAATGATTTTCAAACTTGGAAACATATATGATGCCAGTTAGATAAGGAACAGTATGTACCCCATTAGAAACAATATTGCATAAGTCACTGATTTTTATGCTGCACTTACTAGATCAAAAAAACTCCTGGGTCAGGAAGAAGTTGAATCCAATGGTCACATTATTGCAGAATTTGGTACACAGTATGTTTTTTCACAGAGTTTCAACCATTAATTCACTTGGCTGTAAATTACCAGGCATTCAGCCTATTAAAGAAAAGCTGACTGAATCTTACCGTGTGCTGCAGCATGGTTATTTGCCAACATAGTCTAAGTCACACTTTCTATTCATGTGCTGCTCCACAGAACAGCTCAGAAATGTCAGGAATGTTACTGAGCTGCCAATATGTCAAATGCATGGTAGAAAGTACATGGTGGAAAGCTTTCCCTTTTGTTTTCTTGATTACATTAGTGTATTCTGAGCTCCTTTGTGGCTCCAGATGGGCACCACTTGAAGAAGTGCTTTTCTTTTTGTAAAATATTGCCATGCCATTATGACAGGGAAATATCCATTGTTGTAGTACATTCTGTTTTACTACAATATTATTAACCCAAACCCTTGAGGATTCAGTCTTGTGTTTCAAAAATCGGAAATAGCCACAGGCTTTGAAATTTCTTGAATAATTCTCAGTCTGAAGTTGAGAATAGGAGACTTTTCCTTTAGTAATTCAAACCAAGTATCTACTGGCCAACCTCCTTTCCCTATTTCTAAATATCCAGAAGCAAATAAAGATAGGAGTTCAATAATCAGGGAGCTAAAACTAAGCATGCAGATTCTACCCTTTTTTATTTTTTTGAGACAGAGTCTCTCTGTTGCCCAGGTTGGAGTGCAGTGGCACGATCTCTGCTCACTGCAACCTCCACCTACCAGGTTCAAGTGATTCCCCCACCTCAGCCTCCCCAGTAGCTGGGACTACAGACATAAGCCACCACACCTGGCTAATTTTCGCATATTTAATGGAGACAGGGTCTTGCCATATTGGTCAGGCTGGTCAAACTCCTGACCTCAAGTGAACCCCCTGCCTCAACATCCCAAGGTGCTGGGATTACAGGTGTGAGCTACCATACCCAGTCAAATTCTACCCTCACATTTCTGTACTGAAGAAGAAAATACGCTACTTTTTGGCACTCAAGGACAGAAAAGACATTGGAGGTGCAGAATATGAGGCAATGAGTCTAAGAAGCCATGTGTTGTAGGAGAAATCTCAATGAGTAAGAATAAAGACACCTGAGTTCTGCTCTTAATTCTGTCCTACAATGCCAACTAAATCTTTTAGCTTTGGAAACCTTATCGAAAATTGAGGATAATAGCAGTTCCCTGCTCTAGTTTATTGGATTATACTGAGAATCAAGGGAGATTGTATTATGACATTGGAAAATGCTACAGAAATAGTAAAGTTCTGTACAAATACAACATAAATAAAAATAGCAGAAATAAATTGTTATATGAAAATGTACATGGACATAAAAATACTATTGACACACACACACACACACACACACACACACACACACACACACACACGATTCCCAACAAAGCCTTTCTATACAGAATAATCAAGGCTTACGGAATCAATCATTTGTGAAGGCAAAATATGATGAAAGTAATTAATATAAACTTTTATTACCATATTGACCAAAATGTATTTCATGGAAATTCTTTTAACAGGCTATTTATAAGTGTTAGGTTAAAGGAAGGAAGAGTGGAAGGATGGAGGGTGAGAGGGAGAGACAAAAAAAGGGAGATTCCATTGTCAAATAAAATAAATTTGGAGACTAAATTTAAACTGGTAAGATTTTTCAAACTTTAATATCCTGATATTTAACCTCATCATTACAAAAAGTGGGGTATAGAGAAGGCAGAGTTTCCAAAATTTTATGTCAGTTGAAACTGCTGGAACATACTTTGAAAAATGCTGTTATAGAGGGATTTGCTTAATCAAGTAATTCTGGAAAGCAGCCAAATCCTAAACAGTGAAGTTAGCAAGTTCCTTGATGCACACAGAAGATCAATCAAAGTAAACACCGAAAAGAATAACCATGGCTAACGTTTGTTCAGTAATTCACAGATAATAAAACATTCTCACATAATTATCTCTTCTGATTCTCCACCCATTTTTGATAAATAAGTATTATATCCACGTGTGCAGATAAAGAAGCAAATGCTATTGGAGTTTTAGTGTCTAAAATTACAAAGCTGTTGGCAGAACATTAGTCTCAAATGTAAAATGTCCAATCCATCGCGTTTCCGTTATAACCTGCTGCTTTACTGTTGAAAAAAGGAAGAGGTCTTATTCTTCTTATAAGGTTACTAGTCCTAGATTAAAGGCCCCACCCTCACCACTTCATACAACCTTCATTACTTCCCAGTGGCCTTATCTCCAAATATTCTCACATCGGAGGTTAGGGCTTCAACATAGGAATTTTGGTGAGGAGACACAAACATCAAATCGATAACAATATCATTTTATACAGTTGAAGACAGGCTTGAGGCATAAATCATAGCTCACCGACTTGTGGTAAGGAGGGGGTAGATAGTGGAAGCAGCATGCCAATTAAATAGATTAGTGGCATCATTGTAGATCGAAATGATTTTATCAAGGTCCACCAGTTCAGATTGGCATGCTGTCTAAGGCCTTACACTTTAGCCTTACACAGAATGCCCTTACGTACTTGCCAGGCTGCAGATCTATGTCAGTCATTCCATTCCAGTTCCTGGATGAAGAACTAAAACTGCATACTCTATGTGGTCACACACAGTATTGGTGACCACCTAACACCTAATGGAGTATGGTTTTATATCTGAAGGTCATGGGGTATAGCTTTTGACAACTTATTTGTCCTCTGTGATTTTATCCTTGATCACAGTTACTCATTTCCTTGGAGCGGGGAAAGGACCTTGAAACTTAATAAGGACAGAAATCTCCAAGTACCTTCAAAATTATCTGGGTATCTGAATGATTGTATAGGGCTTTCAATTATCTTGATGCATGCGTGTATTGAGTTCTGCTAAGTGATTAAGGTGTCCTCTGTTCTAGCTGAATCCACTTCCAAGGAAAGGGGCTGTTAAGCTGTGTAGAGTGGCAATTGGCCAAATTTTAGGAACAACTCCCTGGCCACGGCTGTGAGTGTCCTGGAATATGTAAAGTCCTAGGTTCTCTTACCACTTAATCCAGCAATTTGAAGCTGTGAGGTAGAATGAGTTTGGGACTACCCTGTTAGGCACTGGCCTCAGGGTTTCTGGACAAGTGGTAATTCCTAAAAACTTGAGTGAAATGGAGTAATCGTTTGAGCATTGCTTGCTCTTTTGGTAGGCAGTTCAACAGAGGACTGGGATGTTTGAGGTGAGATATTTATAGATGGGACCTGAGCCTGAGATTGGAAAGGATGAGGGGGTTGGTGGCTCTTGGCATGGGTAAACTGAATGCCAAATCTAGGACTTGATAGATGCTAATTTGGGGAAGCAAAAACAACTAAAAAATGTCCATCTGTGAGATAAAAGTAAAGTATATAATCCGTAGGGTCTAGCCCTACAGGGCCTGTGGGTTTTTCTCTTCATGTGCGGAGACAAGAGATCGTAGAAATAAAGACACAAGACAAAGAGATAGAAGAAAAGACAGCTGGGTCTAGGGGACCACTACCACCAAGGCGCGGAGACCAGTAGTGGCCCCGAATGGCTGACCGCACTGCTATTTATGTATACAAGGCAAAAGGGGCAGGGTAAGCAGTGTGAGTCATCTCCAACGATTGATAAGGTCACGTGAGTCACGTGTCCACCGGACAGGGGGCCTTTCCCTTTTAGGTAGCTGAGGTGGGGAGAGGACAGCTTACGTCATTATTTCTTCTACACTCTTCTCAGAAAGATCAAAGACTTTAACACTTTCACTAATTCTGCCACTGCTATCTAGAAGGCGGAGCCAGGTGTATAGAGCGGAACGTGAAAGTGAAACAGGAGTGTGACCGCTGAAGCACAGCATCACAGGGAGACATTTAGGCCTCCAGATGGCTGCAGGCAGGCTTGACTGATGTCAGGCCTTCCACAAGAGGTGGTGGAGCAGAGTCTTATCTAACTCCCCCGGGGAAAGGGAGACTCCCTTCCCCCGTCTGCTAAATAAGGGGTGCCTTCCCAGGCACTGGCGCTACCGCTGGACCAAGGTCCTCTAGGCAACTGGCACCTTCCCAGGCACTGGCGTTACCGCTAGACCAAGGAGCCCTCTAGTGGCCCTGTCTGGGCGTGACAGAGGGCTCATACTCTTGCCTTCTGGTCACTTCTCACCGTGTCCCTTCAGCTCCTATCTCTGTATGGTCTGGTTTTTCCTAGGTTATAATTGTAGAACAGAGGTTATTATAATATTGGAATAAAGAGTAATGCTACAAATTAATGATTAATAATATTCATATGTAATCATATCTATATTCTATTTCTAGTATAACTATTCTTATTCTATATATTTTCTTTATGATACTGGAACAGCTTGTGCCCTCGGTCTCTTACCTTGGCACCTGGGTGGCTTGCTGCCCACAATAATCCAATATAAATACTATATGGTGGAGATATATATATATATATATATATATATATAGTTTTTATTTTTTCAGAGGTATGTCACCTTCTGAGGGGGAAGAAATAGGCCGCAGGGTAGGCAATTTTATCCAATTTGAGTGAATCATTATACTTCTTCACTACCGGTTACTGACCCATGAAGGATGACTGCTAATTCATATGTTGTCTTTCTTTGCATTAATTTTGAAAATAGAATCACTTTCTAAAAATACATAATTTCCAACTATCAGAAAATTATCATAATATACATATTTTGAGAGAATAACTCATTTCACGGACATCTGCTGGAAAATCATAGTAATAAATATACACACCCATGACTTTTCTATAAGAATGGCACAAATGTAATAGTAGCTTTGTACTCTACAACCCCATCCAAATCACAGTGATTGGCTGTAGTGTGTGTCCATGATCTAAGCCAGATCTATAAAAATTTTCTCCTGGGAGCTTGCTGTGATGACCATCCTTTTCTAGTTGTAAAGTTGTGAAAATGTGAGCCTGAACTTACTAGTGATCAAGGTTCAATTTTGTGGAGAAAATGGTATACAGGCAAGAGGCCAATCCACAAAAGAGGAGTGGGAAATAGAGTCAGAAAGAAATAGTCCCAATGATTCTAGAATTTCTGCCTCCAATTCTACCTGAGGATATTTTTATCCTCACTTTTCTATGGTTCAACTATGAGACGATTTTTTCTGTTGAGTTGTGCAAAAGTTCAGATTTTGTCACATGGTTAAAAAGTCTTCCAATTAACATACATTGGATGTTCTCTTAGTCCATTTGGGCTGCTATAATAAAGTACCACAGACTAGATGGCTTATAAACAATACAAATTCATATCTCACAATTCTGGGGCCTGTGAATCCCAAGGTCAAAGCACTAACAGATTTCGTGTCTGGTGAGGTTCTGCCTCCTTTTAGAGACAGGTCTCACTATAGCCTCACATGATGGAAATGGGGAGGAAGCTCTCTGGCACCTCCTTTATGAGGACACTAATTCTCTTCATGTGGGCTTTGTCCTCATGAGTTAATAAATCCCAAAGGCCCCATCTTCTAATACCATTATCTTGGGAGATAGGATTTCAAATTAATTTTGGAGGGATAGTCAGACCATAGGAGAGGTCAAATAAAATGAACTCACTATAGTTAAGAATGAGGGCAGGAAGAGATACTCGGAGTAATCCCACTTTGTATTTATTAGAGTCATGTAGAGAATTATCTAGTGGTTCCTGCTGGGATTATGTCTAATTAAACCTAGTGGCACAACTACTCTTAGCACTGATTCTTGCTCAAGCATTTAAAAATATTTGTTGAATTAATTTCAAAACACACAGAGACAACTGTTTACTCATTCATTCATTTTGTTAAGTATTTATTGATCAGCCTTTTTGCAATAGACACAGTTCTAATTACTCAGGATATTGTGTTGAGTACTTGCATTTAAACTCCCAGATCTCATTTTTTAAAACCTATATACATCAACAGTACATAGCCATCATGCCAGAAGCAGTTGATACATTAAAAGGAGACATTCTCCAGAACAATAGAGACAATTTAATAAAATGTATGAGTGAACAAGGAGTTCTAGCTCTCAATTTATTGTTCCCTAGATGTGATATATTGGATATGCCATTTAGCCTACTAAGGCCTTAACATTTAAGTAGATGCTCTTTAGAGTTATACTTATTTAAGATTTATCTAGATGCTCTTTAAAGCTTATAACAAACAGAAATTTAACTAAATTATTTTTAAGGCTTATTCCAGGTAAAAAGAAACTTAAAGTTTTTATTTTAATCTCTCAAATTGGTGGTTTTCAAAGTGTGGTCCCCTACCAGCATCCTAGAAATTTGTTAAAATACACATTTTAGACCTCATCCTAGACATACTGAACTACAAACCTTGGGGCAGGGAGTATAGCAATCTTTTTTTTAAAGAAGTTCTGATGGGTACTAGGCTTTCTCAACCACTGCCTGGACATATAAAATATGTTTAATAGTAAATATATGTATGGAAAACGTTTCTAATTTTTCATAACTATATCATTGATATGGTTAGGCTTAGTGTCTCCACCCAAATCTCGTCTTGATTTGTAATCCCCATAATTCCCACGCGTCAAAGAAGAGACCAGGTGGAGGTAATTGAATCATGGGGGCAGTTTCCCCCATGCTGTTCTCATGACAGTGAGTGAGTCCTCATGAGATCTAATGGTTTTATAAGGGGCTTTTCCCCCTTCACTCCGCACTTCTCCTTCCTGCTACCTTGTGAAGAAGGTGCCTTGCTTCCCCTTCACCTTCCCCCATGATTGTAAGATTCCTAAGGCCTCCCCAGCTATGCTGAACTGTGAGACAAAATATTTTGGGAATATTCTTATGCTTTTTGTGAATTTAAAATTATGTCAGTGTCACAGAGTTTTTTCCTGTGGGTTAATTACTAGGGATCAACTGCAGTGGATTACACATACACACACACACACACACACACACACACACGCATACACATGAGAATACTGATAAAGGCTTGTAACTAAAGAAACAAAACCTAGATGATCTCCTGTAATTATCCAATTCTTCCTGTTACAAAACTCAGAAAATGATGAATAGAGAGACAGGGAGAATAAAATCCTGGGTTTGCAATCACTTCTATAAATGAGTAAGACTCTCCTTTATTTAGAAATGTATTATCCTGTCTAAGTTTATAAGTAATGTGGTTTGGTTGTGTACATTTGCAGCTAGCACTAGTACATTAACGAACTTACAGAAAGATTTACCAGAAATTTTATTAGGTGTCACTTTTGCTGTTTGGTCTCTATAACTGGAGTCTAAAACATCCTATATACTGATCTCTGAGAGAGTCTAGGATTACCCAAAGGAATGAAAGATTTTTCCATAGGGTAATACAAAAATAGGAAGTAAATACACTTGATTTATATTCATGGGCCCTTTTTATTCTGTCTTCTTCTCCTCAATATTTATAATTCCCTTTATAAAAGTTTCTTCTTTAGACATATTTTATGGAGATTTGCTTTAAGTGATCCTTAATGACTAGAAGATAGGGACAGACACCACTGCTGCAATCCTACCAGCTTTCTCAGTTTGGGCCTGGAAGCCAATTTTAACTTTTCCCTATTCAGTTAACTCTATATTGTATAAAGACATAGATAGATAGATGATAGTGATTATTTCAGAGTGAACTGTGATATGGGTGTGGGTGGTGTGTTTCTAAGCAATAATTATGATTTGATTTTAAGTCAGAATTATTTGTTTCAGTAGCAGCAGTGGATATCAGAGTATCAGAAGAGAACAGTTTTTTTTGTTTTGTTTTTGTGACGGAATCTCGCTCTGTCACCCAGACTGGAGTGCACTGGCACGATCTCAGCTCACTGCAAGCTCCACCTCCCGGGTTCAAGCAATTCTCTGCCTCAGCCTCCTGAGTAGCTGGGATTACAGGCTCCTGCCACCATGCCCAGCTAATTTTTGTATTTTTAATAGAGATGGGGTTTTGCCATCTTGGCCAGGGTGGTCTTGAACTCCTGACCTTGTGATCCACCCATCTCGGCCTCCCAGAGTGCTGGGATTACAGGCATGAGCCACTGTGCCTAGCCTGTTTTGTTTTTTTTTTTTTAATCTTTAGTGAATGAGATTCAGAGTAGCATGGACATCTTCTTATATTGTGGGAGGATTATTTTGTCACTGTGAGGGAAATCACAATTTCCTTTCCTCCTCTCCCATATCCTTGTCTAAAGTCACTTAACTTTGAGTTTGGCGGCTTTCTTACACACTTGCCTACTATTAAGAGTCAAAAATAATTCCAATCTAGAAGAATAGTACTTTCTCTTTTCCCCTACCATTAGCTTTTGCTAGTTTTGACAATTTTGGGGAGTCTGTAAACCTGATATAATTATTTTAATGTTATATTTTTTATAAAATAAAGAATTTGAGGAGAAAAAGGATGTTTTAAAAATCTAATTCTCCCTACCTCAGAGAACTCAAGCATATTACTTATTTCACACTTTTAATCATTTCTTCTCTTTTTCTTTTCTCCAGTTTGCATGCTGCAGACTTGTTCTTATAATCTCTTCTTAAGTCTTTCCAGCAGCATCTGCTTTTCACCTTTTCTCATTTCTTCCCCTGATTTTTCAATGCAGTTTTCAATGGTTTTCTTTTGACACCACTTTCAAATTTCAATTTTTTCTTCTGTTCTCTTTCTTCCTCTATATTCCACATATGACTTCCAAAGGTTTTGTAAAGATGAATTGTCCAGGATTAAGAGAGTGATTGATTAAGAGCCTACAGAACTGGGAAGAGGAGAGCTGCCAAGCTTTTCTTTATGTGTAGCACAGTGGAGCTACCCAGAGTGTGAGAAGCAAGAAACAGAGAGCCTTGCTAAGGCACGACGAAAAGGGGAAGCCTATTAAAAGAATGATCTGGAGGAGTGTGCAGTGAAGAAAATAAAGTAGAGCCAGCCTGCTGGGTCAGTAGCTAATAGCCCATGGGTTTACAACTAAGGAAGTTAAAATTCTAGCTAATGAGAATTGTAGACACCTACTGAGAGTGAACCGAAGGCTTCCTATTAACTTCCCTTCTTGGGTCTTTTTGACAGAACAGTCAGAAAGTTGTTTCCTATTTGTTTAGTAGCAAAAGAGTTGAAATGGAGGTTTAAAAAATGATGAAAGAGAAGTTGGAGGCAATCTCTTACTCAGCTCCTTCACGAGGTCCAAATACGATGTCTCCCCCACTCCACTCAAAATGTAAATCAGCATAGGTCACAAAAAGAGGAAGGACAGTTAAAAAAAAAAAAAAGAGTTGGGCCAAATAAGACATACAGCCAAGATGACTGAGACAATCAGAGAGGATTTGGGGTGTGGGGACTTCAAATTAATAAATCCGGTATTAGCTTTGTGGAATTAGCAGGATTAGGGTACCTCTTTCAAGAACACTGGTTGAATTTCATGGTTTCAATAGATGACCATTAGCTGTTATGTGCACCCCCCCCCCCCTTTTTTCTTGCAGAAGTTAAGAAGTCTGCTTAACTCGCAGGTCACCAAGAGATTGATTAAAGGCCTCTGGACATCATTTGGGTTTGGATAAATCTGTAGGGCCACTTTACAGACTGTCTCCAACTCCTGATCCCACTGTGGTTCTTTCTGAATTGATCCAGGTCCCTGCTAGCAAGTGAAGCAGAAAGAATCCAGGCTAGTTGTGAGATGACATACAGCAAGCAGGCTGAGATGATGGGGACATTTCAGAACCAAGAGGAGGGGGCGGGCAGGACACGGACTTGTCTCCCCCACCTTGATGCCAAGGTGGCATCTGGGAGATATCTCGAAGGGCAACGTCGAGGGGACTGCAAGCGTCAACCCTGGCGCGGCAGCACGGCGCCCCTCTCCGCGGGCGGGGAGCGAGCGCGTGTGCGCGAGAGCGCCGGGCGGCGGCGGGAGGAGGCGCAGGCGCGCTGCTCGCCCGTCTGCAGCCCCGAGCCGAGCGCCGCGTCTCGGGAGTTGATGGCAGCACCACTGTGCGGCCGCCCGGCCGAGCGCGGAGCGCAGCCACTCGCCGCTGCCCAGGGAGCGCCCAAGATGTGGGGGGACCGGGGCGGCAGCGGCCGTAGCAGCGCCAGGGACGGGGGCACGCAGCAGCCTCCGCTCGCCCGCCTGTCCTGACCTGCCTCGCTTGCCCCCAAAGAATGTCAGCCAAGTCCAAGGGGAACCCCTCCTCGTCCTGTCCAGCCGAGGGACCGCCGGCAGCCTCCAAAACCAAGGTGAAGGAACAGATCAAGATCATCGTGGAGGATTTGGAATTAGTCCTGGGCGACCTGAAGGACGTGGCCAAGGAACTTAAGGAGGTGAGAGGCGCAGGGGTGGGGAGGGAGTTCGGCACCCTTCGACCCCTCCGGGGTCCCCTTTCCGATTTTCAGCAGGGACAGCCAGATTTCCAAACTCCTGGGAAACTACAGAAAAGGCGCCTGCAGACGGACTTTCTTTGCTCCTGGAGTCCTGAGAGGAGTTGTTGTTGCACTTTTTAATTTTTTTTTTTAATCAGGAAGAAATCAACTAGTGTTTTAATCGATGGACCTGGGCTGGTGGGAGGGATGAACGCACGCGTGTCTCTGAATCTGTGTGTGTGACGACGGGGGAGAGGGTTAGCTGGGGGTGTGTCGGCAGAGGAAGTCGTGAGCAGCCCGGCTGGAGCGTGCAAGATGCTCCTCTCCTGCCCTATTGCTTCCCCAGAGTCCTTTGGCAAGTCCGCTGCCTATCTGTCAGCCTCCCCAAGTCAGGGCTGAAGAGGGGCCGGGTTCTGGGCCCTGGGCCAGATCAGGGAGGGCAGCCTGGAGGAAGCTTGGCTCAGACTACCCTCCCTGTCTCTCGAGCCTCGCTGTAGGGAAGGCGACCCGGGCTGCTGGCAGCCTTGGGGCTAAGGAGGGGGTCTGGGACTTTCTCACTTTCTCAGTTTCTGAAGCATCCCCTGCTCTCCTCCGAACGTCGTTACCAGTAACTCTGGGCCTTCCCGCCACCCTACCTCTGCTTCCTTCCTTCCACCCTGTCGCCACTTGGCATTGAACCCGAGAAGCAGGACGCGCAGGAGAGTGTATGTGTGGCCGGGGTCTTGCCATTGGCGTCCTGGCTCTCTGCAGCTGGGACTGCTTCGGTTCTTCCCCGCTTTTCCTATCCCACTTCGGTTCAGCCCTACTCCCGCCCGCCCCTAGCCCCAGGTGATCCAGATGGAAAGAAGCAGAGAAGGTGTCAGGGCTGAGGCTGCGTAACTCAGGCGGCGGCTCCGGGCGGGGGCGGGGGCCGGGCTGGGAGGGGTGGGGTCTCCCGAGCCAGGCTGGCTGCCGGCGGCGTCGCGGAGCTGGTAGCAGAGTCCCAGCGCGCCGCTCACTACTGAATGGGGTCCTGGTGCGGTTCTCGGTGAGGGAGTCCGCAGCTCCGCTGCGTGAGAGCTAAGACTAGAACTTCGAAGGTGGCGGTGGCTGCAGCGGGAAAAGGGGTGGGGCGTAGTCTAGGTCCAAAATTGTAATCCTGTTTCTGAAGCCAACGGGGAGGAGACTGAGGGTTGTTTGGATGACTGGCCTCTAGAGATTAACCTCCTGTATTCAATTTCCAAACCAAATTTCAAGAGCCCCCTCGTCTTCCTCCCCTTCCCCCGTTACCTCTATGAACTGAACTCTGCATTTGTTACCTAATGCAAGTCTGTTAAAATGGGCCATTCGTCACCAGGGTTAAGTTTGCCAGTGGTAAATGTCGTTCCTGTAGGTTACTCCACAGACAGAACATAATTAGTACTGAGGTCCTGAGAGTGGCTGTTAGTATACATAGATTCAGGGATAAAACTTGTTCGTGTTTTCAGGGTTTCTGTAGGATTATTGCTTCACAACTGGTTGACAGATGGTGGGGTTATGCATTGAAATTCAATTCTAAAAATGCTGTCCCTTTCTTTGTTATTCTTTTATATGACATCTTTGGTAGACTGTGTTTTCATCTGAAACATGGCGTTTTAAAAAATGAAATTGGGCATGTTCCTTTCGGCAGAATTGTGCTTAATAGTTGGTGAGGTTTCTATGGGCGATGTGGAAAACCTACAGCGGCACAGAAACGTATTTACTGTTTTCATGAGGCTGAGACTAAAAGAAAGGTAGTTAAACAGAATTCTGCATCTGTGAGCCATACTTCCTTATGTTTTAATGTCAGTCCACTCACTTTTTTTGCACAGAATAAATGACAAGAAACTGCACATGGTCCTGGTTTTGCTTTGCATCATTATTTATGGACATTTAGAGATTAAGTAGTGAAATCTTCAACCTCCCTGTGGTTATTGGTTAGAATCACAAAAATGTAAGTCAGGAAATCTGTTGATACCACTTTCTGTGTCTTCATTACTGAAGATTTTTTAAGGTTAAAAAAAAGGTTGTTTATAAGAGGAATAAAAAGCAGAGATAATGTACAACCCAGTAGATGAAACTATCTGACAGATCTAGAGATACAATTTTGACTCAACATTTTGGAAGATTTGTTTGTCTTAAGGATCTGTTTGAGTAAAAATCTCACCATGAAACTGAAATTTATGACATAAATAATGTGATGTGATTGTTAATTACTTTTGTGTGGGTATCATCATCCTAGATTTGCACAAGAAAATGTACCTACAATGGCCAAATCCCAAAACATCGGCTATTCATAGAATATGAATGAAAATATTTTGAGAACAAAGTATTTATAGGGTATGTTTAACCTATGACATCTTGCAGTTGTCCAGCATGTATCTTTTTAGGATAATCCTGCATATGTGAGTGAACATGTCTTTGGTATAGTTTTGGATAAAGAAATAACAAAACTTTGTACATTACAAAGCTTGTTGGTTGCTGTACATGAATGTTGCTATTCATCATATTCAGTATTCTGGCAGCTTAAAATTAGTACGTGTTAAATATAAACTGCTATATTTAGAATTCTAATTCCTTTATTGGCAATGCTATGCTTTTAGACCATAATATATTTTAATATAAATTATCGGCGAGCTCTTCTTAACTTGCAACAGAAATTAAAAATAAAAAAGTAGTTATGACTATATCACTATGGCAGTCATCATATAGTATTTATTTTTTCTTTCTGCTTTTAAAAAATATCTAGTTAAAATGCAATCTTCTTTAATTCTGTTCTTTGTTTTTGTGTAATTTCTGCACCAACAATATTAAACTTTGGTTTGAGGTTACTCTGAAATTGCTTTTCTTCATAGAAGTTTTCTGGGCTTAAGTCATCTGAAAACTCAGGTAGTAGGATAGAATCAAACATAATAGTAATTGCTTGAAACACTTTAATAAGTAGTGACAAAACTCTAGTCTGCTCAGCAAGAAGAGTTGTTATTTTGGGTATCTGTTTTATGATTATTTAGTTATAATTACTTAATCAGTTATAATTGGATTATATATTAGAAGCAGAGGAACAGGCTTTCTAGAAAGTCAAAGAGCAGCCTTATTCTACTCTCAGAATTTAGTAAAATCTCAAATAATTTGACTTTTCAGAAATAATATGGGTCCTTTTGTTTTCTATGCTATTAATATATTGGAAAAGCCTTAAATATAATTCAGTATACTTATTGAGCACCTACCATGTTCCAAGTACTATAACACCTTTTAAATTGCTACCAAGATGAATAAGGCATAGTTTCTGGTCTCAGTGAGCTCCAAAGGTTAGTTAGGGATATATTTATCCTGTCTTCCAACATCAGCAGTATAAAAAGACATTGTGGCCTTTAGTGGCCACTCTCACTGCAGGCTTGGGGAAATCGAGAATTGAGAATGAGAGTGAGTATATGTTGATTTATAAAATGATGTGTGCTGCATACTTAGTAGTATGGCAAGTCTTTGATGAAGAAATAAGCTTAAAAAGATGAAAATATATGAATTTTAAGAAATTTACAGTTGACTTAGATTGTCATGGTTAACATAAATGGATCAATACCATATACAGGAGATTACATATTCAAATGTTGTAACTAAATACTGAAGATTTCCATGAAAGCTAAGTCTTTTGGAGAAATGGAGAGTTAAAAAGGAAGATTTTGAATTCTTCTTTTTCTTAATGTAAATAGGGTTTTAAGAGGTAGTCACAGGTAAAAGGAAATAGGTTTGGACTACAAGAGTAATCCATGTTGCATTTTTCTACACATTGAAAAAAAAGAAGAAAATAGTGGTGAAACTCTAGAGTTTTAGTGATAAAATTAACCATAACTGGTAGAGTAGGTGTGAGTGATACTTTTTCACTAAGAAATGTAGAAACAAAGCAATTGCTTTTTAAAATAGTTCTCAAATAATCTAATGCCTTTGAGTAGCAATATGCCTGTTCTTTTATGAAGATCTCACTGGTAAACTATTTTGCATTAAATGCTGGTATTAATATGGGATCACATATCTTATTGGTCAGAGTGACACTGGAATCTGTAATAATCAGCCTTTTATCTGGAAACAAAACTAATTGCAGCTTTAGCTGGATTCTCTTTTAGTTTAGACTTGTTATAACCTTGAGCTTTTCTTGTAGTGTTTATTTTTATGATTTCAAGTAACAAGGCTACTATATGAGTTGAAAAACATATGTAAATAATTTCTTGAGAGGCTTTCTGAATAGACATGACTCTAACAGAGAAACTAAAATAAAGTTGTTTTGTTGTTGCCTTAGAATCACTCAGTGACTGGATCTCCATTGGTGAGAAGTATGTCAGCATTGTTGCCATGGACTGGAAAGCACCCATAATTTGTCTTACAATGGCATAAACTGAAATAAATTTAAGTTGAATTTTGAACAATTTGAACCCCATAGGAAACAGTCTGATTTGAACTGATGAAAACAGAATTAACAATTATCTGAAAAATATTTTCACTTCTAAATGTTCCCTCTTTTAATGTCTTAACCACTTGATGTTCTATAGTTTATTGTCTGGAAATTCCTACCGAGTATTTTTTGGTTAATGAGCCCATGCATAAAAAATTCGTTACAAGAAAAAATTATAGAGAATAATCTCGGAACTATTTTCTTTTTGTTTGAGACAGTATCTTGCCCTGTCACTTAGGTTGTAGGGCAGTGTTAGAGATCTTGGCTCACTGCAGCCTCCATCTCTTAGGTTGAAGGAGTCTTACCACCTCAGCCTTCTGAGTAGCTGGGACTAGAGGCATGCGCCGCCATGCCTGGCTAATTTTTAATTTTTTTTTTTTTGATAGAGATGGTGTCTTGCCATATTCCCCAGGCTGATCTTGAACACCTGTCTTCAAGTCATCCTCCTGCTTAGGCCTCCCAAAGTGGTAGAATTATAGGTATGAGCCACCATGTCTGGCTTGAAGTATTTTCCAAGTTCTAAAGTTGTGTATAAATAGAATTTAGTAGTTCTTTTAATTGTAGCAATAGTCATACTTTTACTACTTTATACCACAGTCTACCTCCCCAAACTGTGGTATATTTACCAAATGCTAAAATGCTCTGAAATTTTTCTTTACTTAGGCATGATGGCCTAGCAGTTACCAAAAATAATTTTGAGAACATAGAGGTAGCCAATAATCATCCATCACTGTCTATTTCCAATGAATTAAAACATTCAACACTTAGAGAATTAGCTGATAAGAAATTCAAGCAGCCTTAAAGTAATAGATAGTGTGTTTCAGGCAACAGTGAAGTAATAGATAATAAAGCCAGTGTAATAGGTTTCATTATTACCTGGATTATGTTATTTTCATCCTTGCTTCTCTGAGGATCTCAGGTACTTAAATCTAAATGTAGGAAAAAAGATAGAAATGCAAGTTTGAGCAAAACATATTTTCCCAAACTATAGAACTTTTCTTCTGTAGAGATAGTTCTTGAAAAATTTCAGGGGCAATTTTAGAGATTTAGAGTAATAAAATTCCAGTAGGTCGCTGATTCAACTCTGATTGAAATATACATGACTGACATCAAGCTGCAAATACAAAGTTAACAAACAACAAAGGGCACTATTAAAAAAATCAAATTTATTTTTTCTGATGTTAGGAGCAGCACATGAATATTATAGAAAGTTTGCAAAAATCTAAAGAAATATAAAGGAGAAAACAAAAATTATCTTTAGTACCACATAAAAATAAGTATACTAAACATTTTGTCATATTTTCTTTTAGTCTTTTTGTATGCATATTTTAACATAGATGAAGTTATACAAAGTTATAAATTATAAGCAATGACATTTTCTACTTTCTTGAATGATATAGATCGTAACTATTACACAGATTTGCTATAAGTTACTTCATACTTCCCTTAATATTGGGTATTCTATTTATTTCCAGCTTTTCATGGTTATTAAACGTCACTAGAAAGAGCAGTTTTGGCAATATGAATATCTAACAGAGGTCTTACTCTCTGCCAGGTACTCTTCTCAGCGCATTTATTTATATTAAATTATCTAATTCTCAAAACAGGTAGATGAGGAAGTTACTGATATTGCCCATTTTACACATAAGAAATCTGAGGTCCGAGATAGTAAGTCATTTGCCCAACTCACTTGTCTTGTAAGTGGAGAAGTGAAGCTTCATTGCCAGGTAGCTTGGTGTCAAAGAACAGCATTAACCGCCAAGCTCTTTCACGTTTCCTATTTTTTTTTTAACATTTTCTTAGAAGTCAAGGATCTAAAAGCTTTAAAATTCTCAATTCATATTGCCAAACTGTCTTCCAGGGAGTTTTCACAAATTTTTGCTTGCAGCAGCAGCGTATGTATGGACACTGTTTCTTAAATTGGGAGTGAAGCTAATAAACCATTTCATTATTTCATTAAGGCTTGCTGTGTAGTTTATTATCTTCATGGTAACAGTCATTATTTTTGTAGGTTGCAGAAAACAGTATTGAGACAAAATTAATAGTGAATAAATTAGACCTTGCAATTTAAAATTTGCAAATAAAGATGTGCTGTGATTAATTACCTTTAACTTATTCAACAAAAATGTTGATAAGAATATTACATAGATTTTTAATATTCTGGCTGAGAAAATAAAGGAACAACTAATATGGAAGCTCGTTGATACTTAGCATTGTATATAATTGTTTCAAAGAATACAAATAATTTGGAATATATTATTCTCTTTTGTTGCTATCAAATTACCTTAGAAGAGAGGCACTATCCTTAAGTTTTCTGAGATGTTTGAGGTTTGACAGTTCTCTTGCTTTCTGCTATGACTGATGAATTAGAGAATCTTGTTGAATTCTTTACTAGGAACAACATTATTGAACTGGCTAATGATGTCATATGTATATATTATAATTCGATTTCTTGTATTAACTTTAGTGCTATCGATTATAAACCACCTCCTCTCTCCCACATATAAGGGTTATAAGAAATGGCCTTATTCTAAAATTGTTTGTTTTCTTTTCCAGTATGTTATGAATAGAAATGTTTTTATTGTATTAAAAGTTAGTTCATTAGGATAATTACTCTGAATTAAATTTCCCACAGGAACTGGGAACCCAAAGTCAGCAGAAATTCATCTTTAAACAAGAACCAGAAAGTAGCATTAACTGAAATGAGAAAATAAAGACATATCTAATATCCAAATCAAAGTAGACTCACAAGGTAGTCTGTCAACTCAGGACAAATGTTGTCTTGCTTATATGGGATAAGCTATTTATTTATTTAGAATGGAAAGACATGAGGATTCCAAAGAATTTAAACTCCCAGACCTCACTTTCAGGCAAGAAATATTAACACTGTTAGGACTGAATTTATATTCATCATCTTTGTTTTCTCTCTTTCTACTTTGCAAATGCTGCTTCAGATTGGTGTTTGAGATAAATGTTTACTTGTAGAATAATTGAAGTTAGGCAAATTACATACTTATGCTCAATGACACAGTTATCATGATGTTTGGGACACTATAAATAGATTTTCAACTACAGATAACATATGTTATCCTTGTCTGGAAAAAGAAAATTTGATGATTTCTGACAGGTTCTTTTTGTAGTACCACACAAATGTTAACAGATACATTGGTGTGCATTTTCCCCTTTCATAATATCACCTTATCTCAAGATTTCAAACTGTGTGTTTATATGAGAGAAAAATACTGGGTTAAACAATATCAGTCAAATCAATTGCCTTCTAGCATCAGTGGTTCTTAATAGTCTCCCTCCCCCCATATCACAAACCCCTTTGAAAAAAGGAAAAAAAGTTGGGATTATTTCTTCTGGAACAAAAGCTCACACAAACGTGGTTCCTGCACATGTTCAGGGAATCTTGGGTGGGTGGGAATGACTCAGGTAAAGAGACAAAACAAGTGGTTGATTGCCATTTTATTTTTTAGAAATTTTAGCTAATTGTTTGAGGTTTGGCTCCATAATTTTCAGAATTAAAAGTCCTGGCCCTACAAAAAGAAAAAAAAGAAATACTGATGGCTGTGGTTTGATGTTTTTTATGTAGGGGAAAAAAATGAGTGGCATATCAACAGTTTCTTTCTCTTAGGATGTGATGTCAGTGTGAAAATAGGTGGTATATTTATAATTCACGACTTTGCAAAAGCTGTAGAATGCTTGTGTGTCTGAAAGTTAACTCTTTCATTTTGTCGTTTCTTATGATGTTTGCCATAGTATATCAGTAAATAGATGGACAAAAAGTTTTCAGAACTCATTGTAAATTAAGCATATTCTCTTCTTAAAACTGATTGCAGATCAGCATTTTTATTTGTTTTATTTTTTTCTTATGTCACATTAACATGAATTATGAAAGACATATTGAATTCTTGATATGTGTAAGTCACTGTGCTGAAGAAAGTAAAAGATGCATATATGAATAAGCTTAGTGATCTGCCCTTGAAGTAACTATTTTCTGTTTACTTTTGATGACAGTGATAACACTGTAGGCTATTATGAATTGACATAACTTTGTAATTTTAAAGCCCAAATATCAGAGGTATATTTATGTTTATCCAATTATATATAGAATGAAGTATAAATTTGATTGCCTCTTTATTGCATAGCTCAATGTTTTTGATAAATATTTGGGGTTATCTTTTGTTTTAAAGAATAGGAGAATTTTTAGTCTGTGTTGCTCAGTAAGGTGGCATAGTATAGAAGGGTGAGAGCACAAACTCTGAAGCCAGTCTGCTTTTTTTCAAATTGCTCTGCTGTGCAATATTGAGCACATTATTTAATTTCTCTCTGTTTTCATTTTCTCCATAGTGTGGCGATAGTGACAGTGTTATGTGCAGTATAGGTTGGTTATGAAGATTAAATGAGTTCTTTGTAGAACGTTTAGAATGGTTCCTATGCATAAAGCAAGCATTGTATGTGTGTCTGTCATTAGTGTTATTATTTGAATTTGTCTGAGCCCCTTTATTCATTTATTCAACAAGTAGTGTTTAACACCTACTGTACACCAGGCACTGTTCTAGTTTCTAGGGATATAGTGGGGAACAAAACAGACAAAATTCCTTCATGGAGTTTACATAGTGGATGGGGAGGGTAGGGAGAAGATAGCTCAGTAAAATAAACACTAGTTTACATCAAATATTAGAAGGTGATTTATCTTATGAAGTAATAGAAGATTATAATGGGATGAATAGTGATGAGGAGGAAGTGCAATTTTAAATAGGATTGTTCAGAATAAGCCTCACTGAGAAAGTGGCATGGTGGCATTGGGGAAAATGCTTGAAGGTGAAGGAGCAAGCAGTAAGGAAATCTAGGGGAGCATTTTCCCAAGTAGGGAATAGCAGCCCAAGGGCCTTATAGTGGACAAGTTTCCCATGCATTTGCAGCAGAACAAGGGCCCAGGGTGGCAGGAGTGGACGAGCAGGGCAAGAGTAGCAGTGATAAGGTCAGATAGATATGGGGGACATGTCTAAGGATTTTGATTCTTCCTTAGAGTAAAATGGGACTTCTGAGCAGGGAGGTGACTAAATCTGCTATACTTTCATCTTTTTACCTTTAATCACTGGCTCAGGGTTTCTCAAACTCTGCACTATTGACATATTGAGTGGATAATTCTTTGTTGGGGGGATTGTCCTGTGCATTGTAGGATGGTTGGCAGCATCTACAACTAGATGCCAGTAGCAACCAAAATGTTAATGTGACAATGGAAAATGTTTCTAGATGATGCCACATGTCCTCTTCCTACTTTGCAATAGTAGAACTAGGAACCCAAAGGACTACTTTGAGAACTACTGCTCTTGCTCTTCCATCTTATTCCATATTACTTAATATTGTTTTTGCTACCTACCTTTTTCTTTCTTTATGCTTAGCCATCAAACATTCAGACTTCATGTCTCTTTTGTGTCTTGTATTTGCTATCTTTTTTTTAAAAAAAAAACCCATTATCTGTATTTTTCTTTACATTTACCTCATTCTTTTTCCCTTAATTCAACCTACTTTAAAAATATGCCTTCCAATTTCCATCCACCACTTCCATTTTTTTGCTTTCCATTTTGTTTTCACAATGAAATAAAAGTTAAATTGGTATTTTTTAAGGGATTTGGGTAAATATGTGTGTTTTAGGATTTGGGAGAAAAAAAGGAGAAACTCAGAAAGAATGAAGGGAGCAGTTGAGGCTGAGCTGCTTGTCTTCTTGCCAGTTAGTTTGTGAGTGAGATCAGAGGCAACCTTGACTAGTGGAAGGACTTTTGTCTCATCCATCAATTAGTCTTATGCTGCTTCTGCCATTTTCATTTCTGTAGACAGAAGAGAATTTAGAATGGTTTCACTGCTGTCTAGTGGGGGACAAATTATAGATGATGATGATGACGATGATGATGATACAGATGACTGACAACTGTTAACTTCTCACTATGTGCCAGGGACTATTGTGAGTTAACTCACTTAATCCTCATAGCCACCCTTTGAGGTACCTATAATTATTCTATAGATGAAGAAGCACAGACAGAGAGGTTAATTAAGAGCAAGTGTTGGAGTTGAACTCCTGATATTTCCCCCTTTAAGCTGAAGTCCATGACCTGCTTCCCAATTCCTGGCAGCCACACAGTTGCTCTGCTATTTTTCAGTCTTCTAACTTCAACATAGTTACTTTTTACTCTTTTTCATCCTCTACCTTCTTTAAATCACGTCTCTTTTTCCTTTCTTGTTTTTATCCTTTCTCCTCTACTTTCTGTCTTACTTTTTTTCTTCTGTTTTTCTGCCTTTTGCTTCCTTATCCTCTTCTTTGAAATCCATATCTTATTTACTAAATTTTTTTTGACACTTTGAGAGGCAGAGGCAGGAGGATTGCTTGAGGCCAGGAGTTCAAGACCAGCTTGGGCAACAGAGCAAGACCCTGTTTCTATAAGAAATGAAAAATAAGCTGGGTGCTGTGGTATGTGCCTATAGTCCCAGCCACTCTGGAGCCTGAGCTGGGAGGATCGCTTGAGCCCAGGAGTTCAAGGTTCCACTGAACTGTAACCATGCTACTGCATTCAAGCCTGGGTGACAGAAAAAGACTCTGCCTCAAAAAATAAAAATAAACCCAGAAAAATATTTCTTTTATTGCCTACTATATGCAGGGTACTGGGCTATTCCATATAGATAAAATAGTCAGCAAAACATATGTAGCCCCTGCCGTCTTGGAACTTATATTTTAGTAGAGAGACATTATTCAAATAATAATATAAATAATATTTATGGAAGAGTATTAAGGGTTATAAAAGAAAAGTACATGATGCAACAAGAGCATAAAATCATTGATAAGTCTTGTTGATTCTTGCTGAGAAGAGGATTTTGATTAGCTGCTTTCTTTCCCGCTGCCACCTCTCTAATCCCTATGCTGTTAATTTCATAGATGGTGTTTTAATAGCCCTAGAGCTAATTTATCTGCCTTTTGTTCTCCTCTGCCAGTTCATTCTCTAAACACTGCCAGATTAATCTAATGTACTGCTTTCTTTGGGCCAGTCCCCTGCTTAAAAGATCACCCACTATCTCCTGTTACTTAAAATGTCAAATGATCAAACCCAGCCTTCCAGCCTGACATCCAGTGGTCCCGTCTTTCCAATTTGGCCTTGTCTCTGTCTTTCCTTCAGTGAGTAACACAGAGACCATCCCAGGCAATCTTGATATTATCACAATATTTTACCCAACTTGATATCTGTGCTCCTTATGTTTATAATCATTACCCCACTATCTTGGATTTGCTTATGTCACTTCACAGTTATTCCCTGGTTGTGCATTACTTTAAGATCTAGTAATCTTTCTCTATTGATTACTAACTATGTAACCTTCAAGAAAACATTTTGAAAGTCTCACTGTTATTATCTGATCAGGAAGTTGAACTTGAAAATTCAATTGCATGTAATACTTATTAGGGACCAAAAGCCAATCGTTCTACTTGTGTGTGAGAGCCTGTTATTTCCCATTTACTCAAGAACATCATGAACAATCCTCCCCTACCTCTCATATACCATCATTGTTTTCTCTCTCCCCTAAATGATTCCTGCCAGCATACAAATGAAATAAGTGTTAAAACCCTTTCTTAAGCCCTCTTCCCCTAAAAATTACTATCTGATTTCTCAGTTCTTCTTTACAAAAATAAAAATAAAAAATAAAAAAAAACTTGGAAGAGTTCTCTGTATTTGCTGTCACCTATTTTTCCCTGTTCTTTCCTAAATCCAGTCATATCTGTACTCTCACTACCATACCAAAACTGCCTCTATCACGGTTGTCAGTGACTCCATGTTATTTAATCCAATAGTCAACCTTCAGGCCTAATCTAGCAGCAGTTGACAGTCTCTTTAATAATCTTTCTTCACTTAGCTTGAAGAATTACCATTTCACTTCACTGATTTTTCTTTTTGTTACCTTCACTTATTCCTCCTCTAGGATGTCTAAACTGAAATTTTTATTCTTTAAAAAAAGGTACTCTTCTTGGTGTTTTATTCAGCCTTGTGGATAAATTCCATTTATATGTCCACGACTCCCAAATTTGTATCTCCAACCCAAACCTTTTTTCTGAGCTTGTGTAGCCAACAGTCTACTCCCTATCTCTACTTGGCTAAGAGACATCTTAATTTTACCATATAGCAAACTGAACCCGGATCTCCCCCCTCCCACAAAAACCTAATCCCATGCAGTTCTTCCCCTCCCTTGTCAGTTAACGGCATCTCCATCCTTTTAGACCTGGGAGTCTTTATTAATTCCTCTTTCTCTCATGCGTTATGTTCAATTCACTAGAAAGCCTAGTTAGCCCCATCTTCAAAATGTTTCCAAAGTCTGACCAATTTTTACCTCTTTCACTGTTACCATCCTGGTCCAAGCCACACTTTATTTCTCACTTTGATTGCTACAATAGCCTCCTGACTATTCTCCTTTGCTCTCTTAAACCTTTCTCAGCATTATCAGTAAGTGTGAAGTTAGACCACATTACTCTTTTCAGATCCCTGTAGCAGTTTCTCATTTTACTCAAAGTCAGAGCACTTACTGTAGCTTTGAGGCCTTTCACAGTTGTCCTCCCTTCCTTGTTATGGTTCTAATGTCCTCCCCAATTTACTACTTTCTCTGTGGCTCTCCTTACTTCAGGCTCAGTCACAGTAGTCGGCTGTTACAGGAACAAAGGCGCTATGTACATTTTCACGCCTATATCCCCACCTGAGCAAACGCTTACCTCACTCAAACTTTGCTCCAGTGGCAGAACACCACAGCCTGTTCAGGCAACTCCACATGTTGCTGAATGCTGCAGCATTTCCTGTTCTTCTTTCCTTTTTTCTTAATAATCATCAGTTATTTATATACCGAACAATTTATTTCTCATATTTATTATTATTTCCTGCCTCCAGCTTCTGAAGGTCAGTGACCTGTTTTTGTTCTCTTTTTATATTTCAAGTTTCTAGAGCAGTGGCTGGCATGTAGTAGATGCTCATTAAATGAATTAATAAATTACTGGATCTCTTTCAGCTCTAAACTCATCCTTCCAAAGTTCTCAAGGATCAAAGCTATTACCTTTTAGTTTCTACTGCAATCCAATATTTGCAGAGAAGGAACAAGAAATAGATACTTATTAAAGATTTCATATGAATTATTTATCTTCTTGCCTAATATATATGGTGGTGGTTTTTGGATTGGCTGGCGGGAGCTCTTGTTTCTCCTACTTTGATTCCATAATCTACTAGTTTCATTAAACTCATCTCATTCCCATTCAACTCAACCCATGTTCTTGTTTTTTGGAATAGACAAAGGATCTCTCAGCAATAGCTAGTATCCTGAATGCTTATTGTGTGTCATAGTTCTGAGTTTTTAAAAAATATTAACTCATGAAGTCCTGACACCTCTCACCTCCCAACCAGTGGCTCCCACATTGTCCCTCCTATGTAGAAATTTTGGAGACATTTTGTCTATGTAAACCCTAAACGTGGCCTGTAATCTCAGGATTTCATCTTTAGGCAAAAGTCTGACTCTGATTTAGGAGTGCCCATTTTTCCTTTTTGCCTAGGAATGTAATTTTAAACTCTTTGAAGCACTTAGAATTATATATTCTAAATCAGATGTAATTCTATTTTCTTCTAATAGAATATATAAACTAAAATGGGGAGAAAGCATGTCTACTTTTTACAACCTTCTCTGTTTTTCTGCTTCTGGAATATCATGCATTTTTCTTGCCTTTAGCCATTACAAATTTTAAATTAACTGGAAAATGACATTTAAAAATGGATATTGGATATAGTTTAAGTAAGTTTTAAGCACTCTACTTATGTGCTTTAGAAACAAGCAAGCAGATTGGTAAGACCTAATGCAATTTAAAACACCGAGAAATTAGGTAATATCACTCTGGCTTCTTTTTCTTCTCTTTTATATACTTCCTCTAGTGTTCAAAAATATGGGTACTTATAATCAGCCTATTCAGATACTAAAGTACTACAGTCGTTAAGGTAGAAATGGGGCTTTCCTAACCTAATATTGTTTGGAGATTATCCTATCAAGTTACTGAACTTTCAGTATATTGTCTAAGAACACATGCTCTCTTTCATTGCTTGTGGGGATTGAGTCATGCGAGGCCTTTTCATATGCGTTTTCAATCTGTCCACTTCAATCAGGGAGACTGTTGGACCTCTGTCTTTAAAGACCATGCTATGTTGCAAACTCTCCCTCAGTTTTTATAACTGAAGTCCAGGTTTTAGTTGTGCAGTTTGAATATGAACATAAACCTTCCAGCATGCTATATTTATGCAAAGTAAGAAATATTATATACCGGAATAACCACTACTGGATTATTTTGAACATAGAAATTAAATAAGCTAATGAGATCATTTTGCTTTAATATATTAAAATGTTATTTAAATATATTGATTTCAAACTGCTTTAACAAATCACCAAGAAATCCCTGGAATTAAAAAATGAGTCAAAGAAAAAATATATACTATTGGCATTTAATATAGAATATTAATAGTTGCTAGCACTTGTAAAGAAGAAGATAACTTTACATTGTAAAAGTAACTTATTGCCGTTTACTGTTTTTTTTAAAATCAGGGACTAGTGTTTGAATTAAGTTATTCTAAATTGACATCTAATAGTATTCAAATTTGTTTGATGCCCCATAGTTTTTAAGTAACTTTGATACCTACTAGTTCTTAAGTAACTGTGATACCTACTAGTTCAGTTAGTCATCATTAGATGAAGTAAAAAAAAATAGAATAAATTACTTTCAATAACTTTATGAGACATTGTTTTGTAAGCTGTATTCACTTGTGGAAGTACTTTATGCTATAATGATTAATTCATTTTAAAATAAAATTCAAAACTAGACATACACCCTGTAACATTTTTTCGGGAGATTTATATTCGATACTGAAACCTTATTCATAACAGGCTGCATTGTATGCCCTTGGGGAAACTAACATTTGTTAAAATACAGAATAATATGGCACAGCAGTACGAGCCTGTAATCCCAGCTACTCAGGAGGCTGAGACAGGAGAATTGCTTGAACCTGGGAGGCAGAGGTTGCAGTGAGCCCAGTGTTTGTGATTGTTTCATTAATCATAGAGTATGCACCAAAATGTTCAAGAGTTTAACATCTGCTTCCTGAAGTTACTAATACTCATACTGTCCAATGAATTCCAATACTCACCAATAACCTCTTAGTTCTGTAGCTCAGGTAACCTAAGATTTACTTTGCGTGAGTACTGCGTTAGCCAATAATATTTATACAATTTTCTTTTTTGCAGGGAGGGGGATAGTTACCAAGAAACCATCCAAGACAATTTTTGCTCATAATGTTTTTCTTTTTGTGCTCCCACAGAAAAAGTGAAGTCATACTTAGTATACTGACAATGTAGTACTATCTAATGGAGTTAACTCCTGTACTATACAGATTAGCTGTTGCTTAGATTTGAAATGTTTCTAACCATATTATGTTATTTTTGGCTTCTGATAATGTGTCTGCAAACTGATGAAGAAAGAGAGTTAATGAAAAAACACTGGCAACTGAACAGAGTTGCAGAGAGCAAGGAAAAACAGGGAATGAAGAATATATTTAAGTCTTGTTTTGTATAAACAAGATACTATTGTTAAAATATTTAGTGAACCTACAGATAGACCATTATTTACTGAGCTGAAACAAGATGATGATTGTCTTAAATTGTGAGGAAAGTAAACCAGTTAAGTATTTTTTATTAAGAAACTTTGATTTCCTATGCAATTATAATATTAAATATTCTTTTTTTTCACTCTGTGCTAACAGTAAATAGATGAGGTCCGATTCACTTCATGTCTTCAGAAGTTTTCCTTTAAACCACACTAATCAAATTAGCATTGACTTGAAGTATTTTTCAATATAAAGTACATGGCAGGCAATACTTTGGCCCATCTAATTCCCTTTGATATTTGTGAATTTTCAAATTAAACACAGCTACTTTACCAATGTTTTAAAATATATCTTATTTTATTTTTTTTTTGGAGATGAAGTCCCACTCTGTTGCCCAGGCTAGAGTGCAATGGCACAATCTGGGCTCACTGCAACCTCTGCCTCCCAGGTTCAAGCTATTCTCCTGCCTCAGCCTGCCTCAGTGCGCCACTACGCCTGGGTAAGTTTTGTATTTTTAGCAGAGACGGGGTTTCACTGTGTTGCCCAGTCTGGTCTTGAACTCTTGAGCTCAGGTGATCTGTCTGCCTTAGCCTCCCAAAGTGCTGGTGTTACAGGCGTGAGCCACCACGCCTGGCCCGTTTTAAAATATATCATTGCCGATGTTGTTTCCATGATTAGTATAGGAAAGGAATTTAGCATACATGTATTGTATGCATTATAAAATTATGGAAGTCTTTGGAAGAGCTTCTGTTTTTTGAAAAATAATACTGTATTATTTTAATAACGTTCCTTTTAATTGTAGAAAGCAGATTACATTAATCAATACAGTGGAATATGTTAGATTAACATGGCTAGAAATATAATTTAAAAATAAGATGTTTCTGCACATTTAAGAGAAGTTTTCTAACAAAAATGGTGTTTCATGTACTGTGTCGTAAAAACAGAATTTGGTTAGTGATAAAATTTTAAATTGTAGCATTTTTGTGAAATTTGTTTCAATTTGCCTAGAATAATTTTGTTTCAAAACAAATTTTGAAATTGTTTAATGGTTATATTCAAATAGGTCTCCATTACACGAGAGAACCAAGAAGTATCTAATTTGATTTGGTCACAATCTGTCACTCTAACAGAAAATTGACTAATGGTTCTTTTTTATTGTTGTTATGAGTGCCATAATTTTAATGTGTCTTTAAATGAAATTTAGCATGGGAGCAGAAATTACTCCCATGCTAAATTATTATCCAATTTAGTATGTTATACAAAGAATGAAAAATTTGTCACCTTTTTAAAAAATGAGCTTATTGCCCACTGGATATTTTGTTTCTTTTTTAAAAAAATAATTTCAGCTTTTATTTTACATTCAGGGGGTACATGTGCAGGTTTTTAACATGGGTATATTGTGTGATGCTGAGGTTTGGAGTACAGTTGATCCCTTCACTTAGGTAGTGAGCATAGTACCCAATAGTTTTTCAACACTTTTCCCGCTTCTTCTCTCCCCCCATTAGTCCCCAGTGTTTATCACTGCTGTCTTCATGTTCTTGAGTGCCCAGTGTTTAGCTCCTGCTTATAAGCCAGAACATACAGTATTTGATTTTCTGTTCCTGTGTTAATTTGCTAAAGATTATGGCCTCCGGCTGCATCCATGTTGCTGCAAAGAACATGATTTCATTCTTTGTTATGACTGTATAGTATTCCATGGTGTATATGTACCATATTTTCTTTATCCATTCCACCATTGATGGGCACCTAGATTGATTCTATGTCTTTGCTATTATGAATAGTGATGCGATGAACATATGAGTATGTGTGTTTTTTTGGTAGAATGATTTATTTTCTTTTGGATATATACCTGGCAATGGGATTGCTGGGTTTAATGGTATTTTTATTTTAAGTTCTTTGAGAAATGTCGAACTGCTTTCCACAGTGACTGAACTAATTTATAGCTCCATCAGAGTAAGAACCTTGTATGCCTTTTATGTTATTTTACCCTGTTAGCTTACCATAGTGCTGATCATGTAGCAACATAGCAAAGTATATGTAATGACGATCTGCGAACATAACATTTTAAATTTTTTCTTGGCAAGTATATTTAGATGGCATAGGATGAATAAGGAGTTTTCAGTGTCTGAACAACTGTAATTTTAGTTTTAAGTTAGCTCCCTTTGTGTCACTTTCATTATTTTAGAATTCAACTATATTATTGGTTATGGTAGGTTAGGTAGGTTAGGGAATGCTGCAGTAATAAATCAACCGTGACATTTCAGTGGTTTAAATCAACAAACGTTCATTTGTCTAACATGGTATATTCTCCAGTGCAAGTTGGCGAGGAGCTCTACTCCAAAGAGTCACTCAGGAATCCAGCCTCTTGTGATACCCTATTTCAACACATGGTTTCCAGGGAAAAAAGAATGCAAGAATTCATACCCACACCTATGTGTTTTAGTTTGTAAATGACACAGATTACCTGTGCATACAGAACTGTATCCCCAAGTGAAATGCAAGAGAAATAAAGCCTTCTTATAAATCTATGATGAAAAAAAATCAGTTTGGACTTGGTGAGCCCTGTATTGTCTTGGCCAGAACTTTACTATTTTTGGATTCTTCCTTTTCAAAGTAAGGTTTATGGAATATTTATTTTATCAGATAGGTTCAACATACATACATACATACAAACACAGCTTCTCACAGAAGATTTGCTAAACTCAATACATTTGACATTATTTCTCAAATTTATTGGGCTAAAGATTCTGATTTTCGGAGACCATATGTCAGAGCTAGCATTCTATGAAGCAGTTTTAGGAAACACTGTTCTTGATCATGTTGATTGAATAAATGTCAGAATGTGTCATAAACAGAAGAAACTAATTTTTAATGCAGTCTTTAGCCTATAGTAAATTCACAAATATATCATCTTTTATTGTGCTTGTCAGTAAAATTTTAAATTAAAAAATAAAATATTGTTTAGTTTATCATGAATATAAATTTCTGAATATCTCAGATAACAAATCTGGCCAAGAACCTGGAATTAAGTGGGCAAAGAAATACCTACAGTTGGTGTAAGTGATTCTTAACAAATTTGCATGAAGATCATGCACTCAAACAAACTTACTTTATTTCATTCAGTTCCAACTTGGCCTTAATTGGCACAGAACATTAACAATCTTAATTTTCAGCCTATAGTAGATTGTAGATACCAAATTAGAAGGGGTTACAAGTCTTCTTTCCTTCTAAAAATTTGCATACTGTCAGAGGTATGAAACAGCATATAGCTCAACACAGGAAAAACCCAGGATGACATTTTTAAAAAAGCAAGCGTATAACTAACAATATTGTTTAATAGAAGAAAATATTCCTATTTCTTAACTACTCAAGTTATCTGAACAAAGTTTAATTACCATTAGCATACTCACTTTTAAAATGTGAGGCAAATGTATAAAACATTCGAAATGATTACCGACTCTAGTACTGAAAGTTAAAAAAGAAAATAAATATATGTCTTATGTATAATATATAATATATAATTTATCTTATATATAAATGTATATACTTTGTATTACATATAAAATATATAATACATGAATATTATATATATCATTTATAATATATAAGAATATATACCAATTCTTATATATAATATATACCTTATATGTTAGATATATTTTATATCTAATATATGTTTATATAATTAGATATGATATATAATATATAATTATATATTGTATATATAAATGTATGTACAATATGTCATATATAATTATATATTGTATATATGAAATATATTCATTTATATATAGTATATAATATATAATATATTATACATATATTGTATATACACTTATATATAATATATATACACATTTTTATATATATATTTTATTCCTAAAAACTGGAACCTTCAGAAACATGGGATTTTCAGAGTATATCATTTTTTCCATCAATGTTAAATTGCAACACAATGTCATAATGTGGTCTTGAATTTGTAAAATAAAATGTGTCATATATATTTTTTTCTTATTTTCTTTCCTAGTAAGATGATGGAATAATTAGGAAGTTGGTGTCTATTCTTGTAAGGAGCTGTTTTAAAGAGTATACATACATATATTTTAATGTAATTTAATTTCTTATATCATTTAAATATAATTCTGCGATTTAAAACATTGTATATATTTTTGTCAATAAAAATACATATGATTCCATGGGAGAAGGAATAGATAAGGTTTTTCTTTCCTGAACTTTTGGAAAGTAATCTTTACTCTGATTTAAATAGTGTAGCTGATTATCTGATTTTAGTGTAATTATTTCACATACACAATTTTGTTCGCATTTTAAATGAGCAGTTAAGCACTCCTAATTTACAATTATAATGAAATATTAATTAACTTGCTAAACATTTATATTTTATGTCTTAGTCCATTTAGAAGAGTGGATTTAAAAGTATTTCCCTATGTTTTATATAATAATTGAGCTTTTGTAAATAATTGTGAAATGCTTTTCTTTAAAATGTTTTGCATGATTCCAGAAAAATTATTAGGATAAATATTGATCATCCTGTTTCAGACATTTTATTAATGAAATATTATAAAAAGACCATATAAGTAATTAGGTATACTTTTCCGCACGTTTCTTAGACGCATTTTGGTTAATGGCAAATGCCAACATTAAGCAGACATTGACGTGATTATCTACATGTTTACAACATATGCTGTTTGTTCTTGCAATGTATTTGCTGAAGTTCTCTTAAATGGAAGCAATGACGTATTGTGCACAGAATAGAGTAAAACACAGTGAACTGTTCATAATGAGTTACTAGTGGGACTTGCAGATGTTGGTGTAAATTATGCCTAGATTTAGTTATTTTTTTTTTATTATTATACTTTAAGTTTTAGGGTACATGTGCACAACGTGCAGGTTAGTTACATATGTATACCTGTGCCATGCTGGTGTGCTGCACCCATCAACCCGTCATCTAACATTAGATATATCTCCCAGTGCTATCCCTCCTGCCTCCCCCGACCCCACAACAGTCCCCAGAGTGTGATGTTCCCCTTCCTGTGTCCATGTGTTCTCATTGTTCAATTCCCACCTATGAGTGAGAACATGCGACATTTGGTTTTTTGTCCTTGTGATAGTTTGCTGAGAATGATGGTTTCCAGCTTCATCCATGTCCCTACAAAGGACATGAACTCATCATTTCTTATGGCTGCATAGTATTCCATGGTGTATATGTGCCACATTTTCTTAATCCAGTCTATCATTGTTGGACATTTGGGTTGGTTCCAAGTCTTTGCTATTGTGAATAATGCCACAATAAACATACATGTGCATGTGTCTTTATAGCAGCATGATTTATAATCCTTTGGGTATATACCCAGTAAAGGGATTGCTGGGTCAAATGGTAGTTCTAGTTCTAGATCCCTGAAGAATCGCCACACTGACTTCCACAGTGGTTGAACTAGTTTACAGTTCCAACAGCAGTGTAAAAGCGTTCCTGTTTCTCCACATCCTCTCCAGCACCTGTTGTTTCCTGACTTTTTAATGATTGCCATTCTAACTGGTGTCAGATGGTATCTCACTGTGGTTTTGATTTGCATTTCTCTGATGGCCAGTGATGATGAGCATTTTTTCATGGGTCTGTTGGCTGCATAAATGTCTTCTTTTGAGAAGTGTCTGTTCATGTCCTTCGCCCACTTTTTGATGGGGTTGTTTTTTTCCTGTAAATTTGTTTGAGTTCATTGTAGATGCTGGATATTAGCCCTTTGTCAGATGAGTAGATTGCAAAAATGTTCTCCCATTCTGTAGGTTGCCTGTTCACTCTGATGGTAGTTTCTTTTGCTGTGCAGAAGCTCTTTAGTTTAATTAGATCCCATTTGCCATTTTTGTCTTTTGTTGCCATTGCTTTTGGTGTTTTAGACATGAAGTCCTTGCCCATGTCTCTGTCCTGAATGGTATTGCCTAGGTTTTCTTCTAGGGTTTTTATGGTTTTAGGTCTAACATGTAAGTCTTTAATCCATCTCGAATTAATTTTTGTGTAAGGTGTAAGGAAGGGATCCAGTTTCAGCTTTCTACATATGGCTAGCCAGTTTTCCCAGCACCATTTATTAAATAGGGAATCCTTTCCCCATTTCCTGTTTTTGTCAGGTTTGTCAAAGATCAGATAGTTGTAGATATGTGGCATTATTTCTGAGGGCTCTGTTCTGTTCCATTGGTCTATATCTCTGTTTTGGTACCAGTACCATGCTGTTTTGGTTACTGTAGCCTTGTAGTATAGTTTGAAGTCAGGTAGCGTGATGCCTCTAGCTTTGTTCTTTTGGCTTAGGATTGACTTGGCAATGCGTGCTCTTTTCTCGTTCCATATGAACTTTAAAGTAGTTTTTTCCAATTCTGTGAAGAAAGTCACTGGTAGCTTGATAGGGATGGCATTGAATCTATAAATTACCTTGGGCAGTATGGCCATTTTGACGATATTGATTCTTCCTACCCATGAGCATGGAATGTTCTTCCATTTGTTTGCATCCTGTTTTATTTCATTGAGCAGTGGTTTGTAGTTCTCCTTGAAGAGGTCCTTCACATCCCTTGTAAGTTGGATTCCTAGGTATTTTATTCTCTTTGAAGCAATTGTGAATGGGCGTTCACTCATGGTTTGGCTCTCTGTTTGTCTGTTATTGGTGTATAAGAATGCTTGTGATTTTTGCACATTGATTTTCTATCCTGAGACTTTGCTGAAGTTGCTTATCAGCTTAAGGAGATTTTGGGCTGAGACGATGGGGTTTTCTAGATATACAATCATGTCATCTGCAAACAGGGACAATTTGACTTCCTCTTTTCCTAATTGAATACCCTCTATTTCCTTCTCCTGCCTCATTGCACTGGTCAGAACTTCCAACACTATGTTGAATAGGAGTGGTGAGAGAGGGCATCCCTGTCTTGTGCCAGTTTTCAAAGGGAATGCTTCCAGTTTTTGCCCATTTAGTATGATATTGGCTGTGGGTTTGTCATAGATAGCTCTTATTATTTTGAGATACGTCCCAACAGTACCGAATTTATTGAGAGTTGTTAGCATGAAGCGTTGTTGAATTTTGTCAAAGGCCTTTTCTGCATCTATTGATATAATCATGCGGTTTTTGTCTTTGTTTCTGTTTATATGCTGGATTACGTTTATTGATTTGTGTATGTTGAACCAGCCTTGCATCCCAGGGATGAAGCCCACTTGATCATGGTGGATAAGCTTTTTCATGTGCTACTGTATTTGGTTTGCCAGTATTTTATTGAGGATTTTTGCATCGATGTTTATCAGGGATATTGGTCTAAAATTCTCTTTTTTTGTTATGTCTCTGCCCGGCTTTGGTATCAGGATGATGCTGGCCTCATAAAATGAGTTAGGGAGGTTTCCCTCTTTTTCTGTTGATTGGAATAGTTTCAGAAGGAATGGTACCAGCTCCTCCTTGTACCTCTGGTAGAATTCGGCTGTGAATCCATCTGGTCTTAGACTTTTTTTGGTTGGTAAGCTATTAATTATTATCTCAATTTCAGAGCTTGCTATTGGTCTCTTCAGAGATTCAACTTCTTCCTGGCTTAGTCTTGGGAGGGTGTATGTGTCGAGGAATTTATCTATTTCCTCTAGATTTTCTAGTTTATTTGTGTAGAGGTGTTTATAGTATTCTCTGACGGTAGTTTGTATTTCTGTGCGATTGGTGGTGATATCCCATTTATCATTTTTTATTGTGTCTATTTGATTCTTCTCTCTTTTCTTCTTTATTAGCCTTGCTAGCGGTCTATCAATTTTGTTGATCGTTTCAAAAAACCAGCTCCTGGATTCATTGATTTTTTGAAGGGTTTTTTGTGTCTCTATTTCCTTCAGTTCTGCTCTGATTTTAGTTATTTCTTGCCTTCTGCTAGCTTTTGAATGTGTTTGCTCTTGCTTCTCTAGTTCTTTTAATTGTGATGTTAGGGTGTCATTTTTAGATCTTTCCTGCTTTCTCTTGTGTGCATTTAGTGCTATAAATTTCCCTCTACACACTGCTTTGAATGTGTCTCCCAGAGATTCTGGTGTGTTGTGTCTTTGTTCTCGTTGGTTTCAAAGAACATCTTTATTTCTGCCTTCATTTCATTATGTACCCAGTAGTCATTCAGGAGCAGGTTGTTCAGTTTTGATGTAGTTGAGTGGTTTTGAAGTGAGTTTCTTAATCCTGAGTTCTAGTTTGATTGCACTGTGGTCTGAGAGACAGTTTGTTCTAATTTCTGTTCTTTTACATTTGCTGAGGAGAGCTTTACTTCCAAGTATGTGGTCAATTTTGGAATACGTGTGGTGTGGTGCTGAAAAGAATGTATATTCTGTTGATTTGGGGTGGAGAGGTCTGTAGATGTCTATTAGGTCCACTTGGTGCAGAGCTGAGTTTATTTCCTGGATATCCTTGTTAACTTTCTGTCTTGTTGATCTGTCTAATGTTGACAGTGGGGTGTTAAAGTCTCCCATTATTATTGTGTGGGAGTCTAAGTCTCTTTGTAGGTCTCTAAGGACTTGCCTTACGAATCTGGGTGCTCCTGTATTGGGTGCATATATATTTAGGATAGTTAGCTCTTCTTGTTGAATTGATCCCTTTACCATTATGTAATGGCCTTCTTTGTCTCTTTTGATCTTTGTTGGTTTAAAGTCTGTTTTATCAGAGACTAGGATTGCAGCCCCTGCCTTTTTTTGTTTTCCATTTGCTTGGTAGACCTTCCTCCATCCCTTTATTTTGAGCCTATGTGTGTCTCTGCACGTGAGATGGGTTTCCTGAATACAGCACACTGATGGGTCTTGACTCTTTATCCAGTTTGCCATTCTGTGTCTTTTAATTGCAGCATTTAGCCCATTTACATTTAAGGTTAATATTGTTATGTGTGGATTTGATCCTGTCATTATGATGTTAGCTGGTTAGTTTGCTCGTTAGTTGATGCAGTTTCTTCCTAGCCTCGATGGTCTTTACAATTTGGCATGTTTTTGCAGTGGCTGGTACCGGTTGTTCCTTTCCATGTTTAGTGCTTCTTCAGGAGCTCTTTTAGGGCAGGCCTGGTGGTGACAAAATCTCTCAGCATTTGCTTGTCTGTAAAGTATTTTATTTCTCCTTCATTTATGAAACTTAGTTTGGCTGGATATGAAATTCTGGGTTGAAAATTCTTTTCTTTAAGAATGTTGAATATTGGCCCCCACTCTCTTCTGGCTTGTAGAGTTTCTGCCGAGAGATCAGCTGTTAGTCTGATGGGCTTCCCTTTGTGGGTAACCCGACCTTTCTCTCTGGCTGCCCTTAACCTTTTTTCCTTCATTTCAACTTTGGTGAGTCTGACAATTATGTGTCTTGGAGTTGCTGTTCTCGAGGAGTATCTTTGTGGCGTTCTCTGTATTGCCTGAATCTGAACGTTGGCCTGCCTTGCTAGATTGGGGAAGTTCTCCTGGATAATATCCTGCAGAGTGTTTTCCATCTTGGTTCCATTCTCCCCGTCACTTTCATGTACCGCAATCGGATGTAGATTTGGTCGTTTCAGATAGTCCCATATTTCTTGGAGGCTTTGTTCGTTTCTTTTTATTCTTTTTTCTCTAAAGTTCTCTTCTCGCTTCATTTCATTCTTTTCGTCTTCCATCGCTGATACCCTTTCTTCCAGTTGATCGAATCAGCTACTGAGGCTTGTGTATTCGTCACGTGGTTCTCGTGCCGTGGTTTTCAGCTCCATCAGGTCCTTTAAGGACTTCTCTGCATTGGTTATTCTAGTTAGCCATTCGTCTAATCTTTTTTCAAGGTATTTAACTTCTTTGTCATGGGTTTGAACTTCCTCCTTTAGCTCGGAGTAGTTTGATTGTCTGAAGCCTTCTTCTCTCAACCTGTCAAAGTCATTCTCTGTGCAGCTTTGTTCCGTTGCTGGTGAGGAACTGCGTTCCTTTGGAGGAGGAGAGGCACTCTGATTTTTAGAATTTTCAGTTTTTCTGCTCTGTTTTTTTCCCCATCTTTGTGCTTTTACCTACCTTTGGTCTTAGATGATGGTAACATACAGATGGGGTTTTGGTGTGGATGTCCTTTCTGTTTGTTAGTTTTCCTTCTAACAGTCAGGACCCTCAGCTGCAGGTCTGTTGGAGTTTGCTGGAGGTCCACTCCAGACCCTGTTTGCCTGGATATCAGCAGCGGAGGCTGCACAACAGCGGATATTGGTGAACAGCAAATGTTGCTGCCTGATCATTCCTCTGGAAGTTTTGTCTCAGAGGAGTACCCGGCCGTGTGAGGTATCAGTCTGCCCCTACTGGGGGGTGCCTCCCAGTTAGGCTACTCGGGGTCAGGGACGCACTTGAGGAGGCAGTCTGTCCGTTCTCAGATCTCCAGCTATGTTCTGGGAGAACCACTACTCTCTTCAAATCTGTCAGACAGGGACATTTCTAGATTTAGTTTTTAATGTTTCCCTGGTGTTACACTGAATATAGCATGAGAAGTCACTGGAAAAGAATGGAAAATAACTCGGCCTTGAGATTAATTTTCTGGGAAATCTGTAAGCCTGATATTGAAAGTGCATTATAAATACTATTTATAATATTTCTTAATCATTTTCCCTTCTTGTACATTCTATATTAACTTAGGTACAAGATCTAAAGGCATATACCCTTTCCTTTCCTTTCCTTTCCTTTCCTTTCCTTTCCTTTCCTTTCCTTTCCTTTCCTTTCCTTTCTTCCTTCCTTCCTTCCTTCTTTTCTCTCTGTCTTTCTGTCTCTCTTTTTCTCTCTTTCTCTCTTTTTCTCTTCCTTACATGATGGAGTCTTGCCCTGTGGCCCAAGCTGGAGTGCAGTGGTGTAATCTTGGCTCACTGCAACCTCTGCCTCTCAGGTTCAAGCGATTCTCCTGCCTCATACTCCTGAGTAGCTGGGATTACAGCCACCCGCCACCACACCCATCTAATTTTTGTATTTTTATTAGAGACAGGGTTTCACCATGTTAGCCAGGGTGGTCTTGAACTGCTGACCTCAGGCAGTCTGCCCGCCTTGGCCTCCCAAAGTGCTGAGATTACAGGCGTGATCCACTGTGCCCAGCTGACATACACTTTTTCTTCGTTTTATTGATTTCATTTTTTAAAACTATCTCCTATTTTAAGGAAATTATGTCACTTCCCAAATCATACAACTTTGATAACAAAATTCATGAGGAGTGTTTGGTTGAATCAATGCATTTAGAATGACACAATTACCAATATAAATATTATTACAAAATGTAAATAGGGTTTGTACATTATAGTGTTCAATCTCTTTGTTCACCTTTACTGTTTTTTATTTGTTTGTTTTCTTTTTTTTTTTTTTGAGACAGCACCTTGTTCTGTCACCTAGGCTGGAGTGCAGTAGAATAAGGATCCACCGCAGCCTCAGCCTCCTAGGCTCAAGTGATCCACCAACCTCAGCCTTCTAAGTAGCTGAGACTGCAGGCATGCATCCCCATGCCCGCTAATTTGAGTGTGTGTGTGTGTGTGTGTGTGTGTGTGTGTGTGTGTGTGTGTGGAGAGACACAAGGTCTCCTTATTTTTTCTAGGCTGGTCTCTAATTCCTGAGTTCAAGTGATTGTCTCACCTTAGCCTTCCAAAATGCTGGTATTACAAGCCATCTTTACATTTAATTCATATGTGGAAAACACATAGTGTTCAGTTTTCCAAGGATAATTTTTGTAACTATTACTGGTTTTTGCTTATTTGTTTGGTTTTTAGTTTAAAAGCCATATTGATTGTGTTATAGACCACTCTTTTAATTTATTTTTATTTCTATATGTTTTACTTTTTAAAATTTCAGTAGTTTTGGGAGTACAGGAGGTTTTTGTTACATGGATGAGTTGTTTCATAGTGAATTCTGAGATTTTAGTGCACCCATCACCTGAGCAGTGTACACCGTACCCAATGTAGTCTTTTATCCCTGCCCCTTGACATCGCCCATGAGTCCCCACAGTCCGTTATATCACTCTATATGTTTTGGGGTCCTCATAGCTTAGATCCCAGTTATAAGTGAGGACATATGGTATTTGGTTTTCCATTCCTGTGTTAGTTCACTTAGAATAATGGCCTCCAGTTCCATCCAAGTTGCTACAAAAGACATTATTTCATTCCTTTTTATGGCTTAGTAGTAGTCCATGGTGTTTATATACCACATTTTCTTAATCCACTTGTTGGCCGATGGACACTTAGTTTGGTTCCACATCCTCGGAATTGTTAATTGTGCTGCTATAAATGTGTGTGCAAGTGTCTTTTTCATATAATGACTTCTTTTCTTTTGGATAGATACAGAGCAGCAGAGTTGCTGGGTTGAATGGTAGATCTACTTTCAGTTTTTTAAGGAATGTCTATATTATTTTCCATAGTGTTAGCACTAATTTACATTCCCACCAGCAGTGTAAAATGGTTCTCTTTTCACCACATCTACACCAACATCAACTGTTTTTTTACTTTTTAATTATGGCCATTCTTGCAGAAATAAGGTGGTATATCATTGTGGTTTTATTTTGCATTTCCCTGATGATTAGTGATGTTGAACATTTTTTCATATGGTTGTTGGCTATTTGTAATCTTTTTTTGAGAAATGTGATTGTGTTATAGACTACAGCATCGCTTTTACACTTTTTTCTTCTCATTTGACCAGTCTTTAATAAGTTGATACTGTTTATTTTTTTAATTTAAGCTTTTTATTTTGAGATCATTGTAGATTCTCATGCAGTTATAAGAAATGATGCAGAGAGATCCCATTTCTCTTTACCCAATTTCCTCCAGTGGTAACATCTTGAAAAACTACAGAATAAGATCATGATCAGAATATTGACATTGATATAGGCAAGTTACAGAACAGCACCATTGCCACAAGGATCTCTCCTATTGCCCTTTTACAGCTATACCCACTTCTCTACTGTTGACATAGACTTCCTAGCCCCGGACAATCACTAATCTGTTTTCCATTTCTATAATTTATCTTTTCAAGATTGCTATATAAGCAGAATAAAATTATATGTAATCTTTTGTGGTTAGGCTTTTTTCACTGAACATAATACTCTGGAGATTCATGCAGGTTATGATGTGTATCTATGGTTTATTCTTTTTTTTGCTAACCCATTTTCCATGGTATAGATGTACCATAGTTTGTTTAAACATTCACCGGCTGAAGGACATTTGGGTTGTTTCTGGTTTTGCACTATTATTAACAAAGCCACTATAAACATTTATGTAAATTTGTTGTGTGAATATAAATTTTTATTTCTCTACAATAAATGTCCAAGCATACAATTACTGGATCAAATGCCAGTTACATGTTTAGTTTTATAAGAGACTGTCAAATAGTTTTCCAGAGTGACTATATTATTTTCAGTCCTACCGTCAATGTATAAGTTATCTGGTTTCACTGCTTCCTCACCAGCATTTGATATCGTCACTACTTTTTTCTAGTTATTCTGAGTGTAGTGCTACCTCATTGTGGTTTTAACTTGCATATCCCTGATGGCAATAATGTTTTAGCATCTTTTCATTTGCTTATATGCTGTACACATAGCGTCTCTGGGTCTGTTCATGTCTTTTATTTTTTTGTAGTGATGGGGTCTTGCTATGTTGCCCAGGCTGGTCTCAAACTCCTGGCCTTAATTGATCTTCTTGCCTTGTCTGTTATGTCTTCTGTCCATTTTAAAATTTGGTTTTTCTTTTTGCTATTGAATTTTGAGGGTTATTTATATATCTGATATTAGTTCTTTGTCAGATATAGGGTTTGATAATATGTTCTCTCACACTGTATCTTGTCTTTTCTCCCTCTTCACGAGGTCTTTCTTAGAGCAAAAGTTTTAAATTTAATGAAGTTCAGTTTATCAATTTGCAAATTTTATGAATCAGGCTATTGGTGTTAAGTATAAGAACCTAGCCCTAAATTCTGAAGGTCTTCCTCTATCTTTTCCCTTATATTTTACATTTAATTCTGTAATCTATTTTGAGTTAATTTTTGTATACAGTGTGAGGCATAGGTTGAGGTGTGTCGTTTTGCTTAAGGATGTCCATTTGCTCAGCACCATTTAGTGAAAAAACTAGCTTTCTTCCATTGAGTTGCTTTTGGTCCTTTATAAAAAAATCAGTTCTCCACCTTTTTGTTGTACTATTTATGGATCTGTATTCTGTTCCATTGTTCTGTGTGTCTGTCCTTCTGCTGTTACCACATAGTGTTGATTACTGTAGCCACGTAAGTCTTGAAACTGTATAGATTGATTCTTCCCACTATATTCTTTTTCAAAATGGCTTTCGCTATTATAATTTATGTTTTTTTTTCATTTCAGAATAAAACTTTAGGCTAATTGTGTCAATATCTACTATACTGCTGGAGTTAGAGAAATTGTATACTTTCGAGCATAATTAAAAACTTTACAATGTTAAATCTTCTTATCCATGAACATGATTGTCTATTTATTTGATCATGTTAGATTTATTTCATTGTCATTTTGTAGTTTTAAATGTACAAGTCATGTGTATGTTTTGTTAGATTTCTACCTATTTTTTTGAGTGATTGTAAATACATTAGTCTCTTGGTATCCATGGAGCATTGGTTCCACATCCCCTGAGAATACCAAAATTTGTTGATGCTGAAGTTTCATATATAAAATGGTATGGTATTTGCATATAACCTACACACAGCCTCCATCTGTAGATTACTTATAATACTTAGTACAATGCCTACAATATCACTTCATTCATGTGGATTCAAAATAGTGCTCAGCACATGGAAAATTCAAGTTTAGGTTTTTGGACTTTGTGGAATTTCTTTCCATAAATATTTTCCATTCACAGTTGGATGAATCCACAGATACAGAAGACTGACTGTAGTATGTTATTTTTAATTTTGGTATCTATCTGCTCATTGCTAGTGTAGAGAGATATATATGATTACCTTGTATTCTGTGACTTTTCTATTATTTAGGATATTTTATGTAGACAATCGTACCCTTTGCAAATACAGTTTTACTGCTTCCTTTCTAATTTGTATGGCTTTTATATCCTTTTCTTGCATTATTCCCTTGAATAGAATATGTTCAATAAGAGTGGTGAGATTGAATATCCTTTTCTTTGCCCAATTTTGGGGGGAATGTGTTTATTCTTTCACTGTTTAAATTAAATTAAAATTAAATTATTAGCTGTAGTTTTTTTTTGTAGATGCTCTGTGTCAACTTAAAGAAGTTTCTCAGTATTTTTACTTTTCTGAAAATTTTTATCCTGAATGGATATGGAATTTTCACAAATATTTTCACCAATTGATACGATTATGTGATTTTTCTTCTTTAGCTTTTTAATATGGTTGATTAAAAAAGTATTACATCCCTTGATTAAATGCTACTTGATCATGCTGTATAATTAATTTTGTATATAGCTCAATTCTATTTGGTAAAAACAATTGATAAGGATTTTTGTATCTGTAGATATGGTGTGGACATTCCCACGTCTTCTATTTTCTAGAAAATATTGTATAAAATTTGTAGTAATTCTTCTATGAATGTTTAGTAGAATTCCCCAGTGAAACCCTCTGGAACTGCAGATTTTCTTACTTAGGGATTTAAAAATTATTAATTCAATTTCCATAATGGTTATAGAGTTATTCAAATTATTTATTTCATATTGGATATGGTGAGGTAGTTTATGTTTTTCAAGGAACTGATGTATTAAATGTAAGTTGCCAAATTTATGTTTGTAGAGTTGTTTTTAGTATTCCCTTCTCATTGTTTAGATATCTTCAAGACTTGTAGTGATATTCCCAGTTTCATTCATAGTATTGGTAATTTGTATCTTCTCTCTTGTTTTCTTTGTCGATCTTTTTCGAGATTTGTAAATTTATTTTTTTTTGAAGAAAAAGGGCTCTATATTTGATTTATTTTGATTTTGTCTATATTGTTTTTGATTTTATTGGTTTTTGCTCCTATATTTATTGCTAACTTCCTTCTGCTTGCTTTGGTTTATTTTTCTCTTCCTAGGCTCTTGAAGTAGATGCTTAGATTATTGATTTTAGATTTTTTTCTCTTAACTAATTTAAGTGTGCAGTGCTACACATTTCCCACTCAGCACTGCTTTAGCTGTTCTCCACATATAGTGACTTGTTGTATTTTCACTTTTACACAGTTCAGTGTATTTTTTAATTTTCCTTGAGATTTATTCTTTTACCTGTGAATTATTTGAAAGGGTGTTGTATAGTTTCCACCAGTTTAGAGATTTTAATGTTCTCTTTTTGTTATTAATTTCTAATTTGATTCTATTGAAGTAAGAGAACAGACTCTGTTATGATTTCAATTCTAATAAAGTAGCTGAGGCTTGTTTCACGGCTCAGAATATGGTCTATTTTTGTATATGTTTCACGGACACTTAAGAAGAATGTGCATTCTGCTCTTTCAAGGAGTGTTGCACAGATATTGATTAGATTCTATTGGCTCATGGTACTGTTTACTTCTTCTGTATCCTTGCTGTATGTTTCTAGTTACCCCGTCAGTTTTGAGGAAGGAATGTTGAACTGTTCAACTATAATTGTGTTTTTTTTTTCTCGTTTTCCTTTTAGTTCTATCAGTTTTTGCTTCCCCTGTTTTGATGAACTGATTTTTTTTTTTTTTTTTTTTTTTGGAGATGGAGTCTCACGCTATCACCTGAGCTGGAGTGCAATGGCGTGATCTTGGTTCACTGCAACCTCCGTCTCCTGGTTCACACGATTCTCCTGCCTCAGCCTCCCAAGTAGCTGGGATTACAGGTGCACACCACCACACCCAGCTAATTTTTTGTATTTTTAGTACAGACGGGGTTTCACTATGTTGGCCAGACTGGTCTCGAACTCCTGACCCTGTGATCTGCCCACCTCAGCTTCCCAAAGTCCTGGGATTACAGGCGTGAGCCACAGCTCCCGGCTGAATTGATTCTTTTATTACATAATATTTGTCTCTCCTCAGAAATGAACATCATATAATGATAACATAGACAACATTGTATAAAAATAACATATCATATTATTTAATATTATCATATACATAACATTATATATATTTTTTTATTTGAAATTTACCTGCTCTAATATTAATATAGTCACTCTTGCTTTTTGATTAATGTCTGCATGGCATATCTTCTCCCATCTTTAATTCCTGTCTATATCATTATATTGATGTGAGTTTTTAATAGACAGAATATAGTCATCCATTTTACTAACTCTCTCTTTTAATTGATGTATTTAGGCTATTCACATTTAATATAATTATTAATATGTTAAGGTTTATGTATGCCATTTTAATTTTTGTTTTTGTGTTTGTTTTGTTTTTGGCATTCCTTCTCTCTGTTTTCTTCATCCTGACTTCTTGTGGGTTACTTGAAAATTTTTAGAAGTTTATTTTTACTTATTATTTAGAGATCTATTTTGACATCTGTTTTCTGTGTTTGTCCTTTTATAGAGTCTTTTTGGGTAGTTTTTCTAACAGTTTTCCTAGGTATTACATTATATATATGATATATGTGTGTGTATATATATAAAAATACCTATGTTATATATATACACATACATATATACATATACATATATATCTATAAATGTATATATATATATAAAACTTACCACAGTCTTCTTGTATTGCCATTTTGTCAGTTTAAATGAAGTATGGAAACCTTAAAACTCCTTTTACTTCCCTTTACTTTCTTTCATTTATATTATATTTGCCTTAACTATTTCTCTACATATATGTAGAAGCGCATCAGACAGTGCCATACTTTCTTTTTCAACCATTAAACATAAGAGAGAAAGCTCAAGAGGAAAGGAATTGCATTTATCCGTATTTTTGTTTACTATGTTCTTCCAGATGTTCGAAGGCTGTTTTTTTTTTCTTTCCTTTTTTGTTTAAAGAACTTTCTTTAGTCATTCTTTTAGGAAAGGTCGTCTAGTGACCAGTTCTCTTATTTTTTATTTGTTTGTTTTTAATCCAAGAACATCTTGATTACTCTTTCTTCTTTAAGGATATTTTCACTGTTTATAGGATTCTAGGTAGCTAGTTCTTTTCTCTTAGCATTTAAAAATGGTATGGCATTTTCTTCTTGTCTCCATGGTTTCTAATAAAAATTTCTGCTGTCTTTTAAATTATATTTTTCCCTGTAGATAATATGTTATTTTTCTCTTACTACTTTAAAGATTATTTCTCTTTGTCTTTAGTTTTGAGGTTGATTATGAGGTATCTTAGTTTGGATTTCTTCAGATTTATCCTATTTGGGGTTTTCTCAGTTTCTTCAATCTGTAGGTTTGTAAGTCTTTTGCCAAATATGGGACATTTTCAGTCATCTTTTTTTTTTAATCACTTTTTTTTTTTTTAAAGACGGAGTTCCGCTCTTGTTGCCCAGGCTGGAGTGCAATGGCGTGATCTCGGCTCACCACACCCTCTGCCTACCGGGTTCCAGCGACTCTCCTGTCTCAGCCGCCCCAGTAGTTGGGATTACAGGCAGGCACCACCACGCCTGGCTAATTTTTTGTATTTTTAGTAGAGACGGGGTTTCTCCACATTGGTCAGGCTGGTAATCACTTTTTAAGCCCTACCCTCTTTCTCAACTCTCCTAGAACTCCAGTGACATGAATATTAGCTCTTTGATTATGGTCCATGGATTCCCGAGTCTCTTTTTGTTGTTGTTTTCAGGCTAGTTTCTCTCTGTTGTTCACATTGGATGATTTCTACTTCTATTGTTATATCTTCAATTCATGGATTCTTCTGTTTCTTCTGTTCTGCTATTGATTCTATTCCCTGGGGTTTTAATTTTGATTTTTGTATTTTCCACCACTATAACTTACATTTGACTCCTCTCTATATCTTATATCTTTGCTGAGGCTTTCTTTTTCTTTTCTACTTCTATTATTTTGTTTCAACATGTTTATAATTATTCTTTGAAGCATTTTCTGTGACAGCTGCTTTAAAACCTTTGACACCTCTGTCATCAAGCTGTTGATATCTACTGATTATCTTTTTTTTTTTTCCATTTCATTTGGGATCTTCCTGGTTCTTGGTGTGATGAGTGATTCAAAATAAAACCTGGACATTTTAGGTATTACATTATGAGAGTCTCGGAAGGTGGTGTAACATGTCACTACTCCCAGGAACGTATAGAAGCTCAGTTTCCCAACACTCTTCTGTTAACACTGGAAAGAGGGAAAGTAGAGTGGAGGAGTGAAGCTACTTTTTACTGTTTTTTGAGTATTAACCTCCAGTCTCTATCCTTACTCAGCTTTTTCTGATACCATGCCAATGTGGAGTGGAGGTGCTTCTTTACAGTTTCTTGAGGGTTAGACTCTAGCCTACCCTCTTGTCTTTTGCTGGTGCACATGAGGGTGGGACTCCAGTTTTTCTGTGCTGTTTGCTGGGATTAGAACAACAATAGTCTGAAAGTTTTCTGTCTTGCTAGACTGTTTCTTTTCTCAAGCCTTATGATATTTCCAGGTTACTAGTTTCTTCAGCTACAAGTCTGGAATACATTAGGCAAAAAGAAAACCCAAGGGAACTCACCATCTCTTTTTTTTGGCTGGGGATTGGTTCTTGAAGTCCCTAGCTTGTCTTTCTTCTTCTATCACCCTTTCGAAGTGTCTTATCTTAGTGTGATATATAATGTCCAGGGTTTTTAGTTGTACTTTGTGGAAGTTAAAGACGAGATTACATTTAGTGCGTCTGTCTGGAAGCAGAATCGTTAATGCCTTCCATTTTAAGACCAAAACATTAAACTTATTCTGTATTTGATAATGAAGACATGAATGTCCTAAAAAATAAAATTTTGCCTAAAATGTTAAATTTTATGTCATGAATCTCAAAAGTATGGCAGGTGCCAAAGAGAAGCATTTATTCTTGATTTCTTGCCTATTCCAAATTAGATAATGGAAACACCACATGGAAAACTTATTCTTTTTTATAAGATTTTGATATCCTGTCAGTATCACTAAATAAAATCCAAACTTTCAAATTTTACTAAAGGACATAACATGTTTTATTTTCTGTTATTAAAATAACACATTGTTAAGCATGACAAAGTAAATCCATGAGGAGATAATCATAATTTATTAAGTTCTTGCTATATCCTATAAATTTTATGTTTTTTCTTTTTTTATCTTATAAATTAGATAGAATTTAATTATTGGATAACACTCCCTTTTTTGTTTTTTTCTGATCTTATTCCTATATAACAACTCAGAATACTTAAAAAAGGAAGCGACTATTAAATGAAATACAACAGAAATATAAAATGATAGATTAAGTATTTTCTCCTAAAGAATTCAGGGAGGAAACATTTAACTTCAGAAGCATAAAGTTTTTTAATTTAAAATAATACAAAAGGTTTTGCAGGAATATATAAAGCAAAGGTGAAAAGGCTTAGAAAAATGCGTAGCATTAATTTAATGACAAAATCCTCAGAATTGGGCTTAACTCTTTGTAGGTGTCACATTTAATTTAATAACACAAATTAATTGGAGAATTCTACCATTAATTTTTATGTGAAAATAGGTTTAAATATACATTGGAATATTATTGGAAAAGAGGGAGTATATCCATCAAAAGCTTAACTAGTTGCCAGATATTTCTTTTGTCTAGAAAGAAACAAAATGTGACTTGGAGATATTAAACACACACACATACACACACACACTCAAATAAATTGAATCTTGATGACGATAAAAGTAAAAATAAGTCTAGTTTTTTTGTAGTATATTAAAGAAGTAGTTGTTTGTCATCTTAGGGAACATCTTTTATAAACAACATTTTCCCTATGGTTTAAAAGATATTTACATTAAGATGGTATTTCCGTATTTTGGTGCAGATGTCATTCATAGAAATGAGTGGAACTATCCAAATTGAAAAATGAACACATAATGTAGTCCAGTTGCTCATAAAATAAGAAAAAGAAATGGCCAGTATATCAGCACTTTGGGAGGCTGAGGCGGGCAGATCACAAGGTCAGGAGACTGAGACCATCCTGGCTACCACAGTGAAACCCTGTCTCAACTAAAAATACAAAAAATTAGCCGGGCGTGGTGGCGGGTGCCTGTAGTCCCAGCTACTCAGGAGGCTGAGGCAGGAGAATGGTGTGAACCTGGCAGGAGGAGCTTGCAGTGAGCCGAGATCGCGCCACTGCACTCCAGCCTGGGCGACAGAGCGATACTCCGTCTCAAAAAAAAAAAAAAAAAAAAAAAAAAAGAAAGAAATAGCTAGTATAAAAAATTACTGTGGAAGAGAAGGGGGACTCAAGTACTCCTCAAATGAAGTACGTTAATAAAAGTGTGAATTGGAACAACAGTTCTGGAGGGAAGTTTGCCAAAATTTATTGGAAGCTTTGGAAGCCCTTTGTTTCAATAATTTCACTTAAGGAAATCTGTCCTAAGGAAATAATCAGAGAAGCATAGAAAATTTTAAATAAAAGAGTATACATCAGAATATCCATAACAGTTTCCTTTTATATGTTTTCCTTTGTTCTTTAATTTTCATTATTCTATTCTTGTTTTTCAACTTTAGCCAACCAAAAATATTAATTCCTAATTAGTAAAGAACCCCAATAAATATTATTTCCATATATATTTTATATATTATATATATATGTTAGAAATTGAATTCTAATCCATTTGAACTACATGTAATAGTCACTCAAGGGTTAAATTTTTTTCTTACTGTCTTTGTTACTTCTCAGGCCAAAAAATAGTTCTTTTATATCTTCTATGTGTTTGTGACAGGAATGTTTTAAATGGTAGAAAACAGAAACTATAATGGAAGGATAACCGATACAGGAAGAGGCTCTGTGTGCTTAAAATGCAAGGCCATCTACTGTGGGAATTCAGAGGTCTTGGTTTAGATTCTAGCCCTGTTACTAACCTTGGGCAAATCTTTTAATCCCTATTGGAGACAATTTTCTTTTTATTAGTCGAAGCATGTGACCTTGCCATTTTTGTCGGTCAAAATGGTTTCATACCAGCAATTTCTAGTTCAACCTAATAAAAATGAGTAATAGACTGTCTCATAACTCCAACAAACTATGGGTCTATTGTAAAGTTAATGCTGTTGCGTCCCAAAAAATAATAGTAAGTGGTTTCTTCTTATTCAGATAGTCTACTTTTAGGAGGCAAATGAGCTCCTTTGGCCATTCAGAAACCTTCTCATATCATATAGCTCAGCAAACCTAGGACCTATTCTTTCACCTAAAAAAAGATTTTTTTCTGTTCGCAATTCCATGTTATGCATTGAAACATATAAAATATTAGAAGCCACTAGGTTAAAAAAGATAATTGTTACAATTTTAGTTAATCTTGGTTAAAGACATTGAAAGCCCTTCAATAAATCAAAGAAAGTTTAAGAATAAATTAGTAAATATGAGTACTGAACATTTTTGTAAATATCATTAAAAAATCTTAAGTCTTGCATAGTTTTCAGACTCTAGGGCCTAAATTTCATATTTGATGAGTGAGGGAAAAGGAGCAAAATTGTAGAAAAATATTTACTTAAAAAGGGGTGCAAATTCTAAAGATTTGAAGTTACTTTAAATAATATTATTTCATTCATTTATAATTTCTGTAAAGTGCCCTAATTTTCCATGTTTTCACTTAGAGCTAAGAAAAATTAGTTTGTTGATGTGGTGTGAATGCCCTAATAGAAATAATAATAGACTCAGAGTTATTGCAGGGAAACCATGGAAGTTTTCTTATGTAAATATGGAATTTTTCTGACCTATTGTGTGGTAAGATAAAAGAGAGAGCAATGAGATTCAGAAAACTTACGAGCTGAGAACATTTGTTATCACTCAAGTAGGAGTTACACTTCTTTAGGGAAAACCTGTTTGCATAATAATCCAGCTGTTGGAGGCAGTGATTTTTTTTTTATTATACTTTAAGTTTTAGGGTACATGTGCACAATGTGCAGGATAGTTACATATGTATACATGTGCCATGCTGGTGTGCTGCACCCATTAACTCGTCATTTAGCATTAGGTATATCTCCTAATGCTATCCCTCCCCGCTCCCCCCACCCCACAACAGTCCCCAGAGTGTGATGTTCCCCTTCCTGTGTCCATGTGTTCTCGTTGTTCAATTCCCACCTATGAGTGAGAACATGCAGTGTTTGGTTTTTTGTCCTTGTGATAGTTTACTGAGAATCATGATTTCCAATTTCATCCATGTCCCTACAAAGGCCATGAACTCATCATTTTTTATGGCTGCATAGTATTCCATGATGTATATGTGCCACATTTTCTTTTCTTTTCTTTTATTATTATATAAGTTTTAGGGTACATGTGCACAATGTGCAGGTTAGTTACATATGTATACATGTGCCATGCTGGTGTGCTGCACCCATTAACTTGTCATTTAGCATTAGGTATATCTCCTAATGCTATCCCTCCCCACTCCCGATATTTGGCAGAGGTTCAGGCTCTTCACCCACTCTCTTCTTCCCTCTGCCCTGACCTTGGTGCTGATTCTGCTAGAAGTAAACAACCAACCATGTTGCATCACCTCAAGTTGTAAAAATGGCATTGGCAACACACTCGAATCAGTAGTCTTTTGAAGTCTTACATTCAGATTCTAGTGGAGACAAAACAAAAGGGTCAGGAATTATTTTGAATTCCTGCCAAGTGTTTCTTAAACATGGAGCTGATAATTTACTGAAGAAATTGTGGGGATATATCTAAAGTCTTTTTCATCTACTGTCTTGAGACTGCCTGCTTTGAAGTAGTCTGTCACATACTGACTGGGATGACATGTCTTTGAGAAGTAGTTCCAATTTAAAAAGAGCAGTGAGTCGCCCTTCACGGGGTTGACATGGGCGGTGATCATTGATGTAAGAAGGTCAGTCTTTGGAAGAAAATGATGTGGTCAGAAGAGAGGAGCTCAAGCAAAAATTCAGAGAAGGGCACTGAGCCAGTTTCTTGCTTCCCAGCCAAGCAGGTCCCTCAGTTACAGGGATCCCCTTTGAAGCCAAGACTCTTAAAGGTATGACAAAAACTGAGGAATTTTCATATTGCTTCTTAGGTATATTGAGTGCCAAAGAGTCGCATACCCTGGGATTACCTGTGCCATTCCAATAAATCCCCCAAGGCCCATAGTTACAGATCTGTAGGCAAAGAAATGCCTTGCATCTTCAAGGATTTGATTGCAGAAACTCATGGGAACAGGAGGAGGGGTTGATAATAGAAGGCAAGAATACTTTTATTGTAGCACCTCTCAGGTTCTTCAGGCTGTTATTTGTTCCTGGACATTTGGAATATAATCTGGGGAATCATGCTATATTTCAATCATTTCAAAATAATACTAAAAAAGAATTTCATGTGATTAATTTAATCCTCCCCTCTTTTCCTTCTGCTTTCTTTCTTCTCCCTTTCCAAACACTTTTCTGACTAGTGGAAATGAGTTGCAGGATAATATAAACTTAATGAAGCTTCTCATAAATATTTGAATTGAAAACTCTAATGTCTAAAGAAATACTGAAGGGGTCTTTAATAAAGAAACAATTTCTAATGCATTTGGTTATTAAAGCATTCCTGAGCAAATGCATTAAAACAATCCAAGTCCTGGATAAGAACACTTACAGGGCAGGGAATAGGTTGCTTAAAAGGTATTGAATGTGGCTGTTGCCTCCTGCTTGGGCAGGTGTCCAATCACAAATGGACTTCCCAAATGGGCTCCTTTGTACCCCACTTTATACTTGGAGAGGACTTGAGTAGTTGAAACTGAAATTCCAGAACTTGTTTCTCAAAATTTACTTTGAGATTATTTATCATAAGAAAGATCAGGCTATCCATCACTGGAGGATGAAGATTGAATGCATTTGGCGACTGTACAAGTGTCAGTTATTTCAATGAAAAAAGTGAATTGGGATTTTACACTTTTATTTTATAACAGATTGCTGCAGAGTCAAGTTTTAAACAGTTCAGAACCTTCTGTTGTCCCTTTGTCTTTGATTAATTTCTCAAAAGCTATAAAACAAATAAATTTTCATGAATTATTTAGCATGTCTACTTTAAACTGATATAGATATATACATTTTAAATTTACTGCTTCTCTTCTGAAAGTATGTATATATGTATGTATATACACACACGCGTATACATATGTGTATGAGTAATATGTATATATATACATACATAGGGATGATATATATGTGTGTATGTGTGTGTGTGTATATATATATATATATATATATACACATTTTTTCTACATAGAGTGCATCTAGTTTCATCACATTTACTTCATCATGTTCACTTGTAAGCCTGTATCATATGACAACCAATGAAACTTTTCTTGCCTTCAGAACTTAAAAGTATTGATTTCTTAGAAATGATGCTTTACAAATAAACAAGTACACAAATACATATTCTGTACAGAGGCTGTGGAGGGTCTTTCACATGAGTTCTCATTGAGTTACCATGTGGGTATGCTTGTTTTAATTTGCAATTTTCATAAAAAGTAGGTTTTAGGTATTCTTTATAACTTATTTCACATATATCTTTTTTTAAGGAAAAGATAAATACAATTTTATTTTAGAATAAATTCTTGCATAACAATATTAAAATATATTGAAATGTATTTTGATTACCTATTTCTAAAGATAAATAAATAAAAATCTGTTAGAGATATGGCCTGATGTACAATGAATAAATATAACGTAAGCTCAACTGATTTGTATCAGTTAGTACTGTATTCAGCCATGAATTATGGAAAACATGATTAACGGTGGCTTAAAGTTATGCTGGCCATTTTTATTATATAACAAGAAGTTCTGGGTAAAAGCCATTTTAACCAGAGTGAGATGATACCGTATCATAGTTTTGATTTGCATTACTCTGGGGCAGGCAGTCCAGGGATACAGCAACAGGTCCACAGTGTTATCAAAGGCCCAGGCATCTTCTATCTTTCTATTTCTCTATCCATTCATCCTTTCTATTCTAGACATGTTGTATGACTTTTCTCTTATGGTGGCAAGATGGCTGCTGCATCTCTATGTGTCACATCAGTTTCCAGGCCAAAAAAAAAGGCAGAGGAGGAAAAGACTAAAAAAATATTAAGAAGAGCTTGCCAACTGAGCCTATACTTTTAAGTTTCCCATTTGTTCCCATCTTATCTTTGAGCACAGTGGGGTCCCAAGATCAGAAGGGAGGCTAATGGGGGTCAGTATTTTAGCTTTCTGGCCTCAATAGAAGAAGGCAAGGCAACTGTTAATGGCCTTGGGAAGTAAATTTAATGTCTACTGCTCCATTCATTTCAACTTTCTACCAGTGGTAATACCAGGCTAAAGAAATACAATAGGAGAAATCCTTTCTGTGATGATTTGTCTTAAAGGACACTCCTATTTTTATTTTTGAGAATATATCTAGAATCCCTAAAGAAACTAGAAACATAAGGGCACCATCCCTTGCATAGTATGCCACAAATGCAGTTTGTATGAGATATATAATACCTTGCATCTACAATATTTAAAGATTTCTACCCTTTAAGGCATTTTTATGTTATATATACCTATGCTGTGAAAAATAAAACAGACATGAACAACTTATTTCCATTTTTGATGGAATATGTACATGAAGTATTTTACTTAAATTGCGAAACAAATGTTTCAGTGATCATCATTCCTGATTTATCAGCAGTGTTTCTCAGTGTGAAAAACCTTACAGTTAGCAAAAGTGGCAAATGTGTGACTGCATGCAGAACAGATGGAGTACCTCATCAATTTATTTTGATCATCTTACAGAAAAGTGTGATTCCTTCAGGATTAATAGTAAGGAGAGAACGATGACAAAATGTTGGACTGACATGACTTAGACATAGTTTGTATATATAAAGCCTGAAGACTCATATTCAGTGTTTTTGTCATTGTTATGGTTTCATTTTGCTTTGTTTTATATTTTTTTAATTAAAAGTTGCTTTTTTATTTTCTTACCAACAACTGCTAAGGAAAAGGCACGCTAGTTAACCATTTTTTTTAAGGTTGGTCTGAATTGTTAAATATGACAGTTTGAGCTTGGGTGTCTTTAAAAAAAATTACTGTCTGATGCAAGAATCAATGTAAACTTTCTATTTTTCAGAGACTTTCAAAACCATATTCTATTGGGTTAGATGACAGCTGGATGACAAAGCAGTGCATTTATAACAAGGGCAGATACTGCTACTTGCCTACCCACTATTTATTCCCTCCTTCTTCCTTAACATCAGAACCTCACTTTGGTTTGAGACACTAATGTGCCCACTAAATAACTATATTTCTCAACCTCTCCTACTAAATTGTGGTGCAGTCAGACTGGTGGTGCCTAAGTATGTCATTGGCGGGTTTTCTGGGAAAGCTTTTAAAGGGAGCAGACTCAGCTGCACATACCTTTCCTCTTTTTCCTTCCTTTTCTTCCCTTTCCCCTTCCTGGAATAAAAATAGGAATATCATGCAAGGAGACAAAACTTCCATCTTGAGAAGATGAGGACGAAAACTATATGCTGAGATGAATGGCATCTGCAGTAGTTACTATACACTTGTGGTTGTTACATCATCCTGGATTGCTTGAAATTTGACTTCTTGTTATGCAAAACTCTGTGTGCTGAAAACAGTGTTGTTTGGGTTTTCTTTTATATGCAATTGAACACAATTTTTAACTGTTACAATAACTTAAAGGAGAATGTGTGGAGTCTGATGACAATTTAATCTCTGTAGCAGTCTGCTGCAATATTATATAAGTAGTGTATTTGATGCTTTCTTCAGACGGGTAACAACCCAGGAAGCCTCAGTTGCTTTAGAAATTAGAAAAAAGAAAGGCTTTAGAACAATGGTGTTAGCCCCTCCCCATATCATTAGATTTCCGTATTTGTAGGGCTCAATCTTCTCCAGTATATCCAGAATATCCTTATAAATTGTGTCTTTAATTAACAGAGACTTATTTGGATAACGTCATTCTGCAAATATTTTACATTTTTACTTTGAGTGTTTTCCCCATATACAGGGATCATCTTAGGTTTTAAAGCATTAGTTTAAGGACAATAGCTATCATACAATTATATACTTTATCAACCACTGAATATATTAAATATATAAATGCTGCCCTGGCATAAGCTAAATCATGTCATAAGAAGGTCTAGGGCTATCATTGTCTGAAAATAAATATTTATTACTATATGCTCCTTTTTGTATATAACCTGTAACTTTTAGTTGGGTGAGGGGGGGGATAGTAAAGATAATTTGCTTAGTCAAATAAAAATTGTGAAGTTGAAAATATACACTGATGGGACTAGCTTTCTGTAAAATAGGTTGTTTAGATTATATAGCTCTGTCTTATGTTTATGTTGCCTGTGAATCTCGATAGTGAATTTTTAATTAGCTGGCAAAATGTAGTAGCACAGTAAATCTTTGTCTTTTATGTACACATGTGTTTTGTGTTTCTAGTATTCATCTTGTAAATACTTTAGCTCACATGGTTTATAAGCACCACAGGCCCTCTATGGTGTAATCATACATCTGTAGGCCAGATTTTCTCCTTGGTTTCTGTTGAGGTCTCTTCATCCGTCTGTAGAACTGTTTACAACCATATGCTTTTGGTATCAAGTGAGAATAAAAGGATTGACTGAGGCCACCAGAAAAAGGATGGCCAATCCTTTGGGGCTACTGAGATGGTTCGCTTGGGTATAGTCACATGCTAGAATGTCTGCTTGGTTGCTGAGGTTCTGTTTTTCTCAGAGTGAGGCGTAAATAAGAATGGTTAAGAAGGGCTCCTCCACTGAGAATTTATCTATCCATTGCCAGTTCCTTTGTTCATTTCTCATAGTTAAATGTAGTAGTATCTAGGCATTATCTGGTTGGAAGGGGTTAAATTTGAGAAGAGGAGCTATAAATTTTAGCCTATCGACTGCTTTCGAATTTTCAATTGTCTTTTGCTGTTATAGACATCAGAGTTTTACCCTATAGTATTTGAATTAGAGCAGGAAGAAATTAATTTGGCCTGAAGTCGTCAGGTGAATATCAAGGCAATTCATTTTTTTAATCTGTTCAGTCAGAAACTTTCACTAACAGGGAGTTAATTACCTTCTAAATTGGAATTTTGTGTCAGCATTGAGTAATATTTAATTCATAATGGCCTTGAAGGTCTTCAAGTTTTTTTTCTGCGACGTGATCCCAATTGGACAGGCTGAGCTTCTGATATGACAAGATAACTGATTCCCTATTCAGTATACTGTTCTTTACACATCCATGTTTGGACTAGTGCATAAGTGAGGCTTTTACTAGCAAAAGAGGCTTTCAAAAAGAGCTAGTTTATGAAGAGTTAAAGGTCCTTAGGTTAGAATGCACAAAACTGGGTAAATACACATTTTGCTTTAGCTGGTCTTATCACTTAAATGTGCCCTGTCTTTTGTCATTAACTTACTCTGACTTAGTGTTAATTTCTCAACTGTTAAAGTAAGAGAATGATTTACACCTGTCTCTGAAGCAATGGCATTGTGGGCAAAGTATTTATGATTGGCAGAACACTTTGTGTTCTCAGAAAGCTATTTAAATACCAAATAATAACATTCAACGTGTTACATAGGAGCTTGTTAATGTATGTGAGATTACAGTTCATAATGGAAATATGAGAATGGATATGTCTTGACAGTTGAAACTGCTCCTTAGTTGAAATTGCTAAAATGAAAAATTACTGCCTGGCATGCTTATCATTGTGCAACAGAGCCTGCTATCTGTGAGAGATTATTTTGCACTTCCTATCATTTGTAGAAAAAGACTATGTCCCATGAAATGGCATCTGTATTCACATGTTAGATATTAGACATTGTGTGATGCTACAATTTTTCAAACTATCGGTAGCAGCCTACATATAGCAAATGAAGGAAATAGAATGCACTGGGTGATGGGTGGGGACTTAAAAATGATTTAATTACATAAATGACTTCTATTTACCATGGTCTCCAGATTGGAATATCTACAGGATTTATGCTTACCTCAAATCTTGAAATTGAGACAGAGTCAATAAATACAGTGTTATATAGATTTCTGATGCACTAAGTTTGTAATGGAATGAAAGGTAAACAAAAAATTAGAGGCTCAGATTATGATCCTGGTTCTGTCATATGTGACTGTGTTTCTTTCATCTGAGAAATATGTGGCTTGCCTCATCCCTACTTGCCTGGGGAAACTAATATGATGTGGATGAGAGTACAGGACAATATTATGTGATATGGTCTGGTTCTCAGCTTTGCCATCTCAGAAACCTGACTTATTGGCATACTGAATGTGGATCTGTCTCTTAGGGCTCCATACACAAGCGCCCAGAAACTAATGAATCAAAGCAGAATGTCAGTGTATTAAATGTGTAACGAGAAATAGCACTGCCAAAGGGGCTATCATTTTTAGCTATCTGATTTTCTCCCTAAAGCCTGGAGGAACTAGAATATAATTAAAAGCCTGTACAGGTTGCATGGAATCAGTTTAGGATGAATGACATCAATCTAAGGTAACTTAATTCATGCAAATAAAGTTTTGTCTGTCACTGGGACCAAAAAACCCATATTTTTGGGCCAAAATGGACTCTCTCTTGGACTGAGCCTCTGAGAATGTTCATTTTCCACATTTTTCCAAACTTTCATTGCTGACTCTCCTTCTCATTTATTATTGTTTATTTTAGTCACGTTATAGCCAGTTTTCTGTGTCTGGGAGCCACTTTGGGCTTTACCAAATGGCTTGTCTTATCTCTGACCTATTATGTAGTGATTTTATAATTTAATTTTCAGAGGGAAAGCTTATCTCCCTTATTTCTAAGTTCTTCATGGAAGTTTTTGCTGCCTCCGCTCCCCTACTGTCACTGCTTATGGTAGATTAATTCAGTATTTAAAGAACTCAGATCTAGGGCAACTTTCTACTCAATTAATGTATTTATTTTGAGAGTTCTTAGTGTTTAAGAGACAATTAGACTTTTCAGATTTTAGTCTCATCCTATAGAAAAAAGTTTGTTTGAAACACTAGCTAGGCAACAGAGGAGAAATAGCATTATCTTTTTGACACAGTTTAGTGTCGAATAACAAGACAAAGAGAAACCTGGAGGAACTGCTGCAGTTGTGTGCTTCACATCAATTTGGTTTACCTTAGAAAAGTGAGAAAGCTTGCTCCTTCTAGGGGTCTTCTAGGAAAATGAAGAGCTATTGTTTTTAAACGTTTTGATGAAAGAGAAATCTGTCTGAAGCCTCTAAGCTCCACAGTTAAATTATTCAGCTCTATCATTCACCCTTGCAATTAGGTAATATTTTATTAGTGTAGTCAAGGAACCCTGAGAGGAAAGGCATTAATGGAGTTTCACAAACTTTCCCTACCACAGCGCTGCTGAATTTCAGCAGTGCCCTAGATTCAGGCATCCTGCTGTTCCTGGAATCCCCATCCATTGACCTTGTTTCCCCTCCAGATACAGAGATAGCATTCAAGAGACACATCTCCTTCCCTCCCCCACCTATTGTCCTTAATTTTTCTGTGAGACATGACTTTCCTGGTAGCTTTGAGAGCTTGAGGTTGTGAGGGCTCCAGGCGACCAAATCCCTTAAAGATCACAATTGCCTGGCTGTGGTTCTGCTCCTAGCTAGAAAAGTCAGCAATCTTGGAGAGGAGGTGGCAGTTCTCACTCTTGCTCTGAGACTCTTGCTCTGAGATGAGGTGACATCTCTTGCTCTGAGAGGCCTGCTTCTGACCGTTATTCCCAGTAATCAGAAAGGGATGAATTGCATCTTATGGGTCGGTGGTTTCTGGCGGCATAGAAAAAAGAATCTGAGACTAGAATCATATGTTTTCCTACCTGTGACAAGAATATGGAATTGGGAATGTTCGTAAAGATCTAAGATATCTAATTATATTAGAATATTTTCTGCTTGTCTAGGATATTCAGTTTATCTTTCCTTCAGGCACTCTCCAAACAGCCTGTGTAACAATGAAGCCATTCCGTTGCTGGTAGGGAGGTTCAGGTTTTTGTCTTCACCACGCAAAAAAATTTGAAAAGGAGACCAAAGTGAGAGTATAGAAGCTTTACTGGGGAGGGAAAGCAAGTACACACTCAAGAGAGGAGCGCAGGCGTGTTCAAAAGAATAAGACAGCATGACGTGGTCAGGACTCACATACTATATAGATAAGCATAATGAAGGTGCAGAATATGCTATAATAAAGGGAGGGGATTTCCTGTAAATGGACAGGCAATTCCCTGAATCGGGGTGCCACCTTTTTCTAGACTAAATATGGTCACTCCGGAACTGTCATGGCGTCAGGTGTATAAAGGGAGTGGGAGGCTTCCGTTCGGAAATTTTAGGGTAATAAGGGAGTAATACAGCCAAGTGATGGGGGTCAGTCAAGCTTTCAGCCGTCTTGGATTTAACCGGTTGTGGCTGGTTTCTTCTTTGCTGCATTCCTATCTATGCCTAAAGCAGGATGTCTGCAACCTGTCTTCATTGTTGCAACCTCTCATAACAGTTTCTTTCTACTAGGGGACTGGTACTTGCGTTGATTCCATTTGTATTTAGCTACCTGCAGGTAATCATGTTTGTTCCCTTGCTAACTGCCTGCCTCAATTCCTCTGTTTATATCCTTTCACTGAATTCCTGATGAAGACGGACTTCTCCTGATGGTAATGTCTTATTGTCTATTTTTCCAACTTTTTCTCAAACCTCACTCTCCTTTGCTCATTGTGCTGTGACCACACTGACCCTCTTCCAGTTCTTGAATACTTCATACTCTCAAGACTCATGGCCTTCACATGTTTCCTCCACCTGGAATTTTGTCTCTTCTTCTCTTTACCTGGCTTCTGATCCTCAGACATTCGTTACCCACCTTTCCCCCTACTGGCCCTCCTCATCACAGTATTCTCTATTACATCTCTGTGTTTTTTTCATAGAACTTGTTACAAATTAGACTTACATACATTTATATATAGTTTTATTTAATGTCTCTCTCAATTGATGGCCAGACTTAAGAACATAGAGATCCCATCTGTTTTCTTTTTTTTTTTTTTGAGATGGAGTCTCACCCTGTCGCCCAGGCTGGAGTGCAATAGCATGATCTCTGCTCATTGCAACCTCCGCCTCCTGGGTTCAAGCAATTCTCCTGCCTCAGCCTCCCGAGTAGCTGGGATTGCAGGTGCCCACCACCATGCCCGGCTAATTTTTTGTATTTTTAGTAGAGACGGAGTTTCACCATTTTGGTCAGGCTGGTCTCGAACTCCTGACCTCGTGATCCACCCACCTCGGCCTCCCAAAGTGCTGGGATTGCAGATGTGAGCCACCGCACCTTGCCACATCTGTTTTATTCATTATCATATGCCCAGCATTTAGCATCGTGTTTCACATATATTAGGTGCCCAATAAGTATTTTATGAATAATGATGAATATATGAACCTAAGATGCCATTTTTAGCCTAATGATTTACTGATTCTCTATGCCATTGTAAAAAGGAGCAGGCAGCACTCTGGAAACCTTGCTCTCAAGGTGGTAGCTTGCCTGGAAGTTCTCTGAAATGCCTTTGGTGTCATTCTTCCATTGTCTTGATGAATAGAACGTGGCTTCCTACCATCCATATTAATCTCCTTAGCAAAGGGTTGCTTGGTCCCCTTAGTATTCTCTCCTGAACAGCATGCTTTTCTATTTTTTACATAGCCTGGCTGAGAGTTCTCTAGATCTTTCCATTCTGCTTCCTTTTTAATTATAAATCCCATCTTTAAATTATTTCTGTTTTCTGCCATTTTATTCTAAGCAGCCAAAAGAAGTCATGTAGTAAGTACCTTGAATACTTTGCTGCTTAGATATTTCTTCTGCCAGATGTCCTAGCTCTTAAGTCTTAAGTTCTACCTTTCACAAAGTCATAAGACAGACACAATTTCACCAGGTTATTTGCAAGTGTAACCAGGATAGCCTTTACTCTAGTTTCCCATACCGTATTCCACATTTCTATCCAAGACCTCATCACAATGTCCTTTTTTGTCCACATTTCTACCAGATTCTGATCACAATAATTTAAGAAAAAAGCTCCAGATATTTTCTCCATTTCTTTCTTTCTTCTGAGCTCTCACCTGAATTACCACTGATGCTCTGTTTATGGCAATTTGGGTTTTTTTTCTAGCCTGCTCTTCGAAATTCTTCCAATTTGTATCTGTTACCCACTTCCAAATCTGCTTCCACACTTTCAGATATTTCTTATAGCAACAGTCCCACTTAGCTTCTTAGTATCAATTTTCTTTCTTAGTCTGTTTTGTGCCCCTGTAACAATACCTGGGACTTGATAATTTATATACAACAGAATTTTATTTGGCTCATGGTTCTGGAGGTTGAGAAGGCCAAGATCAAGTGCTGCATCTGGTGACAACTTTCTTGCTGTGTCATAATATCCCAGAGGCATTAAAGGGGTGAGAGAGAACACATAAGGGAGCAAGAGGTTGTCCAAACTTGCATTTATAAGGAACTCACTTTCATGATAAACCCACCCCCATGATAATCACATTAATCTATTTATGAGGGCAGAAGCCTCATAACCCAATCACCTCTTAAAGGTCCCACCTCTCAATACATTTGCACAGAGGATTAAGTTTCCAACACTTAAGCTTTGGGAGACACATTCAAACCATAGCAAAAATGTCATATATTTTATCCTATTTTCAACACAAGTCCCTTTCTAAAATAATCTCTTATAAATCATTGAAAATTGATATTTGATTAATAATAATGATATAAACTGGTGAAGAAAGGGATGATGGGAACTTTGTAAAATGTAACTGAGCATGGCACCTTTCCTTAGAAACCACTTGTGTTAAATAACCTCAGGGATACCCTACATTCTGATCACTTTCTTTTTAAAATCTTTATTCTCTTACTCACTGAAAAAAACCCAGATTAATAGCATTTTTTACCAATCTTTGATATAATCTATACTTGTATGTATGTGGATATTTATTCAAATGATAAATACAGCATGTTTCTCACAGTCAATTTGAAGGAGTATGTTGTGATAGAAGTACAGTGTGCCTTGTGTGGAACAAGGTTTATGCAAAGATGCTGCATTAATTGCCTTTATAGCATTTATGTATTATGAGAATTTTATGCTTTATTCAGTTGGAAGTTATTTTTGTATATATTATGTTGATAGAATTTCTTTCTTCAAGAATCTCTTGTTTAAGAGAGCCTCACCTAAAATATCTATCAAATTTAAATCTGTAGTGTTTTTCTTTTTCTATATTGACAATTTTGTGTAAACAATTTTCACTTTCCTGAAAGTTCCCTCTTTTTAGTACAACTGCTTCCCTAGATTGTCTCCACAATGCAGTTCAAGACTGAAAATTTTCTGCTAGAAAGCAAAACCAAACCAAACCAAACCAAACCAAAACAAAAGCTGGTCGTGGTGGTTTATGCCCGTAATCTCAGCACTTTGGGAGGTGGAGGTGGGAGGATCACTTGAGGTCAGGAGTTCGAGACCAGCCTGGCCAACATGGCGAAACGCCATCTCTACCAAAAAATACAAAAATTAGCTGGGTGTGGTGGCGGGTACCTGTAGTCCCAGCTACTCGGGAGGCTGCGGCACAAGAATCACTTGAACCCAGGAGGCAGAGGTTGCAATGAGCCGAAATCACACACTGCATTCCAGCCTGGGTGACAGGGTGAGATTATGTCTCAAAAAAAAAAAAAAAAAAAAAAAGCAAGATGTCTTGTGATATTATTTCTCAGGAGGGAAGGACACACACACACACACACACACACACACACGCATATACATTAACAATTAGAAGGCATTTATACTATGCTTTAAAGTCATCCTGTCACTACATTGGTTTCTAAAGAATATGAATGCTGCAGAGAAAAGTATGGCGTGCATGGACGCTTTTATATATTTTTTCTTTAAAAACGTGGTTATGTCAGGCTCTAATCAAATAAGCGAAAACGGGAATCAGCAGAATACACTGAAAAACTACTTGGTATGTTGCCATGGATTGGTGATATTTCATAGATCTTGGACATTTCAAAGGCAGAGATATTTTGCACCATAGACTAATGTTAATTCACCATAGCAAGGGATGCTGGTGGTTTCAGAACCTGCTGCTTTATTTCCCGTTTTAGCAATTTCCATATGGCTCATATGGTACCTACCAGCAGGCTTTGTCAGGCAGGGCCACTGAGTCACCTGTGGCATTTTGAACATCCTGCTGGGTTTGTATCATAACCAAGAACAATTTCTATTGTTAGCAAATTCTGTGAAAAATTCTCATGAGGTAAATACAGCCCAAAGAGAAGGCTGCTTTGGGATTTCCCTGAGTCAGAGTAAAAAATTGCTAGCAAAAAAATCTTTGGCAGCAGATACTTTTATCCCGCTGTGCAGGAATAGTCTGGGAGAAAATATTACAACAGAGAATATACTGAGGGTGATTTGCTTGATTTGAATCCCTTTGGGAAGGCTACTTTTCTTCATTTTAAATTATTAATTTTAATGTTTAATTTACTTTACTAGAGTAGTACAATCAATGCATGAATTCAATTTATTTCCATGTAAATAAATTAGAACATTACACTTGAAGCAGAATTCTGCTCTGACCATCCACCACAGAGTGATTCTTTATTTTCCTACTCTCCCTCACCCCTACCCATTCCCACAAACCCTCACTAACTATGCTTGAGACTTTTGCTTGTATTCCTGGAGACATATGTTTTTTTAAAAAACCTTTTCACATATAGAAATGGGTTCCCATAGAAAATATATAGTTTTCTATTCTTCTTTAAAGAACATAAATCGTAAGGAAAGAAACATTTGATGTTGATAAAAATGTCTTACAAAATCTCCAGGGTTTAATAAACTAATAATTTCATGGATTTCTTTTCTTTTAAAACTTAGCTACAGTTTTATTGATTGTTCTTTTTCGACAGTAGAGCTCCAAAATATCCTGGTTAATACTTTGTAGATAGTAGAAGAGTGTTCCTAGGGAAAACTTGGCTTTATATCTGTCTCAGTAATTCTTTACTCTGTTTCTAAAGGGAGGGGCCAGTGTGAAGTGGTAGCTGGATACTGTTTTCAGTACTAGAAGGCCTGGGTTGTAATTTCATCTTTGCCACTGCTCTCTTTGTGATCTTTCTACTTTTGACCTCTATGAGATCTACGAGGACTTCCTGTACTGTAAAGTTCTAGGATTCTCTAAAATGCATCAGTATTTTTCCAAGCTGTATAAATTATCTTGGCTGGGGAAAAAGTTTTGTGTCACTATAATGATGGATAGATAGCTCTTGAGTTACAGGATCTGGTGTTAAATTGTCTGGGCTTGAAACTATCTTGTCTGCTTTCAGATGTCTATGACCCGGACATGTGACTTACCCTCTTTTTACGTCAATCTTTTTTATCTAGAAAGAGAGTGACAGTAATACATATCGCTCATAGGCAGCTTATGGGTTAAATGAGGTAATGTATAAAGAACACTCAGAAAAGCAAGTTTTTAATACATCTTAATTCTCATTAAATTTTGCAGGTATCTATTCACTTCCTGGAGCAATAATTTCCTAATCTTCAATTATTTGTTTTAATTGTATATATATATATTTGTAAAGGAATATACTGACTCTGTAGGAGACAAATTATGATAACTGTGGGGTCCTTGAGAGGGAATTCTTTGTATAAGAAGGAGACTAGGGATGAGGCTTCAATTTGGGTTCCAGGAGTGGCATGGAAACTGGTACCCAAATGCATCTTGACCCAGTCATCTTTGCAAAGCTTGTTTACCTTCAGAGAAAGAAAATTGTGTTTGTGAGTTGAAAGGCTATCCTCATTAAAATCTTTTTTTTTTTTTTAATAGAGGCTGCTGGTTGTCTCCAGTATTTAGCCCACCTTGTGTAGTAATAAATTTTTTCCTGGACATGTGGCCTTCTACAATAAACATCACATTTCCAACCCCCTTTGTAGTATAGTGTGGCAAGATGACTACATTTTGAACAACGGGTCTGAACAGAGGTGATGTGTGTAATTGCTACACTTTGTTCTCAAATGCATGTATGGAATGCAAAGGGAATGTATGTGACTTCCCCTTGCCTCTTTTCCCCTTCTTGCTGGCTAGATTATGAATGTCATGGCTGGAACTAGAGGAGTCATCTTGAACTGTGAGATGGAAATCACCTTTTAAGGATGTTTGAGAACAAGATAGAAAAGGCAGTAATAAACTTATCTTGTTTAAGATACTGTAGTTATTTTATTTTATTAGTTAAGCCTATGTCTTAACTAATACAATCTTAATAGTTTGGCGATAAATAAGCCTACGATTGAACCTTCCCCCATTCTTCCCATTCCTAATTGAATATAACCTGCAAGGAGGGAGTATACCTTCTTATTTCCCAATAGATCATTGAGTTTGGAGGGCATGGAGAGAGAATCTAGACCCTAGGACATGAAAGACAGCAGGTATGTGCTTCTCAGGAGAAAGATCCATGCTGATTCAATACAGTATTAATTTATTATTCATTATTTAGTAATGAATAATAAATTGTATCAGTTACAATTTATCATTGTAACTGAGTATACAAGTTAGCTTTGGATGTGCTAATGGCAAATATAAAAAATGATATTCTGTATAGTGATAATTACGTAATAAAAAGAAGAATGCTAGCTTCTTAGACGTGAACTGATTAGAATTTGTGTTAGGAATCTTTATATGATAGGCATTGAGTGATGAAATAAACCATTTTTCTCTAGCAATTTTATATATAAGTAATTGTTTTTCTATCATGAGCATTCTACTTCAAATATGAAGCTTTTGAAGAGTAATCCTGTATTACTTCACTCAATGAAAATTCCACATCATATGATGTTAAAAGGCCAGTTTTCTTTCCTGAAATTAACTTTAGCAATGCTAATTATGATTATTTTCATTTATAAACTTAAAACTCTCAGGAAGCTATTGTATGTCTCAGCATAAACATCTCTTGTGCCAACAATGAAAGAGCAGCTTTTATTTTTTAAAAAAATAGAAATTAAGAGAAAAGAAAAAATATGTGCCAGATATTTTGGGGGGCCCTTAAGATTCTGGGTAAATAACATAAATAAAATCCCTAGCTTCCTAGAGCTGAAAAAGAATAATTTTTATGGGTTTTTTTCTCATTTTTAAAAAACACTTCATTATACCACTTTTCAGGTTTCTCCTTCTTTACTGAAGAAATCTAATTTTTTTTTTAGTTTGATACATCCATACACTCATTTCTTCAGTAGTTTTATTCTGAATCTTCTTTAGATACCATTAATCCTGAACATTGTTAAGAAACATTGCAGGAATGAAAGCACAATAGGTTTATTAAAGTGTAGAATCAAGTGTTCCTATTTTGAAGCAGTAATGTCTAATATTTTATTAGAATTTTGCACACAAATCCCAGCACTTTGGGAGGCCAAGGCGGGTGGATCACTTGATGTCAGGCGTTCGAGACCAGTCTGGCCACATAGTGAAACCTTGTATCCACTAAAAATACAAAAATTAGCCAGGCATGGTGGCAGGCGCCTGTAATCCCAGCTACTCAGGAGGCTGAGGCAGGAGAATCGCTTGAACCTAGGAGGTGGAGGTTGCAGTGAGCCAAGATCATGCCACTGCACTCCAGCCTGGATGACAGAGTAAGACTCTGTCTCCAAAAGAAAAATAAAAATAAAAAATAATTTTGTGCATAGTTTGCTATTCCTGAAATTATAGTAAAATCAGAATAAGAAGGAAGCAAGACAAAGGCACGTTTAGGTAGATCAGAACTTTACTTTAAAAGAACCCAGGGTGAGAGAAACTCTTTATTCAAATCTTGGTTCATGATGGTTCCGTATTTTAACATCTGAAGTTTCTAATACTTTTACTACTTGTAGCGCATGAAGAAGGAGTCTTTTTTGGTTTGGGTGAAGTTTTCACTGTTGCATTTTATTGTTCTCAATTTGACCATCTTACGTGAGTTGTCACATATGTGTTACATCTGAAAATTACAAAGTCCAGTATTATAAAATGTGTGAGTTAAAATGGTAGTATTTTGTTTAAAGCTTTGAGGATCTATTCCACTTGGAGTTCTGTCTCTTTCTACCAAAAAAACTCTTAAATATTGTATTGATTATATATTTTCTTTTAATTTATTTTATTTTGAATTTGGGAAACATTACTTTTTTTTTTTATACACAGCATCATAGGTCATGGTCCCCCATTAGATGGAAATTTGTCCACAAGAGGCTTATTAGAAGTGCCACAGGAAACATCAATAAGGGAATAAGTAAAGCAGAGGGATAATTTGAACTGTGTTGTATTTGCGACGGTGGATACAGTCAATTCTAGTGGAATCTCTAAAATTGGTACGGCCCTTTAGAAATGTCTGATTTGAGACAAAGATCTTTGTTCCTCTGCATCAACCAAACCAAGGATACAGGATTCCCCAATGAAAGGAGCATAACCTTGGATGAGCCAGTTGCCTTTGGCTCGGGACAAGATGAGTCCTTTATTTTTTGTGTGTGTTTTTTTTTAATGTATGTTATGGTCTTATCTAAAATGTTTCATGAAATGGATTAGAATAATCAGAAAGAACAGGTCTTTAGTAGCACCATTTTTTAATCCTATAGATTTTTTGATTTATTACAATCGTTGTGGTTGTTATTGTTATTTGGTTCTAATGGGATATGTGTACTTTGTTTCCATATGACCTGTATATGTATAAGATTAGAACTACAAATTACAGTCTGCTGATCTTTATGGGGCTCATTTTTTTTCTTAACTTTTTATTTATAATTGGCACTTAATAATTGTACATATTTATGGGGTACAGTGTGATGTTTCAATATTTGCAAACATTGTGCAATGATCAAATCAGGGTAATTATCATATGTATCACTTTAAACATTTATCACTTCTTTGTGGTAATAACATTCAAAATCTCTTCTTCTTTTCTTTTTTTTATTATACTTTAAGTTCTAGGGTATGTGTGCACAACATGCAGGTTTGTTACATATGTATACATGTGCCATGTTGGTGTGCTGCACCCATTAACTCGTCATTTACATTAGGTATGTCTCCTAATGCTATCCCTCCCCCTTTCCCTTACCCCACCATAGGCCCCTGTGTGTGGTGTTCCCCACCCTGTGTCCAAGTTTTCTCATTGTTCAATTCCCACCTATGAGTGAGAACATGTGGTGTTTGGTTTTCTGTCCTTGCAATAATTTGCTCAGAATGATGGTTTCCAGCTTCATCCATATCCCTACAAAGGACATGCACTCATCCTTTTTTATGACTGCATGGTATTCCATGGTGTATATGTGCCACATTTTCTTAATCCAGTCTATCATTGTCATACATTTGGGTTGGTTCCAAGTCTTTGCTATTGTGAATAGTGCTGCAATAAACATACGTGTGCATGTGTCTTTATAGCAGCATGATTTATAATCCTTTGGGTATATACCCAGTAATGAGATGGCTGAGTCAAATGGTATTTCTAGTTCTAGATCCTTGAGGAATCACCACACTGTCTTCCACAATGGTTGAACTAGTTTACAGTCCCACCAACAGTGTAAAAGTGTTCCTATTTCTCCACATCCTCTCCAGCACCTGTTGTTTCCTGACTTTTTAATGATAGCCATTCTAACTGGTGTGAGATGGTATCTCATTGTGGTTTTGATTTGCATTTCTCTGATGGCCAGTGATGATCAGCATTTTTTCATGTGTCTGTTGACTGCATAAATGTCTTCTTTTGAGAAATGTCTGTTCATATCCTTCGCCCACTTTTTGATGAGGTTGTTTGACTTTTTTCTTGTAAATTTGTTAAAGTTCTTTGTAGATTCTGGATATTAGCCCTTTGTCAGATGGGTAGATTGCAAAAATTTTCTCCCATTCTGTAGGTTGAGATGGAGTCTCATTCTGTCGCCCAGGCTGGAGTGCAGTGGCACGATCTTGGCTCACTGCAAGCTCTGCCTCCCAGATTCACACCATTCTCCTGCCTCAGCCTCCTGAGTAACTGGGACTACAGGCGCCCGCCACCATGCGTGGCTATTTTATTTTATTTTTTTTGTATTTTTAGTAGAGGCAGGGTTTCACCGTGTTAGACAGGATGGTCTCGATCTCCTGACCTCGTGATCCACCTGCCTCGGCCTCCCAAAATGCTGGGATTACGGGCATGAGCCACCACACCCGGCCCAAAATCTCTTCTATCTTTAAATATATACTACATTGTAATTTGCTGTAGTCACCATACTTTGTATAGAACTTATTCATAGGAGTCATTTTTATATTAAAACTTTGAGCTTGTTATCTGCTTTTTGACTTAATTTGGAATCATAGACATGTATCCCAGGCTCTAAGATTCTAAATTAACTTCAAAAGAGTTAACTGGAATGATTTGCTTTTAAATCTTTCATTTATTTGTTGCTATCTTATAGAGGTGGATTTCACTGCTTGTGCATTTTTGGAAAGTAGTCCATCTCATCATTACATTTATTTGCGGTTCTGATCTAATTTTAATAAATAGCTCAACACTGGTGTTATGAAAATACTTGAAGGTTTTTAAAGGTATAATTGCCTCTTAGGTTAGATATATTTTGTTAGAGTAATTTAGTTGTAGCCTATGGTATTAAGTCTGTTACTTAATGGTTGACATCATCATTATTATTATTTTTTACTAATGAGGCAAGTACTGTCTTGAGTTGCAGATATGAACTTTGCCATAGCACAGTATAATACATTTATTTGTATTTGTGAGTATTATAAACAGCATTTAATGTCCATGTCAATGAATATGGTTTATTTTTATACTGTTTGTTTTATCCTTAAGTTGCAGTGACATTCACTGAAGAAAAAATTATTTTAAATTCTGATTTAATTTTTATTTTCAAGTTGAATTTTTTCTTCATACTAAACTATAAACATTATACTAAACTATAAACATTACTACCTATAGTCAGTGACTTATTATGCTTAAAATTATATGTATATTTAAATTAATACAACATCTTTTCTAGTGAAAGTCACTGTAAGTCAAAATTTTCAGAGTGAGTGTGTATATATGTATTGATATATTGAATACTTTTAAAGCTAACTTATACCATAAAAGATTTAAGCTCATGTCAGAAACACTCTAATAAAAGTGGGGCAAAGAAGAAATAGATAATTCAACCCAAGAGAAATATACAGAATTAATATTTGAAAAGCAGAGAGGGAAGAATGTTCATATGTAGATCACAAGGGTCAATGTGGTACTTGGATATGAACTTTGAACTTGGCTCTGCCTTTTCCAGGAGCCAAACTAGAAAGAGAAAACTGCTCAGTTATATAACATTCATTGTTAGAGTAATAGTATTATTTTCAACGTACAGATGAGGAAACTAAGACACAGAAGTTTATGTAAACTCCTCAGTGGCACATAGCAGCTGGAACCAGGATTTCAACACTGCTAAGCTGACTCCTGTGTCTAAACTCTTAAAATCTTTCTGCAGGATATAGTTTTTAATATCTTCCCAAAATGTTCTTACAGAAAATATAGTACCAAAGTCTAGAGTTGTAGCCGAATTACCATTCTGAAAAATGTTCTTAGTGTATTTAATGCTAATTGAAATCACGCCTTTCTTTTTAATTCTTCCTTAGTAAAGATATAACATATCTAATGTACAAGCTACAAAATTCAGTATGATTGAACGGATTTTGATGTTTAGGAAATGCAGATACACATTTTTTTCACTGATATCCAAACTATTATGTTGACAATTCAACTCATGAATATAGAGAGTGGAAGAATGATTACCATAGGCTGGGAAGGGTAGTGTGGGGAACAGGGGAGGAAGTGGGGATGGTTAATGGGTACAACATAGAGTTACATACAATAAATATCATCTAGTATTTGATAACACAACAGGATAACTTCAGTTAACAAGAATTCATAGTACATTTTAAATACCTAAAAGAGTATAATTGGGTTGTTTGTAACACAAAGAAGGGATAAATGCTTGAGGTGATGAATATCCCATTTACACTGATGTGATCATTATGCCTTGTATGCCTGTGTCAAAATATCTTATATACCCTATAAATATATACACCTACTATGTACCCACACATTTTTAAAATTAAAAAAGCAAATAAACTATTAGGTTGAACATTTGAAATGGCTGGCAAAAAGGTTAACCATTTTTTACTGTATTGCTCAGCCTAATATTAGAAGAGTATCTTAAAATATGATAATATAAAAATATCTTATTTGTTAGTAAGGTCATATGGAGGTTTCTTATAGTAGGTCTTTCAATCCTCTTTTGCCAGTCTATAAGTCTTCTTGAAAATATTTGCCATGATAACCTCTAGAAGGCAACTTGTCCTGGCAAGTCACTCTTTCTTATGAGAGTTTCCTTATTTCTAATGCAGTCTTACTGATATAAGGAAATAAATATACTTAATATGCTTTGTAAACTTCAAAGTGATATGTAAATATGAGAGGGCCCCATTATATATTTTAGTATGTTAAATCAGGTTGTCTTCAAATTCACCAGACTCTTTTCAAATTCTTTCATTCTTAATGACTAGGCTACATTACATGGACACATTATAGCTCCCTATTTCTGCCAGTTCTTCCATATCCAGGCTCGAACTTAATAAATTAAATATGAATTGTAGCTTCATTGTTGTTTCTCTTTCTTCTTTCCCTTTTAAATTTATGCTATCTTGCTGTATTTTAAGAATGTGTGCAAGCCATTTAAATCATATCTGGAACATAGCTTACTATAAATAAATATATTAAATAGAAGTTTTATATAATACTGATCAGTTCCACAGACTACTATGAATATACAATATTGACCTAATTTAAGAACACATGTATTTCCTTTAGTAGCAACATCAATATTGCTTTTTTTTTTTTTTTTTGTAACTCTTAGGCAGGAAATTCTGCTAGGTATTGTCAGGGACATTGTCTTGTGAAATTTTTACTTGAAAGTAATTAATGTAGATAAAATGGACACACATGAAACAGGTAAAGAACATGTCAGTGCTTAAAAGTCATTAGTAGACTTTAAAACATAAGCCTTTAGGAGGACCCGGGATAGTTCAAAGGGTCAAGTTGGTGCAATAGATGTTGAGCACATTTTTTAATGAGGCAACAAATTGATTATGATTATTAGGCAATGATAAGCTTTGCTCCCTGCTTCAACAATTAAAAAGAAGAAACAACATTTTTGGACAGGTGTTTCCCCATGCAATAACAACAGATTAAACCAGATCTGAAGAAAAAATTTGATTTAATTCATTTTTGGCTGGGAAAGGGGCCGAGAAACAGTTAGATCCACAATTTCAGATCTAGTCTTTCTGTTCTGAGGTGGAAGTTTACCTATGGTATGAGCTGCAAAGTAACTGTATAGGTCATTCAACTGTATGAGCTGCAGAGTTGAAAAACTCCCACAGGTACTGTGGGTCTGGATAATAAAGATCTCATCCTGTGGTCAGCTCCTTGTCATTAATATGTAAGCTTTGCAGACTTTTTCCTTTTCATACACCAGATTCCGTTCCACCTGTCTTCTCCTTCCCAGTAAGAACACGAATTAGGGCATCTTAGCCTCTTGTTGTCATTCCTAAATCTATTCATATCATGACTTTCAGATCTGTGTTTAAATAAGCATTTATGTTATTTAAATATAATTGCATGCCATTTCTTTCTCTTTCTGAATTTGGAATACATTTCTGTGCCATTTATATTTTCCCCTCAGGCAACAAATCCTGGCAATAACATGAATTATTGCCGTTCCCTCCTTCACTTACTCGTGTTATAGTGTATTACTGAGCTCAACTGTGTGTCCAACCCTGGGTACGGAACATAATTGGTAGTAGAGCCACTGCCACATGTATCAACTCTGCTCTCTACCAGAGATTGGAAATCACAAAATAATATTGTCTGGAAGTGCAATAGTTGGTTAAATCACACTCTTAAAATTGTGAATGCCCTGATCTCTGAAAAATCATAGCAAAGTAAAAAGATGAAAGAATATACAGTAATTATTTGCTGTTTCCCAGCATTCTGAGACTGTATCTACGGGATTTCACCATGTTGGCCAGGATGGTCTCAATCTCCTGACCTGCCTGGCTCGGCCTCCCAAAGTGCTGGGGTTACAGGTATGAGCCATCACTCCCAGCCCCTCCATAAATGGTTTAAGTATACAATATATTGTTGTTGACTATAGTGGCAATATTGTACAGCAGATCTGTAAAACTTAGTCATCTTGTTTAGCTGAAGCTTTATGCCCCGTGATTAGTAACTACTCAGTTCTCCTCCCCCCAGGTCCTGCTGTTTACCATTCTACTCTTTGATTCTATGAATTTGACTCTTTTGGATACCTCATGTAAGTGGAATCAAGTAGGGATCAGCAAACCTTTTTTGTAAAGGGCCAGATAGGAACTATTTTAGGCTTTGTGTCTGAGAGGCAAAATCACCAATATTTGTATAACAAACAAATTTCCACAATTTTAATGATGAAATTCAAAATAATTGAGTCCAACTTTTTGTACGTAAGTCTACAGATGAGAGTAACTGAGTTCTTTATTCGTGTGGTTAGTGTTTTCCTTAATTATTGGTCAAACATAATGTTCCCTATCATCAAATTGATTGCTAATGTTCATCTGTAAAAGCCATTCTTAGAGCTTATGGGCTGCACAAAACCAGGTGGCAGGCCTGATTTGGCACACAGCTGTGGTTTGCTGACCCTGGTCTTAAAAGGATTAAGAAAGCAGGAGAGCTCTGAGACATTCTGATCAAATTAACACGCCAGCAAGTAACAGTTTAAGTAGCCTCAGGCTAATTTTGAGTTATGGAGTGAGAAGTATAGCTGTAATAGTGTCTGAACATATTTAGATGTAGAGTGCAATTGGAAACAAAATTTGGGAATATGCATGGGTTCCTGATTTCTAAAAGAAGGTTCTTGGATCTACAACTGAATTTCCTTTTGCTTTTTGCACTTGCATGAGTGTTCTGCAAAGGGGCTAGACAGGGTTGACAAATGCCTTCCTATTTGAGTGTTCCCAGATATAGTGGCTGTTTTAGCAGAAGGGAGAGAATACATCAAAGGCAATGCCAAATGATGCTCATCTCAGTTCCTCCCTAGAAGTACATGCTAGCCTGGAAGGGAAATTGACAATAAGAATGGAAATTAACTTTGCCTTTGTATATGCCTAATGTAAAAACAATATGAAGAGGTGAAGGGAAATCCACAGATATTCCCCAGATTCCTTTCTTATAGTTTTTAAAGATCTCAAATTGAGTTATTTGGTAAATACTAGTTTAGGTAAAAGTTAGAATGGAGAGGTGTACAGAAGTCTTAATAGTGATAGGATGCTTATATTCTCCTGCCATGCAATGTTGAACATCTTATGATCCTGGGATGGATAGAGTGTCATTTGCCTGATGCTGTGGCACATTCTAAAAGGTAGGTAGAATGGAGAAATCAGGTCAATAAATGGAATCTAAATATGTCATCAACCAGGACAAAAATACTTAGCTTTTTGAACTAAGTCAGCATCATGGAGAGTCAGAGAGAGGAAGACACAGAGCAATAGTTGAGGAAAGTCAGGTGAAGTGTGGTAGATTTGGTGTTACCTTACGAAGACCTGCATTTCAGTACAATGAATGGTGATTGCCAGACACATTATTTTGTAGGACTCAAGATACTGACCAACTCTGGCAACTTTGCCATATTCTGGTGATGGGGTAGAGAAAAGAACCTGACATAACAGGGAGGCTGTGGAAAAGGAGAAAATGGGGAAAAATGTGGTATCTCAGAGGAAATACAAATAATCTGTAAATCAATTATGAATTTGAGCTCAGTGAAGGCATCCAAGTTTCCAGATGTGGCTTAGGGATCCAGTGCAGAATGGGGAAGGATGGGGGACCTCAATTTTAAGAGTACAAAGGAGCTATAGTAGAGACCCCAAATCCAGAGGTGATTTATGGAAAGTTCAGTCTGAGCATGATGCAAGACCATGTTTTACTCCTGAAGCCTGAGAGGCAGGCTGAGGCAGCTGTCTAGAGACGGTTGACAGTCCCTAACACCCACACGCTGAATGGGGATGGACATACTGATGAGGAGTACAAGAGACAGATTATTATGGATTGCACAAATATCTAGAATAGTTTTGATGTTCTTCATAAGCTAGCTAAAACTATGAGCCCTTGTGAAAAGAGGCAATGTTTGGCTTAGCCTGCCACAGATTTACTTGGCTGGTATTTTGTATCTTGAGTGGAAAATCATATTTTTCCATTTAATTAAATCATTTTTTTTATGATTCAATTTTTGTCTCCTCCCTGAAAAACAAACTTAATCTCAACTTAGCAGCATTAGTTCTTAATATGTATTAGAACAGTACACTTCCATTGATGAAGAACAAGGCAACCAATCTTCACTATATTTGCTTTTCTCTTTATAGCATTAATTGAGAACCCACTAAATACCAGGTGATATACTTGGGTTATAAAGATAAATATGACATGATTTCTGAATAAAATAGCTTTAGAAATTTTGTTAATTATGATATGATCACTACTAGCGAAGAGATACATAAAATTGATGCGGAGGCACAGGGGGATAGTAGCTACCTATTTTTTTCTTTCTGATAGTGTTCAACAATGGCTTATTGACAACTCAAATCATGTTTTAGACCATAAGTGTACTAAAATAATTTATGCTGTGTCTTTATTTTTAAAAAGTATCTGTCTCTAAAACAAAAATCTGATTTGTCCTCTGTAAAACAACGAGCACACTACATAACCTTCTTGGTTATATAACAAACTCTGGTGATATTTATCTATTTGAATTAAGTGCAAAAATTCCTGCTGGGCATTTACTATCGCAGAGTGCATCAGCTTTCATGGCTTGAGAAGTGTTCCTGTTCAAATCAGCTTGATGAGGGGTGAAATAGGACAGGGAAAAAATCCTTAAACATCCACTTGAAAAATGTGGCAAGGAAGGTAAGGACAAACTTTAGTAGTGACTGTGAGTCTAAGGATTTAAGAATAGAGTATTTTTAACCCCTTTTATTGGTTTGTATTAAAATAGAATAATTGTCAAAGGATCTAGTTACCATGGTAACTTACCATATTTCAAGAGCATGTAAGTAAAGTCACTCTTATAAGACCAGAAAATAGTAAACACAATACAGCAGGCTTTTTTTTTCTTTTTTAACATTAACTTTTTTACTATGCAAAAATAATATAAAATTGAGTTTTGGGTGCTGGGAGGAAATGAGAAAAAGAAAGTGTGTTGTAACATATTTGTTTCACTTTTTATGAAGTTTATATTCTTAAAACAATTTTTCTGTCATATAGCAAGCTAACAAGGCCTATTTAAGAATCAAGTACACATATTTCTCATGTAAAAAATGTTGACCTTGTAAATATGCTACAGACATATATATGTGTGTGTGTATATATGCAGTGCTTATATATATAGAATATATATATAATATTATATATTAGCAAAGAATTGTGCTGTTTTACCTGAAGTGTGTGTAAATATATATATATATATATATATATATATATTTATTTATTTATTTATTTATTTATTTATATTTTACTACACACACTGCATGTAAAACAGTTAGCAGAATTCTTTCCCGGAGTAAGCTGTCAGTATACATGAATGTCAATAATTCTCTACTTGCCCGATCTCCTTTTTCTTCTGATTTCTCCTCTCTTTTTGTTTGTTCATCATTCACTTTCTTTCATTATATCTCTGTGTACTTTTTGTAGTCCCCCATATTGCCTCTTAATTTCTTTTTTGTTTGCTTCATTGTTTTCCTTTAAATACTTATGTTTTTCTTAACTAGTTAAAAAATTAGATTAAGTGTGAGCGACTAGCATGAAGCTAGTTCTAGGATAACTTGATGGTCATAAAGCAGCATATTGTTAAAACAGTGTAACTGAGCAGCATTTGATTCTGGATGAGGTAAGGTATAGGAGATATTGGGGAGATGGGTAAGAGAAAGGGATGGTAGGGTGAAATTAGTTCAAAGGAGAAAGGTAAAGGTTATTTGAGGGATAGGAAAGAGACTGCCTGCCATCACCCAGGGTGGAAGTTTCTGTTTTCCCATCTAAGCCAGGAAGCTTAAGACAATCCCTGCTACCAAAATAGTAGAAGGATTTAGCATGAGGCTTTATTCGAGTAAGATAGAATCTTGCAATTTTACCTATGTCATTTCATGAAGTGCATACCTTAGTGCAACAAAAGTTAGAAACAGAAATAGATATACAGTTGGTAAAAATAATTGAAATATTAAAGATATGCACTGGCAGCCTCTTCTTTCTGCCAGATCAAACATTCTCATTGCTTAGCTTAACTTTCTCTGTATTCAAATTATACTAGCTCAGAAAATTAGGTAGTTTAAAAACTCAGATTACAAGTTGTCTGTTCCCATGCATAGGAAGTAAAACTGTCCACCATGAACCTTTGTAGAATATAACATTTTTTCCCTCTTTAGTGGTGGTAGTTTTATGGCAAATGATAGGTTGCCATATTTTCCTTTTTAGTGGTGGTAGTTTGATGGCAAATGACTTAAATTATCCTATTGTTTTACCATGGATAGAGTTGTTTAGGGGGAGTAGCTCAGATCTATAAAAGGATCGTTCGGGGAAGCTTGCTGGCTTCTTCCACACCCTGCAAAGCCCCAGACAGCCAGGGGTCATTGTGACCTAAATGCAGGATGGGCTGTAGTGAGATACAGCATGTCTGGTATCCAGCTTTTAATCCGTAATGCCAGGCACTCCCAAATAAAAGGAACCAATCAACTGATGCATGCATTCTCTAGCAGGTCATTCCAGGTAAGCTACATTTGTGGTGTTTTCCTGTATGAAGTTAGTTGAATCTTCTGATTTCCACCTTCCTGTTTGTATCTTCATTTATTTAGGTAGCTTTGTTTTTGACGTTTTGCCATTGTCACTATCTAAATGATACTTCACAACTCCCTAGATTGGCATGCATTTGATAGAGAAGAACACAAGCAAAAATCACAGAAAGGGAATATCTCCCAAGCAGAATGATAAATTATAAATATTTAATTTGTACAATATATGTAAATATGTAAATATGCTACAAAGCATAATTAATTCATTGACATAACTGCTGAGCTATTGTATACTAAGTTGATGAGACAGTGATACAAGTGTTGTTAATTAGCATGTAATGCATTGAAGACAATGATATCCAACTTGTTAATAGTTAATTAGAGAGCTAATTATAAAGAAGCTCCATTAGAAATTCCCTTTTTGGTTATGTTTGGGCTCTCTTCTCATATTATGAAAAAGTTAGCATGAGTTGCATTTTTTTATCAACAGAGAAAATGAAAATAAAATTTATATGATGATTGTACAATATGTTCTCAAAATCAAAATCCTATGGGTTGCGATCCAGGGAAACTAATGTTGCCCAATTCCTTTCTTAGGCATGATTACACAGAAATATGCTTATCCGGCCATGCCATTTTAGGTAAAGATATTATACAAGTGTTTGGAAAAATTTTCTGTATTTATTACTTATATATAGTTTCTTTAGGAAAACTACCTATAGTTCCTTTGAAGGATATTAAGATAATTTTTCTCCTTGAATTTACATAGTAGTCTTTAAAATTATTTAAGTTTATGGGCTAGCTTTTATCAAGGACTAGTAGGATAACTATCCCTGAATGCTATGGGTGTTAAATAAGAAAAAAACAACAAAATTTACACTCCTTTATAGAGATAATTAAATTAATTAGAATAATATTTGTTGAATCTTATATGACATCAGACTTTATAGCAATTCTTAATAATTTCATTTTTCTGGTTTTGAGAATTTTCCTAATGCAAACCATTGTTCCTTAGACTAAGGTGGTTAAAAGTCTTATAATGTACAATATTGCACTGAAGGATCTTAGAAGAAATTTGAAATATTCAGTTTTCTCTTTCAAGAATATTAACTTTATTTTTTATTAGGAAACATACAGGATTTTATTGGAAATTTTTTTTTTAAGAATTAACTTTTAATTGTATAAGAATTTTTAGGAAAAAATTCACATACTAGAGAAATGACAAAGAAGCAAAAACCTATCCCAAAAGCCATTTACCCCCAAAAAGTAATTAGTAACTTTTGTAAATGTCATTACAGAAACTTTTCTCTATACAAATAAAATGAATAGAATGAGTGGACCTGGGTAATGTCGCTTTACCTTTTAGTGTTTCTGGGTCGTTCTGTCTCAGAGCAGTAGTTTCCCCGAAGTCACAGGCAGATTATTGCTTCCTTGCTTTTGCATCCCCCCTTCATCTCTGGCTGTTTCCACCTTGTGGGGGCTACGGCAACTGCACTCTAGGTGTCAGATAGAAGATAATAGGATAGTTTACCCTGTAATCCATTGTTCCTGCCCTTTTGGAGTGATCTAGAGTTCTGCGGAGAAATTTTCATGTGTTTTCTCTTCATCCACTGAATATATCTTCAAGGAATCAAATTTGGTAATTACAAATCAACCTAATCTTCCACAAGAAATATTTATTGGGTGTCTATTATGTGCTAGGCATTGTTGTAGGGACTTGGAGATATATCAGTAAATTAAGCAGACAACGATTCTAGCTCTGTTGGAGCTTAAAATTTAAAAGGGGAGATGGACATTAAACAATAACCATAATAAATCTGTAAATTATATTGCATTTTAGAAAATGATAAGTACTGTGAAAAAAGAAAGGTGGACTGGCATGAAGGGGATTTGAGTGCTAAGGGAGGGGTAGGGATAAGTGCTATTTTCAGTAGAATAATTGTGGAAAAGATGATACTTGAACAAAGATTTTAAGGCCAGGGAGTTGGCCATGTGACTATCTTTGGGAAAAACATTCTATCCAGTAAAACCACCAGGGAAAAGTTTCCAAAGCAGGAGCGTGCCTGGTATATTCAAGGAAGCTTGTGTGGCTGGAACAGAGGGAGCAAGGAGATGTTTTCACTAGGAGATGAAAACAAAAAGGCAGAAAGAGTCTGTCCGCTGGCTGTTGCAATCCTTGCAAAACTTTTAACTTTTCTCTGAGTGAAATAGGAGACTACTTCAGACTGTTAGGTAGAACAACACATGACACGAATTCCATTTTTAAAGATCATTCTAATATTTGTGTTGAAAATAGCCTGCAGGTAGTGAGAAGTGGCTGGGTGCTGGATATGTGTTGAAAGTATAACAAGGCTTCCTGAGAGATTGGAGTTCAAGGTGAATTTAAGTTTTGTGGCCTGAGCATTTTTAGGTGCCTCCATTAAGATGGAGAAGGCTGCATGTGGGACAGGTTTGGAGATAAATCAGGAGTTCAGGTTTTAACGGGTGGAGATTGAGTTGCTTATTAGACATCCACATAGACATCTTGAATAAGCAATTGTATAAACAATTTAAGAGCTTGTGGCAGAGATCTGAGAGATATAAATTGGGTTGCCATTGGCAAATGGATACTCTTTATTTAAAGCCATAAAACTAATGAGATCACTAAGAGAGATAGAGCAGAGGGTCAAAGATTGAGTCTGGGGCATTCAGCATTAGGAGAATGAGTACCTGCCCCACACACATCTATTGGTTTTTGAATATCTTAAAAGATATTATATTTTTCCTTTTATCTGTTACATTCCAATATTCCTTCTTTGATAATATGTCTATATAAGGGATATAAATGTGATATTCACAGCACCTAATAGAAATGCTCATGTTAGACTTAAGTCTAACAACTGTTTTACACTCTACTGCACCTGAAGTATCCTATTGTATCTTTTTTGTATATATCATTTTATAGATGGAATGTATCTTTTTTGTATATATCATTTTATAGATGGAATTATGAATCTATCTGTACTTAGAAATGTATTATCTGTCACCTTATTTCTATCTCTGACCTTTTTCTTCTCTCCTTACACACTCAGCATAAGTTGGTCCATCATTTTGTTTTCAGCATATTTCTAAAGATTCAGTGAATTTCCAAAGATTGTCTTAAAACAGATCTTTATAATGTAAAATCTTTGCATGTTTGTTGCCTCTATGTATTTAGATGTGAGCCTCAACTGGCCAAGTTAGAGAGGAGAGAAATACAGTTTCTTAAGTCATGTAAGTACGTGTAAAATAAAAAAATTTACATGAAAGATTTTGATTTTCTTGGTAGTTGAAGTGTTTATTGTTTTAGAAATGACATTATATTGAACTAAATATTTTATCAGGACTTTGCAGGGCATAATTATTTTTAAAAGTATGTATCGTGAGGAGTAACATACATGCATCTAAATAATGTAATGAACCAGATTGTAAGGGATATGTAATTGAAATGATTATTTGAACTCACTTTACACGTGTGTGTGTGTGTGTGTGTGTGTGTGTAAAAGCCTATGTGAGGATGCTGTTGTCTATTGCTTTGCTCCAGTCCTCAAAGTCATGAATAGCATTGCAGATTTTGGCAATAATTTATTTACTGAGTATCGTCATGAGGAAGAGTAATATGTTTTGTAAGATATTTTTAAAAAACTTTTTATTTTGAAAGGTTTTTAGTCACAAAGAATTTGTACAGTTAGTAATTGGAATTCTTGTGTACCCAAATTCCTCAAATGTTAATATTTTACCAATTTACTTTATTCTTTCTTACTCTGTAATTGTTTTATCAAAACATTGATAGTAATTTGTATACATGATGCCCCTTTAACTCTTAACTATGTTTGTGTACATTTTCCATAGAATAATGACTTTCACTTACATATAACAACAACACACTTAACCAAGAGTAAGAAATTAACACTTCCTGGGTGCAGTGGTTTATGCCTGCAATCCCAGCACTTTGGGAGGCCAAAGCGGGAGGATCGCTTGAGCTCGAGAGTTCAAAATCAGCCTGGCCAACATGGTGAAATCACGTCTGTACTAAAAATACAAAAATTATCCAGGTGTGGTGGCTCACTCCTGTAATCCCAGCTATTTGGGAGGCTGAAGCATGGGAATTGCTTGAGTCTGGGAGGCGGAGGTTGCAGTGAGCCAAGATTGTGCCACTGTACTCAGCCCGAGTGACAGAGTGAGATCCTGTCAAAAAACAAACAAACAAAAAACTTGGCCAGGCACGATGGCTCACTCCTGTAATCCCAGCACTTTGGGAGGCCGAGACAAGAGGATGTCTTGAGCCCAGGAGTTCAAGACCAGCCTGGGCAATATAGTGAGATTCCATCTCTATTTTAATAAAAGAAATAAATTATTTAAAAAGAAATGAACACTTATACAATGGTATTATGTAGTCTATAGACCTTTGCCGAATTTCACCAATTATCTCATGTTTAGTCACTAACCACACATCATTTACTTTCATTAAGTGACCAACCTTGTTTATAAAATATCACATCAACTAGTGCTGGTGTTTAGTTACAGAATTGTGATAGTTGGCATAGTTAGTTAGCAAATGACATTGTGTGTGTAACCTCTCTGTGATCAGCAGAGTGAGAGTTCTTACTGCTTGGATCTCCTTAGTAACCAATTGATTTAAATATTAGTGATGCACTGATTCCCATAATGCTGGGACTCTAGCAATAGAATTCACAAGTAATTCATCTATGGAAGCAGTAGTCATCTATAAACCTCAGCTGCAAAAATTTGTGCTGGTTGTAGTCACCTCTTTTTTAGTGCTACAATATTGCACATATTTTCTATTACAATAAACTTTATAAAGTTACTTTATTTTTCCAGTTAAATATTTGACACTATCTAGTTCAAAGACTCCTACAGATGAAATGTCCAAAAATGTCTCTTTTTTTTAAAAGTTAAGTACACATATACATTGTATAGTTTACACAAAACATATGTGAATGAATGAAGAGAAAACATGTTCATGAGAAAGGATGGCAGTTTTGTTATGTGGAAAAAGGTGTGATATATGTTTACATTTTAGTACATCTACCTCTGTCCTCATTGGGCACTGATGAATTAAGTCAGAATACTAGGATGACCTATTGTCTGCCTTTGATCCACTAATATAGTTCCCTTTGTTTAAGATTTACTTAGATTAATGTTTTTAATCTGAGCAATTAGCACTGTAATGTGATTGATAATTATTTGATTCAAATATAATTTTAAAAATACACATCATGGAATACTATGCAACCATAAAAAAGAACAAGATCGTGTCTTTTGTGGCAGCATGTGTAGAGCTGGAGGCTACTATCCTTAGCTGATTAGCACAGGAACAGAAAACCAAATACTGCATTTTCTCACTTATAAGCGGGAGCTAAATGTTGAGAACTCATGAACACAAAGGAGGGAACAATACACTGGAATCTACTTTAGGATGGAGGGCGAGAGGAGGGAGAGAAACAGAAAAAATAACTATTGGGTACTAGGCTTAATACCTGGGTCATGGAATAATCTGTACAACAAACCCTCAAGACATGAGTTTATCTATATAACAAACCCGCACATGTACCCCTGAACCTAAAATAAAAGTTAAAATGTTAACCATATAAAAATCCCAGAAGAACATTCATTTATGAATTGAATTTGAATACATGGAAAATTACAAGTATATTCGTTTTACTAAATTAACTCTTAAAATAAAACTTTCCCTAATATGTTTGGGCATATATTTAGCACTTTTGGAAGAGGTGTTATTAACTAGACTAGGGTATAATGTTACATTTGCTTAATTTGCCACCATATAAAATTCCTCAATTACTACAGTACACATGTTGCATACCAGGCAAAACTCAGTGAATCTCCAGCAAGTATTGCACAAATGTTACCCATACCAATATAAAAATATTTTATTCATTGTACTAGTGGTTATTATTATATTGGAAGCTTCCCCCGCCCCCGACCCCCACACCAATTGCTATTAAGCTAAATGAGCTGTATTTGGCCAAGCAAGATTACAGAATTACCTTGCCCATGACTGAAGTTAAAGTGCTATTAGTGGAAGTGAAATAAAATTGGAGACAGCAAAAAATAAATTGTTTTTAAACTTTCAAATAATTTTGTAGTCAGAGATGGTGACCCATATAACTTGGAATTTTTAATGTTTTTTTTTTTTTTTTTTTTTTTTTGAGACGGAGTCTCGCTCTGTCGCCCAGGCTGGAGTGCAGTGGCGGGATCTCGGCTCAATGCAAGCTCCGCCTCCCGGGTTCACGCCATTCTCCTGCCTCAGCCTCCCAAGTAGCTGGGACTACAGGCGCCCGCCACTACGCCCGGCTAATTTTTTGTATTTTTAGTAGAGACGGGGTTTCACCGTTTTAGCCGGGATGGTCTCAATCTCCTGACCTCGTGATCCGCCCGCCTCGGCCTCCCAAAGTGCTGGGATTACAGGCGTGAGCCACCGCGCCCGGCCGTTGTTTATAATATAAGCATAATATTAGAAGATACTTTGAAACATACTTTCTGCTAAATAAAGAGATTAAGACTGAGTTGTCTATTCATTGATTTCATTTATGTTGAATACTTAATATTTAGAAAATACAAGCAAGTTATTATTGTTTCCATTTTAAATTTGAACAAGATATTTCTACCATCCTCTTTCAAGCTACTGGTTTAGTTTAATTGATAAGCATTCTGAGATTTTTAAGGGAAGCTCTTGAGAAAACATAGCATTTTCAGTTGTATTTCTATGAGTCAGGATTTGTCACTACTTTGCAACCAAAATGGAATCCACACGTAATTTGTCTGTAGGAACAACAGTCATCTATAAACCTCAACTGCAAAATTTTGTGTTGTTAAAATACATGTAATTCAATTTATTGGATACACATACTGCAATTTCGAACTTACAAACATTAATATATGCTATTAAAATGCCACTTTTAGTGGCGATATAGGGGACCAAATAAAGGTTTCTGCTGTTAAAACATTTTGATAACTGCTTGGTGGTTTGAATTTCTCAGAAATAAAAGAAGTACAGGTCTATAGGGTGCTTTTATAAACTGAAAGCATCTTCAGCATTTGCATTAATGTGTTGCAGTTGCAGAAAAAAAGAAGGTTGTCCTTGCTTCCCACACTCTCCTAAATGGTTCCAAATAATCTTGTTCTTTAAGGTATCAGTCATCTGAATTACCTCACTGCTCTCTTTCCCAGTAGTTATAGTTGGGCCTGGAGTAGGTTGAGCATGTGCAGCCTGCTTAGGGCTACTGCTGGGAGAAAGTGTTGGCTGCTGACTAGCAATTGCATCGTGAGTTTGTTCCCTGGAGGAAGACTGTGAAAAAATGAGTGAAGTAAAATACAGAGAAGGAAAATTGGTTTGAAGGAAAATGGCTAAATTAGGAGCAGACGAGACCACTCCAAGGACAGAGAAGGTACTTGGGCTCCTGAGAAAACAGAAAGGAGTGGCTCAGTATGGCTGTTAGCATTTTGTGAAATTTCTGACAGGCAACTTTGACGCCATTTCTACACCATAAAGAGAAAAACTGAAGGAGGTTCTCATGAATATTTTCTTTTGAAGAATGCTAGGTTTTTAAAATCATAGTATTGGCAAAACAAAGAAACAGTAAATATTATTTTCTAATAATATTAGAAAATAATATTTTTTCTAAATATTTTCTAAATATTATTTTCTAATAATATTTTCCCTGGAAGATTAAAAATATTTTAAATTAATATCAAATATTTAAAATAATAACAACAAAGAAACCAAAGCCAAGAAGTAATGCCCATAGATATTCCAAAGGATTTTAATATAGATTTTATTCTGAAATTTATTTAAATTACTACTAAATAATTATTGAATAGCCATCTAATACTTTAGTGGATTTATATGTTATCTTCAGGAAAAATTTTGCTATGGATGGGAAGAGGGTGAATAATGGAAAACAACCTATCGGGTATTATACTGATTACCAGGTGACAAAATTATCTGCATACCAAACCCCTGAGACATGCAATTTACCCATGTAACAAACCTGCACATGTGCCCCTTGAACCTGAAATAGAACTTGAAAAGAAAAAAAAACAATGCTATCTGTGTCAGTAAAAAAGGGTGTAGGAAGAGCATTTTGAGTCATGAGATTCTTGTATTATTCATTGGTTAATGAGTATTTAAATTATCAGTTGTGTATAATGTAATTGGATGTTGTGAAAAACACTGTATGAATATTAGGTTTTTTTTTCTTTTTTTTGGATGAGTAGTTAACATGTGTAATGGTAGAGATGACCGAGTCATTTTTAGAGTCTATTGTGTTTTATATTATAGGTTCTTGCTGTTTCAAAATCCCTTTTTGGTTGAAATTCATGCCTGGCACTTTTAAAGCCTGAGAGTACAGCTGCCTTTCCAGAGGCTCATACCTGGGTAGAGCTTGCCACGTTTTGAGTTTATTTTGAAACCAGTTTACTTTTGGTGAACCTAACAGGGCTTCTTATTTTGATGGTTCATTAGAAGAAAAGACAGCAGTAACAGTGTTTTGTTTTATTTTATTTATTTATTTTTTAAATTGAGCCAAGCACATTTACACATTCCATTTTTTTGTTCTTGGAGAGCCTCCCTTCAGGCCAGGACACAAATTCTCAGCAGGGCAATTGCAGAGGCCCCTGAGGAACCTCTTATCTGTTTGCACACAGCAGCTAGATTGTATGTTTTTGAATTCAAATCTAGAAATGTCTCTTTCCTCCTTAACATGATTTTCGGGCTTGGTCTTGCTTTAATCAGAAAATCTGAGGTTTTTAGGACACCATCCAGATTTCTTTCTCAAGTCCTTATAAGGCCCTATGTGCCCTGGCCGGGCCTCTCTTAACCAGGTTCATTTTGTACCATGTGCCCCTAGGCAGTTAGTATTTTGGTCACGTAGCCTTGTATACTGTCCCTTGAAAATATGATGTCCCTTCCTGTCCTGGACTTTAGATATGTGGTATTGCCCTCCACCTTCCTCTCTCCTTTGGTCTGTCCTGACCAACTCTTTCCCATCCTTCAAGACAATTTATTTATGCCTAGTGTTCCATTATTGGAACGCTAAGCATCTGGGAGTTATTTATATCCTACTGCTCAAGGTCATCACCAAGGTCTGATTGCAAAAATTCCAAAAATTGCAACCTCAGGAATAAATGGGTTATAAGAACTCAGCCTCCTAGTGACCACAGAATAGATCAACACTCTCTTTTTGCTCTTAATATTATATACTGCTACTTTCTAACGTGTCATATCACAACTGTAATTAAATTATTAATTTTGTGATTGGAACTTCATTTTCAGCCCACCCTGACAGAATGTAAGCTCTGTTTAGGCACCTGGAACAGTGCCATGAGCATGGGGATATGCAACAAATGCATTTAGACGTACACATACACACATACATGTATTTTATAAAGAGATTCTTTAGAGGTCTTATAATTGATTGCTTTAGTATTTGAGGCAGGACAGAGGTAATACAGACTAGATATATAACAATAAATGACTGTTTCGTTGTTGTTGTTTATTTTTGTTTCTTGTTTTTTTTGGAGATGGAGTCTCAGTCTGTCATCCAGGTTGGAGAGCAGTAGCGCAATCTCGGCTCACTGCAACCTCTGCCTCCAGGTTCAAGTGATTCTCCTGCCTCAGCCTCCTGAGTAGCTGGGATTACAGGCACATGCCACCATGCCCAGCTAATTTTTGTATTTTTAGTTGAGATGTGGTTTCACTATGTTGGCCAGGCTGGTCTCAAACTCCTGACCTCAGCTGATCTGCCCACCTCAGCCTCTCAAAGTGCTAGGATTACAGGCGTGAGCCACTGTGCCCAGCCAATGACTGTTTTTTAAAAGCCTGAATGTTTTTGCTTCCCAACTCTGTGTCATTTCTCGTCACAAGGTGTGATTTTGTTACGTCTAGACCAGTATGGACATTAAACTGTGCATTCTACTTTCAAGAACTAATGACAAGCAATTAAATAATATATTCAGCTACAGCAGATTCGGGCTTTAAAATGATTGCTCAAGGGCATTTAAAAATATATCTGTTTCCTAATATTTAGAGTTTTATACTTTCATTTCTGCCTTCTTTTTTTATAATGAAAGTTAGTCTTTGGAAAGAATTGTGGCTCTAGATATGGGAGTGTTCCTGCCAGTATAACTGGGGTCATACAACTTTCAGGGCTTAAATAGGCTTTGTGGAATAGATATTTTCATCAACCAAAAAGACATTTCCTCCAGGATATCTTTGCCACTTCCTATTCTCTTGATCATTTTTGAGTTATCAGGCAGAATTTACCCCCTTCCTTTCCTCTTTTTTTTTTTAATTACAGTTTTGAGCACTCATTTTAGCCACAGATTAAAAATAAGCAATATAGCTTCTTGATACTCCCTTGTTGAAACCAAATGATTGACATTTCTTTTCCTCTAGGTGTTACAAAGAACCTCGGAAAGGGATACCACTTTATTAGCTGAAACTATTTTTGTGTGTGTGTTATATTTCTCAGGGGCACTGTAATTCAATTTTTGCAGCAACTTTTGGGCCTTGTTAGTGCCTCGAGTCAGCTTGTTGCAAGGTTTTGAGTGGTGATACTTATGCTGGAGTAGCTTTTTGAAAAAGTAAATAAATATTTTCTTCAAGATAAATATATAACTTCTGTTTTTACTTCTAACTCGTATGGCATTCTCATCTTTATTAATGGTTTCTCAGTATTTTTAAATATTCCTTCTATTTTGGAATGATTTTAGATTTATAAAAAAGTTGCAAAGATAGTACAGGGAGTACCTATATACTCTTCACCCTCTATCACTATTAACATTTTCGTTACATGATACACTTGTCAGAAATTAAGACATTAACATGGATAAATTAATATTAACAAAACTCCAAACTCTATTTGGAATTTACCAGTTTTTCCATTAATGTTCTTCTATTTCAGGACCCAAACCAAGATACCACCTCTCATTTAATCTCCATCTTTTCAACATAAAAACAAAAACAGACAAAAAATGAGATAGAGATTAACCAAAAGATTGATGGATCCAAGGTGTCATGGTCTATGTCAGTAATGAGAAGAACCAGGATGGTATATCTTATAATTACATAAGTATGTATTTTGAAGGCAGTGTCATCCCCTTGCAGTATTGTGTAGCTGGTACTGAAAATGTTCTTTGAAGGTGGATAAGTTTTTGCTTATTCACATTTATTTGTCTCTCTTGTGACGACACCTAAGATAGTGTTTATATTATTAGCAGTCATTCTTTAAAGAATCAAGAATAGAAATAATACAGTCATTAACGAGTGATTATTCAATGTGTGGTTTTATTGCTGTGTTTTTAACTATTAGGAAACTATTTGATGACTTTTGAAGATTCTAAGTTTTAGAATAGGTAAGAATAGAGCCTTTACTGAGGATTATTACATTTCTGTCCTTTTAAATAATTCATCTGATTGTAATATGTATGGCATGACTTGTTTTTATTATAAATCCATAGGCTGAAATATAGTCCCCTTACCTTTCAGATGCAGAGATTCAACTTGTAATTATCAAACTCTTAAGAAAACGGTTGAGCTTTTCCTATATTGTAAAATACTTGCTTGGGAAATTTTTGTAAAATACGTCAAAAACGGATGAAAACTTGCTTAAAACTACTTAATAGGTGTTTAAGAATTATATGTAGATGCAAGAGTGTGGCATTTGGTGAGCATATCGTGGGGTTATTTTCTTCCTTAACTGATGCAGTAATTTTATGAGCCTGGTGTTGACTTTTATCTGGGGACCATTATGTCAAATTATATTATGGAAACACTTCTCATTTTAGTCACTTAGAAATCAGTCACTTATTTCTAGATATTGCAGTGTAACTGGATTGTTCATACTTAAGAATATACATTATGTAGTAATTAATCTATACCAGTATATAGTCCTTCAATTGAACATACACTTGGAAATTGTAGCTAAATAAGGAAACTGATGTGAACAAAATATGATGTCGGAAAGAACAGAATAATGATTGCTAATATTTTATTTCTATCAGAAATGTCCATATTACTGATAGATCATTTACACATAACCACATTACATTGGCTTTGTTATGCCTCAGCAATGATTTTACTGCCTTTTATTTCTGAAAATTATGTAACTAAGGGCAGTTATGCATAATTCAAATGACATTAGGATGGGAGTGAGGAGAACTTACTTCTCATCATGGAGCTATTACACTAACTCTGTGATCTCTGGTATTTTACTTGTCCTCTTTGAGTCTCAGTTGCCTCATCTGTGAAATGAAAAGTTTAGACTAAAAACCTCTAAGGAGTGTGTTGGCTTTACAGATGGATGATTTGGTAATTCTTTGTTTTTTAATCATGAAGAGTTGTTATTCAGTGTTTGTCTGGCTGTGGAGATAATCTAGGCTAAATCATGGATTTCTGTAATAACCCCTTGGTCTGTGCGATCATCATGGGAGCAGAGGTCTAAACCAAAAGTGACAAATACAAATGCTTGAAGTTGTCTGCTAGGTACAGAACTGAGTGAAAAAGGAAAACACAGGGCCCTGATGACCCAGAGAATCCATGCTCTTTCTAATGGTGCAGTTATTACTCAGCTGCTAGGGACTGTAGCCCAGAGGAATGCCAGATCTTCTGACCTTTCAAAGGATGCTACACAAAAGGCTATTTATGTGAACTCTCACAATCTTCAAATGTTAGCACATAATTTTATTTAAAGAAATTCACTCTGTGGACTAAATTAAATATTCAGTATGCCGGAACCCATCCTTTGTATGCTAGTCTGTAATTTCTGTTCTATTTCAGTAGACTTCAAACATTTTTGCTCATTCCAACATTAAGCAATGCCTTTCTCATCAAAACCTAGTATATGCACACACATGTATGTGTATGCATGTGTGTATATGTACAGCTATTTATGTATATGACACTAAAACCAAAACTTTATACAATAATATATATAATACAATTGTGTTTTCTATTTTATTCTATATGACATTTTTAAATTCTGTTCTGTATATTTTTATTTTATTTCTTGAAAAAAGTAATCACACTCACATTCATAAAGTCATTCGTGATTTACCAATGGGTTGACTTATTTTTGTAGAGATAGGGTCTCACTATGTTGCCCAGGCTGGTTTTGAGACTAGGAGGCCTCAAGCTCAGCTTTCCAAAATACTGGGATTACAGGTGTCAGCCACCACACCTGGCCAAGGGTTGACTTCTTGTTCAGTACTCTTTTGAAAAATTTAGATGGCAGTATTCTTGGTACTTGAATATGATTTTCCCACATACAGATCAGAAATCTGAAATATCTCACAAGTGATTTTCTCAGCTTAATCTTAAGAAACATTCCAAAACCACTGTATATTTATTGTTTGCTGATGATTTGAGATTTCCTTGTAGCCCAAGTCATCAGTACACTGGGAAATAGTAGTGTCTCCAAGAAGACAAGACTGAGCACAGAGGTAGGAGAGAAGAGACAGAGATATGCTATTTAGGAATCTAAATTTGAACATCACATTTTTTCTTCTTTTTAATTGCCTACAGATGGCATTTTTTTCGTGCTTATTCACATGCACAGAGCTGTGTCCATAAGCATCCTTGTCTCTTCCAAATGTTTTAGTGTTTTTCTGGCAAATAAAATTAGATTTCGTTAGATAATAATTATACGTGACATTATAGATTGGATTCTGTCCATTTGATTTATATTATTACTAGACACTTTATTTGAAATAAATCAGTGTTCTCTACATAATGTCAAGTTCATCAGTAAAGTTTCAGCTTTCATATCTTATAATTTTACAGTTGAAAACTCATGTATGGTGGTGGCTTTTATAATGTCACAAAGAAGTCTGAAAAAGCTCACCTTATACTTTTTATTCTTCATGTGAATAGGGCTTACATTTACTGATAAAAATTATTAAACATATATAAAATAAGCACTAAATAAGGTATTTAGTGCTTTATGAATTAAATTCTTTTGAAAATGTTGCATGGTGTATTTTATAATTTTATAGATATCTGTGGAGAAATATCCTAAAACCATATATTTTGCTAATGAATTATTGAATATTAATACCATATTACACTGCTCTTAGTGAATCATTTGTATCATCACAAATAAAATTTTAAAAATTTGGGTAGCCTTAGATTTGATCTTTTTTTAAAAATACTTTCTTTAAAACACATTTGATTCCTAATTCCCAAACTTAAATTGAAGGAATATGTCATTCCTCAACAGCTTGAAAAGTAGGATGAGTTCTTGCCAATTTCTTATTAAGTAATTTAAAATATACCCAGAGGCTCTATTTTGTATTGATTTTGATAGCATGGTTAGGTGATGGTATGGCCTTCTACTATTAAGGTCGACATGGACCAGCATTTGTTGAGTTCTCACGATGAAAAGTGATTTTCATACATTATTAATTCTGAGACCATTGGCATAAGGGTATTTTTATCACTTTCATTTTACTAGTAAGGAAGCTGGAGTTAATAACAGTGTTGCAACGTTAGTGGCAGAGCCCATGCTCTTAAGTATCATGTTGCTCTATATCCATATTTAGTGTAACAAAGATCTACTCACAATCTGCTGATAATTACATCACCACACTTCTTAGAATACAGTGGGAATGGTTATATACATAAGCATGGTTAATATTCATTCAATACACAATGGTAATGATGTACCTGGTGGATTATGAAAATACTGCAAATTTTTATAAATCAAAATCAGTTGTTGCTCCATAGTGCTCCCTCCCTACCACTCAAAGTCTCTCCCCAGTACCTCAACAGGTCTTCCATCATTAAAAACTAGAAGATTCTTGATTGCCTGTTATTAGCAGGAACCAGCAACAGCATGGCCCTGTGCTCAGGCCCAGGTTGTTTCTGAATGGCTGATTTGGTCAATTGATTGCTATATAGTTTGAAATCATCCCTGCATGTCAGTGTTTAACTTGAGGAGACAGGTATCATGATTTGTCAACTAACACTGCTTAATCTGCTGAAGTAAAAGCACACAGTGTGAAGATGAACAAGGATTCAGCTAGAGATTTTTTTTTCAGTTCTTAGGAGAATTGAGAGTGAACATGGAAATTCAGTCATCTCAATGGAAGTGATGCAGGGCAGTCAAGCCCCCAAACTGGGACTTAGCCTGGAAGGGTTCTTGGCTTCACCCAGAAAAGACCTCAAGGGTGGCCCACTGGTAAAAGAAAGCAATGTTATTAAGTGTTCAGTAGAGATGTTTCTCCTTGCCTAGCAGCACTAACCCATAGGCCGTGTCTCCAGAGTGGCAGTATATGGGCTATCGGCTAGTTATATCGATACTCACTCTTAGTTACATGCCAATTAAGAGAAGGTCATTTAGAACTTTCTAGAAAAGAGATGGGGAGTTGCTGGAAGTATAAAAGGTAAGTTTTGAGATGTTGCTATGGTGCATTGCCATGGCATTTGTAAATTGTCATGGTGCTGGAGGGAAGTGGGAGTGTCTTCATGTTAATGAGCAGTTAGGGCAACTAGAGATTCCTTTTGTCACCATCTCCAGGCTTTACCTGGCTTACTCATTGACCAGATCCTACTCCAATTAGCATGCTCAGAACCAGAAAAAAAGTGAGGCCTATCTCCTACCTCAAGCAGGCCTTGATGAATTCTAAAGAGCCCAAACCATTATCCATTTCCAAGGCTGGCAAAATACTCCTAGAGTCTTAAATCCTTTATTCCTGAGAAAGTACTTTAAAAATGGGTGGGTGGCAATATGTAAATTCTTGGTATATAATCTTGGTTTCCAAGTGAGACAGGAAACAAGGATACTTCACCGAATCCCATACACTCATGGCCTACTTAAGAAGGTTGGCTGAGTCTCTCTAAACTTAGAGCCTCTGTTTACTTTTATATGTGTTTCTGCCCTTGGAAGGCAAATTATCCTCATTTCGATGCATTTTCATTTTTTTTTTTTACAGTAGTAGCTACTATCTTTTGGCATTATCTGTAAGAACATATTGATAACAACAAGGTTGTGTTTTGTTATCTGCCACAGGATGTTAAAAGAACAGAATGTCAGTCACTGAAGTGAGCAAAGTACTTACTTATTTGAAAATACTTAAAAATTTCTACAGCAAGTCCTTTCATACTGTGAGACTTGTAAACATTCAAAGGAGTGTGAAGATCTCTGAGTCTATATGGATATAATATATACTTATTTCTTCAGAAATTGATTAAAATGCCCAATGACTTTACCAATTTTTATAAAAAGAATGCACCCATACAGGCAGTAGATGAGACATGTTATTCAATTTTCATAGAAGTTTACTTTAGCAATATGAAAAAAAAGCCAGATAATGAGAATAAAAATACCAAACTTTATGATGAATAACTATGATAAATTATAGATTTAGGATGAGTTTCCTCAGCCTCTGTTTGCTGGCAATGACAGTGCTAAGTCTAAAGAGATACTGAGGACAGTAGAAAGTGTTTTTCAAGTAAAGAACCTTGATTTTAGAAAAAAACACAAAAATGTATGGCCCTATTTTCAAATACTGTAGATAGATCAGACATGATTTACATAACCATTTACTTTGTTTCCTAAACTGTACCTACTTCTCAGTAACCAACTGTAAATATATTCACTTTCTTGATACTCAGCAATGCTTGCTTACCTGAGCACATGCAGACATTATTTTTTGGAGGTAGATATGTCAATGTTTTCTATTCAGCATTTTTACATTATTGCTACACTTATACAAGTCTCTCCTTAAAGCTCAGCTAGCCTTTAGTTACAGTTCTTTGAGCAAATTTTTAGAACAATCAATAATCAAAAGAAAAATATTGAAAAATAGTGTGCACTTTTCACTACTGGCTAAGCGTAACTTTTTCACTTTAGTTGAATCAGGGTTGTTATAAAGATAAATTGGGAAGTGTCTAGAAAAATAACAACTCAGTTATTTTAGGCTGTTTGTGTTCTTTCTGGATGACAGAGTAACTTCAGTTTTAAGGGTCAGATGTTACTATTAGCCCTCAAGTTTTGTGCTTGTTCTTTTGTTGTCCTGGAACTATCTTTTATCAGTAGAACTGGAAATAAATTAGGGCTTGACATGTTCTTTTCATGGATTGATTGTAATGTATCATTGTGAAGGCGTCTGACTTGCTATTGGCCAAGAGGTGACTAAGGAATCAGGGAACAGACAGTGATATACACCACTGCGTGACTGCCATCCTATCTGTTTTTAGTATGATTCCACAAATTTGATTTTGATGCATCGAACTGAGTTTAAACGCACTGATACCTGAGTGCTGAAAACATTGAGACATGCTGAAAATAAACTGTCGCCTCTTACTGTCTTTTCATGCATGTACACACACACACACACACATGCACACTCATATATCCATTTGACTTCGTTTCCTATTATAAAGCCAAGTTGCCATTCTAAAAGAGCATATTGACCTGTTTTCCTCATACCTCCAAGTTGCCTAAACTTGCATGTTTCTCTTTTATTGATTGATTGATTGAGAGAGGCTCCTCCAGGCTGTAGTGTGATGGGGTGAATACTGCTCCCTGCAGCCTCTACTTCCTGGGTTCAAGTGATCCTCCTGCCTCAGTCTCCCAAGTAGCTGGGTGTATGTGTGTGTGTCACTTCACCCAGCTAATTTTTTTGTTTTTATTTTGTAGAGATGGCATATCGCCATGGTCTTAAACTCCTGGGCACAAGCCTTGACCTCTCAAAGTGCTGAAAATATCGTTGTGAGCCACCACACCCAGGGCCCAGGCTCCTTTATTCTTTAAAAGAGACACTTGTTAGAATAACCTTTTCAAAACACAAATTCCAATGTGTCCTTCCATTATTAAGAATTGGAAGTGGCTCTCTGTGGTCTGTTCCATCAACTAAAATCTCAGACTGGGTTGTAAGACCCTTCTTTATCTCTGGTCTTTCTATTTACAGAAACATTTCCACTATTTTTTCATTGTCTGCAGGACTCAGGCAGGCCTCCTTTCTTTCCTTCAGAACATCTTATAATTTAGGAGCTAAACATGTCTTGGCTAAAGTAGATAGGGTGGGACACTAACAATTACAGTAAAATTCAAATCTCGTAAGCTTATTATATTTTATGGGTACATATTTGTTTTACCTTGACTTTAGGTGATTAATTTGAAAATTAATTAATTTAACAAATGCTTTTGGAACACGTACTATCCACAGAAACATTGCCAGACACCTAGGGATACAATGCAGAGTAAAAGTAGTCAAGTCTCTGACTTTCTGGAGTTTATGTTTTATCCTGAGGTACTAAAATTTTATAATTCCTCACAGAAATGTACAGTTGTAACTCTCATAAACATGGTAAAGGATGACTAAGGGGATGTGGCCTACTCAGGAAAATCAGATCAAAACTTTCCTAGAAGAAATTGGAGAATGTATCAAAATTAACTGAATGACAAGAGGAGATTAGTATATGCTAAACAGAGAAAATGTGATTCATAAAAATGTTATTAGAAAAATGAGATATTGCACAGGAAGTCCCATAGCATTTATTTGTCATTATTACTAGAAAAGCATCTTCAAGCAAATAGTCCTGTATTCCTGCTTAATAACCACTCTAAATATGAAGTTCGAGACATCCCAACATTTTTTGAGAAATAATGGATGTGCATGTTGGGTTTGAATAGCTTGTCTTAGTTTTTCAAAAAAATTGAGTAGAATAGAAATTACTTGACTGTAACAAATATGGAAAAGCCCAAAGAAGTAAGTGACAAAGTGTGGGTTATGTTAATTTTACAGGCACAGGGTGTAGGGCATTCCTGAGTTCAGTGGTGAATAACTGAAGATGAAATAAAGTTTTAGAGAGCAGCTACACTCCTATTCCACTCTGATGAGAGGAAGAACATTTCCATTGCCTCTTGTGTTGATTAAGACCGACAGAAATGAGTGGACTTCAACGCATGCAGTAAAAGGGTGTTTGAAAAATGCATCATCTCTGAGTCAGGCCTGGATTTGAATCCTGGTGCTGTTATGGAGTGACTTCCCCACTGGAAAATAGAAACAACACTAAGAGGATTAATTAATATTTGTGTAAGTGCTCAGCATAATACCTTCAACATAGCCATTTCCACCATTATTTTGTGTTTTTCTTAACCCTCATTCCTTCCTTTCTCATTGTTAACATGAATTTTAAAATTCAGTGTGCCTAAAGCAGGGAAGGACAGAAATTGGCAGATGCCTGATTATTTCAGTATTTTCATTCCTCTTTACCAGCTCTCAATACCGTTTCTCCTTTTTGTTTACTCAAGTTTACTAAGTATACCTGACAAAAAATTGTATATATTCAAAGTATACAATGTGACGTTCTGATACATGTAGACATTGTGAAGTGATTCATACAATCAAGCTAATTAACATATGTATAACTTCACATAGTTAACTTTGTGTGTGTGTGATGAGAATATGGAAAATCTACTCTCTTAAAAATTTCAACTGTATAATACGTTATTATCTGTAACTATAGTTACTGTGCTGTGCATTAGGGTTCCAGAACTTATGCACCCTTTGAACAACATGTCTTCATTTCCCTGTCATCCTTGGAAATCTTCTACTCTATATTTCTGTGAGTTCTACTTTTTAAAATTCTGTATATAAATAAGATCATGCTGTATTTGTCTTCCTGAGTCTGGCTTATTTCTCTTAGCATAATATCTACCAGGTTCATCCATGTTTCTTCTTTTAAAAGACAAATGAAAATTTGACTTTTATAGTCAGATGAGCTTAAGTTAAAATGCCGGCTCTTTCGCTAACTGGTTGTGAGACCGTTAGCCGGTTATATCATTTCACTTGCCGCTTCATCGTCTATTAAATGTGGATAATAAGAACTGCCTCATCAAGTTGTTGTTCTCTTAGCATAGGGCCTGGCATATAATCAATGTATGATGAATGCATGGTAGTTTCTTTTGTATACTGGAAATAAGTCAAACTTAAAGTTAAGCTTTAGCAAATATCACTGTGTGTTAAATGCAATGTTTTCTACGAACTACCAATGATTGTTTTGATCAGTGGTTAAGACCTGTGCATGTATATAAATGTAGGATATGATGAACATGCTGAAGAGAAACTGCTGTTGATGTGGAACTAATGTCAATGCAGGGGTGTGGAGAAAGACCTCGGTTGCACTGGAAGGGTTGCTTGGCTCACTAGAGAGAAGATACTAGTAGGTTCTCTGACTTGGTAGAACAGGGTCTCTTGCTATGCTAGCATCATGTCTTCTACATTTAATAAATAGCCACTATTTGAGTTCATGGATGAATATTTTCACCAAGAATTCAGCTCAGGATATACAGAGCATCTCATGGACTTACTTTCTCATTTAGGACCAGAAAATAACTTTCTTGCTGAAGGAGCCATAAATAGAAGTGAGTGTTAGACATCCTCTCAGATCCCAATTCACAATCCTCTATGACATTTGAGGACATATAAAAGTGACATGTATCTTTCATAGTAGTGGCAGGCTATACAATGAGTGAACCATTTTCAGAAGATCATGTGAACCTCTGAAGTTCATACTGAGTCAAGATTCAATTTATATTTTTCAAAACCTCCCATGGCTCTTTTTATTGACACGGTTAAAAAGACATTGTTGTCATTGGGAGGTATTTCTTTTTTCAGGCTCATTATATTGCCTCCAGTGATTGCACTGGGAACTAGGTGCTTGATTCTTATTGACGTTTGCTGGGATTATCATAAATATGACCTATAAAATAGAGTAACTATAAATGGAGTCAAAACAATAAGGTGTACATATTATTTTGGACAAAGTCAGATGGAAATTGTAAGGCAGTTACTGAAACACAATATTTATCATTTTTACTATTTAGAATTTATCCCATTTATATCATTTTAAGATAAACTTGCAAATAAGAATATATTTTCTGATTATATATAGATTATTTCTAGCTTGTTCTGAAAAAACTGACGTAGTTGTTTGTTTTTAGCCAAAAACAGTTTTAGAACATTCTTGTCAATCAAAAACTAGTATTTTTCATATATAAACTAAACCATATTTTTTGGTTGTGGAGCATCCTTGTGGAAATGAACCACATGCATTTTTTCCTGCAATTTTCTAAGCTTATGCAAATTGTATCTTACGGTAATGAAAATTTTGCCGATGAAATCTTTGAGAACATCATGACTGTTGTTTTTGTTTCAATAATGTGTCATACCTGAAGTTATTTGGCACACATTTCCTATTGACTTTGAAAGTCATTCCCTGCATGTTGATAGTGAAAGATTAGAATTCAAATGGGGAGACCTGAGGTCTGAGCTTACCTCTGCAACTAACCAGTTATATGATCTTCACTAAATATTTTCAACCCTCTGGATGACATAGTTCAGAGAATGGACCACATAACTCCGAACTCAGACTACTTCCCTTTAAATCATTTTCTTCCCTTTAGTGAAAAATAAAATATAATGAAAGGTATATAAAGGTTAGTATTCTTGCAAAATTCTACATGGATTTATTAAACCATGGTTTGAGGATATAAAAAAAAAGCAGTGATGACCAGAGTATATTGTAGATTCCCTAAGAACTAATCTCATCACATTCATTTAATGTTTGGTAGGACTACTAAAAAATAAATTAAGGACTAGTCTGCGCCATAACTTGATATTAGTGAGGCATTTTACAAAGGGTCTCATGTTACATAGGAAGGACTGTTCTCAAACCCAGGAAGAAGGATTGTTTTGGATTATTGTCCACAGTTTATCAAACACATAATCTTTCCAAATAATGATGCATGCAGGCCTGAATTTTGGCAGCTTCTTGATTTTGTTGTGGAAGTACTTTCTCTTGTTTAAAAAATAATTTTCAATCTGAATATCTTTATTTTCAAGGTAAATATACTCCATTGTCTTCACAAGGTATTTGTAAGATCATTAGATCATTATAATCTTTTCTTTCTTCACATTCTTGCAGAGAGATTTTAAAGCCAAACTCACAGCAATGAGTGAATCATTTTCAAAAGTTGGTAATCTCTTATTATGTTTCAAAGCAATATGTAATATGTTACTAACACATACAGACATAATAACCGTCTTTCATTCCGCAATTCTGATTGTGTGTTGAATTTTTTCTAGTTCTCTACACCACAATCAATTATCATGCTTGAAATAATAACCTCAACGACATTACAACTTGGTATATTATTACCAATGGAAAAAAACATACTCAGATTATATCAACTAATAGTAGTCATTGAATGAGATTGGATATAGGAAATTTTCTAGCAAGTCATACAGTAGGAATTCAGTAAATATTCTACTTAAGTCTAACTGCCAACACCTTCTCTAATCATGCTGCAGTAAATTCTGTTTTGTTTTGTCCCTTTTTAACATTTTTTAAAATTAGTTAAATCCATGGAATGAATACTAACTAAATTCACAGATAATACACAATCATGAAAGAATAGTAAACATACTGAAATTTAGAATCAAATTTTTAAAATCAAGTTTGTTTAATGCTTGTGTGGAAAGAACCAGATGCGTAGGCAGGACTGTCATCTAAGATTTTGTAGGTTCTCCTTGCAAACTCACCTTGGGAGGATATTTGCCAATATACTCTGTGCTTTCTTTTACGGGGGTGTCCATAAATATATAGTATTTATTTGCTTGTCACATTTACAAGATCATTTACAAGATTACCATCTGAAATGGTGGGCAGAAATCATGAACACATTTAACAGAGGATTTAAAATACTAAACTAATATTTTAAAAATTTAGTTATGTAACTGTAGAATGGGCAAACATTTTTTAAACAAAACTAGGTATTAAAGGACTTTAAGGATTGTTTTGTTAATATTTAATGAAGGTATGAGACAATGGAATAGTAATACAGGAATTCAGGGATAGGAAGAAAAGGTAACAATAAAATTGAAATTGCAACTTGGATTCAATCTGAGAGGCAATTCTATTGCCTGAATGGGGACAAGGCTGGTCAGATGTAAATAAGAGAACTAGCATTTGTGACTAGGGACTATGTTTCAGATCTTACGTTAGTTATTTTGCATATAGTATTTCATGTAAGTCTCACAACAGCCTAGATTCCAGCCTTCCCAGCTTACATTAGCCAGAGTAGCTCTACTGTCCCCAGTTTAATAGGACAATAATCTGAAGCATTGCAAGTTAGGTTGGGATTCGAAGGAAGGAACATACCAGAAACACCTCTCATAATTTCTTAAGAATTTTCTTGAACACAAGAAAGATACCTAAACACAGCAGAAGCAGCTACAGCATATCTTTCTGTGTCTCCACATTCCAGTAAGGGGAAGGCATGAGAGAGACACTCTCCATTTGGGGAGCATGGTACTAGCATTGAGGATGAAGCCAAATGCTTGCTAGGTCACTGCTCCTTTATTATTATGCAAGTTTATATTGCCAATTTGAGAGGATTTATGTTAATAATCTCTATACATTCTTTCAAGAGAAACTTTTAAATATCTAGTGTTTATTTATTTATTAATTTACTGAGCAAATTCAGCATTCACAAGGCTATATTCTTATTCATGGGAAGGCAGAGTTGATTTTCTCATTCAGAACATTTTCTCTGCTCCAAATTTTTCATATTCTAACAAGCTCTTTCATCCCATAGGTGTCATATAAGATTTATTTGAAAAGAATCGAGCACTGTTAAAAATAAGTCAGTTTTGAATAACATTGTTTTGGACCTGTCAGCTTAGGCTGCCACGACAAAATAATATAAACCGTGTGGCTTAAGCAATGGGAATTTATTTCTCTGCTCTGGAGCAAGAAAGTTCCAAGTCAAGGTGCTGGCCAGTTTGGTTCTGAGTGAGCATCTGCTTCCTGGCTTACAGAGGAAAGTCTTCTTGCTGTATTCTCACATGGTGGTGGGGTGGGGTGTGTGTGTGGGAGAGATAGAGAGAGAGAGAGAGAGATCTGATCTCTCTTCTTCAAGAACACTCATCCCATCATGGAAGGAGGGGGCCGTATCACATGACTTCATCTAAACCTAATTACTTCCCAAAGATCCCACTTCCAAATGCTATCACTTTGGGGTTAGGGCTTCAACATATGAATTTTGGCAGGACACAAACATTTAGTCCACAATAAGGCCTATCTATAAAATGGGTAAGTTCCTGGTTTTTCCAAATTGTAGACACAATCTTCTAAATAACCTAGAAAGGTTTTTTTTTTTTTTATGTTTGAGTTTCTAAAAAAAAAAAAAAATTTCCCATAAGGCACAGTAAGGTTTTTGTTTTAGTTGATGAAAGACAGTCCTAACCATTGTCACCTTTATGTTTTCATCTTGAAAAATTGATTAAAAAAGACTTTATTTCCATGGACAGAAGTTGTATGTCAGCTAAGTCATATTCTTTGATTATAAACATCAAACTTTTCACCTGTACCATACTGAGATTCAGAGAATGCTGAAATGGAAAATTTGCAATTTAAATGGCATAGAATAGAACTATCTCAACTCTCCTTTTTTTTTTCCTACTCCAAAACATACAGAAAGCATGTTTTGAAGTCCAAAGAGAAACTTCAGTAAACAACTCGCCTATTCTCCAATTACCAGTGAGCTTTTAGTGCCATTTCTACCAGGGTCAATTTCATTGTTTTTTTTTTTTTTTTTTTGTACCATGCTATCCAGATGAAAACATTAAGCAATTTACAAAACCATTGACTATCTGGAGGTCTGTATAATCTGTAATTTAATTTATCCAGTTGGCTTTTTGGGGTGCAGTCTTGCTCATACTAACCAGGAGCCCATGTCGACTTTTACGTTGATAATTTCCGTGATCACAATCCTTCAGCTCAAGGCCATTATTTCTCTGCTTTCCAGTATACATCTCTGGGACTGACTTGATTTGCTTTAAGAATTAAACAGATGCAAAGCTATTTCCTGAGAAGAATACTGGTATAGCCTGTAGATACTCATTTATACTACCACCAATTAAAGGAAACCAAGGCTCTTTCATTTTCTCAACAGTTTCATCTTTGCCATTTGCATGTAAGAGTGTTGCTGGCACAGCTTGTATGTTTTTATTCAATTCAGGTAAAAAGAAACTCCCTCTGAGCAGATAAATTATAAAAACCCTCTTCTTCTGGGTTGACTAGCCTATTGCACATCTTGGAAACTGGAGAACTGGCTAGATTTCTGCCCTCACTAATCCTCAACCAGCTCTCTTCAGGGCTGAACCTACAAAATCATATGTGGAATCCTTGCTTACTTGCCTGGTCCTTTCCCCAAACAGTATTAAACAACTTTCTTTTCAGCTCTGAATTATCTGAGAGTTCCCATAAATAACCAGTAGACCCAACTGCTACATGAAAAAAAAAAAAAGTCATCTAGGGTATGTTTATTTTAGAAGATTCTCCACTATTCATTTCTACTACATTATAGAATAGCCTTTATAGACCCAGATGTAACACTGGACCCTGGGTGTTTAATGAAGATTGCTATGACACACAACAATAAAATTTCTTAATTTCTTGAAATCTGTTGAAGACAGGTGTTGTTTATGAAGAGGGGGAAATTTTCTTAAACACTCATAAAGATTTTTCAGGTCTCAGAACCAAGAAATATCTGTCTTTTCTGAGGTATTGATATATTTTTCATAAAAGGAAGTTTTCAGTAGTAAGTAGGAAGTAATTGTAAAATTGAAATTCTAGATGTAATTTCCAGTTTTTTGCTTGTTTGATATAGTTTTCCTCAGAGTTTGTATAGCTCTAAATCTAAATGTATACTTGCATATATCTATATAATACATATGTACTTTTTTCTCCCTCTTTATATTTTCTTCTACTTACATGATATTTGATTTTATTGTATCTGTGTTCTTTTTGCAAATTGCTTCAAATGATCATTACTAATACAACTAATTAAACTTGCACTGATGTGATGAAAAAATATATGCATTAGGTTTCAGAAGATCTGGGTTCAAATAATTCACCCTGTCATTAGTTATTTTTGTGACTCTGGGCAACTCTTTGGTAGTTCTGGTGGTTCACTTTCTCATGCAAAACAAAGGGTTTGATTACATATAGTTGCATTTCCTATGGTCTCTTTTTATTCTTAACTATGGATTTTAATATATCATTACATTTCAATCCATTAAATACTTTGAAAAAGCAATATGAACCATATCTGATAGATTATTGACAATTTGAAATTATTTAGCATCTCTTGAAATAACATGCTTTAATGTAGATACTTCTGAAAAATCATTTTGGAACTCATGCTACTTGGAACCTCATAATGTTTAGAAAATATTTCAAATTTGGAGAGGGGGAGGACGTAAGGTGTTGGGTTAAGGTTTAGATTTAATAGCACAAAGTATAGGTTCTTGTTAGAAATTAAGCATATTACCATCTTCAGGGTTTTTAATTTTTTGTGGGTACATAGTAGGTGTGTATATTTATGGGGTACATTAGATGTTTTGATACAGTCATGCAATGCATAATAATCCCATCATGGAAAATGGGGTATCCATCTCCTAAAGCATTTATCCTTTGTTTTACAAATAATCCAATTATACTCTTTTAGTTCTTTTAAATGTGCAATTTTAAATTATTTTGACTGTTGTCACCCTGTTGTGCTGTCAAATACTAGGTCTTATTCATTTTTCTAATTATTTTTTGTACCAATTAACCATCCACACCTACCCACTACTCTTCCCCAACTACCCTTTTCAGCCTCTGGTAACCATCCTTCTACACTCTGTCTCCATGATGAACTCATCATGTTTTGATTTTTAGTTACTACAAATTAGAACATGTGAATTTGTTTTTCTATGCCTGGCTTATTTCATTTAGCAAAATGACTTCCAGCTCCATCCATGTTGTAGAAAATACAGGATGTCATTATTTTTTGTGATTAAATAGTACTCCGTTGTGTATAAGTACCACCTTTTCTTTATCCATTCATCTATTGACGGATTCTTAGGTTGCTTCCAAGTCTTGGCTATTGTGAACAGTGATGCAACAAATATAGGAGTGCAGATATCTCTTTGATACGCTGATTTCCTATCTCTTGGTGTATACCTAGAGTGGGATTGCTGGATCACATGGTAGCTCTATTTTTAGTTTGTTGAGGAACCTCCAAACTGTTCTCCATGGTGGTCATACTAATTTACATTCCCACCAACAGTGTACCAGTGTTGCCTTATCTCCACATCCTTTCCAGCAATTGTTATTGCTTGCCTTTGGATAAAACCATTTCAACTAGAGAGATTATATTCCACTGTAATTTTGATTTGCATTTCTCTGATGATCAGTGATGTTGAACACCTTTTCATTTGCCTGTTTGGCACTGATATGGCTTCTTTTGAGAAATATCTATTTAAATATTTTGCCCATTTTAATTGGATTATTATTATTTTTCCTGTAGAGTTGTTTGAGCTCGTTTTATGTTCTGGTTGTCAATTATTTGTCAGATGGGTAGTTTGCAAATATTTTCTCCCCTTCTATGTGTTGTCTCCTCACTTTATTGATTGTTTCTTTTGCAGTGCAGTGATTGTTTCTTTTTAAGTTGATGTGATCCCGTTTGTTTCTTTTTTCTTTGGTTGTCTATGCTTGTGGGATATTACTCAAGAAATTTTTGCCCAAGCCAATGTCCAGGAGAGTTCCCCGAATATTTTTTTGAGTAGTTTTATAGTTTGAAGTCTTAGATTTGTCTTTAATCCATTTTGATTGGATTTTTGTATGTGATGAGAGGTAAGGGTCTAGTTTCATTCATTCAGCATATAGATATCCAGTTTTCTCAGTACCACTTATTGAAGATTTATTGAAGATACTGTCTTACCTAGTGTATATCCTTGGTACCTTTGTTGAAAATGAGTTCACTCTGGATGTGTGGATTTGTTTCTGGGGTCTCTATTCTGTTTCTTTGCTATATGTGCCTGTTTTTATGTTAGTACCATACTGTTTGGTCACTATAACTCTGTGGTATAATCAGAAATAAGGTAATGTTTTTGGTAATTGTTTTTGATCAGAGTAGCTTTGGCTGTTCTGGGTCTTTTGTAGTTCCATATAAATTTTAGAATTATTATTATTATTCTGTATCTTTGAAGAATGTCATTAGTATTCTGATAGGAATTGGCGTTGAATCTGTAGATTACTTCGGGTAGTATGAACATTTTAACATTGTTGATTCTTCCAATGCATGGAGCATGGAATATCTTTCTAGTTTTTTGTGTCCTGTTCAATTTCTTTCATCAGTATTTTATAGTTTTCCTTGTAGAGATATTTCACTTCTTGGGTGAAATTTAACTTTATGTATGGCTATTGTAAAATAGATAATTTTTTATTTATTTTTCAGATGTTTGGTATTGGCATATAGAAATGCTGATTTTTGTATGTTGATTTTGTATCTTGTAACTTTACTGAATTTGTTGATCAGTTCTAATATTTTTCTTGTGGAGTCTTTAGGTTTTTCTAAATATAAAATCATATAATCTACAAACATGGATAATTTGGTATCTTTCATTCCAATTTGGATGCCCTTTATTTCTTTCTCTTGTCCGATTTTTTTAGCTAGGACTTCTATTGCTATGTTGAATAATGGTGGTGAATGTGTGCATCTTTGTCATGCTCCAGATCTTAGAGGAAAGGCTTTCAGTTTTTTCTTTGTTCTGTGTGATACTAGCTGTGGGTCTCCCATATGTGGCTTTTATTATGTTGAGATATATTACCTCTATACCCAGTTTCTTAAGGGTTTTTATCATGAAGGAATGTTAAATTTTATAAAATGTTTTTTTCAGCATCAATTGAAATGATCTTTTTTTTTGTACTTCATTCTGTTGATATGATGTATCACACTGATTGATTTGCACACGTTGAACCATCTTTGTGTCCCTGGAGTAAGTCACACTTGGTCATGATAATTGATGTTTTTAATGTATTGTTGAATTTGGTTTGCTAGTATTTTGTTGAGGATTTTCACATCAATATTCATCAGATATATTGGCCAGTAGTTTTACATTTGTTGTGTCTTTTTCTGGTTTTGGTATCAGGGTGATACCGACTTCATAGAATGAGATTGTAAGTATTCTCTTTTATATTTTTCAGAATAGTTCAAGTAGGACTGGTAACATTTCTTCTTTAAATGTTTGGCAGAATTCAGCAATGAAGCTACTGGGTCCCACACTTTACTGGGAGACTTTTTATTATGGCTTTGATCTCATTACTTGTTATTGGTCTGTTCAGGTTATGGATTTCTTACTGGTTCAATCTTGGTAGGTTGTATGTGTCTAGGAATTTATCCATTTTCTCTAGATTTTCCAGTTTATTGGCATATAGTTGTACATAGTAGCCACTAATGATCCTTTGATTTTCTGAAGTATCAGTTGCAATGTCTCCTTTTTTATTTTTGATTCTGTTTGTGTCTTCTCTCTTCATTCTTGATTAGTCTGGCTAAAGGTTTGTAAATTTTATCTTTTCAAGAAACAAATTTTTTGCTTTGTTGATTTTTTTGTTTTCTTTGTTTTAATTTTATTTATTTATACTCTGATCTTCATTATTCCTTTTTCTCTACTAATTTTGAGTTGAGTTTGCTCTTTCATTTTTAGTTCTTTAAGAGGCATCATTAGGTTGTTTATTTGAAGTTTTTCTTCTTTTTTGATGTAGACCTTATAGCTATAAATTTTTCTCTTAGGAATGCTTTCACTGTATCCCATAGGTTTCGGAATGTTATGTTTCCATTATCATTTGTTTCAATAAAGTTTTCAATTTTCTTCTTAATTTCTTTATTTACTCACTGGTCATTCATGAGTGTATTGTTTAATTTCTATGTCTTTGTTTTGTTGCCAACATTAATCTTTTTAATGATTTCCAGTCTCATTTCATTGTGGTCAGAGAAGATTCTCAATAGTATTTCAATTTTTTGAATATTTTAAGAACTTGTTTTGTTCCCTAACATACAGTCTGTTCTTGAGAATGACCCATATGCTGAAGAAAAGAATGTGTATTCTGTAGCCTTTGGATAAAATGTTATGTAAATGTCTATGATATGGTTTGGCTCTGTGTCCCCACCCAGATTTCATCTTGACTTGTACTCCCATAATTCCCAGGTGTTGTAGGAGGGACCCAGTGGGAGATAATTGAATCATGGGGTGGTTTCTCCCATACTATTCTCATGATATTGAATAAGTCTCATGAGATCTGATGCTTTGATAAGGAGAAACCTGTTTCTCTTTGCCCTCATTCTTTCTCTTGCCACTGTCATGTAAGAAGTGCCTTTCGCCTTGCACTATGATTGTGAGGCCTCCCTAGCCAAGTGGAACTGTAAGCCTATTAAACCTCTTTTTCTTCCTAGCCTCAGATCTGTCTTTATCAGCATCGTGAGAACAGACTAATATAATATAATAGGTTTATTGTTTTTCTCTAGAGTGCAGATTAAGTCTGATGTTTCTTTGATGAGTTTCTGTCTGGGAGATCTGTTCAATCCTGAATATGGGATATTGAAGTCTCCATGTATTATTGTATCGAAGTCTATCTCTCTCTTTGGCTCTAATCATAGTTGTTTTATATATCTGTGTGTTCCAGTGTTGGGTGGATATATATTTATAATTATTGTATTCTGTTGCTGGATCAATCCCTTTATCATTATATAATGGCCTCCTTTGTCTTTTTAAATATTTTTTTCTTGAAATCTATTTTTTCTGATATAAGTATAACCACTCCTGGCCTTTTTTGGTTTCCATTGTCATGGAACATTTTTTATCATCCCTTTATTTTCAGTCCATGTGTATTTTTATAGGAGAAGTGTATATCTTGTAGGCAACAGATTACTGTGACTTTTTTTATATACATACAGTCACTCTGTTTTTTTATTGGAGAGTTTAGTCCATTTACATTCAATGTTATTATTGATGAGTAGGACTTTCTCCTGACATTTTGTTATTTATGTTCTGATTGTTTTGTAGTCTTCTCTTCCTTCTTTTCTTCCTTCCTGACTTCCCTTTAATTAAAGTGATTTTCTCTGGTGGTATGTTTTAATTTCTAACTTTGTGTGTGTGTGTATCCATTGCATGTTTTTTGATCTGAGGTTACTGTGAGTCTTGCAAATACTGTCTTATAACTCATTATTTTAAACTCATGGCAACTTTTCACTGATGGCATAAACAGACAAAAACATGGAATTAAAACTAATAAAAACTCTACACCTTAACTCTGTTCATCTGCTTTTTAACTTTGTTTTTTTATGTCTTATTGTATTGTCTATGTCTTAAAAAGTTTTTATAGTTATTATTTTTTACTGGTTCATTAGTCTTTCTATTTAAGAGTAGGTTGTATATTCTAATTACAGTGTTATAATATTCTGTGTTTTTCTGAATGCTTACTATTACCAATGAGTTTTGTAACTTCAAATGATTTTCTATTGCTATTAACATCCCTTTCTTTTAGATTGAAGAATTCCCTTTATCATTTCTTATAGGACAGGTGTATTGTTGATGAAATCTCTCACCTTTTGTTTGTCTGGGAAGGTCTTTATTTCTTCTTCATGCTTGAGGGATATTTTTGCCAGCTATATTATTCTATGGTAAAGTTTTCTTTTCTTATGCTGAGTCAGATCTGAAGCCAGAAGAGCACTGGGTCTCACCAAGGCCTGCTGTAACCACTATCTGCTACTACTTATGTTCACTCAAGGCCCTAAGGATCTACAATCAGCAAGTGGCAATGCCAGTGACATTTGTGGACTTCCCTTCAAGATGGCCAGATCCCCCAGGTCCTAGTAGGGTCTAGAGATGCTCTCTGGGAGTCAGGGATCAAAAACCTTAGAAATTAGCCTGATGTTCTGGTTTTACTAAAGCTAAGCTGGCATCAAACCACAATACAAAGATCCTTCCTGCTCTTCCCTTCCCTTTTTAAAGGCAGAGGAGCTTCTCCCTGTGGCCACCACCACCAACAGCCCATGAAGGGTTCTTCCAGGCCACAGGCTAATGTTCATTTAAAGCCTAAGGGATCTTCATTCAGCTTGTGGTGAATGCTGCCATGTTTAAGACTCACCATGGGCCAGTGTGACCTCTGCCCTGGACAGGTCCAGAAATGCTGTCCAAGACTCTAGGCTTGGAGTTGGAGATCCAAATGCCTGCCTATTGCTCTACCCCACTGTGGCTGAGCTGCTATCTATCTGATATTTATCTGTCTATCTGGTGTAAGACAATGTCCCCTTTACTTTTCCTTCTGCTTTCTCAAACAGAGGAACTATTTCACCATAGCCACCATAGCTGGGAATGTGCTGGTTCAACCCTGAAGTTGGCATATCTCAGAGCCCAAAGCACATGGCATACTAAACGGGTATTACTCCTGGTTATTCAAGGTTTAAGGGCTCTTTAGTCAGCCAGTGATGAATCCTGCCGGGACTGTCGTCTTCTCTTCAGGGCAGTGAGTCCCTTTTGGCCCAGGGTGTGTCTGGAAATCTCATCCAGGAGCTAGGGCATGGAATAGGAGCCCTACGACTCTGTTTAGTGCCCTGTCCTACTGTGGCTGAGCTGCTATCCAAGATGGAAGACAAAGTCCTCTTTACTCTTTGCTCTCCTCTTAAGCAGAAGGAATGAGTCACTTTTGTTGCTGTGAGCTGCAACGCCTTCGGTTGGGGGAGGGGTGGTACAGGCATTCCCAAAACTGCTCCTGGCTGGTGTCTCCTTAAGTCATATGCCACCCTAGTCCCCTGCCTCTGAGCCCAGCCCAACACTAGACTTTGCCTAAGAAATCCAGTCTTTGTGTCCTAGACTGCCTTTCAAGTTTACCTAGCACCCCAGAACACTCTGGCCTGTAGTGGCGAGGCTTCCCGTGAAACTCCGACCTTCCGACCTCTGGGATGAGCATGTCCCCTCTAGCTAGGTCTGGTCTAAATGCTCCCTACATGCAAGGGCGCTGGCTGAGGCAAGCATGTCTTTGCTCTCCGCTATAACAAGGCAGCACTGAGTTCAATGGAAAGTTCCCCAGTCACTGTGCTCTCTCTTCCCCAAGTACACAGACTTTCCACACTGCACAGCCACTATTGGGGGGTGGAAAGGTGGTGTCAGTGATTCAAGCCCTCCTCAGTGCTTCTTTCAGTGACATGAAGTTAAAACCAGGTACTGGCTGGGCATGGTGGCTCACGCCTGTAATCCCAGCCCTCTGGGAGGCTGAGTTGGGCGGATCACGAGGTCAGGAGATCAAGACCATCCTGGCTAAAATGGTGAAACCCCATCTCTACTAAAAATACAAAAAATCAGCCAGGTGTGGTGGCGGGCGCCTGTAGTCCCAGCTACTCGGGAGGCTGAGGCAGGAGAATGGCTTGAACTGGGGAGGTGGACCTTGCAGTTAGCCGAGATCGCGCCACTGCACTCCAGCCTGGGTGACAGAGCAAGACTCTGTTTCCAGAAAAAAAAAAAAAAAAAAAAATAGAGGTACTGTGATTCCTCACCTCATTTTTGGTTCTTGTGATGGTGCTTTTCTGTGTACATATAGTTGCTAAAATTTTGTGTTCTTGCAGTGCAGACACATGGTATAGGATTCTATTCCACCGTCTTGCTCTGCCCTCCTTCTCAGGGCTTTTTTTTAACCTAAGATTACTTAAGCACTTTCATGTTTTGGGGAGGAGTAGTCTGATGATCCACTTATATGCATGTGTTTGATACTTGTGCTAAAATCCTAGCTGAACTTTTCAATTTCTTTATGTGTGATATATTATCAGTTAACTGCATAAAAAAGAATTAAAAAACATTAAGGCCAGGAATAACCTAGATATAGAAAGTGGTAAGTTGGTGTAGTTACACATGTCATTGAGATGAGATGAAATTTTTAGTCTCTACGTCTGTAGAAACTAGCCCATTCAGATTAATCTGATTAACCTTGCCTAAATGTGCAGAAGACATTCAGCACTAGAATTTTCAAAAAGAACTGGTTCTGCCATGTTTGATTGAATTTCTAATTCATCAAAAGGTGACCTGGAAAAATCATACATAATTGAAATAAATCCTGAATTTAACTCCTATCTCTAACACTGGTTGCAAGATCTCTAGCAAATCTCTACTCTCACATAAAACATAAAAATAAATAATACATGCTACTAAAAGACTTATAGGATGTAAGAAGAGATTTTCCTGTGAAATAGCTTTGTTAATTCTAAAGTGCATTATAAGCCTTAGTAATTATCTTCTTCAAAATGAATACCACTGAAATATCATTCTATTTTATTGTTTTGAGTATTGGACTTACTATAATTGCAATTAACTTTACATTTGCATCATGCATTCTTTCTGTCACAGTATTTGACACCTGAATTTATTTCAAATAATTTTTCCCCTGAATTTTGATAGTTTGATTTAGCTTAGTGTCACACAGATCACAACATATTCTGTGTTAAATATATAACTATGGCATGGTTGATGCTATGGTTTGAATGTTCTTTCCAAAACTTATGTTGAAATTTAATTGCCATTGCAGCAATATTAAGTTAGAGACAGGACCTTCACAAGGTCATTAGGCCTTGAGGGCTCCTTTCTCATGAATAGATTAATGCTGTTATTTCCATAGTGAGTTCCTGATAAAAAGGAGCCCAGCCCCATTTTTTCTGTCTGTTCAGTGTGCTGTCACTCTCTCTCACCCTTGTCTCTGTGTGATCCCTTCCTCAAGGCCCTCACCAGATGTGGACTCTGAATCTTGGACTTCCTTGCCTCCAGAACTGTGAGCCAAATACATCTCTTTCCTTTATGAAGAACCCAGTCTGTGGTTTTCTGTTACAGCAGCAGAAAATAAACTAAGACAGTTGACCAGGTTGTGTGACTCTTCCTGCCCATTCTAGTGAATGTTACCAAACTAATAGCATGACTGCCATATACTTTTGAATCTTGTTGAGCTTTATGTATATTATTTTGGTGTTTGTGTTTACCAAAAGTCTAGAATTTATTGGTCCCACAACTCTTTAGTACTATGTTGTTTGCTGAGGTGCTATTGGCTGATGGAAGTATTTTAGATCACTGATTTCAGAATATCAATTTATCCATGTATAAAAAAATAAAAGGGAGAAACGGAAACACTTCTTGTTTTAAAAGTGATTAATTTTTGAATAGCTGTACACACTATAAAATTTAAATGTTGTGAAAGGGCATGTACTTTACAGTAAGATTCTTTTCTCTCAATGTCCATGCTTGTCACTCTTTCAATGACTGTTAATGATTTCTTAAATAGCTTTCCATAAATGTTATTGAAGCTATTCTCTATGAATTCAGTCAGGAAAGAACTCTTTCCTTAACTTAGCCAGCATTATTCTGTTTTTAGATTTCACTCTGGTCTTTGATATATTACTTTTAAATTGATATAAATGTGGTTTTCTTATATGTCTCATGAAATTCTGTTAATTTTTTTTTTCCTGTTCCTAAGGCATACCCAGTTCCTGCACAGTTTCAAACTAACAGTTTTTCAGCAGTTTGTCTTGGGCCCTTCATGTTTATCAAATCATTTTGTGCTATGCTTTCATACTTATCATACCTTATAAATTGGTGTAGAGGAATAAATCCATTGTCCTATGTCTACCATCTCACATATGCCATTTAAGCCTATAATAACATTCTTTTATTCATCCAGTGACCAGTTTTGGCCCATAACTGGAAAATGCATGCCCAGTCTATGCCACTGGGTTTTGGCCTACTTTCTCTTTTCTGCAGCACAATCTGCTTGCCTAGGGTCCTGACAACCTGCCTACCTCTGATAGGACTTCTTATCTGAGAGACTGGACGTTGGCTTGGCTCTTAAGTTCACCCTCCTGCCACTGTGCTTTACCTATCACATTTGACCTCTTTAATCAGAATATTCATATGAAATAGTCAGAGTACACAGAGGGTGGTAGGATATTATCATTATTACAACTTCCTGTCTTCTGAGGGTCAGCCCTGTGCAGCACATTGATATGGTTTGGCTCTGTGTCCCCACTCAAATCTCACACTGAATTGTGATCTTCAGTGTTGGAGGAAGGGCCTGCTGGGAGGTGACTGGATCATGGGGGCGGATTTCCCACTTGCTCTTCTCATGATAGTGAGTGACTGGTAATCAGATCTGGTTGTTTAAAAGTGTAGTACTTCCCCCTTCACTCTCTGTCTCCTGCTACCATGCGAAGATGTGCTTGCTTCCCCTTTGCCCTTCTGCCATAAGTGTAAGTTTCTTCAGGCCTCCCCAGCCATGCCTCCTGTACAGCCTGTGGAACTGTGAGTCAATTAAACTTCTTTTATTTATAAATTACCCAGTCTCTGTTAGTTCTTTATAGCAGTGTGAGAACAGACTAATACATACATGATTTATCACTTTGGATCAGGCCCTCTCTTACCCAGGTCCACTCCACTTTCCACCCATCCCACTCAGGCCTAACATGTCTATTGGATATAGCTGCAGTTTCAAGATTCATTTCTATATGATATGACTGCATTGCTTGGATTGTTAACACATTTAACACATTAGTAGTACCTTCTGGACAAATGATTACAAGATTTATGTGATGATATAATTATTTCTTTGCATATTAATCATCATTTTAGAGGTTTGGAGAACCCGGAAAAACGGACACAGATGTGACCAGGCAGTGAGCAGTAATACCAGTGATTGCAAAGGCAGATACATGACCCTAGTAAGCTGGCTTTGGAAAATTAAAGGACTCCAGTCCCACTCAGGGACATTGTGGATCGATAGAGCTGGGATAGGGCCCGAAGTACCTGTACTGTTAAAAACTCCTGAGGTAATAAGTCTGTGCAGCTAGTGGGGAATTATTACCCCATGGAGCAAGAGATGAACTTAATGTCATTGTTTATGATCAGGGATATGAGATATTTATGGGAAAGATCTTTCCTGAAAGAAAACAAAATAAAGTTGTCTGGGAAAAAAATGACTTTTTAATGTTCTATATAAAAGCAAAAATAAAAGCCCATCTCCTTTCCCTCAATCTCACCACTTTCTCTACCACCTAATCAAGGGAACCCATTCTAAATAGAAAATACTGTTTAATATTTGTTGATTTGTTGTCTATATTATATACCATAGCAGATATGCTATAGTATTTTAAAATTTTGTAGTGAACAGGGTAATACAAATGTGAGAATTACACATTCTTTGGTAATTATAACTTATACATCAACACAAATTTTTTTTAAGTGATTCAGATGCTTTTCTGGAGAACAGGATTTAGACATTAATTGTCTAAATCACTACATTAACTTTTCAGAACCATCTGAGTAGAATTTTTGTGAAATGAATTTAGCTAAATTTAGAAAAAACAGTAAAATATTTTTGGAATGCTGTCATCACTGGTTCCTGACAAACAAACACAATAGCATCACCAGCCATCTCTCAAAGCTTTGAGTATAGGTCCTCTTTTTTATGCCCCAACTTCTAAATCTTTTATTTCTCTAATGTGACCCTAGGGTCACATTAGATCAATAGATTCCACTCATAGTTTGATACTCACATTCTATACATGCCTCTAATCAGTATCCTGTTTTTAGGAGTTATTTATTTTTCTTTTTGTTTATAAATGCTTGTAAACATTTTGTCAGATGTGCCAAGTTTTTCTGCTGTATACTCATGACAGACTTTTAACCAATTGTTTACTGTATCGTCTGTAAGTATTAAGCCATGTTTTAAAAATGTGTGCTTTCATAAGCTTGTGAATTTTATTCTTGTAAAAACTTATAAAACTGATATACAAATAGAGAATACAGTTTGATGCTCTGGAGAGAGGTCCTTGATATGCAAAGGTTAAGGCATGTGCATTGCTTTAGTTTTTGCAGTGATGGGGTCTCAGGGTTTTCCCCTCAAAACAGAATCTGTATACTTGAAATGGAGAAACCGGAGTGAGAATTTGGCTACCACATGTAATACGCACAGATGCAGTGTGTTTATTTAATAAAGATTTACTGTCTTGGAAGAGATAATGAAATAAAACTCATGGTCCCTGAACTCAAAAACTTACAGGTTGGATGAAGGGACAAACACATGAGAAGATGTCCATTAAACAGAAGACTCTTTTAAGAGATGATAAGAACAAAACATCACCCCACAAAGAAGCAGCAGAAAAATGCCACGGTGTCCTGTCATGTTCCGGAGTGATCAAGGCAGGGTTCATAAAAGGCATGAGAATAAAGCTGGGATTTGAAGAGTGGGTGACAATTTGCCAGTCAGAGGTAGAAAATAATACATGCCAGTTAAGTATTTGAAAACAAGGGACCTGGCTGGGAACATCTGAGTAAAGGGTTGATATACAGAAAATAATTGAGATAAAATTAGGGATAAAATGAAATAAGTAACATAATCTCTGCTTAAAGAAAAAGAAAAATGGAGATTGTTAGATCATAAAAGCTTGCAATTCCAAGGATAGAATTCAATTTAGATTTGGCTTATTTGGACCATAGTAATCCTCCAGATGTGACCAGGACCTGGTTTCTCTGTTATTGTTTCTTGACACTGTGTCCCCAGGATTTGCTTCATTCCCAGATTATAAGCCTCATATCTTTCACTACCAAATGAAGAGATGAGAGCATGTGGTTGATAAATTACATAGAAGATAAATAAAACCCTTCCTCCCAAAAGCTGCAGCAAAGATCTCTAAATGGCTTACCTAGCTATCCCTGAACCAGTGATACCTGTGGATAGAGAGGATAGGGTGCATTGAGTGGCCCTGCCACTCAGTTCTATTCCTAGGTCTGGCACCATCCTAAATGGCTGAAAATGAGAATGAAGGGAATTTATCAAGAAAAAAGTAGGGTACTCTTGATGGAGGAAAGAGGGGATAAATGGTGAAAAGACAACCGCCAAATGCCCTGCACAGGTTGATATGTTGGGCCAGATGTATAATGTAGGGACCTACGAAGCTTAAATGGTTTTCAGGGGAAACATGACCTAATGCAAGAAGAGTAATAGATAAAACATTACATGCAAGTACCCAGGATAATGCTAGGTGTATGGCCAAGTAAAATTCTCATACATAATACAGTAGAAGACATATACAATAGTATTTATTGTAGCTCTACTCATAATGGCAAATCTGAAAACCATCTCAATCCCAACTAGACAATAGTGCATTAAGTACTTTGATGTATATTCACAAAATAATACCACAGGCAAAATGAACAAAGTATAAAAACATGAAATGTATGGATAAATCTTAATAATAAATTATTATATGAAAAATGGATTCCCAAAGATTATAAACATGATAGACTTTCTGTAAATTTAAAAACAACTAAGGTTTAAATATATATAGTTTCTTAAAGTTCTTAAAGAAGAATATGAATACAATAAAATTATAAAAAAAGTATGAGACAGGAAATAAACAAGTGAATAGGTATTATAGATGGCAATGTTTATGGTTCAGGAAAGAAAATGAATAATGTAGGATGTTAGGCCAAGCTGGAATGGGGTTATTGTGATGTTATTTTATATACAGTGGTCATTGGAGTCTTCTCTTAGAAGACGGCATTTGAGCAGAGGATGGAGGGAAGTAATAAGCCATGTTTTAAAAATGTGTGCTTTTATAAGCTTGTGAATTTTATTCCTGTAAAAACTTATAAAACTAATACACAAACAGAGCATACAGTTTGATACTCTGGAGAGAGGTCCTTGATATGCAAAGGTTAAGGCATGTGCATTGCTTTAGTTTTTGCACAGATGCAGTGTGTTTATGAGTGAGCCATGTGGGTGATGAGAGGAAGTCTTCTGCACAGAGGGAATAGTAAATGGAAGTGCAATTGTGAATGCAGTGGGAGTGTGCTTGGTGTGTTCCAGGAACTTCAGTGAAGCCAGTATTTCTGAAGTGGAGTGAGTACAATAAATAATGGTAAGATATAAGGTCAGAACATTAGAGGAGGTTCAGATCATGTAGGGCTATCAAAGCTGTTGTGAAGACCTGGCTATTAATCTTAGTGAGACAGGAATCCACTGGAGGTTTTTGATCAAAAGGGTGGTATATTTTTAAAGGGTTACTCTGGATGATTTGTAAAGAGAATGGAGAGATCAAGCTTAGAATGAAGGAGATCAGAGATTAGTTAGAAGGCTTTAAGTTATCTAAGAGAGGCATGCAGGTACCTTGGAAGAGTATGAGCTGGTTATCTATCACTTTGGAAAAGATTACTCCAAAACTTAGTGGCTTATAATGACAATTGTTGTATTATGTATCACATGTTAATGGGTGAAGGACATGGGCTGGTCCCTCAGCTGGGCAGTTCTGCTCCATGAGGGCCTAAGTGAGTTCATTTGGAGATACTCAGCTGATGGCTTGTCTATAGGATCCAAGACAGCTTCACATACATGCCTGGTGTCTTGACAGGGACATCTAGAAGGTCAGACTCAGGTGAGTGTCTCCCTCCATCCATATAGTCTCAGGACCTCCCAACATGGGCTTCCCTGCATGGTATCCAAACTGTTTGCATGACAGTTTGTGACTACAAGAACAAGTATCCCGAAAGACCAGAAGTGGTAGCTGTCGGTGTCTTAAGACCTAGATCTAGAAACTGGCATATTCTTTGTCTCGTACTGTATTGGTCAAAGGAGTCTCTCATATTGTATTGGTCAAAGGAGTCTCTCATATTGTATTGGTCAAAGCAGTCAGACAGCCCACCCAAATTCCATGGCAGGGAATTGAAACCTCATTTCCTGATGGGAGAACTCTCAAAGAATTTGTGGCCATATGTAACTGGCCATAGTACAAGGTTGTAAGAAGTGGTTAAATTCCAGTTGAATTTTAAGTGAACATCTTCTAAGTTTGGCTAATGAATTAGATGTAGCACTTGAGGGTAAAGGAAGAATCAGAGTTGAACTAATTTTTGTATTTCAACAACTGGAGGAACTACTGTTTATTGGGATAGGGAAAATTGTAGAAATGAAAATCAGACATTTCATTTTGTACATATTAAGTTTGAGTTGCCTGTTCCATTCCCAACGTAGATATACAAGTAGGCTGTTAGATATATAAGTCAGGAGATGAGGAAAGAGCTTTGAGCAGAGAGATATTTGTGTATAGATTGTATTTAAATTAATGGGACTACATGAGTTTCATTTAATGAGGAAAGTAGGTGGATGAGAGATCTACTTACTGTGCCAAATGAAAATTCAAATGCTAGTAATTACAGATTCAAGAAGGAGCTAATGAAGAAATCAAGAAATAATAGGTCATGAAGTAGAAGAACCAAGGGAAAACTATATATAGGAAGCCTAGTGAAAATATTTGAAGATGTAGGGAATGGTCAAATTGGTTATCCACTGCTGATTGCATAAGATGAGGACTGCAAATTGAATGTCATTTTGGAACGTGGAATTCATGGGTGACTTCTATAGTAGATATTGTGTTTGAGCCAGGGGATAACAAAAAGCCCAATCAGAGTGATCTCAAGACAAAATGTGAGGAGAGCAAGTGGAGAAAGCTAGTATGGACAAAATCCATAATGCATTTTTTTAGTATGCCTCTTGTCTCCCAAAATGAAACACCAATATTCTCATTTTTGCCCTCTATTTCTGAACCAAGGCAAATGTAGGGCCATGGGCATTTGCATCAGATTAAGGTCAAATGCTAAAACTAATGTCTGTGACTTTAAGTCTGTGAATTAAAAATGTTTACTAGAATTGTTTCTGGCCATTGTATATGTTTCTGTTTGTCTCCCTCTCACACTGTTAAATATCCAGAAAGTGTCATGACTTTGAATTCAAATTCTTGCTTTGAGATGTTTTCTTACTCTTATTTCAAAATGGCAAGAGGAATAAATTCCAGTGTTAAAACTATGAGGAAAACAAATGAACTTAAAAGCCTTTGGACTTGTACTTCTCAACTGGCCATAGTTCACACCATTATCTGTTGTCTTATTAATATGTCCTGCCTTGTTTCTGAAGGCATTTTGCATTTCAGATGCTAATTTTATTGTGGCAATGCTGCAGCTCTCTCTTGGACTAATTTAGTAAAGCTTTAGAAAGAGCACGGTGAACTTGGAGAACATTGAACCAGCTTATAGGATACCTGAGTTACAGACCTGGCTCTGTTACTCAACTGGAAGATAAATGACAACAATGATAAATAAAATGATACATGATAAAAATAAAAACAATGCTTGTTATTTTGCATTTGTGTAATAACTGAGCTAAAGTTAGTACTCAAAATGTCTGCAGCCATGGAGAAAGAATGTTTCCTTCAATAAATAACGCCATGTCAATTGAATATATAGAATTGACCTTAATTTTTGAACCTTAGTTTATACTATCACAAACATAGTATAAAGGCGAATTTATATGGTATGTGTATATATATAATTTGTATGATATGTGTGTATATATATATATATCAAACACCATTTAGTATAGCAAAAATGGTATAAATTAATGATATAATTCTAAAAGTGAACAGAAAAACATTACAGAGTATAGAAAAAAAGAATATATTCATGATTTTGTAGTAGACAAATACAATTTCAAAAAAATACAGAAGCTCTAACTGTAATGGAAAAACATTAATAACCTCAAAAACATCAATTGGACCAAATGAAAATAAACTAATGTTTAATCAAAAGTATCATAAAGTGAATTAAAATGCATGGAACAGATAGGGAAAGAAATTTGTAATATCTATACTTGAGAAAGGACTTGTTTTGAGAATATAATAATTGCAACAAGTCAATAATAATAAAAGATAATCATATACAAAAAATATACAAAAGATATGAATAGCCACTTTATAAAGGAGGATGTCAGCTGGGCACAGTGGCTCATACCTGTAACTCAGCACTTTGGGAGGCAGAGGCAGGTGGATTACTTGAGACCAGGAGTTCGAGACCAGCCTGGCCAACATAGCAAAACCCTGTCTCTGCTAAAAATACAAAAATTAGCCAGGCATGGTGGCATGCACCTGTAATCCCAGCTACTTGGGAGCCTGAGGCATGATAATCACTTGAACCCGAGAGGCAGAGGTTGCAGAATCAAGATCATGCCATTGCACTCCAACCTGGGAAAGAGAGCAAGACTCTGTCTCAAAAACAAAAACAACAACGACGAAAAAAGGATATCCAAATTAACCATAAATATATGAAACAGTACTCAATTTCATTAGTCAAAGAGAAATGCAAATTAAAACCACTTTATAATATTTGTAAACTAAAATTATTAAAAAATAGATATTGAATATTGGTGAAGACTTGCAGCAACAAGAACTCTCATACACTGTTGGTAAAAATGTAAATTGACACAACTACTTTGACAACTGTTCGAGAGTGTACTAAAGCTGAAAACAATGCAAACATTAAAACCTAGAAATTCCATTTATAGGTACATAACAAAGGAATTTGTTCGTATACAGCAGTCTCCCCTTATACACAGTTTCAGTTACCCATGGTCATCCATGGTCTAGAAATAGGTGAGTGCATTTCAATAAGGTGTTTTGAGAGAGAGAAATCACATTCATATAACTTTTATTATAGTGTTGTAGCCTTTTAATTATTACTTATTATTGTTAATCTCAGAATATACCTTATACATTAATCTTTGTCAAAGGTATGTATGTGTAGGCAAATATAGAGAATTTATGACATTCAATATTATGCATGGTTTCAGGCACCCATTGGGGATCTTGGAACATGGATAAATGAGGACTGATGTATTTACCAGAAGACATGTAAAATAATGTTTATAGTAGGATTATTCAAATAATCAAAAACTGGATGTAACCTTGATTACAAAACCAGACAAGGAAACACACACACACACACACACACACACACACACACACGAAAACTACCAGCCAATATCTCTGATGAACATAGATGAAAAAAATCCTCAACAAAATACTAGCTAGCAAACTGAATACAACAGCACATCAAAAGGATTATTTATCATGACCAAGGGGATTAATCCCAAGGATGCAAAGTTTATTCAGCATACTCAAACCAATAAACATGGTATGTCAGATCAACAAAATGAAGGCCAAAACATCATAATTATCTCAATAGATGCAGATGAAGCATTTGAAAAAATCAACATTCTTTTATGATAAAAACTCAACAAACTATACAAGAAACACCTCAACATAATAAAGGCCATATAGACAAACACAGAGCTACCATCATACGGAATGGGGAAAAGCTGAAAAAGCTTTCTCTCTAAGATTGAGAATAAGATAAGTATCCCCACTTTTACCACTTTTATTCAACATAGTACTGGGAGTTCTAGTCAGAGCAATCAAGCAAGAGAACAAAATGTAAAAACATTCAAATTAGCAAGGAGGAAGTCAAATTATTCCTGTTTGTAAACACATCTATAGCCAATTGATTTTAAGCAAAGGTGCCAGGTACACACAATAGAGAAAGAAAAACCTCTGCAATAAATAGTGCTGGTATAACTGGATATGATGCAGAAGAAGGCAGTTAGACTCTTAATCCCTCACCATATACAAAAATGAATTCAAAGTGGATTAAAGACTTAAATGGAAGACCCCTATACTACAAAACTATAAGCATAAAGGACATGATTCCATGACATTGGTCTAGGCAAAGATTTTTTTCGATAAAACCTCAAAAGCACAGGCAACAAAAGCGAAGACAAACTAAAAATCTTCTGCCCAAGAAAGAAAACAATCATCGGAGTGAAGAGATAAACTATGGACTGGGAGAATATGTTTGTAAACTCTACATCTGGTAAAGGAATATAATCCAAAATATATAAAAGACTCAAACAACTCAGTAACAACAACAACAATAACAGAAACAACATGAATGAAAACTGGACAGCAGTTCCTGAGTAGATATTTCTCAAAAGAAGATACATAAGTGACCAACAAGTATATGAAAAAATGTTCAATATCACTAATCATTAGGGAAATGCAAATTAAAACTACAATGAGACATTACTTCATTCCAGTTAGAACGGCCACTGTCCTAAAATTAAAGATAACAGGTGTTGGTGAGGATGTGGAGTAAAGGAAACCCTTATACTCTGCTGGCGGAAATGTAAATTAGTATAGCCAGTTGAAATCCTGAATAGAACAAAAAGGTTAACCCTATGTGTGTCACAAGGGACTCCTGCCTGGCTGCTTGAGCTGGGACAGTGGTCTTTTCCTTGAGTAGGACAGTTTGAGACCCAAACTGATATCAGATCTTCCTAAGTTTCTAGCCTCCTGGCTTTCAGACTGGAATTTACACCATCAAGCTCTCCTGGCTTACAGGCCTTAATACTCTGACTGGAACTCTACCATTGGCTCTCCTGGGTCTCCAGCTTGCCACCTGCAGGTCTTGAGAGTTTTCTGCCTCTATAATTGTGTGAACTAATTTCCTATAATAATTCTCTACGTGCTTTCTCTCTCTCTCTTACATATAAATATATGTATATACACATATACACATATATATGTTTATAACATCCATTTGTTCTATTTCTCTGGAAAACTCTAATGCAAATAGCATTTTTAAATGATTTCGTTTTCCAACGCTGAAAGATTCTTTTTTTTAAGCATGGGTGAATTTCAGGAAATGGTTAAAAATGTGTGAATAATTGCATATTCTTGTGAGTTTATACTAATATGATTCACATATATATCATGATATAGCCAAACAAAATCAATATGTGTTCTAAGGATGTGCACTGAAATTATAACCAAGAAATTCCTAATAGCAAGGTTTTTGTATTTTATCTGACATGTCCTTGTTTAAAGCCTTGCAACATTTATATTGAGAAGTCACTTGCATATGACTTGGCAAATGTTGTAAATTCAGAAAAATGTAGAAAGTAGAGAGAGACTGTTTTATTGAGGTTTAGAGAATGATCTTGGTGCACCCATCACGCCCACAGACAATAATTTGACTGGCATACTAGTTCAGTTTTGAGGAAACCAAATAGGGGCAAAGGAATAATACCAATGTTCATTGGGTGGATTTCTTCTTTTTTGTAACATGGACACCTTCCTGATATTTTCAGGGAACACCATTTCACAAACACTACCTCTTAGGAGTTTGGCAAATCTTTTTGCACAAGTCAATGCCACAGGAAAGAACACAAATGTTTACTTTGGGTAGGTAACGTTTGGTGTGCCTTCTTCTATTAACAAGACTGTATTTCTCCGAAATTAGGTAAAGGAGGACACAGTAGGACAAATGACAGGCAAAATATTACATAGTAACAGATCTCATTTATTGAATGATGAACTCTGTAGCAGGGACAGTACTAAAAGCTTTCTTTCGATTATTCATTTAATTTTCCCAGCAACTGGGGATGGAGATGCTACTAGTATATTAATTTTTACAGATTTGGAAACCTATGAGGTTACTAACTTACTTAAGTTCACACTGATAGAAAGTGGCTGGGATGTGTGTAAACTAGCACTTTCGGAATCCAGAGATCAGACTCAAGTGGTATGCTAACTTATGAGTGGAAAAAATAAATATAATGAAAAGAAAGAGAAAGCAAGGATAAGAAAAAGAATTAATTTAAAAATACCTTCCATTAGAAAACATTTGGAAAAATAACAGAAAATAGAAAAGAAACAGATCAGTTACTTACCCCAAATCCAAGGAAACCTTTTAAAGCAGTTTTTCCCCAGTTAATATGCTGTGCATAAATTTGCTTGATTGTGGTTTTATTGTCCTACTACAAATACTCTTGCTATCTTATTTCCTCACTAATAATAATACCTTAATTTTCTGAGTTACTATAATTTTTTTCTTTATTTCTTCTAAAAAAATGGGATACATATGTAGAACGTGGAGGTTTGTTACATAGGTATATGGGTGCCATGGTTGTTTGCTGCACCTATTGACCTGTCCTCTAAGTTCCCACCCCTCAACCTCCACCCCCGAAAAGGCCCTGGTTTGTGTTGTTCCCCTCTCTGTTTCCATGTGTTCTCAATGTTCAACTCCAACTTACAAGTGAGAATATGTGGTGTTTGGTTTTCTGTCCCTGTGTTAGTTTGCTGAGGACGATGGCTTCCAGCTTCATTCATGTCCCTGCAAAGGACATAATCTCATTTCTTTTTATGGCTACATAGTATTCCATGATGTATATGTACCACATTTTCTTTATCCAGTCTATCATTGATGGACATTTGGGTTTGTTCCATGTATTTGCTACTGTAAATAGTGCTGCAGTAAACATATGTGTGCATGTGTCTTTATAGTAGAATGATTTATATTCCTTTGGGTATATAGACAATAATGGGATTGCTGGGTGAAATGGTATGTCTGGTTCTAGATTCTTGAGGAATTGCCATACTGTCTTCCACAAGGGTGGAACTAATTTACATTCCCACCAACAGTGTAAAAGTGTTCCTATTTCTCCGCACCCTCGCCAGCATCTATTATTGTTTCCTGACTTTTTAATAATTGCCCTTCTGATTAGCATGAGATGGTATCTCATTGTGGTTTTGATTTGCAGTTCTCTGATGATCATTGATGTTGAGCTTTTTTTCATATATTTGTTGGCTGCATAAATGTCTTCTTTTGAGAAGTATCTTTTCATATCCTTTGCCCACTTTTTGATGGGGTGTTTATTTTTTTCTTATAAATATTGTTTAAGTTCCTTGTAAATTCTGGATATTATACTTCTGTCAGATGGGTAGATTGCAAACATTTTCTCCCATTCTGTAGGTTGCTTGTTCACTCTGATGATAGTTTCTTTTGCTGTGCAGAAGCTCTTTAGTTTAATTAGATCTAATTTGTCAATTTTGGCTTTTGCTGCAGTTGTTTTTGGTGTTTCTGTCATGAAGTCTTTGCCCATGCCTATGTCCTAAATGGTATTGCCTAGGTTTTCTTCTAGGGTTTTTATAGTTTTGGGTTATACATTTAAGTCTTTAATCCATCTTGAGTTAATTTTTGTATAAGGTGTAAGGGAGGGGTCCAGTTTCCGTTTTCTGCATATGGCTAGCCAGTTTTCCCAGCATCATTTACTGATTAGGAGATCCTTTCCCGTTTGCTTGTATTTGTCAAGTTTGTTGAAGATCAGTTGGTTGTAGATGTGTGGTATTCTTTCTGAGTTCTCTGTTCTGCTCTATTGGTCTATATGTCTGTTTTGGTATCAGGACCATGGTGTAGCCTGTAATATAGTTTAAAGTCAGGTAGCATGTTGCCTCCAGCTCTGTTATTTTTGCTTAGGATTGTCTTGGCTGTATGGGGCCTTCTTTAATTCCATATGAAATTTAAAATAGTTTTTTTCTAATTCTGTGAAGAATGTCAATGGTAGTTTGATGGGAATAGCATTGAATTTACAAGGGCAGTATGGCCATTTTCACAGTATTGATTCTTCCTATCCATAAGCATGGAATGCTTTTCCATTTGTTTGTGTCCTCTCTTATTTCCTTGAGCAGTGGTTTGTAGTTCTCCTTGAAGAAGTCCTTCACTTCCCTTGTTAGGTGTATTCCTAGGTATTTTATTCTCTTTGTAGCAATTGTGAATGAGAGTTCATTCATGATTTGGCTCTGTACTTGCCTATTGTTGTTGTAAAGGAATGCTTGTGATTTTTGCACATTGATTTTGTATCCTGAGACTGCTGAAGTTTCTTATCAGTTCAAGAAGTTTTGGGGCTGAGATGATGGGGTTTTCTAAATATAAAATCATGTCATCTGCAAACAGAGACAACTTGACTTCCTCTCTTCCTATTTGAATACCCTTTATTTCTTTCTCTTTCCTGATTGCTCTGGCCAGAACTTCCAATACTATGTTGAATAGGAGTGGTGAGAGAGGGCATTCTTGTCTTGTATCAGTTTTCAAAGGGAATGCTTCCACCTTTTGCCCATTCAATATAGTATTGGCTGTGGGTTTATCATAAATAGCTCTTATTATTTTGAGATATATTCCATCAATACCTAGTTAATTGAGAGTTTTTAACATGAAGGGATTTTGAATTTTTTTTTTTTTTTTTTTTTGAGACAGGATCTTGCTCTGTCGCCCAGGCTGGAGTGCAGTGGTGCGATCTCGGCTCACTGCAAGCTCCACCTCCCAGGTTCACGCCATTCTCCTGCCTCAGCCTCCCGAGTAGCTGGGACTACAGGTGCCTGCCACCACACCCGGCTAATTTTTTTGTATTTTTAGTAGAGATGAGGTTTCACTGTGTTAGCCAGGATGGTCTTGATCTCCTGACCTCATGATCTGCCCACCTCAGCCTCCTAAAGTGCTGGGATTACAGGAGTGAGGGATTTTGAATTTTATCAGAGAACTTTTCTGCATCTATTGAGATAATGTGGTTTGTTTTTGGTTCTGTTTATGTGATCAATTACATTTATTGATTTGCATATGTTGAACCAGCCTTGCATCCCAGGGATGAAGCCAACTTGATCTTGGTAGATAAGTTTTTGGATGTGCTGCTGGATTTGGTTTTCCAGTATTTTATTGAGGATTTTCACATCAACATTCATCAGGGATATTGGCCTGAAGTATTTTGTGTGTGTGTTTCTTCCCAGTTTTAGTATCAGGGTGATGCTGGCTTTATAAAATTAGTTAGAGAGGAGTCCCTCCTTTTCAATTGTTTGGAATAGTTTCAGAAAGAATGGTACCAGCTCCTCTTTGTATTTCTGGTAGAATTCACCTGTAAATCCGTCTGGTCAGGGGCTTTTTTTGGTTGGTAGGCTATTAATTACTACCTCAATTTCAGAGCTTGTTATTGGTCTATTCAGGGATTCAACTTCTTCCTGGTTTAGTCTTGGTAGGATGTATGCATCCAGGAATTTATCCATTTCTTCTAGATTTTCCGGTTTATTTGCATAGATGTGTTTAGTATTTTCTGATAGTAGTTTGTATTTCTGTGGGATCAGTGGTGATATCCCCTTTATCATTTTGTATTGTGCCTATCTGATTCTTCTCTCTTCTTCTTTAATAGTCTAGCTAGCAGTCTATCTATTTTGTTAATTTTTTTCAAAAAACCAGCTCCTGGATTCGTTGATTTTTTGGAGGTTTTTCCGTGAATCTATCTCCTTCAATTCTTCTCTGATCTTAGTTATTTCTTGTCTTCTGCTAGCTTTTGGATTAGTTTGCTCTTGCCTCTCTGGCTCTTTTAATTGTGATGCTAGTATGTCGATTTGAGATCTTTCTAGCTGTTTGATATGGGCATTTAGTGCTATAAATTTCCCTGTTAACACTGCTTTAGCTGAGTCCCAGAGATTCTGGTATGTTGTCTCTTTGTTCTCCTTGGTTTCAAAAAACTTGATTTCTACCTTAATTTTATTATTTACCCAGGAGTCATTCAAGAGCATGTTGTTCAATTTCCATGAAATTGTGTGGTTTTGAGTGGGTTTCTTAATCTTGAGTTCTAATATGATTTCACTGTGGTCTGAGAGACTGTTTGTTATGATTTCCGTTCTTTTGCATTTGCTGAATTTTGCTGAGGAGTGTTTTACTTCCAGTTATGTGGCCAATTTTAGAGTAATTTCAAAAGAAATTATATAAAAAGGACACCTGCAATGGTATGTTTATCGCAGCACAATTCACAATACTGAAGTCATGTAACCAACCTAAGTATACATCAACAGTTGACTGGATAGAGAAAATGTGGTATATATAAAACACAGGATACTATGCAGCAATAAAAACGATGAAATCACCTTCTTTCAGCAACATGCCTGGAGCTGGAGATCATTATCCTAAGAGAACTAACTCAGAAACAGAAAATGAAATACTGCATGTTCTTACTTATAAGTGGGAGCTAAAGAATGGGTAGACATGGATATAAAGTTGGAAATATAGAAAGTGGAATCTCTAAAAAGGGCATAAGGAGGGGAGTGAGGGTTGGAGGAATATTTATTGAATATAATGTTCAATATTTGGGTGAAAGGTACACTAGAAACCTAATTCGAACCATTATGCAATATACCTGTGTAACAAACATGACATGTACCCCTGAATCTAAAATAAAATAAATTAAAATTTATATACTCTTATTTTTTTTAAAAAAATAGAATAAGGAAATAAATTTTAAGAACCAAAGCAAAACAAATAACAAAAGCAATAAACTATGCTCTTTGACTTATGCTAGAGAAAATATAGTTACAAATAGATAAAGAAATATTGTTAAGGACTTTAAAAACAATCTGGAGGCTTTTACCAAACAGGAATTTGGTATAGTATTTTCTGAACGATTTTTTAAAAATTTCTTTCGTAATAGTAATATTTAATGTGGGAGTGTGAAGTTCAGAGTGGTTATTTTCAAATAGTCTGTCAATAAGAAATTGCCCAGAGTATGGGAGGTCTCAGACCACCTGAAGTCTAGCTATAAATTGGTATTTCCAAGGCTTGGCAGTTTGCCAGATCTACATTGATTATTTATTGGTGCATAATAAATCATTCTAAAGCAAGGTGGCTTGAAACAGCAATAATCACCTATAATCTCTAACAGTTTGTGTGGGTCTCAGCTGGAAGTCTCAAATATTGAAGGTTGAAATTATCTATACTGTCATTCTCTCACAGATCTGATGGTGGGGCCCTGCTGTGGCTTTTAATTGGAAGGCCCATGTGGGGCATCTTCATATTGCCTGGGCTACCTTACAATATGGTGGCTGTGTTCCAAGAACAACTGTCTCAAATTAGAGGGTCAGCCAAGCTAAAGTCATTTTGTCCTTTACACACTAGCCTCAGAAGTCATGTAACATTTCTTCCACTGTATCGTATTGGTAGAGGCAGTTACAAAGGTCCAGCCAGATTTAAGAAGGGAGCATAGATTTCACATTTCACTGGAGGATTTTCAGTGTCACATTTTAATGGGTAATACAAAATAATGTGTGTGTGTGTGTGTGTGTGTGTGTGTGTGTGTGCAAGTAATCCATGTCACCATGCTTGGAGAATATAACCTGTTCTTCCATCTGAGAAAGTCTAGAAAACCAGGTAGAAAACAATGAGCCACATTTTCCTTCTGAAGGTAATTAATTAAACTTGGTAGGGGTTAGGCCAGCTCACAAGGGGAGACTTTATTTTGTGTCTTTTAAATTGGTATTTGTACTGAGAAACTGGTAATTTTCTTTATGGACCATGACTGGAAACAGGTCTAAGAATGAAAGAACTGTGTCAAGACTGCCTTTAGAACTGTAAATCTTGAGATTTGGGTATGATGAACTGTCAATGCTAAGCTTAGTTGGCTGACACAAGGACACCTCTGGAGGTTGCTGGATCCTTGAGGGTGGTATTGTTTGTTGTTTGAGTGGAAGTTACCTCTTAAGTGCTGGGCACTCAGACTGTAGGATATTCACTAGTTGTCTGATGTTACAAAGGGATCTCAGACCACTGGCACCGTATCTGTAATCATTTAGGCAATTGACCCAAGCTGTCATTGGTACTCTAGGGAGTCATAGGAAGTTTTCAAGATTGACATGACTTTTCAAAAAATTTATTTAATTTAACACTTACTAAGTATCTGTTATGGGTCAAGCACTGTGTGCTGTGATGAAAGAAGAGAGATGAACAAGGTCAGATCTACCAAAAGACAGAGATATGCAAATAAGGCCATTTCACTGCAGGATGGGAAATGCCATGATAAAAGGTAAAAGCAAGGGAGGTCTTCTAGGCGAAGGGAAGCCACTTGAAAAGAATGGAGAAATGATGTCCCAGGGACTAATTATATATTACAGGACTATGTGGGAAGTGATAGGAGTTGAGGCTTACATGGTAAGTAGTATCTAGGACATAAAGGAGAAGTTTATTATTGAAAAGACTTACCTGAAATGACTATATAAAATGCCTTTGTTTTCTTGAGAACTATCTTAGAGACTTGGTAAGGAGTTTTTAAAAGAGGACATCAAAAATTATAAGCCTTATGAGTTGGAAAGAATCTTAGAGGGCATGTAGCACGTAGTTGTATAATTCTAGCTAAATATAGGGTAATAAATTGGTCTATGAAAATGAAAAGATACCACAGTTGATTAATAGACTAAACATTTAATTGCTAAAATTTTTTCTTGCTCTTATTCTTGAATTTTAAAAAGTATTTTATGAATGCTATTTGAAATTAATTATACTAAATTTATATTGATATTCTGTTCCCCAGGCATTTTCTAATTTGTTCTTAAATCATTTTTTTAGATAGGCACAGAGAGTAGATTATCTGCATTTTATAATGGACTAAGAGATATTTTGTATGGGTTGTGAATAACCCATGATCAAACACTTAGTAATTTCCTCAACCAGGAGTAATACTTCTGATTTCTAACTTCAAATGTCATGTTTAAGATCACAATACTTATAAAATAGTAGTCGTCTGTGTTTAAGAGTCTTCTATGTAGAAGGGCCTCTGGATGCTACTTTCATATGTTATCTTATTTTCCTTCCCAATGATCCCATAAGACAGGTGGTGCTATAGAGACACCAAGACTTGTAGACACTGGATCATTTCAATCTTCGTCAAAGCAGAAGGGGGCTGAAACTCCTCTCCTCTGATTTCAAGCCCCTGGTCTTTCTGCCTCACTAGATCATCTTAGCTGTTGTTTTCAGTCTCTCGAAAGTACTCTTTCAACTAAACAACAAAATATTTGCCCTTCCACCTTGGGAAAGACTCAATTGTTAAAACAGCTTTAAAATTAATGGACTTTGAATTGTTAAATAAGAATAAGACAGATATGTCAATTCCAACTATATGCCTGAGGAAAATGTGTTTCTTTATTGAGGGCTATGCTTCTTATTGTTTAAATTTTGAGTCAGTTGGGCTAACAGCACATACAATTACACAATAATGTAAGAAAACTGAGCTGATTTGAAGAATGAAGGACAAGGTTTTCTGTTTGGTTTAGAATTAAAAAGCTCAGCTGGGCATGGTGGCTCATGCCTGTAATCCCAGCACTTTGGGAGGCTGAGATGGGCAGGTCACTTGAGGTCAGGAGTTCGAGACCAACCTGGCCAACATGGTGAAACCCCGCTTCTACTAAAAATATAAAAATTATATTATATTACACAGGCAAGGGGGCAAGTGCCTGTAATCCAGCTACTCACGAGGCTGAGACAGGAGAATCTCTTGAACCCAGGAATTGGAGGATGCAGTGAGCTGAGATCGTGTCGTTCACTCCAGCCTGGCAGACAGAGTGAGACTTGGTCTAAAAAAAAAAAAAAGCTCCTTCTTCACACTACCCCACTCCTTTGCCATCTCCCCTAGATAATGTAGCTTAATTTTTTTTGTCTCCCATAATATTTGCATTCCATGAAGAACTTCAGCTGTGTTATTCAATACTTCAAGTTAGCATTTCAAGCTGAACGTATGTGTTTCAGGTACATTTCCTGAAATGAAATGAAGGTATTACCTTCATTTCCAGGATCCCTGTTATCTTGAAGTTTATTTACTACATAGAGAAATAAAATACAAAAATGTATTTTTGGGCCGGGTGCGATGGCTCATGCTTGTAATCCCAGCACTTTGTGAGGCCGAGGAGGGTGGATCACAAGGTCAAGTGATCGAGACCATCCTGGCCAACATGGTGATCCCTGTCTCTACTAAAAATACAAAAATTAGCTGGGCGTGGTGGCACGTGCCTGTAGTCCCAGCTACTCAGGAGACTGAGACAGGAGAATCATGTGAACCAGGGAGGTGGAGGTTGCAGTGAGCTGAGATTGTGCCACTGCACTCCAGCCCAGCAACAGAGCGAGACTCCATCTCAAAAAAAAAAAAATATGTTTTTGATTGATGAACACAACAACATCTTAATTGTTAAATGGAATATGTGCAACAACTGTAAAAAATAATTGACTGGGTTATAGGTCTTAAAAAAAGAGAGACCTAATTTACCAAACTACTTAGAGGAAGGAAAGCATAATTTTATCTTTATTTCAACTGTAATAATAAATTATCTTCTAAAGTAATACTGGCATACCTCATTTTATTACGATTCACTTTTTTGTGCTTCAGTTATTGTGTTTTTCACCAATTGAAGGTTTGTGGCAACCCTGTGTCTAGCAAATTTGTCAGCACTTTTTTTTTCTAACAGCGTGTGCTTACTTTGTATTTCTCTGTCACATTTTGGTAATCCCTACAATAATAATAATCATTATTATTACATCAGTTATGGTGATCTGTGATCAGTGGTCTTCAATGTTACTATTGTAATTCTTTGGGGTGCCACAAAAATGCCTATATAAGACTTCCAACTAATTGAGAAATGTTGTGTATGTTCTGACTACTACACTCATTGGCCATTTCCGTCTTTCTTCCTCTCCTTGGTCCTCTCTGTTCCCTAAGACACAATAATATTGAAATTTGACCAGTTAGTAACCCTGCAATGACCTCTAAGCATTCAAGTGAAAGGAAGAGTCCCACATCTCTCCTTTCAGTGAAAAGCTGGAAATGATTAAACTTAGTGAGGAGGGCATGTCTAAAGCCAAGACAGGCCAAAAGCTAGGCCTCTTGCACCAAACAGTTAGCCAAGTTGTGAATTCAATGGAAAGATTCTTGAAGAAAATTAAAAGTACTTCTCTGGTGAACACACAAATGATAAGCAAAACAGCCTTATTGCTGATGAGAAAGTTTTAGTGATCTGGATAGACGATTAAACATTTCCTTAAGCCAAAACCTGGTCCAGAGCAAATCCCTAAGTTTCTTCAATTCTGTGAAGGCTGAGAAACTTCATAAAGGCTAAAAGGTGAAGAAGATGTAGGAGAGAAATTTGGAGCTAGCAATGGTTTTATCATGGGGATAAGGAAATAAACAATTTCTATAACATAAAAGTGCAATATAAAGCAGCAGCAGATGATGGAGAAGCTGTAGCAAGTTATCCAGAAGACCTAAGATAATTGATTAAGGTGGCTACACTAAATAACAGATTTACAATGAAGATGAAATAGCTTTCTATTGAAAGAAGATGCCACCTAGGACTTTCATAGCTGGAGAGAAGTCAGTGCCTGGATTCAGAGTTTCAAAGGACATTCTGACACTGTTTTTAGGGGCTAATGCACCTGATGACTTTAAGTTGAAGCTGGTGCTTATCTGTCATTCTGAAAATCCTGGTGCCCTTAAGAATGATGCTAAATCTACTTTGCCCTTGCTCTAGAAATGGAACAACAAAGCCTGAATGAAAGCACATCTGTTTACAGCACGATAAACTGCATAAATTAAGACTACTGTTGAGACCTACTACTCAGAAAAAAATATTTCTTCTAAAATATCACTGCTCATTGGCAATGCACCTGGTCAACTAAGAACTCTGATGAAGATGTACATAAATTAATGTTGTTTTCATGCCTGTTATCACAACAGCCATTCTGCAGCTCATAGATCAAGGAGTAATTTTGACTTTAAAGTCTTATCATTTAAGAGTAATATTTCATAAGGTTATTGCTGCCATACATAGTAATTCTTCTGATGGATATGGGAAAAGTAAATTAAAAACATTTTGGAAAAGATTCACCATTATAGATGCCATTAAGAACGTTTGTGATTCATGGGAAGAATTCAAAATGTTGACATTAACTGGAGTTTGGAAGAAGTTGATTCCAACCCTCATGGATGACTTTGAGAGGTTAAAGACTTCAGTGGAGGAAGTAACTGCCTATGTGTAAATAGCAAGAGAACTAGAAGTAGTGCCTGAAGATATAACTGAATTGCTGCAATTTTATGATAAAAATTTAATGGATGAGAGATTTCTTTTTATGTATGAGCAAACAAAGTGGTTTCTTGAGATGATATCTACTTCTGGTGAAAATGTTGTGAACATTGATGACATAACAGATTTGGAATATTGCATAAACTTAGTTTTTAAAGCTATGGCGGGGTTTGAAAGGATTGACTCCAATTTTGAAAGAAATTCTACTGTGTGTAAAATGCTATCAGCCTCTCATGCTACACGTAAGTCTTTTGTGAAAGCAAGAGTCCATTCACGTGGCAAATTTTAGTGCTGTCTTATTTTAAGACTTTGCCACAGCCATCCCAACCTTAGCCCAACACCACCCTGATTATTCAGCAGCTATTGCTAACAAGGCAAGAGCTTCTACCATTAGAAGGATTTCAGCTTGTTGAAGGCTCAGATGACCATTAACATTTTTAGAAATAAAGTATTTTTAATTAAGGTATGCACATTTTTTTAGACATAATGCTATTACATACATATAGACTACAGTATAAAGTTGATTTTTATATGCAGTGGGAAACAGAAAAAATAGTATGGCTCTGGAACTAAATTCACAATACCTCCAAGGTATGCCTATATTTGTAAATTATATGCCTTGGTTTTAGCTTTTTATTGTGACCTTAAGTAATTCATCATTGAATGTAGAGCACAAATTCTGACAACATGCTCTTAACCCGGAATAAAACTTCCTTTTCTCTGTTCCTAATTTCATTTTTTAAAATAATAGGACAATCCAATCTTTAATTTCTCTAAGTCTCAAATAGGTTATCTCTCTCTGTCTAACCAATAGATTTTTTTTTATACTAAAGCCCAGTTCTACCATTAATTTCTAGGCAGAAAAGTCCTAGTAAACTTCCTGGATTAGAATCTTGCCTCTACCGTTTTCTAGCAATGTGACTTAATCTCTCTGTGCTTCAATTTTATGATCTATAAAGTAGAGATGATAATAAAACCCACTGGATAAGGTTATTATTATAAGGATTAAATGAGTAAGCTTTTTATCCTAATAAGTAAATAAAAATTAAGCTCATTAACCTGATTTTCAAGATTTTTTACTATCTAATTTAATGGCATTTTCTGCAAAGTATGTTCTTTTTTAAAAATATGCATACTCCAGTTAAGCTGAAACATGCCTAATTTCTTATTGGCTCCAACTTTCACACCTCTGCGGATGCCACTCTCTTTAAATAAAATATCCTCTATCTGCTTTCCAGTTGCCAGAATCTATTAACATTTGCTATAACATAGTTTAGTCCTAGGATAATACTCACAAATTCTCAAGGTATAGGGATGTCCAACTTAGTACAAACTCTATTACCACTTCACACACAGGCTTAGTATAAGGCTGTAGATTTAGGGTGGTATATTAGTGTATTCTCACACTGCTGATAAAGACATACTGAGACTGGGAGGATAAAAGAGGTTTAATTGAACTTACAGTTCCAAATGGCTGGGGAGGCCTCAGAACCATGGCAGGGGGTGAAAGGCACTTCTTACATGGTGGTGGCAGGAGAAAATGAGGAAGATGTGAAAGCGGAAATCCCTGATAAAACCATCAGATCTCATAAGACTTATCCACTACCATGAGAACAGTATGGCAGAAACCACCCTCATGATTCAAATTAATTATCTCCCACCAGGTCCCTCCTGCAACACGTAGGAATTATGGGAATACAATTCAAGATGAGATTTGGGTGGGGACACAGAGCCAAACCATATCAGGCATTAGTCCTTTGACCAACTGATCAAAGGCCACAAGCTAAAGAGAAATTGGATTTGGAATTTGCTTGCCAAGAAGATTACTTAGAACTGAGAGTAGTTTTCCCTTAAGTGTATGGTGATAGCTTTCCTTCCCTACTCAAAAGATTTCTATGTTTCTTCCCTGATTTATTTGATGTACTTATTAGGACCTGAAGAGCTAGGTTTTTTGTTTCATTTACAACACATGATTTTCAGAAAACATTTAGCTGTAAGAGTAGTTTTACTCTCAACAGATTATAAACAAAACCTAAATAACAATATTGAATGCTGTATTACCTTAACAAGTCCTGATCCCCAATCTCTCCCCAATTTGATCCTTCAGGATCCAGCTCAGATTCTTGATCCTCCCTTTTCATTCATCTCTTTCTTCTGAATGCCCATCATAATTTTTGCCTGTCTTGTTGAACCCATTCAGTCCTTCTGTGTCCTAAAGTTATTTTTGCACTTGATTTATCTCATTAAGAAATAGTGAGCAAATTTGGGGGAAGTTTGCTGCATTTTTGTGTTATCCACAAGTATTTTGTCAGTAAGAATTTCTTAATAAATATTTTACTTTATACTTATTCTGTTGTGATTGGCAATATTTGATACTCATTCTATAAAGCCTGATTCAGTGTTGAAGTTTTAGAGAATTTTACTTTCTTTAAAAACCTTGAGAATTTAAATTATAGCTAATTTATCTAGAATTGTTAGAAGCTAAGATTTACACTTGAATGAAGTTATTGGGAGACTTAGAAGTTAGACAAATCCTGGTTCATATCACTATGTGGCTGCTTCTTGATATGTGGCCTCTCCAAGTTCCAGCTTCTATAATTATAAAATGGAGAAGTAAAATTATAACATGGTGTTGCTGAACATAGAATGAGACCTTGACTATAAAGTCAAGCTCCTATCTCATGATATGCATTCAGTAAGGATTAGCTGTTATTATAAATATGAATAAAATGAATGTGTATATCAATTACTCATAATTGTTCACCACAGTTCTGGTATAGAGTAGTGCACAATAAACAAAGCTTCTTTGATTTTTTATTCTTTAGATTTGATCTTATAGTATTCCTATTCCAAACTGTTCTAATTCAAATTAAATAATTGTACTGTAGGCTGGGTGTGGTGTCTCACGCCTGTAATCCCAGCACTTTGGGAGGCCGAGGTGGGCAGATCACAAGGTCAGGAGTTTGAGACCAGCCTGGCCAACATAGTGAAACACCGTCTCTACTAAAAATGCAAAATATTAGCCGGGTGTGGTGGTGGGCGCCTGTAATCCCAGCTACTCGGGAGGCTGAGGCAGGAGAATCCCTTGAACCTGGGAGGTGGAGGTTGCAGTGAGCCGAGATCGTGCCACTGCACTCCAGCCTGGGTGAGAGTGCGAGACACCATCTCCAAAAAAAGAATAAATAAATAAATAAAAAATAATTGTACTGTATATATCCTTTTATAACAAGTCGTCGATTTTCACATAATTCTAAGAGAATATATATGTATATTCCATATATCCCTCTTTCTTCATTTGTCAAAATCATTATATTAGAGAGTATATAAATGTTTTTTATAAAGGGATATAATCCTTATTCGTTTATGAAAGATGTACAGTGTATCTGCATTTCATGGTGTCCTTAGAACTCTATACATTATAAATTATACATTATTAAGTAAAATACAAAATAGATTTTATTAATTTATTTTAATATATGCAATAACTGCTTTTGTGGTTTTAAGTAGAAACAAACATAATTCTTATGTTAGTTTATTTTATTTTTTCTGAATTATTTGTATAATTACTTTCTGTTTTCTCAGAACTAACCTCATAGCCTGTGTTGGACATATAAGTAGCCTTCGTTGATTTCAATTTTCAGAATTATAGCAATTGATATGTCATATCATGGTAAGGATAATTTTAAAATAGTAAACTTAGAGATTAATCGTGTTGTAAATAAAAATGCAGAAGGGCTGAGGAGTTCTTCTCTTGAATCTTCGAAAGTACCAAGTAAAGATACAAATTTTACAATGGCATCTTCTTGAAGAGACATGCTGAAACAGTTTTGTAAGAGTAGCTTGTGTCCCTATTTGATATGTATAAGATAAAAAGCCCAGGATTGCTGTTATAGTCTTTATTTATTATGCAGTACAACAGCTTGAATCTTTATGTAGCATTTTGGACGTCTATCACTTTCATCATCAAAATGTCTGAAAAGACAAAGTAGCATAACCAAGGCATTATACTGTGTTGCAGTTTTGCCATACATAATGATAAAGATGTCATACTACCCTTCCATAAATTTTGCTAACAAACTTAGCTTGTTTGAAGTCTGCATGCTGCTTCCAAAAGACTGTCTTTCTAACATAAATTTCAGATTAAAATACTCGACTTATTAACATGGAAAATATACTTGTAAATCTGAAGAATAAAATGCAGAATAACTCTTGTCGTAGGAGCTGTATACTGCAAGTGGATGCCTAGTGTTCTTGACTGAATTGATAGTAAATGCAACTAAGTTGCAAAATGGTATATTCTGGACAACATAATTTTGGTTTTGATTTGACAGATAGTGCTTCAAACAATACATTAAATTCATATGAAGTGAATTCATGGTAAATAAGAATTTTTTATATCATGAATTTAAGAAGATAGGCTTTCGGTGAGTGACAGAGCCATAATCTTTTGTGGTGGTTTATTTCCAAAGCAATCTCAAATACAACTGCTTTACACATTATTCATCTCTCCTTTGTCTTTGTTGCCCATTGTGCATGTAACCCATCCCTATGAAGACCACAACTTATTGTTTAAATGGAGATTTTTGTCTCCATAACTTAGCTAACAAATGACTTTAGATTTCATAATAATGGTTGTTAATTCATAGGGTATGTAGAAGAATTTCATTACATTATTAACATTTTATTGTCCCCCATGTAATGTTCCAAAATGTCAATGTTAAATTACTAACTTCTAAAAATATATTACTCTTTTTTTAGAGAAGCATGAGATAATTGAAGTTACCTTCTTTAACAGATTACAAAAACCTAAGATATAATTTACTGCATTTGCAATTTCTCTTTTAATTACTAACTTAAGAAATAACTTTGTTACCCATACCAGAATCTCGGTCACAGCTAAGGCAGTGTTAAGAGGGAAATTTATAGTCCTAAATGCCCACATCCAAAAGTTAGAAAGATCTCAAGGTAACAACTTAACATCACAACTGTAAGAACTAGAGAAGCAAGAGCAAAGAAACCCCAAAGCTAGCAGAAGACAAGAAATAATGAAAATAAGAGCTGAACTGAAGGAGATTGAGATAGGAAAAACCATACAAAAGATGAAGAAATCTAGAATTGATTTTTTTGAAAAAACTAATAAGATAGACTACTAACTAGAAGGAAAGAAAGAAAATCCAAATAAGCACAATTACAAATGGCAAAGGGAACGTTACCGCTGACCCCAAAGAGATACAAATAATCACTAGAGACTACTAGGAATACCTCTATGTACACAAATTAGAATATCTGGGAGAAGTGGATAAATTCCTAGACACCTAACACCCTCCCAAGCTGAACCAGGAGGAAATTGCTTCCCTGAATAGATCAGTAATGAGCTCCAAAACTGAATCAGTAATAAATACCCTACCAAGAAAAAAAAAGCCCAGAACCAGTTGGATTCACACCTGAATTCTATCAGATGTACAAAAAAAGAGCTGATACCATTCCTACTGAAACTCTTCCAAAAAATTCTGGAGGAGGTACTTCTCTCCAATTCATTCCATGAGGCCAGCACCATCCTGATACCAAAACCTGGTAGAGGCACAACGAAAGGAAGGATATCAGGACAATATCCTTGATGAACATAGATGCAAAAATCCACAAGAAAATACCAACAAACCGAATCTAATAGCACATCAAAAAGTGAATCTACCACAATAAAATAGGCTTTATCCCTGGAATACAAGTTTGGCTCAACATATGCAAATCAATAAATGTGATTCATCACATAAAGAAAATTAAAGACAGAAATCACATTATAATCTCAGTAGATGTAGAAAAAGCTTTTGATAAAATACAACATCTTTTCATGTTAAAAACCCTCAAAAATGAGGCACAGAAGGAACGTACTTCAAAATAATAAGAGCCACTTATGACAAACCCACAGCTAACATCATACTGACTGAGCAAAAGCTAGAAGCATTCCCCTTGAACACTGGCACAAGATAAGGATGCCCTCTCTCACCACACCTATTAAACATAGTATTGGAAGTCCTGGCAAGAGCAATCAGGCAAAAGAAAGAAATAAAAGTCAACCAAATAGGAAGAGAGGAAGTCAAACTATCCCTATTTGCAGATGAAATGATTCTATATCTAGAAAACCCCATAGTTTCAGGATACAAGATCAACGTCCAAAGTCCGTAGCATTCCTATACAGCAACAACATCCAAGCTGAGAGCCAAATCAGGAACACAATTCCATTCACAGTAGCCACAAAAAAATAATAGTAATAAAATACCTAGGAATACAGCTAATCAAGGTGATGAAAAATCTCTACAATGAAACACTGCTGAAAAGAAATCAGAGATGTTGCAAACAAATAGAAAAACATCTGATGCTCATGGATAGGAAGAACAAATATTATTCAAATGGCCATACTGCCCAAAGCAATTTACAGATTCAATGCTATTCCTATAAAACTACTGAAGAAATTCTCCACAGTACTAGAAAAAAACTATTTTAAAATTCATAAAGAACAGAGCAAGAGCCCTAATACCCAAGGCAATCCTAAGCAAAAAGAACAAAGCTGGAGGCATCATGCTGCCTGATTTCAAACTACACTATAGGGCTACAGTAGCCAAAACAGCATGGTACTTGTACAAACACGGACAGGTAGACCAATGGAACAGAATAGAGAGCCCAGAAATAATGCTGCATACCTAAAGCCATCGATCTTTGACAAAGCTGACAAAAACAAGCAATGGGGAAAGGACTCCCTATTCAATAAATGGTGTTGGGATGACTGGCTAGCCATATGCAGAAAATTGAAACTGGACCAATTCCTTACACCATATACAAAAATCAACCAAAAATGGGATGAAGACTTAAATGTATAACCTAAAACTATAAAAACCATGGAAGATAACCTAGGAAATATAATTCTGAACATAGGAACTGGTATAGGCATCATGACGAAGGACCAAGTTGCCAAAAGCAATTGCAACAAAAGCAAAAATTGACAAATGGGATCTAATTAAACCAAAGAGCTTGTTCACAGCAAAAGAAAATACCAATAGAGTAAACAGACAACCTATAAAATGGAAGAAAGATTCTAATATCCAAAATCTATAAGAAACTTAACGAAATTTGCAAGCAAAATCAAACAATCTCATTAAAAAGTGGGCAAATAGCATGAATAGACAGTATATAGACATATAGAAGACATATATGCAGTCAACCATCATATGAAGGAAAGCTCAACATTACTAATCATTAGAGAAAAGCAAATCAAATCCACAATGAGATACCATTTCACATTAGTCAGAAGGGCTATTATCAAAAAGTCAAAAAAAAAATAAAAAGATGTTGGTGTGGTTGTGGAGAAAAGGAAATGCTTGTACACTGCTAGTGGCAGTGTAAATTAGTTCAACCATTGTCGGAAGTAGTGTGACAATTTATGAGGGAGAAGATTAGTAAAAATAACTATTGGGTTATATGCTTAGTACCTGAGTAACAAAATTGTCTGTACACCACACTCCATGACACAACTTTGCCTGTGATAAACCTGCACACGCACACCTGTGAACCTAAAATAAAAGTTAAAAAAATTCAATGACTCAATCACTTTGTTCTCAGGGTCTTAATAGAATTTGTGATGTTCTTATGATTCTCCTTTTGCCATTTAGTACACACCTTTTTCATGTAAATACTTTGAAGAGTTTTGGATCTCTAATATTGCTTTATCTTGACAGTAGTCTTATTTAGAAAAATTTAACTTTGCAACTTGCATATACCTTTAGTATTTCTATCGTTAAAATTACCTAATATATTTCCTGTCAAAATGTAATATTTTGTAAGCACATTTTCAGTTTGAGGTTTTCATAGCAAATCAAAAGATGAGCAGTGATTGTGAAACTTGCAGAATGTTCTTATCATAACTAAAGATGGGAAATAGGACAGCCTTTTTATGACTTACAATTTTATCTCTGTGTCTCTTCATCCATCCATTTATCTGTCTCATTCCAGATGTTCTATTTTTTTTATCTCTTGTCTTTTTTTTTTTTTTAATCCATCGGCCATTGTGATCAATTTACTTATACAATCTTGATTTGGGCTCATGGAATATGAGAAGGAACCTGCTGAAGCTTATGGGAAAGTCTTTTTCTTTTCCTACATAAGGTACCTAAACTTCATCTGGATACTGTGGTACAGTGGGACAGACTCAGTCCCCAGGGTGAAGTTAAAACATCTGAAGGAAGAGCTGAACAATTTCCACAAAACCGGAACCTGATTATATTGAAAAACCTGAGGACCAAACTCTTCCTAGAGTTTCCCTTACCATTGAAACTTCTATGTATTTGGGGCCATTTAATTACTTTCGTTTTTCTTCTTTGTTGTAGGAAGCATTTTTCTCTTCATTTTTTTAACATAATGAAATATGTCAACCATATGAAAAGTGCAGAGGATGAGATAATCAATACCTCTATATCAATTGCCCAACTTAAAGCAAATATTTTTTGTATTTGATTTTAAACTTTTTTACACCAAACAAAATATCACAAATACAACGTATATCATTTGTGTAAGCCCCCTAATTCAGCTCTTCTCTTCGTTCTCCCTTTCTCTGTCCCTGCATGTTAACCAAATCCTCAATTTCATATTTATTATTATAATGCATTTTTTCTGTATTTATGTTCCATGTATGTATAAGTCCAAATAAAATATGCATAATTTTAAAATTCTGTCTGGTTTGTATTATATGTATTTGTGAAAAAAAAATTATGCAACAGTCTTCTTTCTAGAACTTCTGGTTATAGTTTATGCATTTTTATTTCCAGGAACTATTTCTTTATAGAATATGAAGGGCATTACATCCTATACATATACAAAAATTTATTTATCTACTCACCTGTTGAGTCACAATCATGGTTTTCTAATTTTTCTTATTAAGGATTTTATATTTTTAATGTAATGAATGTTTATTTCTTGATAACAAGTGTTCATTTGCCATTCAGTAATTTTTTTGCTTACGTAAGTTATATTTTTACTGGATCATCTCTCTTTTTACATTGATTTATAGAAGACTTTATTTATTGTATTTGAGTACTAGTACTTTATAAGGTGTATGCTTTAAAAATTTCTTCCATTCTATTGGTTGTTTTTAATATTGTTAATATTATATCTTATAATTTACAGTAAAAATTTTCACCATTGCTATGCTTTGTGCTTTGTGAGTCTTGTTAAGAAGTCCATTTGTATTCCAGGGTTATAAAACTATATTTTCCTGTGTTTTTTCTAAAATTTTATGTATTTTAAGAATTTTTTGTGTATTAATGTTTCTCTATAATTTCTAAAATACTAAAATTCTGACATTCACATTTAAATGTTTAATTAATACAGATTTATTTTGGAATGTCATAGAAGCAGGAATAAAGGTATTCTAATATCCCATATTTATAGCATATTCTCAAACAACGTGTAGTCTTTCCCCTTACAGATTTATTACATCAGGTCCCTATCAGTATGGGTGTATTTCAAGGATTCTGTTCTCTTGCTTGATCTGAGTAACATGATCATAGACTATGTAACAATGTTATATTTCCTTAATTTCTGTAACTATAGTGTCTGGATATTTAGGAGCGTGATTCTTCCAAATCTGTAAGGCTCAGTTATCTTTCTACTTCTCTTCCTCCATCTCCTCCTTCTAAATCTTCTAAATATTTTTGGATATTTTTCTCCCTTTGCCTTTTCATTTGAAATGTAAGATCAACTTGTCAATTTTTGTAAAATATTCCTTTAGAATTTTAGTGAAATCTCTTTGGATGTGTAGAATAATTTGGGGTGAATGGCTGTTGCTATAATATGGAGGTCTCCCAGTAATGAATATGGATTATGAATATGGAGGTCTCCCAGTCATGAATATGGATTATGTATACAAACATACAGGACCGTCCTGAAGAAGTTTCATAATATTGTCCATGAAGATCTACCTCATCATTAAAAAATACTTTTTTGTTAGTTTATGTATAGGTTACCTTGTGAGAATTTTTTTCATATTCTGTCAATTTCTGCCTTTCTATGTATTTGGAACTACTGGATTGAGGGCATGTGTGCAGATTTTTTATACATTTCTTGTTAATTATTTCTTTTACATTAATGTAGCAATCCTCTTTTTTATACAGCATAAATGTAGGCAATTTTTGTTAGTTTAAAATAAACTAATTAATTAAAAAGAATTATCTCCAAGATATTCTATCTTGTAGCCATTGAAAATGTTTTGGTATGGCTGCCTCCTGTCTTTTTCTTATGCAAAAGGATGTGAATGTGTACTTTTTTTTTCTTTTTCAACTTTTATTTTTGAATCGGGGTAATATGCACATTTGCTGTAAAGCTATATTGTGTGGTGCTGAGATTCAGGGTATGACTGAAACTGTCAACTGGCTAGTGTGCATATAACCCAACAGGTAGTTTTTCAGCCCTGCCTCCCTCCAACACTGCCCCCTCTAGTAGTCTCTGATACCTGTCGTTCCCATTTTTATGTCCATGTGTACTTAATGTTTAATTCCCGTTTATAAGGGAGAATATGTATGGAGTATTTGGTTTTCCGTTTGTGTTAGCTGACTTAGGATAATGGCATCCAGCAGCATCAATGTTGCTGCAAAAGACATGATTTCAATCTCTTTATGGCTGTGTAGTATTCTATGGTGTTTATATGCCACATTTTTTTATCCAATACCCAGCAGTCTTCTTTGTTCTTATTAATGCTTTTGGCTTTAAAATCAATTTAATTTGGTATTAATGTAATTAAGTTAGCTTACTTTGTTAGAATTTTTTGTTCATCTTTTTAATTAATCTTAATTTCTTTATATTATAGGTTTGCCTTTAAAATCAGAGTGTAGCTTTTTGGAAAGTCTGAGAATATATTTCATGGGATTTTTTGTTCAAACTTGCTGTTCTTGTAATATGTTTAGTCTCATTACTATGATTATATTTTGTGCATTCTACCTATTATTGTCTTGCTTTGCTGCTTTTTTTCTGATTTTTTTCTTTCTCTCTTGCCTTCTGGTTGACAGATAAAACTTTCTATGCTATGCTTTTTCCTATTGTAATTTGGAAGCCATGTGGGCTGATTCCTTCCTTCCTACCCCAGCTTTAAATTCAAAACCATTGCATAAGTCGTACATAAAAATGTAACCATGTAAAATATTTGAGTCTAAACTTATAAATTTTGCATTCTCCCTAACGAAAAAATTTCTATTACTGTGGTGGATTTCTTTAAATTTTGAATATAGTTACTGAAATATTAATTCTTTCAATTAAATTTATATTTACTCACTGGTTCCTTCCCCTTCTTTAAGGAGACAGAAAACATTAACACTTTTTAACCTCTCATTTGTTTAAAAATTTATTGACCTCTCCTCTGAGACAGTTTGTATTCCTAGATCTCTTTAAACATAAATATGCTTATTTTCAAGTTTTTGTCACAGTATTCTAAAACATCTTTACTTGGAGTGACTTTTTGTTTCACTTACTGATTTTGTTGCCTAGATTAGCATTCAATTTCTTAACATGTATTATCGTTTTCTGAGTTTATTTTTGCTTGTGTTTTTCTCACTCACTGTTTACCTTTCCCCATCTAGTGATTAGTGGTTGCCTTGACCTGGCCTCTAGCCCAGCGTCTTTCAGTTTAGAACCAAGTCTTTCCCCATGTATTATTGCTGACATAGTCCAACCAGTGACTCAGATCTTAGGTAGATGGGTCAATTTCCTCTTTCTGGTTTGTAAGGAGCTCCTGATATTCTCTAACCCTATGCCCACAGGACCATATAAAATTCATGTCAAGGTTTGCAACAGATTTTCTTCAGCCTTCACCTGTGAATGACTCAAATCCTCTGTATAGTTTTAAGCCCTTTAAGTTTCTGTTTAAAAATTCCAGAGTTTTATGTACATCTAGGTGCACTTCTGAAGCATAACACTTCTGATTAAGTTCGGCTCATCAATTATCTTTTCTGTTATGATTCCATTTCAGGGAAATGCTCTTCGTTTCGTAGCCCAGCTCCATTTTTGTTTAATTTTTTTTTCTGTTTATGTTTTATCAATCATATTATCTACTATGTTTGTAGGAGAATGGGTTGTACTAAGAGATGCCATTCTATGCCAATTTGACTAGAATGTCTCCTTTTTTGTTTAAGCCCCTTTGACTTATCTTTTTTGTTTAACCCCAAAGACTTTAAACTGATACAATATGTATACCTTCTCATATTTTAAAAACTTTCTCAAGGTGTTTTTAGTTTTGTCCTTTATTTATTGCTCCAACAACGCATAATGATAATTGGGATTATTTCAATAGTTCAGAAATTTGCAAACTGAATAGAGAATATGAGACCTGCTAAGAGCAGCATGTAAGAGGTAGCAGGGCTAAGACTAATGTCTAATGATATAGTTCTTTTTTTCCCAATGATTTTATTTAATTTTATAATTTCTCTTTCAACTTTTATTGTAGGTTCAGGGGGTAAATATGGAGGTTTTTTATAAGGGAAAATTATGTGTTTCTGGGGTTTGATGTACAAATTATTTCATCACCCGGATAGTGAGCCTGGTGCCTTATAGGTAGTTTTCCGGCCCACATCCTATTCTTACCCTCTCTTTGCAAGTAGTCTCAGTGTCTACTGTTCCCATCTTTATGTCCATGTAAGCCCAATGTTTATCTTGCACTTACAAGTGAGAACATGAAGTATTTGGTTTTCTGTTCCTGTGTTAATTTGCTTAGGATAATGGCCTCCAGCTTGCATCCGTGTTGCATCAGAGGTCATGATTTTGTTTTTTATGGCTGTGTTATATTGTATAGTTTATATGTACCACATTTTCTTTATCCGGCCCACCATTAATGAGCATGTAGGTTGATTCCATGACTTTTCTATTGTGAATAGAGCTGCAATGAATATACAACTGCATATGTCTTTTTGGTAGAGTTATTTATATTCCTTTCAATATATACCCCATAATGGGATTGCTGGGTCAAAATGGTAATTCTGTTTTATGTTCTTTGAGAAATCTCCAAACTGCTTTCCACAGTGGCGGAACTAATTTTACCTTCCTGCCAACGTGTATAAGCATTCCCTCTTCTTCACAACCATGCCAACATCTATTATTTTTTGACTTTTTAATAACAGCCCTTCTGAGTGGTGGGAGATGATGCTTTCTTGTGGTTTTGATTTGCATTTCTCTGATGATCAGTGATACTGAACTTTTTTATATGCTTGTTGGCCTTGTGTATGTCTTCTTTTGAGAAATGTCTCTTCATGTCCTTTGCCTATTTTCTTAATGGTGTTTGTTTTGCTTAATTTGTTGAAATTTCTTGTAGATGTTGATTATTAGACCTTTGTCAGATGCATAGTTTGAAAATATTTTTTCTATTCTATGCGTTGACTGTTTACTCTGTTGATAGTTTCTTTGCTGTGCAGAGGTTCTTTAGTTTCTTTAAGTCCCACTTACTAATTTTTGTTTTTGTTGCAAATGTTTTTGGATTCTTTCTCATGAAATCTTTGCCAAGTCCTGTGTTTACCATGGTGTTTCCTAGGTTTTCTTCTAGAATTTTTATAGTGTGAGGCCTTACATTTAAGTTTTTAATACATTTTAAGTTGATTTTTTTAATGGTGTAAGGAAGGGGTCCAGTTTCAGTCTTCCACATATGACTAGCCAGTTACCCCAGCACCATTTGTTGAATAGGGAGTTCATTCCTCATTGCTTGTTGTTGTCACCTTTGTCAAAGGTCAGATGGTTATAGATGAGTGGCTTTACTTCTGGGTTCTGTAACCTGGTCCATTTATCTATGTGTTTGTTTTTGCACCTGTACCATGCTGTTTTAGTTACTGTAGCCTTGTAATATAGTTCAAAGTCAGGTAGTGTGATGGCCCAGCCTGGTACTTTTTGCTTAGGATTGATTTGGTTTCCCTGGGCTCTTTTTTGGTTTAATATGAATTTTCTAATAGTTTTTACTAATTCTGTGAAAAATGATGTTGGTATTTTGATAGGAATAACATTGAATCTGTAAATTTACATTGAGTAATATGTTTCTTTTAACAATATTGATTCTTTCTATTCATGACCGTGGAATGTTTTTCCATTTGTTTGTTATCTCTGATTCTTTTACTAGTGTTGTGCAATTCTTGTAGTACAGATCTTTCACTTCCCTGGTTAGTTATATTCCTCAGTATTTTATTCTTTTCATGGCTATTGTAAATGGGATTGCCTTCTTGATTTGGCTCTCAGCTTGAATGTTATTAGTGTGTAGAAATACTACTGATTTTTTTGTACATTGATTTTGTATTAGGAATCTTTACTGAAGTTGTTTATCAGTTCCAGTAGCCTTTTGGCAGAGTCTTTAGGATTTTCTAGGTATAGAATTATATCATTAGCAAAGAGAGATAGTTTGACTTCCTCTTTTCCTATTTGAAAGCCATTTATTTCTTTCTCTTGTCTGATGGCTCTGGCTAGGCCTTCCTGTATTATGCTGAATAGGAGTGATGAGAGTGGCATTCTTGTCTTGTGCTGGTTTTCAAGAAAAATGCTTCAGCTTTTGCCCATTGATTATGATGTTGGCTTTGGGTTTGTCATAGGTGACTCTTATTATCATCAAAGGTATGTTCCTTTGATGCCTAATTTGTTGAGGGTTTTAAACATGCATGGGTGTCAAATTTTATCAATGCCATATCTGAGTCTATTCAGTTGATTATGTGGTTTATATTTTTAGTTCTGTTTGTGTGATGAATTACATTTACTGATTTTCGTGTTTCAAACCATCATCGCATCTCAGGGATAAAGCCTACTTAATCATGGTGGATTAGCTTTTTGATGTGCTGTTGCAGTGAGTTTGCTAGTACTTTGTTGAGGATGTTTGCATCTATGTTCATTAGGAATATTGGCCTGCAGTTTCCTTTTTTGCTGTGTCTCTGCCAAGTTTTAGTATCAGAATGATAATGGCTTCATAGAATGAGGTGGGGAGGAGTTCCTTCTCTTTGATTTTTTGGAATAATTTCAGTATAGTTGGAACCAACTCTTCCTTGCCTGTCTGGTAGAATTTTCTGTGAATTTGTTTGGCCCAGGACATTTCCTGGTTGGTAGGTTTTGTATTACACATGCAATTTGGAACTCGTAATTAGTCTGTTCAAGATATGAGTTTGTTCCTGTTTTAATCTTGGAAGGTTGTATGTTTATAGAAATTTATCCATTTCTTCTAGATTTTCTAGCTTGTCTGCATTGAGGTGTTCATATTAGTCTCTGATGGCTTTTTATGTTTCTGAGGGATTAGTGTTAATGTCACCTTTGCCATTTCTGATTATGTTTGTTTGAATCTTCTCTCTTTCTTTATCATCCTAGCTAGCAGTCTATCAATCTTGCTTATTCTTTTGAAGAACAAACATTTGGTTTCATTGTTCTGTTATGTGGATATTCTTGTCTCAATTTTATTCATTTCAGATCTGATTTTTGTCATTTCTTTACTTCTGCTTGCTTTTGGGTTGGTTTGCTCTTGTTTTTCTAGTTCCTCTAGGTGTGATGTTAGGTTAACTTGATAACTTTCTAACTTCTTAATGTAGGGATTTAGTACAATATACTTTCCTCATAACACTGCTTTAGCTGTGTATCAGAGACTCTGGTATGTTGCATCTTTGTTTTAATTAGTTTCAAATAATTTTTATTTCTGTCTTAATTACTTTTTTTCACAAAAGTAGTTCAGGAGCAGGTTATTTAATTTCAATGTAATTATATTGTTTTGAGAGATATTATTGTTATTGATTTCTGTTTTTATTGTGCCGTAGTCTAAGAGTGTTCTTGGGATGATTTTGGTTTTTTTGAATGTGTGGAGAATTGCTTTGTGGCTGAGTGTGTGGTCAATCTTAGAGTATATGTCATCTGAAGATAAGAAGAATGTATAATCTGTTGTTGTTGGGTGTAGTATTCTGTAGATGTCTGTTAGGTCCATTTGTTCAAATGCTGAGTTTAGGTCCCAAATTTTTTTTTTTTAATTTTTTGCTTCCATGATTTGTCTAACACCGTCAGTGGAGTTTGAAGTCTCCCATGGTTATTTTGTGGTTATCTAATTCTCTGTAGGTCTCTAAGAACTTGTTTCATGAGTCTAGGTACTCCTGTGGTGGGAGCATATATTTCTAGGATATGTAAGTCTTCTTTTTGAATTGAACCCTTTATTATTATGTAATATCCTTCCTTGTCCTTTTTTATCATTGACGATGTAGTTTGTTTTGTCTGAAACAGGAATAGCAAGCCCTGTCCTTTTTGTTTTCCATTTGCTTGATAGATCCTTCTCTATCCCTTTATTTTCAGCCTGTAGGGTCACTGCAGATGATATGGGTCTATTGAAGACAGCATACAGTTGGTCTTGCTTCTTTATTCAACTTGCCACTTGATGCCTTTTGAGTGGAGTTTTTAGTCCATTTCCATTCAAGTTCAATATTGGTATGTGAGGATTTGAACCTGTCATCATGTTGTAAGTTGGTTATTATGTAGCCTTGATTGTATAGTTGCTTTATAGTGTCAGTGGGGTATGTACTTAAATATGTTTTTGTGGTGGAAGTTTCTGTGTTTAACTCTCCCTTAAGGACCTCTTGTAAGGCAGATCTGGTTGTAAACAATTACCTTAGCATTTACTTGTCTGAAATGGATTTTATTTCCCCTTCACTTTTGTAGCTTAGTTTGGGTGGATATGAAATTCTTTGTTGGAATGCTTTTTGTTAAGGATGCTGAATATAGGCTCCCAATCTCTTCTAGCTAGTAAGGTTTCTCCTGAAAAATTCACTGTTAGACTGCTGACATTACCTTTGTATATAACCTGTCCCTTCTCTGTCGCTGCCTTTAAGATTTTTGTTGTTGTTGTTCACATTGACCTTGGACAATCTGATGACTATATGCATTGGAATGGTTGTCTTGTGTAGTATCTTACAGGCATTCTCTGAAATTCCTGAATTTGCACGTCAGCCTGTCTAGCAAGGTTAGGGAAATTTTTGTGGTTTTGTGGACAGTATTCTCAAATATGATTTCCAATTTGCTTGCTGTTTCTCCATCTCTTTCAGGAATCCCAATGAGTTATAGGTGTGGTCTCTTCAGATAATCCTGTATTTCTTGGAGGTTTGTTCATTTCAAAAAATTTTTATTTTTTTCTACTTGAGTTGATTCATAGGAGAAGTCTTTGAGATTCTTTCCTCAGCTTAGTATATTAATGCTTCAAATTGCATTATTAAATTCCTATAGTGAAATTTTTATTTCCACAAGTTCAGTTTGGTTCTTTCTTAAAATGTCTATGTTGTCTTTCAATGCTTGAATTGTTTTACTGATTTCCTTTGATTGGGTTTAAACTTTGTCCTGTATCTTGTTGAGCTTCCTTGACATCTAGATTGTGAATTCTGTGTTGCCATTTCAGCCATTTCCATCTGGTTAAGAATCATTGCTGCACAGCTAGTGTGGTCACGTGGAGGTTAGAAGATACTCTGGATTTTAGAGTTGTCAGAATCATTATGCTGACTCCTTCCCATCTGTGTGGACTGATCTACCTTTAATCTTTGAAGTTTTTTGGATGGGGCTTTTGGCTTTTATATTCTTTGATGCCCTTTAGGGTTTGATTGTGATATCAGTTGGGTTTAGTTTATTGCTTCATTTCTGTATGCTTTCCAGGGCCAAGGCTCAGCTCAGCACTCCTGGGCTGCATGCTCTTACCCTGGCAGGCTAGGACCAGGAATGTAGCTTTGTTTTCTGGTCCCTGGAGGTCAAGCACCTCCTGCACTTAGTAGGGGGCCATGCATTCACAGTCCATTGGCAACAACACTCCAATGGGGCTGCCAGCAAAAGCACTCCAGCCAGGCAGTATGTTGTGTTCAGGGGGCTGTGGGCAAGTGCACACCAACAGAGGCAGGGGGGATGCAGGTGAGTGAACAGTGGTGGGGCAGTTGTGGGTGCATTTGTGTTGGTGTGGCAGTGGGGCATGTGCATGCTGCATGATGGTGGGACAGTCATGGGCACGTGTGTGCTGGCAAGGGTAGAACTTCAAAGAAACTTCAGAGTTGTTAAGTCTTGACATAATGCCATTTTCTGGTTTCCAGAATGTGCCAGCATCCTTTCTACATATCTCCCAGTACCTACAGGTAACAGGGCAACAGAGGCTGTGATGGAGCCTCCTCAGGACTCCCAGAGCTGAGGAAACAGAGCAGTAGGCATCCAGTTATATGGCTTTTTGACTATTTGACTTATATAAAAGAAATTTCCCACACATTAGTCATTTATATTTCAAATATGTATTTTTTAATCACATTGATTTATCACCTGCATTTTTATATACTTTTTTATATTGACTTTTAAATATATTTCTTTGAAAATGAAAATTTTTATTACTGGTTTGGTAAACTAGTTATGTTTTTCTAAGTAATATTAAAATAAATACATAATTATTAATGATTTTTTTCATTAATCACCTAAAGTCACTTTGGTCATCAGTTGATGCTCTTAGGACAAATGTGATAAACCAGCTGAGTGCAGTGGTTCTTGCCTATAATCCCAGCATGTTGAGAGGCCAAGATGGGAGAATTACTTGAGACCAGGAGTTAGAGTCAAGCTTGGGCAACATAGTGAGACCTCATCTCTGCAGAAAATGAAAAAAGAAATCGGTCAAGCATGGTAGAATATGCCTGTGGTGCCAGCTACTCAGCAGGCTGAGGTGGTAGGATCACTTGGGCCACGAAACACAAGGCTACAGTGAGCTATGATCACCACTGTACTCCAGCCTGGGAGACAGAGCAAGACCCTTTCTTAAAAAAAAAAATTGGGGTATGCCATACTGTTTCCCTTACCTAATATTATGTATTATTGGCTATAGGCATTTAACAATGCAAAGATCCAAATAATTTCCAAAACATGGGCAGTGCTTTTTGGATCCATTTGGAAAAGATCATTTTATTCTATTAGATTGTTGCATGTAGAAATTTTAAGTATCAGTGAATTTTTTTTTGTAATCGCCTCATTGAAACCTATAAATAGTGGTTCCCAATTCAATTGTTTCAATAAACTATTTGAGACAGTAAAATGTACCCATAATTTAAAACAACATTGTTCATGTAGGCAGATGTAGAATATATATCTTAGATTTCTTTTTCAAAGAGAGGCTGTCTTTTTTCCCCTTTTACTGAAAAGTGAAGAGATCTTAGTGTTTGTTTTTTATATACTCTGTTTCACATTCAATGATATGATGTGAAATATGATAACTATTTTTATCTTGTCAGCTGTAAATGGAAGAAACTAAAACAAACTTTTTATGTTTTTCTCTTTTGGAGATAAATAGTTTCTTTGAAGATATTTTACTATATAAAGAAGATTTCATTTGAGAATTACAGAGATTCATGGGTGCAGATGGAGTTGGCTCCCAGAGTTGTGCTGTGAATATGGATGCTGCAGTAGGGACCCTTGATCTATGCTTCATTAGAGTCTTGTAATCATTTCCATGGTTGATCTTGGTTTCAAAATCTTTTCTACCATCTGCTTCACAAGGATAGCAATTTCCTACCAGAGCTTCTCCACTTCCCAAAGCATACTAAGAAAGATTTTTACTAACTTGAAAAAAAAATCTTATCATTAGGGTTGTTTGTGGTGGTGGTGCTTTTGTTTTCCTAGAGGTGATAACCATGTGTGTTTGTGTGAGTGTTTCAATTCTGGTAAACTCATTTTTGATAAAACAAGATGAATCTTATATACCTGACACATTCTAAGACATTCTCACCCTTCTTTTTTTTAATCTCCCCTTGTAAATAAAGAAATAAATCAATAGTAGCAAACCTTGTATGTAGAGTTCTACTCTTTTATATCTTTGAATCACGACTTTCTCCAATTTATCCATCCAGTAGATATCAAATCTAGGAGTTGTGATGCTGGAGTCACAGGCATGCAGGCAATGGAAATAATTTGGCTACATGTTCTTGAGCTTCAGCATCTTAAGGTCACAGGAAGAGGGGAGCATATTTTGGTGGAAGCCCTTTCCTTTTGTTTCCTGATAATATACCCAGCACTTAGTTTTGAATCTTGGTTTATAAGAAATGAAATCCAGAGGTTTCTGATAGCACAAGAATGGAGTAAAATTTTGCCTTCCCTGCATAATATCCATTTTTTTCGTTGCTCTTGGCCTTTTAAAATGAGCCTAGTCTTGAAGTAAAAAGAGTGTGCTACTTATGTAAAACAGATTTATTAGACTAGGTCCCTGAGCAGATTGATGCCCCTGAGCTCTTCCTATGTAGGAATGTTGAAACCAGCACTGGTATTCAGAATTTAATTTGATTACATTAGTTTTCAACATAAGAGGCAGAAGTGAATAATGCAAAACTATCCAACTAATGCAAACATAAAGACAAAAATATAGACATGTTCACAAGATGATTACTTGTTTACTGCTTAACAGTCCAAATGTTGCAACTACTTTAGCAGTTAGAAAAAAAGGCTAGAGTTCTTATTTGTGACTTAATATACCAAATAAATGATTTAAATCTATTCATAACAGGAATTTTTCTATTAGGCTAGATTTTTTTCTAACTTATTTTCAACTATAGAATTATTTTTCTTTTAAAAAGTGTATTGCAGCAATCATTAGATCTGGTTAACCCCCTAGACGGTGTTTCATCTCTCATTGCTTTTTTAAATTCCTGCCATGATCCAGGTTCTATTTGTATTTTGACCTTCGAAAATAAGCTGGGATTAACCTATTTCTGGTGGATTTCTGGAATATAAACTGAGGTCTTCATTTCCTTTATACTTCGGTCTTCATTTCCTTTATACTTCTTTCAGAATCAGAAAGGTGTCCCAAAGAGGGTTTCTCCTGATGGTCTTGGTATTCTGTTAAGAAAATTAATCCTTGAAACTCTTCGTATTCAAAAGAGAGCTGATTATTCATCCTAAAATGACCACATCTTCTAAAAACATTTTCTTTTATTTCATAAGAAGAGATGTTCTTTTTTTTTCAACAACTTTATTCAGATATACTCCCACATACCCTGCAGTTCACTTATTTGTACAATTCAATTGTTTTTGGTATATTGCATTATTAATTTTTAAAAATTATGGTTAGATATATATAAGTAAAATTTGACATTTTATTCATTTTTAAATGTACCATTCAGTGGCATCATTTACATTTACAATGCTGTGCAACCATCATCAGTATCTATTTCCAAACAATTTTTATCACCCCAGACAAAAACTCCATAATCAATAAATAAGGACTCCCCACTTCTCTCTCCCTAGAGCCCCTGGTTAGCTCTATCCTACTTTCTAAAAAAAAAATTTTTAAAAAAGGAATATTCTTTATTGAGTTGTTTACTTAGCTTTTCTTTTCAAATTGTTTTGAGATCATTGCCAAATTATTATAGAAACAGAAATGATCTCAAGATGAAGAGCCATTTAGCTAAGATTTTCGACAATGAAAAGTTTCTCAGTAATATTAAAGTAAAATAATGGCTATCTTATTGAATTATTTTCTTCTTTAGGTGAAATCTGAAACACTTACACATTTTTAAAACATGTTATTTTGAGAATTTGATATGTGTGAGTGATACTTGCATATAACCTACATTACTCATGCAATGAAAAGACAGAAAAGAAAAATAAACATGTCATTTTTACTGTCTGGAAATTGTTACTCCATTTTCTTTCCCATTTCTCTGGACTGTTTCTGGAATAATAATAGTCTAAACTTCAAGGAAAGCAGCCACAATGTCAGTTCTGTTCCCATGGTCCCAGAATTACTTTTTGCACCGCACTTAGCTTTCCAAATTCTCAGGCACCTCCTGAAGTGCTAGTCTCTTTGGTTTTGAGGCTTATCTTCCTGCTCTGCCTACATTTCATAAATAAGGACGTTTATCTCCAGGCAGTCCTGCCACAGTCTAATCCCAGTTTTGTGTGGCACCCTTCACGGGCCCATTTAGCACCTATACCGTTATCCTGAAGAGGCAGGTGCAAAAGCATTTCATTTCCTTTTCGGTGGGGGGAAGTATCCTCCATTGCTCTTCATCTGTTTGCTAGTGCCAGTTGAATAAATTCTCTTGCTCTACAGAAATAACTGGTCCAAAATTAAATACTGCCTGAAAATATTCTCTATCAATACTGTACTCTTTCTTTATTTAGACTCTGAATGCCTAATGTCACAACATGGGTTTTTAGTTTTCAGGCAATATTAATTTAAATTATACTTAAATTAATATAATTTATTAAATTATATGAATTTAATAAAGTGTATTTATTAAATAATAAATATTTATTTAAAATAAATAAAACTTAAAGCTAAAATTAGTTTCAATACATACTGATATGGTTTGGCTATGTCCCCACCCATATCTCAACTTGAGTTACATGTCTCAGGATTTTCCCGTGTTGTGGGAGGGACCCAGGGGAGGTAATTGAATCACGGGGGCCAGTCTTTCCCATGCTACTCTCACGATAGTGAATAAGAGATCACGAGATCTAATAGGTTTATCAGGGGTTTCTGCTTTTGCTTATTCCTCATTTTCTCTTGCCACTGCCATGTAAGAAGTGCCCTTCACCTCCCACCATGATTCTGAGGCCTCCCCAGATATGTGGAACTATAAGTCCAATTATACCTTTTTTTCTTCCCAGTGTTGGCTATGTCTTTATCAGTAGCATAAAAACAGACTAACACAGTAAATTGGTACCAATAGAGTGGGGTATTACTGAAAAGATACCTGAAATTGTGGAAGTGACTTTGGAACTAGGTAACAGGCAGAGAGGTTGGAACAGTTTGGAGGACTCAGAAGAAGACAGGAAAATGTGGGAAAGTTTGGAACTTCCTAGAGACTTGTTGAATGACTTTGCCCAAAATGCTGATAGCGATATGGACAACAAAATTCAGGCTGAGGTGGTCTCAGATGGAGATGAGAAATTTGCTGAGAACTGGAATAAAGGTGGCTCTTGTTACGTGTTAGCAAAAAGACTGGTGGTGTTTTGCCCCTGCCCTAGAGATTTGTGGAACTTTGACCTTGAGAGAGATGATTTAGGGTATCTGGCAGAAGAAATTTCTAAGAAGCAAAGTGTGCAAGTGGTGACTTGGGTGCTGTTAAAAGCATTCAGTTTTATAAGGGAAGCAGAGCGTTAAAGTTTGGACAGTTTGCAGCCTGACTATGTGATGGAAAAGAAAATCACATTTTCTGGGCAGAAATTCAAGCCAGCTGCAGAAATCTGCATACGTAACAAGGAGCCTAATGTTAATCCCCAAGACCATGGGGAAAACGTCTCCAGGCTATGTCAGAGACCTTCACAGCAGCCCCTGCCATCACAGGCCCAGAGGCCCAGATGGAAAAAGTGGTTTTGTAGGCTGGGCCCTGGGTCCCCATGCTGTGTGCAGCCTAGGGACTTGGTGCCCTGTGTACCAGCCGTGCCAGCCTTGGTTGAAAGGGGCCAATGTAAAGCTCAAACTGTGGCTTCAGAGGGTGGAAACCCCAAGCCTTGGCAGCTTCCATGTGGTGTTGAGCCTGCAAGTACACAGAAGTCAAGAATTGGGGTCTAGGAACCTCTGCCTAGATTTCAGAAGATGTACGGGAATGTCTGGATGCCCAGGCAAAAGTTTGCTGCAGGGGTGGGGCCCACATGGAGAACCTCTGCTAGGGCAGTGCAGAAGGAAAATGTGGAGTTGGAGCCCCCCACACAGAGTCCCTACTGGGGCAATGCCTAGTGGAGCTGTGAGAAGAGGGCCACCATTCTCCAGACCCCAGAATGGTAGCTCTACCGACAGCTTGCACTGTGCACCTGGAAAAGCCACAGACACTCCATACCAGCTGGTGAGAGCAGCCAAGAGGGAGGCTGTACCCTGCACAGCCATGGGGGCGGAGCTGCCCAAGACCATGGGAACCCACCTCTTGCATCAGCGTGACCTTGATGTGAGATCTGGAGTCAAAGGAGATCATTTTGGGGCTTTAAAATTTGCTCCGCTGGATTTCAAACTTGCACAGCCCTGTAACCCCTTTGTTTTGGCCAATCTCTCCCATTTAGAATGGCTGTATTTACCCAATACCTGTACCTCCACTGTTTCTAGGAAGAAACATTGTTTCTAGCTTGCTTTTGATTTTACAGGCTCATAGGTAGAAGAGAATTGCCTTGTCTCAGGTGAAACTTGGAACTGTGGACTTTTGGGTTAATGCTGAAATGAGTTAAGACTTTGGTGGACTGTTGGGAAGGCATGATTGGTTTTGAAATGTGAGGACATGAGATTTGGAGGGGCCAGGGGTGGAATGATATGGTTTAGCTGTGTTCTGCCCACCAAATCTCAACTTGAATTGTATCTCCCAGAATTCCCCCATGGTGTGGGAGGGACAGGGGAAGGTAATTGAATCATGGGGGCCAGTCTTTCCCATGCTATTCTCGTGACGGTGAATAAGTATTACGATATCTGAAGGGTTTATCAGGCGCTTCTACTTTTGCTTCTTCCTCATTTTCTCTTGCCACCACCATGTAAGAAGTGTCTTTTGGGTCCTTCCATGATTCTGAGGCCTCCCCAGCCATGTAGAACTATAAGTCCAATTAAACCTCTTTTTCTTTCCAGTCTCAGGTATGTCTTTACCGGCAGCATGAAAACAGACTAATACACATACATATTATTTGATTTGATTCTTTTTGCAGATATACTAGTTTGTATTCTAAAATGCTAATAAATGTAATTCTTTTTATTGCATTATTTAGTGAAATATGTATATAATATTACTTGCACAAATCATAAAATTCTTAATTTGAGTATTAATGCATGTATTCCCTTGAGACTGGGCACTCAAATGGGATGATCATATTTTAATCCTGAAAACTCACATTTTTATTTTGCTAATGTGATGGATTAATAAAGAAGTCACTCTGTGCTATTTTCTGTAACTCAAACACTTATTGGGCAAAGACAAATAAGCATGAGGTATATGTTTTAAAGATTATGAGCAAAGCATACAGTTGGCAGTTCAGCAGAAATTGAAAAAACTTATAATGCAAATATTTGCCCATGAGTTTACACATGGAACATGGCTATAATGTCAAGTAAAATGAAGGAAACCTAGCAATTAAGCGTGAATTTTAAAACAAGGGTTGTGTTTGTTATTTAACTGCTGATTTTCTGAATATTCATAGAATACATAATTCAAACCAGAATTGGTATTTTATAAAAAAGAAATACTAGATTTTATATCATATTTTATCATTGCTTTTTTGGTAACTTCAGTGGAAATAAAATTTAAAGCTTCATAATTTATTTTTTTTCTGTTTACATTTTTTAAAATCCTATTATGTATTATTATAGAAAGTCAAGCTCTGTATTTTTCAATAATTACTTAAGCATATTACTAAGATTCATGTCTTGAACCCCACAAAGACATTATCAAATAACTTATATGTAGGCTTCCATTTGGGAAAAAATAGAACATAATAAAAATTTTTAGTATTTTATTTAATTCATATGATTGGTTTACATATATGATCTATTATATAATTAAATCCAGTTTTAAGCATTTGTATTGTAGGCTTTTCTTGGGTCTTCTATGCAATTTCAACAGCATACTTATATTCTAGTACTTTTAAAATACTTTTCCTTTAAGGCACTAACACATCGTTTAGATGATGGCCACTAATAATGAGACTGAACCTTGCATTTCAATTTTTTATATCCAGGCATATATGGCTCCTTTAAGAAATCTGGACTGAGAATCCAATAGCCCTCTGCTGTTTAGCCTAAGAGCTGAGCTTTAGTTGTGTTTAGGCAATAAACAAATTTCCTTTGATTCTCAGAGGATGGTGTTATAAAGATGAGTAAGAGGTTATTAATTCTCTGAAGGAACTTTTAATGTAGTCAGTTGGATAATGATTAGCATTTGAACAGAGCTTTCCTTAGTAAAGCATTTTCACACACACAGATTCAATTGGTAAGTATTTGCAGCTTGTAGTTTATGGGTGTTTGTTTGATCTCCAGATAAATCTGATGGCTTAATACAGATACATGTTTTTCTTCTGTAATCAAACTGTGACCCTGCACGTGAGACATGTTTTAAAAATATATGTCATTGAGCATAAAGGAAACAAGGAAATGTGGCAAGTTGAGTGTAAAACCTATCATGATTCCTCAAAAACCTACTCAAGTTATGTTCTCATACTGTGGGCTTTTTTGTATCTTCTTATTGGAAGAATAAGCAAATGCTTACGGTGGAGTTTTTAAAACAGATTTGGGATGTTGATTAATTCTGCACAGGCCAAAAATGTAAATGCACATTTGTCACGAATTCAGGTTTGGTACACTCCCCTCCAACAAATTCAAATCATTTTCTGTTATTTTCCAATGGCCAATGCCAAGCCTAAATTTCAGACATTTTCCTTGTAGTATGGATCATCATACTTTGGATAATTGAAAACACTTTAATGATTTACTTCAAACATTCACCAGATAATTTTCAAGCCTTTTCCACTTTGGTTTGATTAGCCTTGTCTGAGACTGTGTCTAATATACATGAGAGGAACAAAAGAAGGAATTGTTCAGCTTGTAGTTGGCAGGAATGTTCTATTGCTGAATAAGTTCACAAGTTATGGCTGGAATGATTTGGTAATAGTTTTTCCACTGTGCATAGCCAGACAATCTCAGCCAACCAGCAGAACAGAATCTATACTGTCAAAATGGAAAAAGTAGTGGCAATTATGAAGCTGGGGGATTCTGGCAGTACATGCAGAATTTGGCTCTTTCACTTTGCCATGAGGAGGAACATATAGGCACCAGCTATAGCAGCTTGCTCTGCTGCTGTATTGCCCGGAGAATATCTGACACTGAAGATTAATTACAAAGCCCAAGTTCTTGGTTCAGAATTCTTCATTCAAGTGCTCTGAGAACCTCTGTCAGTAAAGATTCTGACATGCATTGTTACTTCCCTATTCTGTTGACTGTATAACGGAAAAAAAAATAGCAAACATTTGTAAGCACTTATGTGCTTTTAAAAGTGTGAAATTCTTTCCATATATTAACTTAGTTAACTCTCACATTAACCCTATGAAGCTAGTACATTTTTTAGCCCTCTTTTCAAAGATAAGGAAACAGAAGTACAGAGAAATAGCCCCCAAGTACCTTGCCTGGGATTACATAGCTAATGAGTCTGATTATAGAAACCACACTTCTACCACCATTCTTTAGTGTCTCGATATGAAGAACACAGTTCAAGAGGAAAATCTATATTCTCTTCTATAGGCCCTTAGGCCACTTTCTATGGATTTCTTTTTCTTTCTTTTCTTTTTTTTTTTTTTTTTTGATAAAATTTTTTTTTTGGGAGAGTGGAGGTGGATACAGAGATATGTAATTTCCTTCTGAAGTATTAAAATAGAGAAAATAGTGTTTGCCATTTTTTGCTTTTCTGCTTCAGCATTATAATTTTATGAATGTCTAATTTTTTTAATAATGTCAGGAGTATTCGTTGTAGATTTAAAGTGAAATATGATTAGAAAATTTGACAGTTTTTGTTTTTGATTGTTGGTCTTGTTAAATGTTTTAACCATAAAATTAATACTGTATGATAATTAAATAATGCCTGCATACTCTATTCATTAGATTATTATTTTTAATTAGTATTTTGCAGTCAAATGTTATAATTTAGTTATAATTTAACAGAAGTGTTTTCTGTCATCCATGTGTATATAATTAATATGTAGGTGAGAATTCTGGGCGTTTTATTCATTGTCACGTTCCCAGTAACCAGGAGGGTTCCTAGCACATACTCAGTTCCCAGTGAGAGTTTATTGACTATATTCATGTGTGGATGAATGATGAAGTTAAACTCCTTGAGCTTATTCAAATGTATAATTTTGCTTTTCTTTACTAAATATTCAAGTTATTGTTGATGAAGAAAGTCAATAACATAAGAAGCAGCAAGAAGCTGAGAATAACGTGCCCTTTCTCAACCCCCACCCCAAACTGACTCTTTTGAGCTCCTTGAGGAAGAGTACTTTTTCACTCATTTCTGCATTCCTAGTACTGACACAGCGTAGTGCTCTACAAGTAGCTAACAAAGAATGAGTCAGTAATTGAGCAAGCTGGATGATCTAAGTTCTTACTCTTTTATTCATACCTCGTTTGAACAAGTCTCAAATGCAGAAACTGTAGTGTTTTGGGAGCATGTTACCAAAGTGTAAGGTGGGAATGAGGGGCCACACATTCCGGCGGCAACAATCTTGCATTTCTGAATTGAGTGCAGCCTCACAGGCCAAGCTCCAACTGCCCTCTGGAACTTAGAATCCTTATAGTATCAACATCAAGAGATCACTTAGCCTCTGCTTTAATACCTCCTTTGTCATGTAGATTTAGTGTAGTCTTTAGTTCCCATGACCCCAGAGTATGTTTCCCTGAGGTTGGCTCAGCCCATTCACATTTTGTTCAGCAAGCTTAGGTTTCCTGATGCAAGGTATCCCTTTAAATATTGGAGGATAGCCTTCATTTCCAGAGGCTACTCTATACTACCACATTAGTTGCGTGTTTATATCCGTTTCTGTGATATGCTTGACTGTCTCTTCCTGATGACTGTCCTTAGAGCTGGTCCTAATATGTCTATATTAATAACTCATTGGGCTGCAAGACAAAAACAATATTGAATGATGAGTCAGTGGTAACCTACAAAGCATCCAGTGATTTGCTATGGTATACTGTTTTCAGAAAGAATATGTACTCAGTAAATGTTCTTGAAGACTTGATTGATTGACTGATCAATACTCATACTTCTTATGTTTTCACTCACAATACGTGGTCTTTCACATGCACTTCCTTCCTAGACATGTTCTGTGTTCACTCTTCTCTTCCATCCATGTGTAATTTCCATCAGTATATCCTATTCCTTCATGACGAATGCCTCCCCATCCATTCATAACCTCCTGCACCATGTCCAGTCCAGTGTTTTTTGGAAAGTCTAAAGTAAATGAACTATTTTTTAAAGTTTTCTAATTTTTTTAACAGAAGCTCCATTACCTACTCCCACCTCCCCACATGATGAAACAGGGAAACAGTGCTGCAGGCATACAGTGACAACAGGACATCAGGAAATGCCCAAGAAGGTCAGCCCCACCTTAACATGATGTTTGCAGGAATTTGGACAGCACATACCAACATTTCTAAGAAACATGCAAACCAATATATCATTTGTAATTCAAAATATATGTAAGAGTTGCAATTAACAATCAGGTCTCTTTGAATATTAAAGTTATCAAGTGATGACCATGAATAACATGATTAACACTCACAACACTATTTATCATCATATAAATGGTCATATCTTCAGTCTGTGTTTTATGTTTAAATTCCACATAAGGAAATAAGTATAATAATATCATAAATTTCAGCAATGTTTTATTTTTAAGGCTCCAAAAATATTTTAAGAAATATTTGTTGTTTGTTCAAAACCGCAAGATTTAACGTCCAAGGTATCACAATTAATGAGGTCATGTTAGAATATTCACACTTTTTATTAACAAAATCAGTTTACATTTTGATAAGTTATCTTTATATATGTCAATTGTAGGAAATTAATTTTAGTCATTAAAAAACAAAAATTTTATAAAAGATATGATAATTTAAATTCACATATTAAGACAATAGTCTTTTTTTAAAGATTGGTTTATGGTGCACAGAATTCATTCATGACATCAGAAGCATATTCATAACATAATCTTGGTTATGCCATATGTGACCATAAGAACGATCATTACCTTTAACAGCTGTGAATTCCTAACAAAGTGAAAACATGCATAGTCAAGGTCAATAATTTTTTTTATTGCAATTTTCCATTTTCCCATCATCAAAGGCTGTCAGTACAGGTTTCTTTGGTCTCAGTATTTTTCTGCATATAAAAGAACGTGGGTTTATTGCTCATTATGCTCTGGTGCTTCTGGGACAATCATTTCAACACCTTAATCTATGTAAGACTCTAGTTATTTTTTGTGTTAAATATGGATACCAAATTTTTCCACTTGTAGATAAAACCTGAAAGATGCCATGATTAGTCAACTATTGGATTTTAAGAATAAATCTGTTATATCTAAAATCAAATATAAAAGATGTCTGGATAATGTCAAATATTAGAGATATATTAACATGTTTACAATTACTGTTTTTCTTTAATCAGTTGCATTCTTTTGTCATGCATTTGACAACACTCTATTTGAATGAATTCTCATGAGTAGTGTTGATTTTGTTGTTGAGTGCCATTAAATAAAATTTCTATATTAGCATATAGTGATTTTAAGAATGTAATAAGTAAACTATTTTTAGTTTTGAGATTATAGTAATTATACTGTTTTTTAACAGTTTGTTAGGTGCTGTGTCATGAATCAAGTCTTCATTTTAATGTGTTCTAATTGTTGTAAAACAAGAGGGAATGGTATTTGGAATTTAGCTATATTTATCTTCTCAATCAAATTCTACTTCAGAGGTAAGTAAAAAAGAAGTTATAGCAAATCACATAAAATGGACAAAAAAGGTATACTGAAAAGAAAATAAATTGTTGATTATCTCAGGATAAAGAGGAAAAAGTAAATTTAAAAGTCTGCCTGTGTCTGTTATTGCTAAGAGAGACCAATGGATAAATACTTGGGATTCTTATTTTTTTTGTTTCCTTTCCTTTTTTTTTTAATCAATTATGTGAATTCACCTCGAAGCTATACAACTCTGATATTAACTTCCCAATTAGCAGTTTGCCAAGTCACTTATTCAACTTGAATTCCTGAGACCTTATTCAATGGAATTCATAAGACGTTCACCTGACCTAAAGGACCAGAAAATTCAAGACATAGTGTCCATGTATTCTGTTTGACATGACTTTTATGCAAAAAGTCAGAACAAAAAGTGCTGTAGGCCCAGCTTTTCCCACTGGAATAAAGTCTTGATGGTCTATAAACAGACAGTATCCTTCTTTATCTAGAAGAAATTACATGGGCATAGATTGATAACTCATGTTGTTTGGGGATGAAAAGTGTCTGCCACATTGGCAATGTATTCAGAAGCAATCCTCTGTACATATTACGTGATGCCCCACACATAATTTCCTAAAGTCAAGTATTTTGTGCCCTTTAGATTGCCGCTGCACTTATCAGACAGACACATCTCTCAAACATAGTTCTAATTTTTCTTGAAAAAAGAATCAGATCTAAATATTTAACTGTTTGAGCTGAGTTCAGTTGAATAAAAATGATGAATTGACTGTTGAAGTAATTATAAAGTTGACTAGGAAAAATAATAGTATGGAATGTGCAATGTCTTTCCATATTTATTATAGGGGCTATACATTTTGTTAAAATACAAGAAGTATTTGTTGCATTGGCAAAAGAGAGAATCAACCATTTAATGTTACTATTGATTTCAATCACAGAGCTAGTTCTGGAGAATTGAAAACATCATAGGTTAATCGACTAGCAGTTGTCACTCAAAATGGTTTGTTGCTATACTAGCATACTAATGAAAATTACATACCCAAATAAAGAGGAAGTAAGAAAACATGAGGAACTGATGAATCTCAGGAATGCAAAAATTTCTCCTAAGAATCTATATTAAAATATAGTAAAGCAGTTGTTTGATATCTTTATCATTTTTGTCAAACCAAAAATTAACAGTCTAAACTAATCTAATCAATTAATTATTTTACTCAGTAGTTATTGAACATGCACTTTGCACTATGCACTGTGCTAGAAAAAAGAAATATAAAGATTAATAAGACACAGTTCTACCCATGATATGTTCACAGTCAAGTAGAAGACTAAAACAATGTAATACAAGAGTAAATCAATGTTTACGTAAAAATAATTGTTTTCTGCCTGAGTTGGAGGTAGGTCAGAGAGAATATGAAAGTTAATAAATTGAGTTTTATGAAATAAGAATGTATAGTGTTATTAGAGCGGAGCTAAAATTAATGTGCCTCAAAAACTGGAATAAGTATTGTTTGTTAACTGAATTTGTAAAGAAAGATTCACAATAAATTGGCAAGTCATGGTAAAGTTTGGTGTTTCTGTGAAATGGAAAGAAGACGAAAAATGCAGACCAGAACTTTTGCAAGATTGTGGAATTCCATAATAACATAGTGCATAAAATTAATCTTTAATTTATTTATCACGAAGAGTGACCTTGAATATTATAACAGCAAAGAATTATGGAGCATTGTAACACCAAAGCCAGAAGTTGTAATGGTGAAACAGGCAGACGAGCTTCATGATTATGTTGCAGTGCTCCACAAATGGGTACAGTGATTGATGACCTGCAGGAAAATGTGCTTATGAGGTGAGGTTGCTTGATTTTGTTGTCAAATCAAAACAACTATAGATATTATTCCTGAGAAGCATTCTTTAACCTGGCCTTAATCAGAAAATAAGTAGTTCTGTGATGTAGGTCAGTGAACTTGCTGTGATAGCAATGATGTATGTGAAAATACCAGAGAGTACTACATTTTGTTATTGTTGTTAAAATGTTGTCTGTCAAGGTTCTATGTATGGAACAGATAAATTTACATTTCCTCTTCTACCTCTCTGGCCACCTCTCATTAGTGTGTTTTGCTGGGTCCTTGCTTCCTCAGCTGCTAAATGTTACAGGGTCCCAATACTCAGAGCAAGCCTTGTCTCTCCCTAGTTTACTCCCCCTCCACCTGTTTCTCTCTTTGCTCCCCATCCCAGCTCTTTTTGCTGATCTCATCCAGCCCATAGCTTTACATACCAACTATATATGAATGAATTCCAACTTTGTATCATTAGCTTCTCCCCATCGTCTCCATTGGATGTTTAATAAGCATCTTAAAATAAACACATAGAAAGCAGAACTTCAGAATCAATACCCAGGCCCATAATTCTCTTTCTCCTTTAGTTTTCTCTATGTCAGTAAATCACTCCCTCATCAAACAAATTGCTTGGACCAAAACTCTGGGTAGTGTTCTCCTTTAGAAAGTTTTGTCAAATGTTCCTCCAAAATCCTGAGTCCTTCTTTTCACTATCTTCACTACTTGCAACTTTTCAGTCCTCATCTTTTAATTAGACTGCCCTTATATGAATTCCTTACCAAACTCTACTCCTTCTTTTGCTTTCTTACAATTCACTTTTCTCAGAGCAGCAAAAATAAGGGGGATTTTTTTGAAATATAAAGGGATTCATGCTATTCTACATTGAAAACTTTTGCCACTTGCCATTGCCACCTGGGCTTCTTCCTGCTGCTTGTCTTGGAGGTCTCTATTTTGTGATCAGTCTGTTTACCTTGTGATCATTCCCCTGTGATCTGTTTACCTTGTAATCAAACCCTGTGATCTCTTCTCAGCCAGAGCTAATCTCGTCTCAGTCTCTGATCCCCCTGTCCAGTACTCTACTATACAAGCTGTGTTTTGGGTCTCAAGCTCATTTCCACTTGATAAAATTAGGCTTTGCATCCCAACCTAAATCTCTTCATGAATTTTAATCCCCATAATCCCCGTAATCCACATGTGTCAGGGGAGAGACCAGGTGGGGGTAAATGGATTATGGGGGCAGTTTCCCCAGTGCTGTTCTCATGATAGTGAGTGAGTTCTCATGAGATCTGATGGTGTTGTAAGGGGCTCTTCCTACTTTGTACTTTGGTTAGCACATCTCCTTTCTGCCACCTTGTAAAGAAGGTGCCTTGCTTCCCCCTGGCCTTCACCATGATTGTAAGTTTCCTCAGGCCTCCCCAGCCATGCTGAAGTGTAAGTCAATTGAACCTCTTTCCTTTATAAATGACCAAGTCTTGGGCAGTTCTTTTAGAGCAACAGGAAAACAGACTAATACAACATCTTTGGCCTTTTCCACTTAGCATGCACAAACTGGCTCACTGTATTATTTCAGTTCCATTTCATGTCACCTTTTTCAGAGGTGTCTTTGCTGATCACTTGACCTGAGCATTAGCCGTTCATGTGCATCTCTCCCACTCACACACTTAGTCTCTTGGTGCAATTCTATGTCTGACAATACTACCTGTAGTTTTTTCCATGGCACTTATCACTTTATGAATTCTTGTTTGTGTGTTTCTTTTCTTCTTTGCTGACTGCCTCCTCCTGTCAAATTTAAGCCCCTTAAGAGCATGAGTCTCATCTCCCTTTTTTATTTCTGAGACCTCAATATCTAGAAAAGTAATGGCACAATAAGTGTGTATGGAGTGAAGGAAGGAGATTCTACAGTTAGTTCTTGTTTTCTATCTTTAGAAACTTTAAAGAGATTACCAGTATATATATTTTAAGAGATACACAGAGCTGAAGTTGTGTCTTATTCATTACTCTAATATTGTCTTCTGAGAGCAAAGCATGACAAGTGTTTATTTTTCACAAGTTGGCATTCCATATGTTATTTATTTATTTATTTTATATTTATTTATTTATTTTTTGAGATGGAGTCTTGCTATGTCGCCAGGCTGGAGTGCAATGGCATGATCTTGGCTCACTGCAACCTCCACCTCCTGGGTTTAAGTGATTCTCCTGCCTTAGCCTCCCGAATAGCTGGGACTACAGGCATGCGCCACCATGCCTTGCTAATTTTTGTATTTTTAGTAGAGACAGAGTTTCACCATGTTGGCTAGGATGGTCTCGATCTCCTGACCTTATGATCCACCCGCCTCAGCCTCCCAAAGTTCTGGGATTACAGACGTGAGCCACCACGCCCAGCCACAAGTTGGCATTTCATATTTTAGCTACTTCTTGCACTCTTTAAATCCTGTACTTTTTACATTATTTCTTTTTTGTTCTTTAAAAGACTATGTGTCAAAAAGGAATTTGATTTGCAGAAACTAAATGTTAGCACTTTGAAACAATGCAGTAGGGAGAGAGAACAATAAAAATGTGTAATTTTCTACTTATAAACACAACACATTTTATGTCTTGGAATTAGGGATTAATTTATGAATTTTTTTTCACAAAAACGAAAGGTAATATAAAGTAATGTATTGACTTCAGACGCATTTTATTATTTTCAACTATTTACAGAATATACCACCACTTGAAAATGTACTGTTACTACAGTTATTTTAGGATAGAAAGAGAAGAAGAAAGAAAATGTTATAGTCATTAGATTCCTCAGTGAGGAAAGAAAAAAACATATAAAAGGGGAAAGATTTTATAATGGCAACAGTATCAAGAGACAACATTAATTAATATGAATAAATTATATCTACCACTCCTAGATTTTTCTTGGTAGTTTTATGTAATTATCTATGTCCTAATTCATTCCTACTAATCAGGATTCTACCTATATAAATAAACTGATTGCCTAGCACAAAGTGGGAGGTACTTCAGTGTAATTATTAGAACATGGATTTTGGGTTTAGAATACCCGGCTTTGAAACCCAGCTTCGCTACTTACTAGTTATGTGGCTTGGGCACATTACTCAGTTTCTTCTTGTGCAAAATGAGGATTAATTGGTAAATACCTACCTTATGCCGTTGTTTTGAGCATTACATATGGAAATGTTAGCTAATATAGTATTACTCTATTTATTATTATCTTTACCCTTACCCATGTTATCATATATTATTAGCTCTTGTCTTTACCATGTCATAGACCTCAAAGTTTATATTAGAACAAAAAGTAATTGCATTAATTTGCCATGGATTCATTAGACATCCAGAGCAGCAGTGTTTTCCAATGTAGGTAAATGGGTGTTACACCGAGGAAAAGCAGACTTATTTTAAAATTTGATAACTACTGAGTTAAATACGTTTAGTCAGGACTTTTCAGTGCCTTTAAAATGTGAATAAGGATGAATATGTTAATGAGCTTGATTTAATCATTCTACATAATATATAATAATATATTATTTGTATATAACAACTATTAATGTAGAGATACATAACAACTGTAGGTTTTTAATTTTTTACAATTGTATGCTTAATGTTTGTGTGATTAAAAAGTTAAAAAATGTTAATATGCATCACTATCTTCCCAAGGGACATAAATTGTGCAAGATTTTTCACAGTGGGGTATTTTTCCACAGAGGCTCTGCTGCTCTTAATTCACAGATAAGGAAAGAATGACTGATTAGGAAGAGAACATTCTTATGGTCAGGTTAGGGATCCTTTCTGCAGTATTAAAGAAACACATCTTTGAACTTGAAAAGCTTTAGTTTTTCATCATTACACTCATATAAAATGGATAACAGGATTTAAGATGAAACCGAAAGTAAGATATAATTTAGACCTGGCTTGTTTCACTCATATTTGAAAGAGACCTCTTCCTGTGGCTTAAGTAAACCAAATAGAGTGATTAAAGAGTATTGGTATGGTATGTATGTAGAACAAAACTGATCATGCCTCCATTTGCCTTTTCCAGTAATATATTTTGCTTCAGTAAAATGTTTCTACTTCTAAAAGAGATAGCATAGCATAGTGGTGCAAATGTAAACACTGGAGCCAGGTTGCCTGGTTTGAGACTCAGCTCTGCCCTTACTAGCTGTGTGACACTGATCAAATTACTCAACATCTCTGTGCCTCAGTTATCTTATCTGAAAGTGGAGATAATAAATAGATACTAATTCATAGGGGTGTTATAGATTTTAAATGAGTTACTACTTTTAAAGTATTAAGAACTGCTCCTGATCATAATGTGCACTGCTTATTTGTTAAATAAGGTAGAAAGGCTACTGATATGGTATGGCTCTGTGTCCCCACTCAAATGTCATCTTGTAGCCTCCATAATTCCCACATGTTGTGGGAGGGACCTGGTGGGAGATGATTGAATCATGGGGGGTGGATCTTTCCTTCACTGTTCTCGTGATAATGAATAAGTCTCATGAGATCTGATGGTTTTAAAAAGGAGAGGTTCCCTGCGCAAGCTCTCTTCCCTTGTCTGCCACCATGTGAGATGTGCCTTTCACCTGCCGCCATGATTGTGAGACCTCCCCAGCCACGTGGAACTGTAAGTCCAATAAACCTCTTTCCATTATAAATTGCCCAGTCTTGCATATGTCTTCATCAGCAGTATGAAAATGGACTAATACAGCTACATAATTACTTTTTACATTTTTTTGCCTTTCTTTTGTCCTGTGTCTACTGTCATATTCACAAGGAGGTGACAGGAAGAAGAATGAGTGTTCACTGGTAGAAATCTAATTCTGGTACTTTGTCTCTGAACTCAGTGATGTTCTATCTTGAAGCAAGTGGTTATTAGAGAGTTTCTTCCCCACCAATGACTGTGCGGTAGTGGTCAGATGGGAAAATAAATTTTTAGTTTGTTTTATTTTTTTGAGACAAGATCTTGCTGTGTTGCCCAGGCTGGAGTTCAGTGACATAATCACAACTCAATGCAGACTGCAACCTCAACATCCCAGATTTAAAGTGATCTTCCCACCTCAGCCTCCTGAGTAGCTGGGACTATCGATGTGATCCACCATGCCCAGCTAATCTTTCAATTTTTGGTAGAGACAGGTTCTCACTATATTGTCCAGACTGGTCTCAAGCTCCTGGACTCAAGCTATCCTCTTGCCTTGGCCTCCCAAAGTGCTGGGATTACAGGTAAAAGCCACTGTGTGTGGCCAGAAAATAAGTTCTTTGCTCTCCCCCGTATAAAAACATGTGGGTTTGTGCCTGGTAGTATACCATGTTAATCAAGAGTGAGGTTTGCACCTCTTAGTAGGACAATAGAGTCAGAAATCTTCTAATCATCTGGTTTTATCAGCACTACCACTTTCTTAATGTATTTACGTGATGATCTGGTGCGTAGTTGTTATAATAGTTAACATCGAATGAGCATCATCTAACCCTCATGACAAGCTTATTTATAAGGATCCATTATCATTATTTCCCTTCTACAGCAAAGGAATCCAAGGGATGTCTTGCTTAATTTAGAACTAGTACAATATTGAACTGGTTTAGAAACCCAAAGAATCCCACTCCAGAATCTGTGCTATTAACCACACTATAATTCAGTCTCTCTTGGAAACCTTAGAATAATAATCAAGCACCTGGAACATCTAAATTTATGCTTTGTATATCTTAGTAACAATTTCCCCAAGGCTCAGTAAGCGTTATAAACATGTGTATACCCATAAAACTGGGTTGTGATGTCCATAAATACATTATAATATTCAAAAAATGAAAACAATCCAAATGTTCATCAACTGATGATTGGATTAAAAAATATGATATACCTATACAATGGCATACTGTTTGGCAATGAAAAGTAAACAACTGCTGACACATGCTCCAACATGGATGAACCACAAAAAAAGCCCCACAGAAACAGTATGTTAAGTAAAAGAAACCAGATATAAAAGACTATAGGGAAATGTCCAGAAAAGGCAAATCTATGGAATCAGAAAGTAGATTATTGGTGGCCTAGGACTACAAGTTATAATAGTGATGACTGCAAATGAGCATGAGGGATCTTTTGCAGGCTATGAAAATGTCCTAAAGCTGGATTGTTGCAATGGTTGCACAAACCTGTAGATTTACTAAATAGCATTTATCTAAAAGAATTGTACACTTAAATGGAAGAATTTTATCATATGCAAATTTTGTCTCAGTAAAGTTTAAAAAAGACACAAATAGATTGGATCATGGCCCAGAAGTACCATAGTTTAATGATAAGCATAAAGCAGACTCGAAGTTTAAATTTTACAATTCATTGTAATTTTTAAACTTATCTGTGGTTCCCTCCATAATTTGTAGAATAAAAGATAAAAAGTAATTGTTTTAACATCTAGCATAAAAAATAAATTGGCAATAAAATAGGAATCTTATTTATTTAGAATTTGATACTGACCTTATTTCTCTTGGATATGATAAACTGAATGTCTCACTTTGGAAATAAATTAGATTTTGTCCTTCATTTAAAATTTGTCTTTTCAAATGAAAATGTTTAATTGGAAGTTTTATCATGTTATTATATTTATATATAAAGGAAGAGCTGCAAAGCTTAAAAGAAATCCACTACCTGTACCCTGGGTGAGTAACTAATACACTTCCTTATAGTCAATCACCCAATTTTATTATGTTCAGTCTTTTGATTTTCGCTAAATTGTACTTTGTGATATATGCAGGGCATTCATTTTTTATTTCTCCCATTTCACAGTTTAGACAACAGTCATACAGGGATTAAGCCTAAATCATGTAGCTATTAAATGGCCGAGATGTGGCTAGCACTCCGTTTTCCTCAATGCTAGTCTTATACAATCTGTACATGATCCTGCTATGCTGCACTCATTGCTCAAATTAGTAGATACTTAACAAGTACTGATTAATTCTGTACAGCCATAGTAGATATCATAGCTGGATTCTTTAACAGTTATATTACTATCATATTTTAAGATTCTTTTGGCAGCATATAGTAAATGGGAACTGCAAGCTATAAGGGTTTAAAATGTGACTTGAGACTGATGAATTATGATAGTCTTTGATGTGCTTCAGGCATCTACCAATAGACAGATGGAGAAAAGAATGATCCTACACATACACAACATATTCATCTGAAAATAATGTTCCTGAATGCATCATTTTTCACTACTGGGCTTTAAGCTTTGTGAAAAAAAATAGGAAAGTATTATAGATTATTTAACTATTGTGCTGGCTGGCCATACATCACAGCAAAAGAAGAGAGCCACCCTGCTGCTTTTTACAAAAGGTGTAATTAGGCTCTGATGGAGCTCCAAGTTATTCTTCCCCCAAAATATTCTGAATGGCCGATTTCCTAATGCTTAAAAGCCTTAGATCTCAGTCCATTTCTTATGGACTCAACAACTTACTATTAAAGAAAGACTTGTCAAAAGCTTACAAATCCATTTTCTCTCTTCTTTCTTAGTGTTTGTCTTAAAGAAATAAGTTTGTGGTTTCTTTAAAACAATATCTCTTGATCTATTCTTAGCATAATTATATTTCTTAATAATATTTCCTTTCTGTTGTCCTTACTCTGGTGAATGTATTGCTTCTTTTAGCAAAAAACATGTATCCTATAATCACTTTTTCAATTGCTGTGGTTATCATGTGAATTTATGTTTCTTACATGTGAAGATGGATTGTTCCCTGAAAGGTTGGACATCAAGCCTGCATATTTTGTTTTTTATTTGCAGTTGTTTTGTTTCACTTCATGTTTTCTGTATTCAGAACCTGATGCGCTGACAGTAAGGGAACAAAGATGGGTATCTTTTTTCATAAAGCAATATGCATGGGAACTATGGAAACACTTTTCTAGTTATATTTATTTATTTTGTTTTTAAGACAGTTGTTTTTTAGATATAAGTGAGACTGAGTGGGCTGGACTTAATGTAAAGCACATGTGTTGGCCAGTTTGCAGGCACTTGTTAGAGCTCTCTGAGCATATGTGGGATAATGGATTCTGTTTCTGTTACGTGTTTCTCATGAAGCCTAGCACTGTGTTTTTAAAGGCTAGGAAGCATATCAATGTATTGGAACTTTTTCTCCCATACGGTGATAAAGTGAAAAGGATAAAAAAATTGTAGGTAAGAGAGATTAGATTTCCCCAGGATAAAGCAGATTTGTATCTTTTATTTTTTGTATGAAATTTTCTACTCATCTCTCTATCTTTCTACCTTCTATCTATCTACCTACCTATCTATCTATCTATCTATCATTCTACCATCTATCTATCTATCTATCTATCTATCTATCTATCTATCTATCTATCTATCTATCATCTATCTGTCTTTCCCATCTAACAGTAAGCATCTTAAGGTAGAAGCCTATGAGTTTAGTTGTTGAATTTCCTTAATTTGTTTGAAATAAACACATATGTAACTCCTGAATATGTCACTTAAAGAGATACTTTTTTAACTTTTATTTTAAGTTCAGAGGTACATGTGTAGTTTCATTATACAGGTAAATTGTGTGTCACAGGGGTTTGGGGTATAGATTATTTTATAAGCCAGATAATAAGCATAGTACCCAAAAGACAGGTTTTCAATCCTCACCTTTCTCCCACTCTCCATGCTCAAATAGGCCTCAGTGTCTGTTGTTCCTTCCTTGTGTCCATATGTACTCAATGTTTAGCTCCCACTTATGAGTAAGAACATGTCGTATTTGGTTTCCTATTTCTATGTTAGTTTGATTAGGATAATGGCCTCCAGCTCCATCCTTTGAGATTTGCAAAGGACATGATTTTATTCTTTTTTATGAATGCATATTATTCCATGGTGTATATATACCACATTTATTTATGTATGTGTGCATGTGTATTCATGGTAGAATGATTTATATAATTTTGAGTATATACTCAATAATATACTCAATAATGAGATTGCTGGGTGAAATGGTAATTTTGACATGATTTCTGCAAGTGATTTCTGAGCATTATTTCTAAATATGTTTTTTGTAACATTATTTCTAAAATGCAATTTTCAAATGCTATAAAGTATTTCTATTATGCCTCTTCAACATTGAAAGCATCTTAGAATGTTTTAATTCTGCTCACCACCTTACCATCTAATATTTTAGAATCATTTGTTTTATGTTTCATAAATTAACCATTACTAGAGTTGTTTTATACAACATTGCTTCTTTAAATTTACTGACATGCTTTCCAATTTCTTGGCTCGCTATGCCTTCACACACCTTTCTGTCTCAGTTTTCATATTCTTAAAATACAACCTTTAGTTCTTTCAGTTAAGATCAGTTAGTAGAAGACTCTGTTTGTTTTTTTGAATTATATTTACTTTACCCTTCATTTTAGATTATGACTTACTACTGGGCATAGGACTCTAGGCGAACAGTTATTTCCACTCTGCATTTTAAAAATATTAACCCATTATTTTCTGGGCTGCATTGTTGCTTTCGAGAAGTCTAAAATCAGCTATCAGCACAATTTCATTAATTGGCACTTTATCTGTCTCCTCTCTGGTTGTTTTCAAGATCTTTTATTTTCTTTTGTCATTGGCCTTTATGATGATCCGAGATGTGTAATTTAAAAATTATACCCGTGTCTGATGATTTTCTTCTATCTGAGGATTCATGATTTTTGCCAATTCTGAGCTATAATTCTTTAAATACTAATTTATTTTCATTTTTCTTACTTTTATTCTTTCTCAATTTCTATCAATTTTGTTTTTTCTTATTTTATCATTTACATCTCCTAACCACTTTTTCTAATTTTAATATATCTATATTTATCCACTTCATTTTGTCTTGTTCATTTTCTTGTTCACGTCCTTAGTCAATTTAAACATACTACTTCACAGATTGTCTTTTTTTATTATCCTAAGTTCTTGGGTTTCCATTCCTATTGCTTGTTCTCTGGGCTGACTTTCCGGCACAGTGTACTGTTGTCTTATACATTTTGTCATTTTGGCTTGTAAGGTCATCCTAAGCTTTGAAATCACCTAGGGTCTGACTTTCATCTACTCTGGCAGATGTTCCTGTGCTATTGCTACAGTCCACTGCTGGAGATGATTGCCAAGATGTATAGGTTCTATATATTTGAACCCCAAACCTAGGTAAAGTTTTTTAAATGTTGCAAAAACGAACACCTTTTTTTTTTCATGCACCCAGAATATGAGGAAAACATCCATGTCTTCTACCTTGAATAGATATATTTATTTTTCCTGCCTACCCGCTAACAGATGGTGCAGCTGTTCTAGGTTCCTTCTTTGATTGAGATATCTCTACTTCCTCATTATCCGTGGTCTACATCAGTGTCAACCCCAAATTGTTTAGTTACCCAGCAAATGATCAACTTCCTCCCCAACAAAGGTTTATTTCCACACCAGCTCATTGGTTTGCACTATCGTTCCTTGCCCTTGGAAAGTCCCTTTCCTTTTTAAGTAAATCTAGATACGCATTTTGAGAGATGTTTTAAGTTATCTAGTCTAGCTAGACTAGTAAATTGAGATAAATATAAGTCTCCCAGAATACTAAATTATTTAGCTGTGGTTTCTCTAAATATTGAGGACCAATATCACCCATAAATAAACTGATTTTTAATGTTTGTAATCAACTCATCATAAAGAAGCAGGTGACAATAAAATAAATTGATAGTGAAGATTTATTTAAAACTTAATACTTCAAAGGGGATTTAAAGGATTTAAAATAGAGACATCCTTATCATTATATATCATGACAGTAAAATAAGAGTTGATGATTTAAAATTTATGATTCTGGATTATGATTAAGATGGCAGATAAGAGACAAAACTAGCTTGGGTGGACAGAGCAGCTTGTGGAGACTTACATCGTGAACTTTTGCACCAAGAACTACTGCAGGAACATACCAGGAAAGCCAAGAGAATCAACAGACCTTTTGAAGGACTGGATCACCACTGCAGGCTCCCTGAGACACTGAAAAACTGTGAATCGGCTTGCTTTCTGGACAGGAGGCTCATGGTCTGGGATGAGTTCTCAGCCCTGGTCACTGGTGGCCTAGAAATAGATTTGGTGTTGTTATGGGGGCACAATGGGACTGGATGTTAGGACTGCCAGCTGCATGGGATTGGGATGAGGCTGGTGACTGCTGGCATTTCCCCATTTCGCTGGTGACCTGTATGACTCAGTAGAGGCAGCCATAATCTCCCTGTGAATATAATTCCATTGGACTGAGAACTACACTCCTATTCCCCACAACAGCCAAAGCAAGCCCTGCCCAAGGAGAGGCTGAGCTCAGAGCTCAGACAGGCCTATCCCTGCCCCGACCTGATGGTCTGCCTCTACCCACCCTGGTAGCCGAAGACAAAGGTCATAATCTTTTGGGAGATCTATGGCCCCACCCACCACCTGAGAATCCTGAATACTTAACCAGTTGTCCCTAGGGCAAGTTTACCTTCCCCCATAGGACCTCAGCTGATGCACTCTTGAAAGCATCACCTCCTGGCTGGAGGCCAACCAACACAAAACCAGCACACTAAATGAAAACACAACCAGAGACCCTCACAGAGTCCACCTCACTCCCCTACTACCTCCACTGGAGCAGGTGCTGGTATCCACAGCTGCAAGACCTGAAGACGGATCACATCACAGGACTCTGTGCAGATACTCCCCAGTACCAGCCTGGAGCCCAGTAGCTCTGCTGGATGGCTAGGCCCAGAAGAACAAAAACAATTACTACAGTTTTACTCTTAAGAAGCCCCATTCCTAGGGGAAGAGAGAGAACACCACACCAAGGGAGCACTCTGTGGAACAAAAGAATCTGAACAGCAACCCAGATCTTCTGTCTGACATAATCTACCCAAATGAGAAAGAACCAGAAAAATAATTCTGGTAATATGGCAAAACAAGGTTCTTTAACACCCCCAAAATTTTGTACCAGCTCACCAGCAATATATCCAAGCCAAGACAAAAACCTCTGAATTTCCAGAAAAAGAATTCAGAAGGTCAATTATTGAGCTAATCCAGGAGGCACCAGAGAAAGGTGAAGTCAAATATAAAGAAATTAAAAACATGATACAAGATATAAAAAGAAAATTCTGTGAAATAGAAAGCATAAATTAAAAAAAAATCATAATGTCTGGAAATCAAGGACACACTTAGAAAAACGCAAAATGCACCAGAAAGTCTCAGCAATAGACTCGAAGAAGCGGAAGAAAGAACTTCAGAACTTGAAGACAAGGCTTTTGAATTAACCCAGTCCATCAAAGACAAAGAAAATAGAATTTTAAAAAGATGAACAAAGCCTCCAAGAAGTTTGGGACTGTGTTAAAATTCCAAACCTAAGAATAATCAGTGTTCCTGAGTAAGAAGAGAAATCTAAAAGTTTGGAAAACATATTTGAAGGAATAATTGAGAAACACTTTCTTGGCTTTTCTAGAGATCTAGACATGCAAATACAAGAAGCTCAAATAACACCTGGGAAATTCATTGTAAAAAGATTGTCACCTAGGCATATAGTCATCAGGTTATCTAAAGTCAAGACAAAGGAAAGAATCTTAAGAGTTAGGAGGCAAAAGCATCAGGTAACCTACAAAGGAAAACCTATCAGATTTACAGCAGATTTTTCAGCAGAAACCATCAGGATAGAAGAGATTGAGGGCCTATCTTTACTCTCCTTAAACATAACAATTATCAGCCAAGAATTTTTTATCCAAGGAAACTAAGCTTCATAAATAAAAGAAAGATACAGTTTTTTCCAGACAAGCAAATGCTGAGAGAATTCTCCACTACCAAGCCAGCACTACAAAAACTGCAAAAAGGAGCTCTAAATCCTGAAATACACCAAAATAGAATCTCCTTAAAGCATAAATCTCACAGGACCTATGTAACAATAACACAATGAAAAAGAACCAATGTATTCAGGAAACAAACAGCATGATGAATAGAATAGTACCTCACACCTCAATACTAAAGTTGAATGTAAATGGCCTAAACGCACCACTTAAAATTTATAGAATTGCAGAATGGATAAGAACTCGCCAACCAAGTTTCTGCTGTCTTCAGGAGACTCACCTAACACACAAGGACTCACATAAACTTAAGGTAAAGGGGTGGAAAAAAGAGATTCCATGCAAATGGACACTGAAAGTGAATAGGAGTAGTTCTTCTTATTTCAGACAAAACAAACTTTAAAGTAACAGAAGTTAGATAAGACAAAGAGGGACATTATATAATGATAAAAGAACTAGCCTGACAGGAAAATATCACAATTCAAAATATATATGCACCTAAAACTGGAGGTCCCAAATTTGTAAAACAGTTACTACTAGACCTAAGAAATGAGATAGACAGCAACACAATAATAGTGGAGGACCAAATTTGTAAAACAGTTACTACTAGACCTAAGAAATGAGATAGACAGCAACACAATAATAGTGGAGGACTTTAATATTCCACTGACAGCACTAGATAGGTCATCAAGACAGAAAGTCAGCAAACAATGGACTTAAATTATACCCTACAACAAGTAGAACTAACAAATATATACAGAACATTCTACCCAACAATTGCAGAATATACATACTATTCATTAGCACATGGAACATTCTCTAAGATAAGCCACAAAACAAGTCTCAGTAAATTTAAGAAAATTGAAATTATATCAAGTACTCTCTCAGATCACGGTGAAATAAAACTGGAAATCAACTCCAAAAGGAGTCCTCAAAACCATGCTAACACATGGAAATTAAATAATCTGCTCCTGAGTGATCACTGGGTCACAATGAAATCAAGATGGAAATTAAAAAATTATTTGAACTGAACGATAATAGTGACACAACCTATCACTACTTCAAACTGAATGATAGTAGTGACAAAACCTCTGAGATATAGCAAAAACGTGCTAAGAAGAAAATGTATAGCATTAAATGCCTATATCAACAAGTCTGAAAGAGGGCCGGGCATGGTGGTTCATGCTGGTAATCCCAGCACTTTGGGAGGCCAAGGCAGGGGGATCAATTGAGGTGAGGAGCTCAAGACAAGCCTGGCCAACATGGTGAAACGCCATCTCTACTAAAATATAAAAATTAGCTGGACATGCTGGCATGTGCCTGTAATCCCAGCTACTCAGGAGGCTGAGGCAGGAGAATCACTTGAACCCAGGAGGTGGAGGTTGCAGTGAGCCAAGATCATGCCACTGCACTCCAGCCTGGGGAGCAGAGTGATACTCTGTCTCAAAAAATTAAAAAATTAAGTCTGAAAGATAACAGATAGTATAAGGTCAGACTTCATGAAATTGGAGAAACAAGAACAATCCAAACCCAAATCCAGCAGAAGAAAAGAAATAACAAAGATCAGAGCAGAACTAAATGAAATTGAAGCAACAGCAACAACAAAAATACAACAGATCAATGAAACAAAAAGTTAGTTCTTTGAAAAGATAAAATTGGTAGACCATTAGCAAGATTCACCAAGAAAAGAAGAGAGAAGATCCAAGTAAACTCAATTAGAAATGAGAACAGGAGATATTGCAGCAGATAGTATATAAATACAAAAAAATATGCAAGGCTACTATGAACATCTTTACATACATAAACTAGAAAACCTGTAGGAGATTAATGAATTCCTGAAAATATACAACCCTCCTATATTAAACCAGGAAGTTATAGACTCTCAGAACAGACCAATAACAAGCAGTAAGGTTGAAATGGTAATTAAAAATTTGCCAACAAATAAAAGTCCAGGACCAGATGAATTCATGGCTGAATTCTATCAGGCATTCAAAGAAGAATTGGTACCAATTTGTTTGACACTATTCCAAAAGATAGAGAATGAGAGAATCCTCCCTAAATCATTTTATGAAGCCAATATCACCCTAATACCAAAACCAGGAAAGAACATAACGAAAAAGGAAGGAAAACTACTGACTAATATCCCTGAACATCAGTGCAAAAATCCTCAACAAAATACTAGCTAAATGAATCCAACAGCGTATCAAAAAGATAATGCACCATGATCAAGTGGGTTTCAAACCAGGGATGCAGGGATGGTTTAACATACATAAAGTCAATAAATGTGATACACCACATAAACAGAATTAAAAACAAGAATCACATGATCATCTCAGTAGATGTATTAAAAGCATGTGACAAAATCCAGCATCCCTTTATAATTAAAAATCTTAGCAAAATTGGCACAGAAGGGACATACCTTAAGGTAGTAAAAACCATCTATGATAAACCCACAGCCAACATAATACTGAATGGGGAAAAGTTAAAAGCATTTCTGCTGAGGACTGGAACAAGACAAGGATGCTCACTTTCACCACTTCTATTCAGCATAGTACTGAAAGTCCTAGCCAGAGCAATCAGACAAGAGAAAGAAAGAAAGGGCACTCGAATCGGTAAAGAGGAAGTCAAACTGGTGCTGTTTGCTGATGGTATGACTGTATACCTAGAAAACACTAAAGACTCATCCAAAAAGCTTCTAGAACTGGTAAGTGAATTCAGCAAAGTTTCAGGATACAAAATAAATATACAAAAATTAGTAGTTCTGCTATATACCAACAGTGACCAGGCTGAGAATCAAATCAAGTCAACCCCTTTCACAATGGCTGCAAATAAATAAATAAATAAATAAAATACTTAGGAATATACCTAACCTAGGATGTGAAAGACTTCTACAAGGAAAACTATAAAACACTGCGGAAAGAAATCATAGATGACACAAACAAATGAAAACACATACCATACTCCTGAATGGGTAGAATCAATATTGTGAAAATGACCATACTGCCAAAAGCAATCTACAAATTCAATACAATTCCCATCAAAATATGACCATCATTCTTCACAAAACTAGAAAAAAAAATCCTAAAATTCACATGGAACCACAAAAGAGCCCACATAGCCAAAGCAAGACTAAGAAAAAGAAAACATCTGGAGGCATCACATTACCCGACTTCAAACTATACTATGAGGCCATAGTCACCAAAACAGCATAGTAGCAGTATAAAAATAGGCACATAGACTAATGGAACAGAATAGAGAACCCAGAAATAAAGCCAAATATTAATACTTAAAGCTGACTTATCTTTGACAAAGCAAACAAAAACATCAAGTGCGGAAAGGACACAATATTCAACAAATGGTGTTGGGGTAACTGGCTAGCCACATGTAGAAGAATGAAACTGAATTCTCATCTCTCACCTTATACAAAAATCAACTCACAATAGATCAAAGACTTAAGTCTAAGACCTGAAACATAAAGATTCTAGAAGATAACATTGGGAAAACCTTTCTAGTCATTGACTTCGGCAAACACTTCATGATCAAGAACCCAAAAGGAAATGCAACAAAAACGAAGAAAAATAGATGGGACTTAATTAAACTAAAAAGCTTCTGCACAGCAAAAATAAATAATAATAATCAGCAGAGTCAACAGCCAACCCACAGAGTGAGAGAAAAATCTTCACAATCTATACATCCAATAAAGAACTAAAATCCAGAATCTGCAAATAACTCAAACAAATTGCAAGAAAAAAATCCAATCAAAAAGTGGGCTAAGGACATGTATAGACAATTCTCAAAAGAAGATATACAAATGGCCAACAAGCATATGGAAAAATGCTCAACATCACTAATTATCAGGGAAGTAGAAATCAAAACCACAATGCCATACCAGCTCACTCCTGCAAGAATGGCCATAATCAAAAAATCAAAAAATAATAGATGATGGCATGGATGCGATGAAAAGGGAACCATTTTAAACTGTTGTTGGTAATATAAACTAGTATAACAACTATGGAAAAACAGTGTGAAGATTCCTTAAAGTACAAAAAGTAGATCTATCATTTGATTCAGCAATCCTGCTACTAGGTATCTAGCCGGAGGAAAGTAAGCCATTATACGGAAAAAAAAAAAAAAAAAAAAAAAAAACTTGCACACACATGTTTATAGCAGCAAAATTTGCAGTTTCAAAAATATGGAACCAGCCCAAATTCCCATCAATCAATGAGTGAATAAAGAAAATATGGTATGTATGTATCATGGAATACTACTCAGCCATAAAAAGGAATGAAATAATGGCACTCACAGTAACCTGAATGGAATTGGAGACTATTATTCTAAGTGAAGTAACTCAGGAATGGAAAATCAAACATGTTCTCACTCACTTATGGGAGCTAAGTTATGAGGATGCAAAGGCATAAGAATGATACATTGGACTTTGGGGATTTGGGGGGAAGGGTGAGGGATGGCAAGAGATAAAAGACTATACATTGGGTACAGGGCACACTGCTCGGGTGATGGGTATGCCAAAATCTCAGAAATCACCCACTTGGGAGAGACTGAGGTGGAAGGATCACTTGCAGTGAGCTGCATTCATGCCACCACACTCCAGCCTGGGTGACAGAGTGGGAGACCCCATCTCAACAACAAAAAAAAGAAATGTTAGCCAGATTCATTAATTTTTGAATTCCTTAAAGGTGTTGGCAGACATAATAGTAACCTTTTGTAAAATACAAGTTGAGTATCCCTTATCTGAAATGCTTGAGACTAGAAATGTTTCAGACTTCAGATTTTTTCAGATTTTGGAATATTTGTATTTACTTAGTGAAATACCTGGTGAACAGGGCCCAATTCTAAACATGAAATTCATTTATGTTTTATATATATCTTATACAAATAGCCTGGAGGTAATGCTATACAACATTTTAATAGTTTTGTTCATGAAACAAAGCTTGGGCTGCGTTTTCACTGTGACCTGTCACAGGAGGTCAGGTGTAGAATTTTCCGCTTGGGGCAACATGTTAGTGCTCAAAAAGTTTTAGATTTTGGAGCATTTCAGATTTCATATTTTTAGATTAAGGATGCCCAACCTATATAGAAATGGCATCACAGGTTATTTCGCCAAGGTCATGCATTCAGTTATTAGTAATGTGGTATTTTCAAACAGAAGTATATCTAAAAGCTGCTTAAACAATGTATTTGAGCCATTTTTTGGAATTCATGACACATAGAGGCTAGAAGAATTTCAGTAATGGTAGTCAATATGATAATACCACTGTGAACCAGGCACTGTTTGAAATGTTCCATTTATTGACTTATTTAAGTCTAACAAGGTCATGAGATTCTATTATAATCCCATTAAAAGACAAAGTACTCTGAGGTAGCTCTTTCTCAAAGACATGTTGGGATTTACAACCAGGCCATCTGCAGCCTGGCTCCACAGTCTAGCTGTGAGCTACAGCTCTGCACTTTCTCTTTTTTAAACACAGATTCACGCACAGGCAAACACACACAATACACATGCGTAGCAACACATATACCCTAACACACTCACACACAGCCTATGGCGTGATGATTATCTTAGCAATGTTTCTACTTTGATTTATCTCTCTGTTTTTCTGATTGGGAAGAAAAGGGAAAAATTTTCTCACTCTTCAATTTATAATAATGGCCCCAATATAATGAATCATCTAATCTAATATAGGAAGATGTTATTTTAGAGGAGTTGAGGTACATATTTTATATGATTGAAGCCAATATCTTATCTGTGCAATTAATTTCATGGAGTTCTCAAATTATTACAACTCTGATTTTGTAACTATTGGCAAACAATATATTTTATTTCAAACGAGTATGTAGTGACTTAATATAGAATCTATGCTGTCTTCTAACTCAGAACAAATGAATGACATTTTTTACTAGCAATAACTTATTTTTGTTGCTTAGTCATCTTATGTATAATGATTACCTATTTACAGATATCAGATATTTGATGCTTATTTTGGTTTTAATTTATTTTTATTGTTTAATATTGTCTTTTTGTGATTATAATTTGTTTAAACCATATAATTGTTTGAAAATACACCTAAATTATAGTCAACTTTAAGAAGATCATAAAAATGGAAATAATGTTCTAACTGAATAGGAAGAACATTTTGTTTTCTTTCATGATATATTCAGGTAAATCATATTCTATTTTCTTTTATCATTTGACTGGCTAAACTAAGTGAAAAATGTCTGTAGAAATGATTTTTGCCTGCTCAAAATATAAAGACCTAAAAGAATGGTAGCTGTTCTAATTCTTTTTTGCCTTAAAATACCCTAATGATGAAGGGATGCTGGATTTTATTGAAAGCTTTTTCTGCATCTATGGAGAAATGCAGAACCACAATGAGATACCATCTCATACCAGTCAGAATGGCTATGATCAGGAGGTCAGAAAATAACAGGTGTTTGCTAGGTTGCAGAAAAAAGGGAACACCTCTACACTGTTGATGGGAATTATACACTGTGCAGTCACTGTGGAAAGCAGTTTGGAGGGTTCTCAAAGAACTTAAAACAGAGCTACAATCAATCCAGCAATCCAAATACTAGATACATACCCAAAAGAAAATAAATCATTTTACCAAAAAGACACACACACTTGCATGTTTAACACAGCATTGTTCATAATAGCAAAGACATGGAATCAACCTAGATGTCCATCAACATTGCACTGAATAAGGAAAATATGGTCCCTATACACCATGGAATACTATGCAACCATTAATAAAGAATGTAATTATGTCCTTTGCAGCAACATAGATGCACCTGGAGGCCATTATCTTACATGAATTAACACAGGAAAAGAAAACCAAATACCACATGATCTCATTTATAAGTGGGAGCTAAGCATGTTTACATGGATATAAAGGTGGAAATGATAGATACTAGGAACTACTAGAGGGGGTAGGGTAGCAGGTAGCAGGTCAACAATGGTTGAAAATCCACCTATTGGGTACTATGTTCAATACCCAGATGACAGGATCATTCATACCTCGTACCTCAGCAACACACAATTTACCCATTTAACAAACCTGCACGTGTACCCCTGAACCTAAAATAAAAGTTGAAAAAAAATTCTCATGGTCATTTTAAGTTATTGCCACTGAATTTAAATCTGTGACCTACAAATACTACAATGAATTTTATATTCAATGCATTAACATGTTTGGTGCCATGTAGAAAGAGAAACATGAGCCACGCACACATAAATTTTTCATGAAGGTGGTCATTCTAATATAATGCCCCCCATAATAGTCTTGTAATTCACCATCAGTGAAGTAGCAGTTTTTAAGGCAGTATATTCTGAGGAAAAATAGTGTTTTATTTATACACAGATGGGGAATTGGAATTACATTTAGGCTGGTTGCATGTACTTGTCAGTGGATCATTACATATGGAATAGAACATGAATTTAACTGCTGTTTTGTTCACAGGGTAACTTTTGGCCAACTCCTTCATCTTTATTAAAAAGTAGCTCAATGGTACTGTCAAATGACTTCACTACTCAGAAAAAATATAAACAAATCAAAACAAAACACAATTCTTCTCCCTTGCTTCTCTGTCTGAGTCTCTCACCTACAGAGCTACTATTAGGCATTAACTCTTTAAATTGAACTGGCTTATTGGCTAGGCAGTTTTCACTTTGCCATTCTGTGACTTGGCAGTCTGTGAATTGGCTCTCAGTGACTTGGCTGACTTTCTGCAGAGCCTAGAGGCAGTGAATGAGAGAAATATCCATTGCCCAAAATTTTTAAGAAGAGGCGATTGTAAGGCCTAGGCCTTGGCAACCAGAAGAGCAGAGTATGGGTGGGGAGAGGAGAGGAGCCAAAGGGTAATAACAAACAAGTAAAGGGAAACCGTGAGGGTGAGAGGCTAAACACAACTTTCGTCTAGCTTAAAATTGTGCTGAGGCAATAGCAAATATGACTTGCCTTCTTTGTATGCAAGAAAAATTATTTTTCTTACTTTTTTCATTCAGCAAATGCTTATTGAAGATTATGTGTCAACCAGTGTGAAAGGCCTGGGGGATCAACAGTTAAGTTTTGATACCTGGTCTGCTGGTGCTAACAGATTAACTGAGGACATTAATGAGGGAGGCAGACAGACCAATAATTATAATGCTGTTAGATAAACATAAGCAACAGTGGAAATATGTAAGTACTGTATAGTTTCTAAGAAATTGCAAGGGCATAGGAAAGGGAAGAAAATATTTTCTTTTCTCCTCCTTTTCCTTTAACTATGTTATCCAGCCCTTCTACAATGAAGGAAAACCCTACTTCCAGGTTGCATCATCACACTGCCCTGCATGAAGTGAGGTGTGGCAAAAATGAACCCCACACAGGATTCTTGCAAAAGAATGCTACCTATGCCTACAGGGAGACACCCTCTCAACTGCCCTTGACTACCTTGGGCTTCAATCTGCTCTAGATGGCTTTCATTCTTTCCGATCAAAAGAGCAAGTAAAAGAAAATGCAACTGTTCTCTGAAAAAATGTTCCAGGGACAAATCATCCATATGCAGCTTCACCCTCCGTCTGCAGAGAGCGTTAACTGGAATCTGCAGATTAGTTTTCAGTCCTGACCTCAAGGTTGGCATCTTTTGCATGTAGATATTTATCTGGATGTCCTTAGGACTTCAAATCCAGTATGTCAAGAATGGAGTCCATCTGATTCTCCACTGTCCTTACCCTAGGCACCTCAAACCTACTGCTCTTTAGGTATGACTTACATTGTCCATCCGTTTACTCAAGCCAGAAATTCAGGTGCCTTCTGTAGCCTTCCTTTTCTCTTTACCCTCTACATCTAATCAATCACCAAGTCCTGTCAGTCCTACCTCCCACACTTCTCTATTTATCCGTTCCTTTGCTCCTTCTTTTAGGCTGTCACCATTTTTCATCTGGATGATGAAGACACCATTCTCACTTATCAGTCTCAGTTCCATCAGCCACCAAAAAGATCTTTTTAAATATTTTATTTGCAAATCTGATACTGTAATTTCCCTGTTAAAATTCTTCAACAGCTGTTTTTTTTTTTCCCCTAACAGTGGTTTTTGAAGTTGTTTATAGTGGGCAGAAACCTCATTCAAAAGATATTTTATTCCAATTACATGGAATTAATTAGATGTAAAGTTTAATCTGTGGTACAGAGATGTAAAGAGATGGTGGTCTCAGGTTTTTTTCATGATAACCTCCCTGGATATCTTGCTGGATAACACAAGGTACCTCAGTGCATCTGCAGGGAAGAACAGAAACAGCTTGAAAATCGCTGATCTGTATAAAAAAATGTATAAACTGTCTTGTTGCTTGGTATGTAAACTCTTACTTATTCACCTGTTCAGGCTCATTTTCTACACTCTGCATGTTTACAATTCATGCTGCAACCATAAATTTTGCTATTTCACATGTACACTGAGATTTATCATACCACTTTCTGAACACTGGTCCCTCTTTCCAGAATGTGTCCCCTTATCAAGAACTTCAAACAACTGGCTACTCACCTTCTGAAGCTCAGTGAGCATCATCTGTTCCATGTCACATTACCACTGCCCACCCATAGGCACACGAAAACACTCTTTCTCTGTATGCTCCCACTGCATTCCTACCTTCACCTGTATAACATATTGTTTTGTAACTCTGTCTTGACATCTGTTTCTCTAAGACACTTGGTGAGGCCAATTGCTGGTTTCCATGTCTTCATTCTTGATTTCTGATTACCTAACACAGTCTTTCTGCCCATAGTTAGTCATTAATCAATATTTGTGACATGAATTAAATGGATAGCTTGCTCTTTAAATTACTGTAATTAGAATAAAATTCCTTTCAAAGATAAATATACTCGCAAAATATTTGACATAGTGATATGGGCCTTCATTTTTAGATTAAATGAGAATTCAAATGTAAGCTTATTGATAATAAAATGTTTGAAACAAAGAAGAGACATACAGGTTTTCTAAAAAAAAACAAAACAAAACTCTATCACTGTCCTTTTCAAATTGTTTGAGACCCACAAATTGGATGTGAGATTTTCTTTTTAGCTTCTCTATTTTATTATGAGTTAAGTCGTTTGAAAATAGCATGCCCAATCTCTAGCCCATTCAAAGTTTCTCATCTCTACATTGTTGTACTTTGAGACCTGGTAGTCAGTATTACTACATATAACTGTGAAGTTTAGCTTACATTCCAGTAACTGGATGTTTAAACTCAGAAGTGATAGAAAAATGAGAACATGATTTTTAAAAAAATATTCACTCATTGTTTTATTTTGGTCAAAATGCTACAAATCCTTAGAAAAGTAAATTCTAAAGTATAGAGTTTATCTTTTTTAACTATTAAAACCTGATGAATATTACAGGATATGTCCTAAAAGTATAACATTGATTAATTAGCCTTCAGTGTAAGCAACAGGTCATCTCCGTTCCAGATAGGACCTCAGTAAACCTGGATGAACTAGAGAATTGAAGATAACCTTAAAGCTAATGCTCTTTAGGCTGGGCATGGTGGCTCACACCTGCAATTACAGCACTTTGGGAGGCCGAGGTGGGCAAATAATTTGAGGTCAGGAGATCAAGACCAACGTGGCCAACATGGTGAAACCCTGTCTCTTCTAAAAATATAAAAATTAGCCCGGCATGGTGGTGGGTGTCTGTAGTCCCAGCTACTCAGGAAGCTGAGACAGGAAAATTGCTTGAACCCAGGAGGTGGAGGTTGCAATGAGCTGAGATCATGCCACTGTACTCCAGCCTGGGTGACAGAGCAAGACTTTGTCTCAAAACAGAAAAACAAACAAACAAGGCTGATGCCCTTTAGATGAGGACGTAGAACTCCCTGGATAGAGCTCAATGACTTGGGTTCTAAAACTGTTCCTTCTCTTACTAGCTGTGTGAGTATTCAGGCTAATTGCTTCTCTAATACCTAGTTTCTACTTCAGGTAAACAGGAATGACTATCTCATACTGAGATTAATTGAGGTAATGTCTGTAAAGTTTTCAGCTTAACTCTAGGCATAGGGTAAGCATTCAGTAAATGATTATTATTTTTATTATTTAACTTTAACTTATAGAATATTTGTCCTCTGAAAAGCTCAATCCCGATAGCAGGGCTGCCAAGAAAAAAGGTAAAAGGAAATGCCCAAGTATGTTAAGAATCTTGGAAAATGTCAAACATTGATATTATAACAAATGATGTTTAATTTTGTTCATATTCTTATTAAAAGAACCTCATGGGATTTGGAAATATATTGGGAAGATACATGGTGAAGGTTAACACAGACAGGGAGTGCAAACAGGACTTTGCAAAATATCTGAGAGTTAGCCATTGCTTTTACACCTGAGTCAACAGAAAACTGAATCACATTTATATTTCCACTCAATCTTGCCTTTTGGGTCAAAATATTTCATAATCTTTTTTGAGATGAAGTCCAGCATTACCTCATTTTTTATGATGCATAGTCATGATTCTTCATTTGACATGGCATTTGGAAAGGCATTTGAGTTCCCTTCTTAGAATAATGGATGATGCCTGTATTTCTCAGATAGAATATTGCCATTGAAGGTATTTGATATGGTGAAACAGTGTTGCTGGTTTATGTACTTCAGTTGCTTTGTTTTGTAAGTTCATGAACCACATGGGAATTTAAATAACTTTGCAGTTTTGATACAAAGCCTTCTTACCTGGTCATTTACAATAGAAAGATCCATCTCTGCAACTAATTCGTCTAAAGCCAGCTGTTGACCAATATCAAATATTTATTCCTGTGCCTCTCTTCTGACTAGATGCTTTGCCAACGTTTGTATCTCTTGTTATCTCTGGAGGTCAGTTATTTGCAACTTCTCTGAAACCTATACCTTTTTAATTCTCTTTTAAAATGCAGATTATTTGGCTCCATTTAGCGTCTGTTATGGAAACAAGACATGAGTCCTTTATTTACTAAACCAGTAAAGATTAGAAAAATTGAGTAAATACTTTCTTCTTTGTCTATGTCATCATAAATTTTCAACGTATGTGTTACAATATCACAGGAAACATATTGTAATGGAGCTGAGACTTTAAGGCTGGTACTGTATAATACATGAAAGTTTGGTTACACACACAGACACATGCATACACACACACACACAGACATGCACACACACACGAATACCCACCCATCCCCCCCCCACACACACACAGGCAGAAAGAGAGTGAGAGAATATAAATTATTTTAGTTGAAGTGCAACTTCAATTTTCCCAACTACTATTTTTGATCAGCTATTAGGGGCAAAAGTCATATTAGATCCTGTGGAAATAATGAAGATGAAAAATACATATTCCCCATTTCAGAGTGTTTATAATCTGGTAATGTGATATATAAGTATGATATTTGCTGCAAATTACTAGTTTAAACAAAAAAAGAAAATGTTTGAAGTTGCTCAATAAGTGGTTTAAGGATACATATGTTTGTGGGTCCTTCATGTTTGGTTAAGTCAAAAGCCCAATTATTTTCTCAAGAGCCAAGTTTCTTTTGTTGCTCCGTCATGTCATCCTTGGTTTTGGTGTTCTGCTCACTCTAGTGATCAATTTATCTGCAGCACTTCCAGGCATTACATCTCGAATAACAATGACTAGAAGAAAATAAATATACACCATGTAATCTTGTGGATATCTTTCGTAAAACAGAGGAAATCCTTCCCTGGAGATAGCCCAGGAGTCTTCCCTTCTATCTCTTATTGCCCAATATGAGGATCATAATTGATTGGAGCTGATCAATTGATCAATGTTCAGGAGTTAGCCAAAATATGAAGATAAGCTCAAATTACAAAAAAAAATACATATTTTATATATATATATATATATATATATATCATAGTTTCATGAATATTATAGGAATATTATTGAAGTGTTATTGAAATGTAAAAGTGGCATGGGGTTTACAGGCAGGGGAAAATGACAATAATCTCTGTGGTTATTAGATAAATGAAGAAAGTGTCAAAAAATTTTCAGTCACCTTATTTATAGAATTTTTGTCATCTTACATCTATCATATCTATCATACCAGGATTATTTATTTTCTGTTGTGACACCGTACTGGAATTTCATAAGGACAGGAATAGTGACAGTCTTATTCATCAATATGCCCCTCTTTGTTAAATAAATCAAAGAGTGAGTGAATGGTTTTGGAGACTTTGTAGAATTTTAGCAGCCAAGATGAGAGTATTCTAGGTACAGGGACCGTCATTAGCAAAGTTATAAATCAGGAAAGCTCAGACACTTGCCTGAATCTCCAGGCAAGTATAGTAGAAGAGTGAGAATCTACGCTGGGATTACAGTTCAGAGGATGAAATGCATGATTTTTTAGCTTCCATTAAGGAGAATTAATATTTCAGAGTTGGATGGTGATTGAGTAAGGGCACTGTTTTAGTAAGAAAATCTAGGCAATGATATGTTAGATATATTATAAGAGGAAGAAAGTCAATATGGGACTCCTGACTAGAGGCTGTATCAATATTTGGAAAGAGCTAAGATCCTGATTTGGGATAAACAGATGGGAAAAATGCAATAAATACATATCTAACAATGTTACAGGTGAGAATTGAGAGGAATTATAAATAAATAGGAAAGGAATAAATTAGCAATGGAATAACTAAGAGAAACAACAACAGAATAATAGATATCAGAAACAAGCATTATATTGTTTTGTTGGATTTTTTTCCAGGAATCATGGGTTGCAGAGACAGCATGTTATAATGAAAAAAGGCAATAGTTCCTCTAGTTGAATGACTTGGGTCCAGATTCCTGAGTCATTTATATTAAAAAATGTTTAATATTAGAAATTTTTAAGAATGACACAATCGTAAAAGTCAGATTAAATGCCTTCGAAAATTAAGTAAATTATTAATGATTTATAGAAACCTCAAAAGGAGTCTATGATTAAGGAAAGAGTTAGAATAACGTTATGGCGGGAGAAGTATAGAATGGGAATTAAAAAGGAAATGTTGGAATACATTAACAAATTTTGCCTAACAATTATTCAGTTGTTGCCTAATATGTCTTGGCTTTAACCATATATTTGTAGAACAGAAAAGGGTATTATGATGTCTTCCAATCTTCTGCTTTGCATTCAACAGATAACAATTAAAATTGTTTGGATGTGTAAAACCTGCTTAATTTTTTAAGAGATTTAAAAAAAAAAGAGATTTCATAAATAGTCTGTATGTAACTGGGCGACAAATATCAGTCTCTACCAAGAAATTATTCTTGCAACTAGAGTTAATCACATATAACAAAAAGTAAGGTTATTCATTTTTAGTTTGTCACTCTGTATAGACTGTATTTGACCGACGCCTTTGGTAATACTTGACTTATTTCAAGTATGTTATAATATCACTATTCAAATTATTTCTTTACTAATTCTAATCTCTGAAAGAGTTACTCATAAATTCAGTCTTTAAAACCTGTAATTGCTTTTGGCTTACTTCTGAACCCTGCTTAAAAGTTTATGATCCTTTTACATTTTATACAGCCTAGAAAATGTTGCAGATCTTTGCATAAGTATCCACATGTCAAGCCTCATCTTCATGCCATTTACTAAAGCACTTTACAAAAAACTCGTGTTTATAAGTAGCAAGAGAAAACTGCCAGTTTACATAATTTTGTTTGGAGGGAAGAGGTATTGAGATCTTGAGTTAGGGGCTAGCAGAGAAATAATACAGCAATAAATGCATATTTAGCTGTGCAGAGAGGACTTATTACACTATTAGATATAGCATTTTGGAAAGGAATGGGTTAGCAATTAACTAAAATTAGAAGATTAAGGAAAATATGAGAAGTTTTTGGAATATATATTACTGATAAGTATATTTAGCTTCCTTGTATATAGAACTTCTCTGAGTATTAATATGCTAATTTCCAATGTAAATATACAGTTTAGAAAAGGATGTTATACGTTGTAGTCACTAGATGTTTTTAAATCATGGCTTCTATTTTCAAAGTGGTGATACTTTGCTGAACCTAGTTATATGCTATAAATAACAGCTAATATTTATTGAGTGTCTTTAATAGTTTCATGTTTAGTAGCTTCACTTTTTTTACCTCATTTCACTGTTCATAACTCTGTAATGTAGGGTATTAGCTTTTTTTAATAAATAAGGATTCAAGCCTTTGAAAGATCAGTTATGTTCCTGGTGTAGCAAATGGCAAAATCAGAGTTAAACTGTTTGTTCCACCACCAGTATGCTTCCCTGCCTTCCCTTACATTCAGAATTTGTTAAGCTCAGTATAGAAGCTTTCTGCCTGAGAGATGGCTGTTTGGAGTAACATTATTTTTCTATTTTTCTTTCAAGAGAATAAATATCTCTATTATTTTTAAATGAATGACTATTACATACAGAGCTGAAAGTGGCAACAACCAGGACATTTCCCCAAAACAAATATCTTTAAAGAGAACCAACACTAAAAGTTTATTTTCTTTCAGAGAGAGAATTGATGGGAGGGTTAAATACGGGGTTAGTCAGTGATGTGCTGGCAAATGTTTTACAACCGGCTTTTTGAGGTGGGAAGGCAAAGCCCTGGTTTGTAGTATTTGCCCGTTCTTACAGTGTCAGTACTCCCATGGTAGCTTATTTCAAGCTACAAACTTGATGTCACTGAATGTGGAATTGGAAAGAGATGCACAAGAGCACACCTTTATATGGAATTTTTAGGTTACACAATAGATATAAATGCCCTCAAGACCATGGATAATAGTAAACCATTAGGAAGTAACACGTTTTGAATGGTTATTGCTTTTGTTTTTAATATGATTAATTGTGAGTTTATATAGTTTAATTTTTAATAATCGTTTAACAATTGGCTCACAAATTCCAGAAATTTTAAGAAATGGCTCTTGCAAGTCAGTGCACGCTGGCTCGAGCACACCACTGGGGTGGATTGGAAGAAGATATAACTTAAGTCATGTTGGAAATAAATTGTCTAAGGGAATATTTTAGGTCTATTTTAATATTCTTTTCTCCTATTATTTTGAAGTTAGTATGAGTATTAATTTTAAGGTAATGGAAACAGTGGTATTTTTCTCTAGGAAGTTAACAATGCATTTCTTGCCGATTTACATTTATCACTCAGATTTATAGTGTATGACAGTCAAGGAAGCCCACATGATTCACTGTTAGGATGAAGATCAAGAGTAATTTTACCCCAGAGATGAATGAAAATAGCAGAATCTATTTTTGAGGATCATTGTGATTTTTTACTACTATTGACTATACAGGGTTTATGAGTTATCTGGCTTCTTATTTTTACTTCAATTCAAAAAGAAATATGATAACTGGGTTTAAGCATAAAGTAAACAGATGTAGCTCCAGCCTATGGCCATTTGGAAGCTGGTTTAGATTACTGAATGACATTAAAAAGCTGGGGAGTACATTTTATAATTTGCAATATAATATGGGAAAAATCTACCATGTTATTTTCTGGGTTATTAGATTAAGAAAATATTTTACATATTAAACTACAGAAATGGTGAAAATATATTCTTCAGTCTTATTTCCCACTAGACTTTTAAATACTTGTTTTCTTGGGAGATAAAAATGATGGTAGTATCTTGCTTATTATATTTTTATAAGGCACCCCGTAATAAATTAAATTATATAACTTATATTAATCTTCTATGAATAAATTCTCTCATCATTATTCTGTATTTGTGATATTAACTCTGAATATTATATAGTGTATATTTTTGGACATTTTCTTCAGAAAATCAGAAACTAGTGGGAGGCCTAGGTGGGCAGATCACGAGGTCAAGAGATTGAGACCATCCTGGCCAACACGATGAAACCCTCTCTCTACAAAAAATGCAAAAATTAACTGGGTGTGGCAGCGCGCGTCTGTAGTGGCAGCTACTCAGGAGGCTGAGGCAGGAGAATTGCTTGAACCCGGAAGTGGAGGTTGCAGTGAGCCAAGATCATGCGACTGCACTCCAGCCTGGTGACAGAACAAGACTCCTTCTAAAAAAAAAAAAGAAAAAGAAAGAAAAAATCTGAAACATGCAAAAAGAAAGAATAAGAAATAAATCATTCAAACTTCAACTAGTTCAGATTATCAAATGATTTTTTTTCTTTTTTCTTTTTTTTTTATTATACTTTAAGTTTTAGGGTACATGTGCACAACATGCAGGTTTGTTACATATGTATACATGTGCCATGTTGGTGTGCTGCACCCAGTAACTCATCATTTAACATTAGGTATATCTCCAAATGCCATCCCTCCCCCCTCCCCCCACTCCACAACAGGCCCCGGTGTGTGATGTTCCCCTTCCTGTGTCCATGTGTTCTCATTGTTCAATTCCCACCTATGAGTGAGAACATGTGTTGTTTGGTTTTTTGTCCTTGCGATAGTTTGCTGAGAATGATGATTTCCAGCTTCATCCATGTCCCTACAAAGGACATGAACTCATCATTTTTATGGCTGCATAGTATTCCATGGTGTATATGTGCCACGTTTTCTTAATCCAGTCTATCATTGTTGGACATTTGGGTTGGTTCCAAGTCTTTGCTGTTGTGAATAGTGCCACAATAAACATACGTGTGCATGTGTCTTTATAGCAGCATGATTTATAGTCCTTTGGGTATATACCCAGTAAAGGGATTGCTGGGTCAAATGGTATTTCTAGTTCTAGATCCCTGAGGAATCGCCACACTGACTTCCACAATGGTTGAACTAGTTTACAGTCCCACCAACAGTGTAAAAGTGTTCCTATTTCTCCACATCCTCTCCAGCACCTGTTGTTTCCTGACTTTTGAATGATCGCCATTCTAAATGTTGTGAGATGGTATCTCATTGTGGTTTTCATTTGCATTTCTCTGATGGCCAGTGATGATGAGCATTTTTTCATGTGTCTTTTGGCTGCATAAATGTCTTCTTTTGAGAAGTGTCTGTTCATATCCTTCGCCCACTTTTTGATGGGGTTGTTTGGTTTTTTCTTGTCAATTTGTTTGAGTTCATTGTAGATTCTGGATATTAGCCCCTTGTCAGATGAGTAGGTTGCGAAAATGTTCTCCCATTCTGTAGGTTGCCTGTTCACTCTGATGGTAGTTTCTTTTGCTGTGCAGAAGCTCTTTAGTTTAATTTGATCCCATTTGTCCATTTTGGCTTTTGTTGCCATTGTTTTTGGTGTTTTAGACATGAAGTCCTTGCCCATGCCTATGTCCTGAATGGTATTGCCTAGGTTTTCTTCTAGGGTTTTTATGGTTTTAGGTCTAACATTTAAGTCTTTAATCCATCTTGAATTAATTTTCATATAAGGTGTAAGGAAGGGATCCAGTTTCAGCTTTCTGCATATGGCTAGCCAGTTTTCCCAGCACCATTTATTAAACAGGGAATCATTTCCCCATTTCTTGTTTTTGTCAGGTTTGTCAAAGATCAGATGGTTGTAGATATGTGGCATTATTTCTGAGGTCTCTGTTCTGTTCCATTGGTCTATATCTCTGTTTTGGTACCAGTACCATGCTGCTTTGGTTACTGTAGCCTTGTAATATAGCTTGAAGTCAGGTAGCATGATTCCTCCAGCTTTGTTCTTTTGGCTTAGGATTGACTTGGCGATGTGGGCTCTTTTTTGGTTCCATATGAACTTTAAAGTAGTTTTTTCCAATTCTGTGAAGAAAGTCATTGGTAGCTTGATGGGGATGGCATTGAATCTATAAATTACCTTGGGCAGTATGGCCATTTTCACGATATTGATTCTTCCTACCCATGAGCATGGAATGTTCTTACATTTCTTTGTATCCTCTTTTATTTCATTGAGCAGTGGTTTGTAGTTCTCCTTGAAGAGGTCTTTCACGTCCCTTGTAAGTCAAATGATTTTTATACCTGGATTATTTTTATACTTTCAAGTTCTTTCACTTGGTTTTGTGTAGACTTCATTTATGACTGTTTCTATGGATGTACATTAATATAAAGATCAAGTCAACTGTTTTGATCATCGATTTAGATGATTCTATGGAAAAGAAATATTTGCAATGGTGTCTATGTTTTTTTTGTTTATTGATATTCTACATGGACATCATGAATTGGACCTGTGGTAAATGTTTGTTTCCTGTAGGTTTCTGTATAGTATAGCAGTCATGATATACTTTGGAGTCATATAAGCTTGTTACTTTTAGTATGTATTACTTTCTTCCAAAAAGTACAGTAGGGAAAGATAGAGGAAAAATAAGAGAACTTTATATTGGAGAAACTGACAAATACTACCTGAAGGCAAGTGGACCAGCTTAATATCAATGTAATAAATCATATTTTTAGTAAGTATTATTGATGTGATGTGTTAAGAATGGCGTTTTCCCTCTGTGGTCTTCTCAAAAACACATTTCCTTAGTCTAACCATAAGAAAAGTATAGACAAACCCCAACTGAATGACATTCAACAAAATGCCTGACTAATAATCCTCAAAACTGCTAAGGTCATGAAAAACAAGGAATATCTGAGAAATTGAGAGAGCCTAAGGAGACATGATACATACAGTATCTTCAATGGGATCGTGCAACAGAAAAGGGACATTAGGTGAAGACTGAGGCCATCTCAGTGAAGTATGGGCATTAGATAATAATAATATTAATATATTTATATTGGTTTATTAATTGTAAAAAAGTACCATACTAATGTAAGATGCTAAAAATAGGGGAAACTGAGTGAAGGGTGTATGTTAACTCTCTGGACTATTTTCTCAACAATTCAGTAAATCTAAAAATGTTCTAAAATAAAAAGATTATTTAAAATAACAGTGCAGATATATTTCATCATTCACCTAAAATGCAGCCGAGTAATCTAGACATAAGAGTGTGTATGAGATATTAATCTATTTAGATAAAGTTCAAGGATAGGCAAAATTAATTCATGCTATTATAAATCAAGAAAAATGGTTTCACTTGGGAGAGGAAAGTGACTGTGGAAGGAGCACAAGGTGTTTTCTGGGAGGGCCTGTGGTATTCAGATTCTTGGTCTCTATGTTGGTCCCATGGATGTTCACCTTGGAAAAAAAACAGTTGAGCTATAATTATGATTTTTATATTTGTCTGTATATATAATTCAATAAAAGTAAAAAAAAAAAGTATTTTTTCACTGGCATTTGGATTATATACATTATAAAGGGTTATTAAGCATTAAACACCAAAATGCATTTTGTGTAAAATGATTTTTTAAAATTAAGAAACAGTATAGTATTAACCCATAAGTATAATAATAAGTGTTATATTGGTATATCTTTTTTGCATTATTTAAATTTTTACCATGTCTGTTTTTAAAAAAATCACAATACACATCCTTAGAAAAACAAAGGTATTCTAGAAATAAAGAGATAAATCTTAATCAGAGGTAGGAAGGGATATCTGCAGTCAAGAGCACTGATTACCATTTATTTGACTTAGGCCTAGGTTTATGGTGAGTGTACTTCTGTAAATAATTATAAATCAACTGTACAATGCTTCACATTAAAAAAAAATAGAACAAAGTTAATGCAGTCATTTATTCTCACTAGAAGTGATGCATTTCTCCAGTCCCTGATGGGCAGCCCTCTTGTGCCATACACCTCATGTTTATGTGCCTCTCATGATGACCTGCCTGCACACATCAAAATGACCTTTTAAAAGTGAGTAATGCCTTAGCTTAAACCTCTTTCATGACCCCTCCTCACTATCTGGATAAAAATCTAAACTCCTAAACAAGACTATGGCACAGACTGTTAATTGTCCCTTAACAAATTACTGATTCTTCTTCAATAAAGTAATATCCAAAAGGTAGCTAGGCAAATGACCACCCTGTCCCAAAAACCTACATTTCTCAAACTCTTTTGTAACTAGTAGATGTGACAGATAATGTAGACCCAGCCAATAGAGTTTAAGTGATGTGAACAACTTTCAGGAAATATCCTCTGAGGAGGTGTGTTTGATTTGCTGCCCCTTCTCCCTTTTTTGCTGCTTGGAATGCAGACATGATGGCTGCAAGTCATCTTGGACCACAAGTTAGAAGACGCAAATTGAATATGCACTGGACTACCTACTTTACATGAGAATAAGAGACTTCTAACTCATTCAAGCTCCTTTTATTTTGAGTATTGAATCTAATCCTAATTTTTTTGTTTCTACCCCCATGTAACCTTTGCTTCTTTGCATAGGAAACTAGATAATGGACTTACTAGGAGAAGACAAAATTTAATGGCCTTTTTTTCCCTAGTATATAACAAACTACTTGACACATAAGAGTTGCCACAAAAAGTGTCTTTTTTTTTTAACTTGGTTAAATATAAATATCACCTCCAACAAAAATTAAATTCAGAGATACATTGAAAAGCTAAAAAAAATCTCAAATTATCTTCCATCTCCATTGATTCAGGAGGGGAAAAATAAGAAGGAATTTGAAAGATACACAACAGAGAGAAAAGGTAAACCTCAAATATTATGAATAATTTCAGAGTGAGAGAGAATATACTACATCCCTTAAAAAGAATATGATTCTATGAAAATATGTAATAAAAATAAGAAAGGGTCCTCATATGTAAACATATTATGACCATGTTTAAAACTTCAGTAAAAGAGTTGAATGGTAAAAGCCCTAAACAGTACAAGACAGAAATAGAAAAAATGAGGGAAAAAAAGATAAAAACATTGTAGGAACAACCCAGGACATCCATTACCCAACTATTAGAGATTATCAGAAAGAGAGAGGGAAGGATTAGAGAAGGGAGAACGATCAAAAACATAATATATAAACACATCTCAAAACAAAAACAAATGATGCTCAATATATACTTACTGAAGTATTCATATATGCATTCTTTATCTCATGTACACCAATCATAATTATTGATCATATATTACCTGCCAGAATATATACTAGCTACTGAAAAGAAAAAGAGAAATAAAATGATATTTCTGATTTCCAGTCTCCACCCATCCCTCTGCTCACTTATTTTTTATGTTAACTCAGGCCTGTGGTAATGATAAATATTTAATAATACAATACTTAATAATGAATGCTTATTTTCTCTTGGTGATTGTGTATATTAGCTGATAGACATTAAGTCTATAAAATTTACCTGTACAAATTACTAAAAAGAAATGTATAATGTTAGCAAGAATTTTCAATGGATGATTTATCTTCAAATCAATAATTGACCTTTTTTTTTTTTTTAAAAAAAAAGAGGTTTTTATGGTCCCTAATAGTTTAGCGTCAAAATAAAGCATAAAAAGAGATGGACCTATTATTATAGACATATATAGAAGCATTTGTACAAACAAGTAAAAAGAAGGAGAGGAAGTGTTAGAAGTAGTAGTTTGACAATATCTGATAACCAAATTTAGTGCTTCATTTTCCCCCAAAATATTTCTTTACTCAATTTGTCTTATGAAAACTCACGGATATGGTCTGTGGGATTGTACATTAAAACACCCTAGTATGGAACACAATAAAATAAAACCATGCAATCACATGACTCATGGTAATGTGAATTTGGATGATAGCAATTGACTTTTTTTTTTTGTTTTTTTTTTTCTGAATGCAACCCATATTTTCAAATGAAGGTGGTCAAATGAGAAGGCTAAATGTGAAGAGAAGTGAGACACCCTCTTGAAGATCTAGGTGGATTTAGGAAAGGTCGTTATATTCTTGGTATCCATCATTCCCAATTCCTTGGATAGGGATGATAAGACAGGTTCCAGCCACCAGAAGATCCCTTGAATCACTATCACTGTCCAGGAACCCCAGCCAGTTACTGAACCGAGCCTTTTACCTGTTTTATATTTTAGACAGAGCATGCAGTTGCCACCAGGTGGTGCCAAATTCCAACTGGGACTTGGATTTGGAGTACACAGTCAGACCCAGAATTCCAAACCCCCTAACTGCTTGGTTCATTTCGTTATTCTCAAAATATCATCACCACCTTTTCACCAATGACTGTCTTTGAGCCTTCTTACCACATTATGAAAGGATTTTACTGCGCTTTAATTTCTGCTGACTGAAGTTCTGCAAGTACACTATCTTCAGGCAATCATGGAAGAAGTCAACTGAGTAGTTAGCTTGTATAGCTAACTTATAATATCTTTGCCTATCTTTGGTTCAATTACTTCTTTTCTTATAGCACCTCTCTTCTTAACGGATGTAAGATAAGTGGTAGCTATCATGTGAAAACTGTTATCTTCCTCCATAATCTATCATGTCACATTAAGCTCCAAAGAAAATAGAAAGCCATTCTAACAGTAGTAATCACTCTCAAAAAAAAAAAAAAAAAAAAATTACTAAAGTACTTACCAGACACTCTGGAATAAGGGAAAAATCGTTATAAGTATGATGCCAATATCTAAAATCCAGTATAATTAGTTGTGACAAAAAATATGCTATGAAAAGCACACATTTCAGTTAACATATTTATGTACACCTTGCCAAAGTAGCTTTTTACCAGTTTTAAAAATAGCCACTTCTATAATTTTTGTGTCTATTATAAACAAATATAAGCAATTTAAGTAATCAGCCAATTATTGACTTAGTATCATACATAAGTGATATATTTGTGCTTAATGTTTCTGTAGTAAACTGTTTGGGAATTTATTTCATTCAACCTACGTTTATTATGAGATTACCAACTGTCTGTGCACAGAATAATGTTCCTTTTATTGAAGGCTTCTTTAAGAAGAAAACATATCCAAATGATTTTTGTAGGAATATTTGAGGTTAAAATAAAAGAGGTTAGAATTTTTATTCCTTGGGGCTTTGGAATGAGAAATGTCTGCATTTAACTTTATAGGAGCCACGTGATTTTTTAAATTAAAGAGCTTAGATTGTTCGAAAGAAGATTGCACCTCAGTTATTTTTATATATGGAAAAATCATCACAAAATCAAACTGATTTATTTCTTTTAACTTGCTGAGTTCTTAGTATAGTTCAGCTACTGTTTTGCTCATAGAGCTCTAAAGGTAAATTAGAAATGATCTACATGTATTTTGGTGTTTAAGGGAGACAAACAATTAGCATGCCTCTTGCCAGCCCAGGTTTTAAACCAATTGAGGATAAACTTAGAGTAAGCAGATTGAAGCTGAGATAACACCTAAGTTTCTGATAAACGGCAGCTTGAAGAATGACTCTTGTGCAGTGGTGTGCTTGAGCCAGCTCATAGGGGGCTTGTGAAAGCTAATTATTTACACATTCTCCTAGTTCCATGTTCAGTGACCTCATGTTGGTGCCTTGAAATCAAATTGTGTGGGAATATTTGCACTATGAAAATTGGTAAATGACACATTGGGGATTTTTTTACCCTGGAGAGCTGGTTGTTAGACATTTAACAGAATGCTACCCACTTTCTGCAAGGATATCTTAGTCTAAATACTGAATCCCAGAGTTACCCATTCAGTCCCACAAGATGAATATTCCCTGCACCTGGAGCTAAACAAGTGGCTTCTCTTCACATAACTTATTCATCAGAGGAAGGGAAAAGGAAGACCTTTAATTATGTATGCTCTTTCCAAACTCTCCTGTTTATTCTGCCTTCCCAAGGACAGAAGAAGTGAGGATGTGACAACTTGGAAGAAAGCATTAGGAATGTGAACGCATGTTCCCCCACCTATTGCCTCCCACCTTCTGCTTTTTGTTCATTTTTTGGAATTTACCATTAAGAACTGAACTTTACTAAGGGTGTGATTGTCGCCATATGGGAAGGATATTGACATTCCTTTAGGGCATTTTCTAATGCTATCCCAACACCAACGTGCTATCCCAATACCAACCATTGTTTCTTTGAGTACCTTCCTGGGAATACTGGTGATGAGGTTTTGTGGGTTTTGATGTTGTTGTTGTTGTTGTTGTTGTTGTTCCCAGAGAGCTCTAACTATTGGACCCATGTTTGAAAATGAAATATTAGTAGATTTAAATTCAATTTTCCCTCTGCAAATACAACTACAGAATTTTCTTGCACTTTTTTTTTCTGCAACAATATGTGATTTCACAATGGAAGGCATCCCTCACATTGTACTGAGAAGCTCACAGTCGGGTAACTCTCCAGTGTGACATGTATGTCTGCCCAGTATATCAACTCCAGCCTCACTTAGGTTTATAGGTTTTCGATATTTCTGCAGCTGTTGTAACAGTTTCCCATGAGTGGGGGAAAAAAAAAAAAAAGCTCTGAATTCTCTTGTTCTTCATGGAACCAACACTTGTACGATGTCCAGACAGCACTAGGGAAACATTAAGCAAATCGGAAATACTCGTGTTCACTATTTCACTTTCCCCATAAAGCCCTGAAATTGTTCCAAATAATATAATTAAATAAATTCTGAAGGCTCTCTGTATTCAAGTCTAAAAATTTACTTGCTAATCTCTTTCTGATCCTGTATTATTTCCAATCTCACTGTCTAGTAGAAGCTTTGAAATTTGATGAAAGACAAAAATAAGATACTACAACAATACATATGCATATGGAACTCCAAGACATAAAGATAAAATTTATATAAGGAACTCCAATAATAAAATGCCAGCAGTAGGAGTCCCTACGTAAATAAATCTGCTCCCATTTTTCTAATTATATGAGAGTGAAATCATATTTAAAAATTAACACTTTTTAAAGGTGAAATCCAGAAATATAGTCTGAAATCAAATTATCTTGCACTTGTTCATCTAAAAGTCTAAAGAAGTAGTATTTCCTTCTTTTTTTATTTCTTCATCTCTCTCTCCCTCCTGCCCTCCCCAGTCCTTGCCAACTTCTTATTCTTCCCTCTGGTCACAATCAGGGTTCTTTCAGCAGTTCAGTGTGGGTTTTCTCTTTCTCTCTCACCTGCGACCCCCCATCATAGTTCTTTTAAGGTCTCATATGTTATATTAGTTTGATTCCAAGTCTTTCATGAACCATACTTTAAAATGCTCAAAGGGTTCATTGGATGTACACAATTATCAAAAGCACTGGCCCCACAAAATAAAAGTTCAAAGGTGAACCAATTTGATTCCAGGACCTAGTAGTTGTGGTTTTTCAAAGACCATCCTTTATTTTTATTCTATTTCTTTGTTGGCTAGATTTCATTGTCAATTCCATTATTTTTTAAAGAAGCATTCAAGATATCTGTAGTCTGTGTTTTCTTGGTTCCTTGAGAGTTTCTGTTTGTTTTCTCTGTAATTGGATAATTTGGCAATTTTTAAATGTCAAATATAAAATGTAATATATTTTCTCCTTCAGAATGTATAGACCTACCCACTGAATATGTTTTCATTGATATATAATACTTGTACATATTTTCAGGGTACATGTGATATTTTGATACATTCATGTGATATATAATGATCAAGGCAGGTAATTGGGATATCTATCATCTCAAACATTTATCTTTTCTTTATGCTAGGAATATTGCATTTATAGCTATTTTGAAATATACAGTAGATTAATATTGATTTAATCCTTTCAACATAGCTTTTTCTTTCATCTTCTGGGTTGGTAAATTTTGGTCTTTTTTATATTCCTTGAGAACATGAGGTTTGAAACTATCTTGTCTCTTGTATTTATACTTGAACGGCAGCTTGGCTAAGTTGACATTCTTGGATCAAAAAGAGACAGTCATCTGAGGGAAGGTTGGCTTAACTTGCAGTGGTTTGAGAATGTACCATTGAGCCAGATCACTTGATGCTTAAAAAGAGTGACAGATGTTATAGCTGAAACACCTTCACATTTTGGCTACTGAGCAGGTTGCTGAAGTACCTGAGATAATATGCATGTCCTCCAACCCAGAGCCCCAGTACTTCTCACTACACAGGCACTGCCATGCATTCTGTAGTTCAGATCACTCTTCCTCATGGCTTAGATTGCTCCATCCAGATTGAGTGTGGAGTGTAGGGCATAGAAGAGTGTTTCGTTACTAAACTCATCCTAAGTTTATGAAACTAGAATAAGGACAGTATAAGACACTCACAACTTTAGGCAAACCAAGAATTTTATAGTATACTTAGAAATTTTCCATCTTCTAGTCCTCAAACATATATGTTACAGTTATTACATAATTTCAAATTGTATTTCTTAGGAACAGTTTTGTTCTTGTCAACACATTTTAAATAATATGATATTAGTGGCAACATATTTTATAATTCTAAATTTTGTCATTGACAGACATCACTTTAAAGGAAGCATGCCACAGTGCCCTTTATGTTTATTTGCTTTCTTAACTGAGAATCTACATTTAAATAATCTCACATATTATAGAATTAAAGTATTCAAAACTTTTCCATGGTAAGGCAAGCCAATACTTTTTCACTTTTTAACATTTTAAATTATGAACACTTTTAAGCATATGTTACAACAGAAAATAATATAATAATACAAGGTACTAATGATCCAGATTTAAGACATGCTCTTGTTTGACATATTTGCCTAGGGCTTTTCTTTTCTTATTTAAATGACACAGATACAACAAAACCCCTGATTCCCTTGCTGTCAAGCCAATCTCCTCCATCTCCTTGACATTGTAGCTTATCTTTCCTGTTGCTTTTGAACTTTTACTATATAGGCACTCATGACATTATGCAGTCTTATGTGTGTTTTTAGAATTTGCATAAATGGTGTAATTTCAGAATTTATTTTAAATTATGATAGTATTTAGTGATTATGGAATATAAAAAGCAAAAAAAGGATTTGAAATTCTTTTCTATGTTTGATATGATCCTATGGTGTCAAGTATATCGTCAAGTCATTTTGCTTTTTTATTTGTGTGTTTGTTTTTAAAGAAATGTTTGAGATTTTGTAATCTGTGTTTTCTTAGATCTTTGAGAGTTTCTGTCAGTTGTCTCTATACTTGAAGGATAACTTGGCAATTTTAAAGTAGTCCAAGATAGCATATTTTCTTCACAATGTGTAGACACCAGGACATTGAATGTTGCTACAGTCTCTTTATCATAGCTTGTCCTTTCATGTTTTGGGAAGGTACATTTTGAGCTTCATATCTTTCTTGGGTACTTGAGGTTTGAAACTGTTATGTCTGTTGTCTTTACACTTTACAGCAACCAGATATGACTTTCTTGGGTCACACTTTCTTTCCTCAGAGCTTTGTACCCATTGCTATTCCCTCTCCTGTCTTTTGATGTTGCTCTGCTGGGAAAATCTGAGACCAACCTGACTTTTCTCCCTTGTGCTTGAATTGCTCCTTTTGCTTGGTTCCATTGAAGTGCTGGATAATTTCTTAGTGGCAATTGTTTGCCAACAGATTTTATTGGAACACGTTGTATAATTTAAATGGCCAAATTCAGTAGTTTATTCCTTTCAGAGAAATTAGCCTCTTGAATACTCTTTTTTTTTCTGTTCTGTAATAATGGAGTCAATATGGAACTAATCCTAAAAGTAGCATTCCTTATGATGTATATCAACTTTATATATCCTCCATACCTATTCTTTCCTTTTCAGTTTCCTTTCTAATTTATTTAAATTTAATACAGAGAGATCTTTGCCTTGGGTACTGTCCTCCAGAACACTCTACTCTGTCCTCTGCCAGCTGCTATATGGGGCCAAGCATCTCTGTCCACCTAAAATCTGTATTTCCAAAGTCTGTATTTCCCCTCTAGATCACGCTACAGTACCCAAGACCCTGGAATTCCCCAACCATTGTTTTAAAACACATTTCAAGGACTCGTAGTAGCTCCTTGTCATGAATTTTCTGTCTGAGGAACCACTAGTATGTTTATCCTTAGACCTAAGAAATGGTTCAACAATTTGACTATTTGCAGGGACTATGGAAAGAGCTTGGAAATGTGGGCTGGGGTATCCACATATGTACATATGAGGTTCCTCATGGTATAGGCACAGCTGGGGTGGAAAATGGAGTGTAATGGGCTATAGTCAGGCCTTGGTAGCTAGGGTTGGTTCTTCACTGCTACATCCTGACATGGAATGCTGAGTTATCCATAAATTCTGTCTAAAATAATTGGCCTTTCAGATCTTTTATTAAGGTATATTTTTCAAGGTGACAGGATAGAATATGTAAACATTTTAAAATAGTTTCTTACCTTGAAATGATCTTTATTTAATATTTGGATATATTGTATTTTACTCTTACCATAGGCTTTGGAAATGTTAGGAACAGGTCTGTGTGAGAAATATCTGATTTTTTCCCTTCTGTAGTCACAGTGATTATGACGATAACTCAGTTGCAATCATGTCTATTCTCCATCTTACTTCATGCATATTATTTATTAGTTTGTCAGTAGTACTATTCTGGAACTCAGTTTTTTTCTTTAGCTCTTCAATTCCTCTTCTATTTTATTCCCTTTTAATAAGTGTATATCTTATGTATTTTTGTAGCACAAAACGCTCAGGGAAATTTTTCTTCTCTTCCAAACAGCTCTTCATCTGCATTTTGCACTATGTATTCCTTTCTTTCTTTTCTCCCCTTCCGCACACCATATCACAATAGTGTTTATAGAGTCACCTTGCCAATTCTTTTCATCTTGCTATGTTTAATTTAAAAAGCTCTGCTTAAGAACTTCCACTGGACCTGAAAAGTGTGGTAACTTTTCCTTAACGTGTTTCTCTCATGTCTAAGATTGATGATCCTCCTAGGCAAGGCCCAGCACGAAGGTGAGCTTATTTCATTCCAGACACAGTCCTATAGCTTGAAGGCCTGGGGACCTTGGGGGCAGGAATAGGGGTGGAGGACAATCAAGGAATTTCTACTCTTTGTACTTATTGTAGAATAAGTACATGTGTTCCAGTTCATTCCACCACCACATTCAGGGTTTATCATAGGCTTGTGGGAAATGTCTTTCTGTGTTGTATTATTCCTACTGTCCAGTGTGACCCCACACTTCTGCCTCAATAATTCAGTCCCTGTTCACCGTTCTTCTTTCACCATTGTCAACCCTGCAGTCTGCCCTATACACTGTCCATCTTTGGTATTCTTTGTGAAAATGCGAGGGCTTTTGTTATTTCACTGGTACCAGTGTGAGGCTTAAGGCCAGTTTTAGGGTCTGTACCAAGTCAAGATAAAACCCCCCTTTTTTTTTCCCTTAGCTGATAGTATTTCAAACTCAACACAGTGAATTATGCCTTCTTAGTTTTTTTGGTTTCCGCTAGTAAGTATTTATGCTGTTTGTGATTTTATTGGTTACTGATGAAGGGAATTCTACTTTATTCCATCATCTCCTTTCTAAACTTTTCACTATGACCTCACTTTTTATAAGTAAAAATCATGCATGTTTGCTGTTGAAAAGGTTAAAAAGGTTGAACAGGATACAAAAAGTAAAAGAAAAAAAATTATAAGTCATTTTATTTCCACTTTTCTTCTGTGCACACCGTCTACTTTAATTATTTGTTCTTACTGCCCAGAAACTTTTCCTTTGTTATTACTTCCTAGAGATTTCATTCTTCATCATGCCATCTTAAGTAGACTTTGTACTTTAGCTCAAGCTAAAACACTTGAAGTTAAGGAAAATGAGCTTAGAAACAACTTTTCTTCTATCTAAGAAGCTCTTGCCTCTCTGTTATACACATTCATATCACTGTAGAGTATATGTATTTTTGGGAAAGGATTATTATTACTTTGTTCCTTTAGACAGTTGAGTCTAAGCTACCTCTCAACCTCTTGGCACACTTTGCTAAGCAATAAAACAACTTGTAATAGAAAGTTCCTCAGTGACATGCAATGAGACTCTGGTGGGTCACAACCCATTTTCAAGTGGACTAAAGGTAACTATTGTTTACTGATAATAAATATTGAAGTTGTGGAATTAATTTACTTAAAAAATCAACTATATTCATTAGTATGTTGATTAAAACAGTTAATGTGTAAAAAACTGGACAAATCTGGCCGGGCGCGGTGGCTCATGCCTGTAATCTCAGTACTTTTGGAGGCCGAGGCGGGCAGATCACCTGAGGTCATGAGTTCGAGACCAGCCTTACCAACATGATGAAACCCTGTCTTTACTAAAAATACAAAAATTAGCTGGGTATGGTGGCAGATGCGTGTAATCCCAGCTACTCAGAATGCTGAGGCAGGAGAATTGCTTGAACCTGGGAGGTGGAGGTTGCTATGAGCTGAGATCGCACCATTGCACTCCAGCCTGGGAGACAGAGTGAAACTCTGTCTCAAAAGAAAACAAAACAAAACAAAACAAAATGTACAAATCCTTATCTCGTGCTGCAATCCTGGGAAGGTACTCGTGCTGCAACCCTGGGAAGCATGGCCATATGAGCAGATCTTGTTAGATGCGATGAGGCAATGAAAATTTGAGAAAAAATGTTTTTGTTTTTTTTTTATTATTATACTTTAAGTTTTAGGGTACATGTGCACAATGTGCAGGTTAGTTACATATGTATACATGTGTCCTGTTGGTGTGCTGCACCCATTACCTCGTCATTTAGCATTAGGTATATCTCCTAATGCTATCCCTCCCTGCTCCCCCTACCCCACAGCAGTCCCCAGAGTGTGATGTTCCCCTTCCTGTGTCCATGTGTTCTCATTGTTCAATTCACGTCTATGAGTGAGAACATGCAGTGTTTGGTTTTTTGTCCTTGCGATAGTTTACTGAGAATGATGATTTCCAATTTCATCCATGTCCCTACAAAGACATGAACTCATCATTTTTTATGGCTGCATAGTATTCCGTGGTGTATATGTGCCACATTTTCTTAATCCAGTCTATCATTGTTGGACATTTGGGTTGGTTCCAAGTCTTTGCTATTGTGAATAGTGCCGCAATAAACATATGTGTGCATGTATCTTTATAGCAGTGTGATTTATAGTCCTTTGGGTATATACCCAGTAAAGGGATTGCTGGGTCAAATGGTATTTCTAGTTCTAGATCCCTGAGGAATCGCCACACTGACTTCCACAATGGTTGAACTAGTTTACAGTCCCACCAACAGTGTAAAAGTGTTCCTATTTCTCCACATCCTCTCCAGCACCTGTTGTTTCCTGACTTTTTAATGATCTCCATTCTAACTGGTGTGAGATGGTATCTCATTGTGGTTTTGATTTGCATTTCTCTGATGGCCAGTGATGATGAGCATTTTTTCATGTGTCTTTTGGCTACATAAATGTCTTCTTTTGAGAAGTGTCTGTTCATATCCTTCACCCACTTTTTGATGGGGTTGTTTGTTTTCTTCTTGTAAATTTGTTTGAGTTCCTTGTAGATTCTGGATATTAGCCCTTTGTCAGATGAGTAGGTTGTGAAAATTTTCTCCCATTCTGTAGGTTGCCTGTTCACTCTGATGGTAGTTTCTTTTGCTGTGCAGAAGCTCTTTAGTTTAATTAGATCCCATTTGTCAATTTTGGCTTTTGTTGCTGTTGCTTTTAGTGTTTTAGACATGAAGTCCTTGCCCATGTCTATGTCCTGAATGGTATTGCCTAGGTTTTCTTCTAGGGTTTTTATGGTTTTAGGTCTAACATGTAAGTCTTTAATCCATCTCGAATTAATTTTTGTGTAAGGTGTAAGGAAGGGATCCAGTTTCAGCTTTCTACGTATGGCTAGCCAGTTTTCCCAGCACCATTTATTAAATAGGGAATCCTTCCCCCATTTCCTGTTTTTGTCAGGTTTGTCAAAGATCAGATAGTTGTAGATATGTGGCATTATTTCTGAGGTCTCTGTTCTGTTCCATTGGTCTATATCTCTGTTTTGGTACCAGTACCATGCTGTTTTGGTTACTGTAGCCTTGTAGTATAGTTTGAAGTCAGGTAGCGTGATGCCTCCAGCTTTGTTCTTTTGGCTTAGGATTGACTTGGCAATGTGGGCTCTTTTTTGGTTCCATGTGAACTTTAAAGTAGTTTTTTCCAATTCTGTGAAGAAAGTCATTGGTAGCTTGATGGGGATGGCATTGAATCTATAAATTACCTTGGGCAGTATGGCCATTTTCACGATATTGATTCTTCCTACCCATGAGCATGGAATGTTCTTCCATTTCTTTGTATCCTCTTTTATATCATTGAGCAGTGGTTTGTAGTTTTCCTTGAAGAGGTCCTTCACATCCCTTGTAAGTTGGATTCCTAGGTATTTTATTCTCTTTGAAGCAATTGTGAATGGGAATTCACTCATGATTTGGCTCTCTGTTTGCCTGTTATTGGTGTATAAGAATGCTTGTGATTTTTGTACATTGATTTTGTATCCTGAGACTTTGCTGAAGTTGCTTGTCAGCTTAAGGAGATTTTGGGCTGAGACAATGGGGTTTTCTAGATATACAATCATGTCATCTGCAAACAGGGACAATTTGACTTCCTCTTTTCCTAATTGAATACCCTTTATTTCCTTCTCCTGCCTAATTGCCCTGGCCAGAACTTCCAACACTATGTTGCATAGGAGTGGTGAGAGAGGGCATCCCTGTCTTGTGCCAGTTTTCAAAGGGAATGCTTCCAGTTTTTGCCCATTCAGTATGATATTGGCTGTGGGTTTGTCATAGGTAGCTCTTATTATTTTGAGCTATGTCCCATCAATACCTAATTTATTGAGAGTTTTTAGCATGAAGGGTTGTTGAATTTTGTCAAAGGCCTTTTCTGCATCTATTGAGATAATCATGTGGTTTTTGTCTTTGGTTCTGTTTATATGCTGGATTACATTTATTGATTTGCATATATTGAACCAGCCTTGCATCCCAGGGATGAAGCCCACTTGATCATGGTGGATAAGCTTTTTGATGTGCTGCTGGATTCAGTTTGCCAGTATTTTATTGAGGATTTTTGCATCAATGTTCATCAAGGATATTGGTCTAAAATTCTCTTTTTTGGTTGTGTCTCTGCCCAGCTTTGGTATCAGGATGATGCTGGCCTCATAAAATGAGTTAGGGAGGATTCCCTCTTTTTCTATTGATTGGAATAGTTTCAGAAGGAATGGTACCAGCTCCTCCTTGTACCTCTGGTAGAATTCGGCTGTGAATCCATCTGGTCCTGGACTCCTTTTGGTTGGTAAGCTATTGATTATTGCCACAATTTCCGATCCTGTTATTGGTCTCTTCAGAGATTCAACTTCTTCCTGGTTTAGTCTTGGGAGAGTGTATGTGTCGAGGAATTTATCCATTTAGATTTTCTAGTTTATTTGCGTAGAGGTGTTTGTAGTATTCTCTGATGGTAGTTTGTATTTCTGTGGGATCAGTGGTGATATCCCCTTTATCATTTTTTATTGTGTCTATTTGATTCTTCTCTCTTTTTTTCTTTATTAGTCTTGCTAGTGGTCTATCAATTTTGTTGATCCTTTTAAAAAACCAGCTCCTGGATTCATTAATTTTTTGAAGCGTTTTTTGTGTCTCTATTTCCTTCAGTTCTGCTCTGATTTTAGTTATTTCTTGCCTTCTGCTAGCTTTTGAATGTGTTTGCTCTTGCTTTTCTAGTTCTTTTAATTGTGATGTTAGGGTGTCAATTTTGGATTTTTCCTGCTTTCTCTTGTGGGCATTTAGTGCTATAAATTTCCCTCTACACACTGCTTTGAATGCGTCCCAGAGATTCTGGTATGTTGTGTCTTTGTTCTCGTTGGTTTCAAAGAACATCTTTATTTCTGCCTTCATTTCATTATGTACCCAGTAGTCATTCAGGAGCAGGTTGTTCAGTTTCCATGTAGTTGAGCGGTTTTGAGAGAGTTTCTTAATCCTGAGTTCTAGTTTGATTGCACTGTGGTCTGAGAGACCGTTTGTTATAATCTCTGTTCTTTTACATTTGCTGAGGAGAGCTTTACTTCCAACTATGTGTCAGTTTTGGAATAGGTGTGGTGTGGTGCTGAAAAAAATGTATATTCTGTTGATTTGGGGTGGAGAGTTCTGTAGATGTCTATTAGGTCTGCTTGGTGCAGAGCTGAGTTCAATTCCTGGGTATCCTTGTTAACTTTCTGTCTCGTGGATCTGTCTAATGTTGACAGTGGGATGTTAAAGTCTCCCACTATTATTGTGTGGGAGTCTAAGTCTCTTTGTAGGTCACTCAGGAGTTGCTTTATGAATCTGGGTGCTCCTGTATTGGGTGCATATATATTTAGGATAGTTAGCTCTTCTTGTTGAATTGATCCCTTTACCATTATGTAATGGCCTTCTTTGTCTCTTTTGATCTTTGTTGGTTTAAAGTCTGTTTTATCAGAGACTAGGATTGCAACCCCTGCCTTTTTATGTTTTCCATTTGCTTGGTAGATCTTCCTCCATCCTTTTATTTTGAGCCTATGTGTGTCTCTGCATGTGAGATGGGTTTCCTGAATACAGCACACTGATGGGTCTTGACTCTTTATCCAATTTGCCATTCTGTGTCTTTTAATTGGAGCATTTAGTCCATTTACATTTAAAGTTAATATTGTTATGTGTGAATTTGATCCTGTCATTATGATGTTAACTGGTTATTTTGCTCGTTAGTTGATGGAGTTTCTTCCTAGTCTTGATGGTCTTTACATTTTGGCATGATTTTGCAGCAGCTGGTACCGGTTGTTCCTTTCCATGTTTAGTGCTTCCTTCAGGAGTTCTTTTAGCACAGGCCTGGTGGTGACAAAATCTCTCAGCATTTGCTTGTCTGTAAAGTATTTTATTTCTCCTTCACTTATGAAGGTTAGTTTGGCTGGATATGAAATTCTAGGTTGAAAATTCTTTTCTTTAAGAATGTTGAATATTGGCCCCCACTCTCTTCTGGCTTGTAGAGTTTCTGCCGAGAGATCAGCTGTTAGTCTGATGGGCTTCCCTTTGTGGGTAACCCGACCTTTCTCTCTGGCTGCCCTTAACATTTTTTCCTTCATTTCAACTGATGGGAATAACGCGTCCGCATCAAATAAATGTTTTAAGAAAATAAAGTGACCGTCTGCAAAGGGCATGCCCTATGATAGCTTATTGTTTAGGAAAGACTAATGCAGATATTTTAATTTTGAGGAAGATTTATCCAAGTGTTTTTTTCTAATGTGCCATAAGAGGATAACTCTGTGGTGACTGCGTGTAATGACACTGAGTCTTTTAAGCAAACAGTCTCAAAATGTTGAACTGTGTGTGTGCTGATGAACTCCTTCAAGCAGATTTGGTACAACTTGCTCAATCAGTTTTTAAAATTATTATTATTACCCCAGTGTTTGAATATCTGTAAATTTCACATAAAAATTGTTTAAGTTTCTCTGAAAACCGTAGGAAAAGGGCAATATGAGGCCCTCACACCCTCCCCTCTTTACCATAGTTCCCTGCTTGATGGTGGTGTGTTCATACACCTCCCCCATTTAGTTTGCCAACTCTACTTTGTCATGTATTTGAAAATGGCTTATTGTTTTTTAAAAAAATCCTTATATAGCTCTTATGTGAATTATTAACATTAGCCTTCTGGAAAAATGTGTTATTAGAATAGGTAGATATTACAAATTACTCAGAATATTTAGATATTATCCTCTAGTTTTTGGTTTTTACATTTGAAAATCATGTGTCCTAGAGCCCATATATCTAATCCTCCACATACTAAAATTGAAATTTCAAAACATTTTATTCAAACTTATAATTTTAAATTACCCAGCATATTTTAAGAGGTGTTTTTTAAATAATGATATTAATTTAAACGTCACAATTGTTTCACCTTTTCTTTTAAATTAGAACTCAGTAAAAGAGAAAGTCTTGTTTTGAAAGAAAAAAGTGTTTCTAGATTTTACATTCACAACGTAAAATATGCTAATTGATTTTTTAAAGTAATAATTCATAGAGAATTTAATGAAGTACAATAGAAATATACCGTTTTGAACACTGGGGGCTTTGATTTTTTTTAACTAATGATAGTATATTTATGAAGATAAACAACGGCGTTTATATGACTACCAAAGGTTTTAGGGTATAATTACAATGTTTTAAATGTTATAATGCATAAAATAAACAATACTTTTATTCTGACCATAAGCAAAATATGTAATGTCTTTGATGCACTGTAGGTGATGTAGGCAAATTTTATATTTGGACATGTGAAAAGTGATAAATAATGCAGATTCACAATGGGATTGGTTTTACAGTTTTCATATGTTCATTGCCTTAACATTTTTAGAAGTTAGAAAAAATATTCTATGTTTTGCCTTTCTCAGTACCACATATAGAACATGTGTATTTATAGTATCTCCCAACACAGTTTTGTTAAAATTAAACAACATGAATGGCTTTTGCTATGGATCCACTAAATTCTCTGTTTTCATAAAGAAAAAAAGTGAATGTTGAAGTCTTTCTGGGATTTGGCAACAGAATGAGAGCTGTAAAATATCAATTTTCAAAATCTCTTGGCAGATTTAAATGACCATTATATTTATGATGTAGACTTTCATTGTTTTCAAATTTTATGTAACTTATTTTTATAAAATATCTCTGCATCCCCATGACAGTGAGAGCAAATGGTTAGAAAGCCTATTCTACAAGAATTTCAAATATTAAACCCTCTCTTTCATGTCACGTATTCTGGATGATTAAATCAGTCAGGAAGGTATTATATTTTAAAATGCAACCCCCTTACTCCATTAAGAATGCTAGAACTCTAGCACAGAAAGGAATATCATAATGCTTGTATACCTTTATTAAACCAAGGATAATGTCCCCATGTGCATTCATGCTAAGCACACTCCCTTCATGGTTGAACCAAACTTGGTATTCTCAAGTTGTGGAGGATATTCCAAAGATGGGCTTTAGAGATTTTCAGATGTTTTCACTAACGCAAAAATAATATAATGTAATCTCCCAATTTGTATCATTTTCTGTAATTTCCGTAGATTTGCTTATGACAAGAATAATCCTTTTTTTATGACTTGCTTTATGACACTTTTCTGTTTCAACTGCTAGTGACTGCCTATTACCTTTAGGTAAAACCCCACTCATTAGCATGGTGTTGAAGACCCTTAGGCATTCTCAAACCTCTTTACCTGCATCTCTTTCCCTTTCTGTCTTTACACACTTCCTCCTTTTTCTAGCTTGCCTGCTTATTTACTAAAATCCTAAAATGTGCACATATACACACACACCATACCCCTTACACTGTACTACATTGGATGATTTTGTATTCCTAGAACTCTCATTTAATTTTTCAAATCTTCTTCTTTTACTGTGCATTTTATTGTGCCTAATGTGTTGCCTACTTTTTTCTACCTCTTCTCTCAAAGATCAGATATCAGAGTTTCTTTTTTTCTTTCTTTTAAAAAAATTGCAAAGTACAGAACTAATGCTAGAAAAAAGACTCAGTTTTATCATCTCAAGCTAGTGAGAGTCCAAATCATGAATACATCCTACCATCTTACCTTTACATGCAGTAGTGTTATCAGTATCAACATTTCTAGTAATATTACTTGGAATTCATGATAAATGCTATTATTTCTACAGTGAAAATATATGCCTGAGATATGAAGGAGAGGATAGAGTTTTCTGATCTTTTTAACAAGTAATTTAATATTGTGCATAGATACTAAGATAATTTAAGCAAATAAAGTATAATTTACTAAAATTTGCCTTCCTTTGCATTGTATACTAAACATTTTGCTCAGTATCTGAGATGTAAAAAGTAAAAACATGTCAAAATGTCATTTTAATGTAAATGTAAATATTTATTTAAAAATATTGATAAGTGTAATACTGTATATTTCAAACTTGTTTTAATATATCACGTGAATCTTCTCTCTATGAAAGTGCCATACTTTTTAAATATGTGTGTGTACATATATATGTATGAAAAAGAGAGAAGTTAGAAATCTCATGAACATAACTTATTTACCACCCAGATTTATTACTTCAAAAGTTTATAATCAAGCACAAAATGTAAGCAATAAGAGTCTAATATAAAAACACTTTGTTGTAAGACTTTTCCTTTGATTCTTGTATGTTTATTGTTCATTTATTCAACATATATTCTTATTCTAGACATAAATGCCCAGGATTTCCTGCCCTTTGGGAGGTTACAGTCTTGCCAAGGAGACAAACCTTAAGGGGCTAATTACACAATGAATCACTGGATCACCAAGTGGCACAAGGTGTGAAGCACACGGACAGGAGCTCTAGGGCTGCATAACAGGACTTGAAGGCAATCGGGAAGAGTGCCTTGAGGAGATACAGGGGCTAATTCTTGAAGGGCAGGTGAGGGGTCTGTGTGTGTGTGTGTGTGTGTGTGTGTGTGTGTGTGTGTGTGTTGTGGGGGGAAACAGAGGAACTAGTCCTAAGTAGAGAATGCCTTATATAAGAACCCACAGGCAGGAACTTAACATCTTCTAAGCACTAAGAGAAGTGAAAAGAGTGTGGAGTGAGGATGGGTGGCACAGGAGCCTCCTGGTGTGGATGGCAGGACCTGGATCCTGGGAGTATTGTAGCTTTATTAAGTATTTCGTCTTTATCTTAAAAGCAATTGCAAATTAATTAAAGGCTTTTAATAATTTATGTTATAGATATATATGTGTGTGTGTGTGTGTGTGTGTGTGTAATAGATACATATTTAAAGAAAGTCTTCTGTAACTGCAAGGCAAAGAATGGATTGAATGGAAGAAAGAGTGGATTGGATACAGCATACTCTTATTCTTATTACATTACTGTGATGCTTGCAGAATATTTTTTATTGAGCTAGTTTAACATCTATAGGGGAAATTAAAATAGACAACTTGAGGATTTGTTTAATTCATACTTCACAAATACGAAAAGAGATTATAGATATTGAAAGCTATAAGCTTGTGTTAAAGTTTATAGTTCCATTATCTTGAGTTACAATTTCTTTCTGAACATGATTAACATAATAGAATCATTTTGAAGTGTATACACACAAAATGCAACTAGTTGCATCTTGTACATCTATTAGGTTACTAAAGCAATTGTGATGAAGGATGTTTCCTTTGCCACACTTTACAGGAAGCCTCAGTAGAGGCATGAGTCTGTTAAAATCACAAGATAGGTGATGAAAACAGGAATTAAAGTTAGTAATGACATTTCAGCCATTATAATCTGTGGATAATGTTTGTTACAAAGGAAAGAAAAGTAAAAACCTCATTTACTAAAACTTATAGACAAGTAAATGTGAGAATTACATGTAGTGACTATAACATGCAATACATTTAACTATATGGAACTATGTGATGCTTTAGTATCACTTTCTCCCTTAGTACTTGTTTTATGTTTCTTTTTCCTAAACAGCATTTCGGCATGTGCCAATTAGAAGTTAGAAGTGGTGCATGATGATTTGGGGCATTTCTACGTATTTCAAGTGCAGCTCACAAATGCTTATGGTTGTATGACAAAATGAATTAAATGAAACCAGGTACTTTGGTCTTATTTTATGGGTCTTTAAAAAGCACATAAACATCTTGTTTTACAAATTATAGAGTTAAAATTTTTACATCATTTAGTGTTTCGATTAACATAAACTCCTGAATCTTGTGTAATTTTTAAAGGCTACAAGTGTCTGTTAACATTTTTATACAAATCTTATCTAGAGTGGAATTTTATATTTAGATATGGGCTGTCTATATACTATCTATGCTATGGCTATAAAATAATTAGACTTAAAACATGAACGTACTAGGCCAGGCACAATGGCTCATGCCGATAATCCCAGCACTTTGGGAGAATGAGGTGGGTGGATTGCTTGAGCTCAGGTGTTTGAGACCAGCCTGTGCAACATAGCAGAAACCCATATCTAAAAAAAATAAAAAATAAAAAACAAAAAAAAATTAGCCCGGCATGGTGGCACATGCCTGTAATCCCAACTACTCAGGAGGTTGAGGCAGGAGAATCACTTCACCCTAGGAGGCGGTGGCTACAGTGAGCCGAGATTGCACCACTGCACTCCAGCCTGGCGACAGAGTGAGACCCTTTCTCAAAGAAAAAAAAAAAACCTACTAAAACATGTGCATTCATCTACAGTCTATGTACAAATACTTCCTACATTTTTTTTATCAATGCTGTAAATACACATCTTTTGGAAATTGAGCTCTAAAATTTCAACTACTATCTAAACTCTTACATGTCGACGCTACAGGGCCTCCTGAAACCTCTTAACTGCTTTTTCTGCCATGTGTGGTACTGATATGCCATCTACCTACTTTATTTTTTACCAATATAGAAAAAAATTGTCCTTCATACCTGCATGCCGCTGTATATGCTGTTGTCTCTGCCCCCCTGCCCGCCCTCCAAAAAAGGCTGGGTTAAATGTAATGTTCCTTGGATCCTATGCATCTCTTCTTTCTCGGATTCCATTTTTATTGTGCCAGAATATCTCGTTAATTAACTTTTAAAGAATGGATGTGAAGGAAGTAAGTGTCTTTGTCCTTAATAGCTAAAAATATTTTAATTTACTTTTACAAAAGATTATTAATTTAGCCAGGAATTAAAATTGGGGTTGAAATAATTTGTTCTGGAACTTTTGAAGTTACTAGCAAAATGTCTTTCACTGTCTATTCCTCCTGAAGAAACTGTATTGATCATGTGATTTGTATTTTTTTCTGAGTGTCTTGAAATTGACTTTTCTTTATTTTTCATTCATTCTCATCAGCACTCAGTTGGCCCTTTACATTTGAAGCTGCATTTGTGTTGTCAACCATGAAATTTTTATTCTTCCATTATTTATTTTATTATTACCATCTCACAATTTCTCTTTTTCTGTTTCTGGAACTCCTTAATCAGTTTTTGAAGCTCCAATATTGATCTTTTTGCTCTATGTCTTTTAACTTTTTTCTTGTATTTTTAAAATGTATTTTTGCTTTATATTTAATAATATTTCTAAGATTTTATTTTTATTTTTAAGCCATTAATATTTTTAAAATTTAACATTTGTTTTATATTCCAATTTTTTTATTTTATTGCTTTTTTTACGTATGTGTTATTATTTTATAACTGCAGTACATTTTCAAGCATCTCTAAATAGATTAATTAGACTTACTACAAAGTTCTATTTAGTTCACTAATAATGGCAGCTTCATCTTTAACATTGATCAATTCATTCATTTTGGTCTTTCTGTTTTGTGTTGTTGCTTATTTCAAAAATCTCACGATACTTAGTCATATGTTCTTATAATATAGATGTTTTAGAATCTTCCCACATATGGAGCAAGAGCAAATGGCTGGATGCTGTGACTCCATCTTCATGACTTTCCCAATGAAAAAAATGGAGAGCTTTATTCGGAGCTGCTGTTAACCCGTACTCAGAGCATTCTTATCCAGTGACATTGTTCCATATTTTTATAGCAAGGATTTCAGTTTTTTTTTAAGGTTATTAGCTGTTACTATGTTGCCAATCGTGTTGTATGTGAAAGAGTGTGGGGCCATTAGACACAATGTGTTCTTGTTAAATACAGTGATTCAACAATGCCCCACTCTAACTTTTGTATTACTTCTCACTTCCACTTTTTCTGTATTCCACTTTCAAATTTGAAATCCTTCTGGGACTTCATCAGTACTTTTTCCACCTTTTTATTAACTCATCTGTATATTTATAAAATATCTGATTAGATTTCACTTTTCTCTGAAAGTTTTCTGAGTTTATTACTATTCTTACTTCTTTACTCTCATTTAAAGATGATCTGAGGAGGAAGACATGAAGTACATATGGTCAGTCTCATTTAAACTAGAAACTTATTTTTTATCTTCAATGTCTTACATATTACCAGATGAATAGTACTTGCACAATAAATTATAATTGAATCCAATTGAACACACAGAAAAATAAGACAAACTGCATTATAGTTTTACTTGCTTTTGACCAAAAATATTATTAGGTATTAAATACTTAATTTATTAGGCTCAACTATGAATAATGATTGTTGTCTATTTTAAAATCTAGTTTATTTCCAGAGAACAGGATGTAAGTTGCCACTTATATGCATATTATAAAAAGAAACAACACAACACCTCCCAAGAATCCACCTTACTCTATTTCCAAAAAAACTTGGAAAAAAGAATTTAGTAAAAATTTTTAAGTATATATCCTCCATATTTACTTTCTGACAGTATGATTAGATATGTGCCTCTGTGTGGGTGTGTGTATTTTATTGTCACTGTTTGTTTTAGTATCTCTTTCAGAGAAAGCTTGTTGCTTTGGAATATCCTTTCTTCTTAATTTTGTAGAAGAACCATATCCCAGATAAAAGTCTACATTCCCCAGTATCCATGTATCACGATGACTTTATTTTGACTGGTGAGATGTAAGCAAATAAAATGTATTGCTCCTAAAACATCTCCTTAAAAAAGAGTAGTTATGACTTCCCCACCCTATTTCATTCTACCTTTTGAAATGTATATGTGAAGGCGGGGCCCCGTTCCTGAATTTGGACATGAAAATGGAGCACACCCCCTTGGTATAGCAGAGCAGAAAGTTAGACCTTGGGTCTCTAACAACATCAAGATTGTCTAACTTACTCTGGATTATGTTTATTTTATATATATATATATATGTGTGTGTGTGTGTGTGTGTGTGTGCGTGTGTATATATGTATGCTTTTTCAAATATATCAAGGAAAAAAGAAAGAGTTAAATAATACAATTATGGTGCTTGAGATGTTTCAGACAGCAAAGACAGACATGCTTAATTGCTTTAGGTGATAGGGAGAACTTAAGAACAATGTGGAAATATGTAAGGAGTCGATTGGCCTCATCTCTAAGAAACAATAATATTGTTAACGAAATATGATTCCTCTAGAAGTCCAAAGACAGGCCCAGGAACCCAATGCAGTTCTAGTCTTCCCTTTGGAAAAAAGCATTTAGTGAAGTTCCCCTGAGCGACTTTTTCATAATGGACATTGGACATTTTCAGAAGTCAAAAGAGGCCCGAGTCACTCCTAATTTTTAAGGTTTGTATAGATTCTTCTAAATAAATAAATACCAAAGAGAAGTTAACCAAACTGTGATATAATTTAAATGTTTCCATTTATTACATTGTTTCTAGCACAAGTAGAATTCAATATAATTTTACCTTTCAGAAGATAACCACAGTGTTTATTCACACATATCAATTCATATACAGTCTATCAGAAATACTGTGATCTAGCAGCAGAACACGAAGTTGTAGGCTGTATAATGAGGTGCTTATTTTCATCCTGTCAGTAGATCATTAGGATAGGTGGGTAGAGATTTTTAACATTTTATATGAAGTGTGTTTGCGATGACTATGAACTCAGGGCAAAGTGGCCCTACTGTGTCCTTGCTGGAATATCCTCACTGTTGACTTCACTACTTCCTGCCTCGCCTCTGTTAGGCTTATATGAGGGCTCTTCCAGAGGAGGGTATGTCACTTGCTATCCTATATATTATGCCTGTGTTGGACACAGTTCTTTTACCGACCAGCATTTGGACTCAGCTACTGAGAAAGGTCAAATAGTTAGGGGAAGGTAGTGTATTTACCGGTCTTCTTCTCTTGTTAGAAATTCCTATAGCTCCCATTAATTTCTCTTTTCAGTTCTTTGCTGATAATGCCACCATATTTAAATTGTGATTGTTTTTCTAAGTCAATCTTAAAGATCTTACAGGAATCTATAAATCTTCTTGGAAAGGTTTCAGTCAGGGTTAAGTTCCTTTTTTCTCTCCATTAAGTTTGTTATTGCAAATTCTTGTGGTTGAGAATTGTTGACAAGGAGGAGCTAAAGATTCACTCAAATTGAAAGAGGTTTTCATTTTGTTTTGTTCTTAAGGCAATTGAATTATATTTTTTTATTAAAAAAGTAAGATTTAGGTTCTAAATGCACTTAGTGCTATATGGAAATTTATTTGAAGAAAAGTATATACTTAAACTCTCTTAGTTGTTTTGGAATTGGACTAAACTGCTTTTTCTTTTTCTTTCTTTTTTTTTTTTTTTTTTTTTTGAGACGGAGTTTCGCTCTGTCGCCCAGGCTGGAGTGCAGTGGCGCGATCTCGGCTCACTGCAAGCTCCGCCTCCTGGGTTCACGCCATTCTCCTGCCTCAGCCTCCCGAATAGCTGGGACTACAGGCGCCGGCCACCACGCCTGGCTAATTTTTTGTATTTTTAGTAGAGACGGCGTTTAGCCGTGTTAGCCAGGATGGTGTCGATCTCCTGACCTGGTGATCCGCCTGCCTCGGCCTCCCAAAGTGCTGGGATTAAGCTGTAAACTGCTTTTTATGTCAAGCTTTGGAGCAAGGCTTTACGAGTTAGGCAAAATAGGAAGAGAGCTCACCAAGTCTCACCAATTCTATATTTTTCTCTGTCTAATCCATTTTTATGTGTCTTTCTGGGCCATCTGGGATTGGAGGGATTAAAGATGTTGAAAATCAGACCTAACCATGGAAAGCTGGGGTAGGATGGAAATAAAGGCAACAAATGACTTTTTCCATAGTATCTACATTTATTCAATTACCTCACTAGGCAAATTCTTAGTGAATTCTTACTATGTGCAGTCACTGTGCTCTCTGCCAGGGATAAAGGATGGAAACACGTGCTTATATGTTCTGAGGGGAATACACATAAATAGACAGTCCCAATACATTAAGGCAATTGTAGTAATAAAAGGACAAAGCAGAGTAGGAGCTTAGGAAAAGGATCTACTAGTAGTTTTTTTATCTTGCTACTTTGCTGAATTTGTTTACCAATTCTAATAGTGTTTTCGTGGAGTTTCTAGTCTTTTCTAAATATAAGATCATATCATCTGCAAATAAAGATAATTTAACTTCTTATTTTCCAATTTGGATTCCTTTTATTTCTTTCTCTTATCTAATTGCTCTAGCTAGGACATCTGAATTCCACTCTAATGACACCTCTATGGTGCCATTACCTTTATTCATTGCAGTTTAAGATTTATAGAAGTAATATAAACTGAATTTGGATTTCCACAAATAACTTAGATTATATAATTATTTAATTTCTTCTTAATCTGCTTTTCTGTTTTGAAATTAGATATATTTATCCATATGTGAAAATATTGAGATTGAAATATTGAAATATTGAAAATATTGTGATTCCTAACTCATATTTATCACTATTTTTAATTATTCCACAGTCTACTATAGCTTCCTTGTATACATGGTTTAAAAAACCTCCTGGGATTGTCAAACACAACATCTGCCATTATCCTTGTTTTAAAACTCTCTTTGTTTCACTGTGATTAACAAAGTCCTCCACAGACCCAAATAACCACAATTATTTGGACAAATGACTCAATTTCAAGTTTCAGATACATTTTTTTCTAGATACCTGATGTTTAGTTGTGGATGTTCCTAGATTTATGATTGATGCCATGCTATCTTCTCACCTCCAAATGTCTGCAAAAAATCTATCCCTTCAGTCCTGCTTTCTCTCATTTTGTTTTATCTTTAATTTCTATCATGCCTGTGGTTACTATTTCTTTAGGTGCAATTTCATACTTTGAAATACCTTAAGCAAAACAGAGATGTGCAATTATAAGGATATAGTGGATTCCTTTTCTAGGTGATTTATTTACTTCTCACTTGGCTGTAATAAAATCTAATTGGTTAAGTAAATAAAACACAGCACCCTTCAGTATGTTTTCCACATAGCATCTGAAAGATTTACTTATTTTATTTCTTTCTAAATATATTTAGCTAATGTTAGATATTTACTATTCAACCTTAAGAGAAAGGGGAAGAAACCCTGCCGTTTGCCACACACGGATGGACTTGAACGACATTATGCTAAATGAAATAAGCCAGATACAGAAAGAAAAATATTGCATGATCTTACTTATATATGGAATCTAAAACAACAACAACAAAAACAACAAAATCAGTGGTTACCATGGTCTGAGTTGGGGGACAGAGAATGGGGAAATGTAGGTCAAAGGATACGAAATAGCAAATATGTGGGATGAACACATTGAAAGATTTAATGTACAATATGAGGGCTATAGTTAATAATATTGTATTGTATTCAGGATTTTTGCTAAATTAGTAGATTATAGCTGCTCTTGTTGGGGAGAAATGGGTAACTATGTGAGATGATGGATATGCTCATTCGTTCCACTGAAGAAACCACTTCACTGTATATGCATTTTATAACCTCATGTGTACCTTAAATATCCACAATAAAATTTATTTAACAGATGTTAACATTTTCTCAGCATGACTTTATATCCTTTTAAAAGAAACAAAATATTGATGTTATGTAGCTGATGCCTTCCCTCATTCGTTCCTGTCTCCTTCTCTGAATTTGATGTGTATTATTTATTTCCAGGTATTAACTAAACTACCTGTGCTTGTATGCATAAACAAGATATACCTACTGAATATATCTTTTTATTATTTCTTAAAATATTCAACATTAGGTTTTTGAGATTTATCCCTGCTGATACATATAGAACTAGTTAATTCATTTTAACTACTTTATATTTGCTAACACAATCACTTGTTAATAGATATTTAGGTTGTTTCCAATTTCTTTTTATACCAAAAGTGAAAAACCTGCAAGGAATATCCTTGTGTATTTCCAACCCTGTGAACATCTACTGGACTTTCCCTGGCGTTCGAGGCTGTGTTCCTAGTAGAATTGCCACAAAGTGTGTACCTTATTCAATTTATAAGATATTCTTTAAAAGTTGTCTGAACTGACTGAATTTACATTTGCACTGACAATGCATAAGTTCCAATTATAGATATCATCACCAACAATTGGGATTATCAGGTTGTTTCATTTTTACCAAATCATTGAGTTTGAAATGTTATGTTGTTTTCTCAAGTTTGCATGACCTCAATTACTAGTAAGACTGAGTGTGTGGTTTTTAGTGTTTGGAAATTTGTGTTCACTTCACGTGAATTGCTACTTCATAATCTTTTTTCCACTCGTGTGTGTGTACACATGAACATAAACTCTAAATTATGTTTTATTTATTTATTCACCTAAGTTGGTATAGATACTATATGTTGCTTTGCTTAAGAAAGATTTGGACTAAGTTCTGTGCTTGGAATTAACATGGCTGCATCAGGTTGCATCTGGATATTTGCCTGATAATATCTTATTTCTATAACTTTATATTGTCTTTCTGTGTCTCTTTTTGGCAGCAATCACTACTTTTATACATTATTTTAATCTATTTACACTCTTGTAATTGCAAATATATTGGCATCATTTATTCTATTGTATAGAGTGACTTTCATTTACGATGCTTTTCGTTGTCATTTTTTAAGATTTCTTATTTTCTGCCTTGTTAGATTTATTGAGTTTCCTTTGCTCACTTTTTATTTCTTATTTATTTTGGAAGTGATAATTTTATATCTGTTATTTCAATAGTTTCTGCAAAATTTACACATGCACTTTTGACTTAATAAAGTTAATCAGTATCAGATAGATAATAATTTTCCTCACACACACAACAAAGACAATGAACTTAAATAGTTTAATTCTGATTGTCCTACAGACATGTTCTTTTTCCTAGTATTTAGCTTCACATTTTTCTTACCCTGTCCCAAATTAGTCATTAATATATTATGTTTTGTAATCAATGCATAACTTGACTTACTTGTTTACCAATGCCTTTGTTTATCTATGCTTCTTGCATTCCAGTTCTTCCTTCTGATTATTTACCTTTCACTGAATTTTCATTTATCAATACTTTCAATACTGAGCTATAAGAGCAATACTCTCTCAGTCTTTGTTGTCTAAAAATGTCTATTTCTCTCACTTCTATATCAGTTAAACTATATTAACATTCCCAATTATTTTTCAGTATGAACCTATTCCTAAATTTTCTTGGGACCACTGTTACTTGTGGGAAGATCTGTCAGCTTAATTTTTGTTACTCTATAAATACTTGGTGTTCCCTTTTTTGTGGTTGTAAAACTTTTATCATTGCTTTTCAGTGTTTTCTGGTTTCACTATGGTATGTCTGAGTGAGAGTTTGTTTATATTTTCTTGTTTGAAACTGTGTACTTTAGAGGACACTTCAGTTCTGAAAGTACTAATTCATTGTCTGTTTGAATACTACATCTCTCACTTCTGCAACTCTTTAAAAGAAAAATATGTGGTACTTTATCATATCATCTCAAAGGCTCTCACAGGATAGCTGCTACCTAACTATCCAACCTCATCTCTCACAGTGCCCTTGAGCCAAAACAGTCTTTAAATCACTCACACTCAGGTGATCTCTTCTGTCAGAGGACCTTTATCAGGCTCTTTTCTGAGCAGACTGCTTGAACCACTCTTCTGCCAGTAAGCTCCAACTCATCCTTACAGAATGCTTCACTAACCTTTCTGATGGGGTCTTCCTCTTCTCTTATAACATCTTATATTCTTCAGAGCGCTTGAGCTAGTTGCACTTTTAAAATTACTTGTTTGAAGATCTAGTCAAAGTGAGGCCCTTTCATGGATTGTCTGCTCCATGAAAGCAGTGTTTTGTTTGTTTTTTATTCTCTTGGAATTTTATAGGCACTCAGGAAATAACGTAGAGACTGAAACCAGGTAGGAAGCATAAAACCAGCAGGAACTGAGGTGGCATTTATTCATCTCTGAAAATCAGCTTCACTGCCCTCCTAAAAGACCTGTTTTCTCTCATTTGCTGCAGAATTTACTATGATAAAATGTGTGGGGTAGATAACCTCCAGGTGAAATAGGACAAGGACCCATGAGCCAAGACTGTCTCTCTACCTCTCACATTCTTTAGATAGCCTTTCACTTTAGTTTCTAGACAGAGCTTGAGAATATGCAACCAACTCAGTGGTCATTTATGGATAAATTCTTTCCTTCCCATTTTCTTCTAGAATAACTGAATAAGTTTTGAAGTAACAACCACTTCCAAGAATCAAATTGGAGAGAAAATGCTTTTGCTCACACTTAAACTGAAGAAATAACCCTCGGAGCATTTACTTAACAAATATTTGCTGAGCCCCTAATTAGTACCGGTTGTTATGTTAGGCCTTTAGAATGCAATAGGAAAAATTTTAAGGATGTGTCAGAGTTAACCTGACTAAGAGAAGAAGGAAGAGCATTTCAAGAAGAAATAATGGTTTGTGCAAACATTCTGTGGCAGGAAGCAGACAAGCAATTTTGAGGGCCTAAAGAATACCAGAGAGATTGGGAACAGAAATACAGAGTTGAGGACTGAGAGTTATTTAGGAGCATGAGACAATGACTAGAACTGACTCATACTAGCTAAAAATCAATCATATTTTTTAAAAATTTTGTGAGCTGGTTGGTTGTTAAACACAACAGTTACTAAAAGTGAAACTGGGCTGAAGCGAGTGGATCATGAGGTCAGGCGTTTGAGACCAGCCTGGCCAACATAGTGAAATCCCGTCTCTTTTTGTATTTTGTAAAAATACAAAAAATTAGGTGGGTGTGGTGGTGGCTGCCTGTAATCCCAGCTACTTGGGAGGCTGAGGTGGGAGAATTGCTTGAACCTGGGAGATGGAGGTTGCGGTGAGCTGAGATCGCATCACTGCACTCCAGCCTGGGCGACAGTGTGACACTCCGTCTCAAAAAAAAAAAAAAAAGTGAAACTGTATAAACAAACTAATTACATTAAAAACAAAGGTTTTCTAATTGTTCCCTGTTATTTTTAATTATTTTACTGCAGTTCACTATTATTTGTGCTCCTGAGTTTATTTATGTATAGTACACTTTTTAATTGTATGCTACTGTACATTTATTCCCAACCTCAGGTTCAGTAATGTCACATGACTAACCTGAAATCAACCACAGTGGAATTTTACACAAAACCTTTCAAATGAAGACTTCCTTACACTGCCAAGAGCCAGCTGATAAACACCAGTATTCCATTGAGTGAGACTATGCAGAATCCTGAAGTCTGTTTTCAGAATTGATCTTTATCACAGGAGAAATGAGCAGACATAGAAAGGATTTAAACAGGGAGTTAACAAAAGCACACTTCTGCTTCAAAAAAAAAAAAAACCAAAAAAGTCATTGAGACTACTGAAATGAAAAAAAGCAAAGTGGCTTTGGATAGTCCATACAGTAAATCATAGAGGCTCAGAGTAGGATGACAGAAGTGAAAATGGAGGAAAGTGAATGGATTTAAGATTCGTTATTTAGGAGCTAAAATAGAAGGACTTGTTCTCCTGACCAGAAGGTGAGTGAAAGGGTGATATCAAATAGAGTTTCTGGATTTCTGATTATTCAGATGTGAGGTTTGTGCTGTCATTTGCTAAAATAGAAAATACTAGAAGAAATTTGTTGAATTTACTATATTTGTTGAATGTTTTGAAACTGCTGAGTTTGCAGGCCTTCGAGACATCCAAAGACTGAGCCCTGGTGGCCTTTACCTGCCTGGTGGAATCAATCACTTAAGAGCCTCATGAGGAGGAAGTAAAGTCTATATCCTGTCCAACGTCTAGATGCTTTTGGTGTTTTCATTTTGAGCCCAATCCTGCCACCATGTGACAAAGAGCCAACTTCACAGTTGATTAAACTTAGACCTAAGTAAGAGAGGAGGGAAAAATCTCCATATGGAATAAATGTGATGGAAATGTGTGAAATGAAGGAACTGTCTCCTTACATAAACTATTTTTAAAACAATCCATAACTTTTCCATTCTCATATGTGTATAACAGTGCAGGTATGGTGGCTATGAGAATGGCCTCCAAGACCTCTGAATGCAGAGTGTAAATGACTGAGGACCCTGATGCTGTACTCTGAAAGTCAGCATTTGAGCAGTGACCACACTGCTGCTCCCAGCCAATGACTGAACAGGGCAGAGACAGTAAGGTTGCCCTGTTATGGGAGATGTCAGACTCCCCAGTATCCTTGCCAAAGTCTCCTTAGAACTGCATTGTCTAAGATACTTCCATTCAATGTTCCTATCTTCACAACCTCTCTCCTTAACGTGGGTTCCCACCTGTCTTATGCTCTGATGCCTCTGCCAGCCTTATCTGAGTCCCTGGCTCCTCTGCCTGGTACCTGTAGTAGCCCTTGACTGGTGTGACTTCCTGTCATTCACCCAGTGATAGTAAACATCTGCTTTGTATTAGTTTAGGGTCCTGGGCCCAGATAATTTTCTTTCCCTTTCTCCAAGGCGAGACAGCTTTTGCTTCTACCCTCTCTCAGAAGCAAAATATCTTTGCCTGTGTCTTACAGGTTGGAGGGTTTCTTGCTACTGCACCAGTAAAGGTTCTGCTTTATAAGGGAGAACAGTCTGAGAAGTAAATGGGGTTTTGTGCCTGTGTGCCCACCAGGGGCTCTCTTCCATCTCTTTCCTCCTCTCAGCATGAGAGGTCTGTGTAAAGGAGGCCATGAGTGAGTACAGATGATACTGTGTCTGAGACTCCCAAGGATTCTAAATTGTCATAATAGCACATATTCAACCTTTAATTAGTCATCAAAGTTTTAGTTGCTTTCTTCATTCACTCTGATGGTTGCTGCCTTTTTTTCCTGTGATTTTCTAAAGGTTGAACAGTTGATGTTTTCTGTATATCCTCAGAGGGCTTGAAACTCTCAACAGTTGAGTTCATTTGGTTGCCTTGTGAGGTCAAGTCTCTGTTGGTCTCAAGAAAATTATGATTTTGCAGATTATCTTTTTTTTTAATTTCAAGATTGGAAGCAATGTTCTCCTACAGCTTTCTGCATGTTAAGCAGAAGGGAAATGCCCTCTGATTATTTTTAAAAATCAGTTATATTCCTGCATCAGGTTTCATATTTTATGGGTGGGTATATCAGAGTCAGAAATAGAATGTATATATAAATCATATGTTATGTTCTAAGCATGTTAAATTATATTATCATACAGTTGGTCCTCTGTGTGATGGTCACTATTCTGTAAATTTATTGACTGAAAACATCAAGCAGCAATGGAATGTTCAGTTCAATATCAGTTAAGGCTTCCATAGCAGATTTCCCCTAGACAAAAATAAATTGTTTCTAGTATACTTTGTTTGGGTCATTCTTCAAAACAATTACCTTGTCCTTTCCACTAGGTGGTTGACCAGATTGACACCCTGACCTCTGACCTACAGCTGGAGGATGAGATGACTGACAGCTCCAAAACGGACACGCTGAATAGTAGCTCAAGTGGCACAACAGCCTCCAGCCTAGAGAAGATCAAAGTGCAGGCTAATGCACCGCTTATTAAACCCCCAGCACACCCGTCTGCTATCCTCACGGTCCTGAGAAAGCCAAACCCTCCACCACCTCCTCCAAGGTTGACACCTGTGAAGTGTGAAGACCCCAAAAGGGTGGTTCCAACTGCCAATCCTGTAAAAACCAATGGCACCCTTCTACGAAATGGAGGCTTACCAGGTGGACCTAACAAAATTCCAAATGGAGATATCTGCTGCATACCCAACAGTAACTTGGACAAGGCTCCAGTCCAGCTTCTGATGCATAGACCTGAAAAAGACAGATGTCCCCAGGCAGGGCCTCGAGAACGAGTTCGGTTTAATGAAAAAGTACAGTACCATGGCTATTGTCCTGACTGTGATACCCGGTATAACATAAAAAACAGGGAGGTCCACTTACACAGTGAACCTGTCCACCCACCGGGAAAGATTCCTCACCAAGGCCCTCCCCTCCCTCCTACACCCCATCTCCCTCCTTTCCCACTAGAAAATGGGGGAATGGGAATAAGCCACAGTAACAGCTTCCCCCCTATCAGACCTGCAACTGTGCCTCCTCCCACTGCACCAAAACCACAGAAGACGATCTTGAGGAAGTCAACCACTACAACCGTGTGATGTATGCCATTAAAAAAATTGTTTTTTTAATTTTCTATATTATAAACATAAAATAAGTAATGAGCACTTTCTACTCAAGCAATAAAAAGCCCAAATATATTAATCCTGCATTCAGCAAAGTGGCATAAAAATCACCTGGTAAGTATGCAGCACATTGCTTATATCCTGGGTATGCATTATTTTAAATGTTGTATCATTAAAAACCTCAGAATGATGAAAAATATGAATGATGCATTGTTTTTGCAATTGACCTATGACAAACTGTGAACCTGCAGATTTCACCTATTTTGATTTACTATAAGAGCTGGGATTTGATTCATTTTATTTATGCCTAAGTCATCTATGCATTAACATGTCATATTCTTAACTTTGATCTAATGCTTTTTACTAGGAAATTTTAATACTGAAGGACTATTTTATTATTTTTTTCTAAAGATGTTTGTCACTAGTTTTTCATTATTAAATGCTGAGGCCAATACCAAGAAGTTTATTTTCTATATTATACAATTATGAATTACATGCTCAGCTATATATGTAATAAAATACTTTGGTCTGTGGAAATATTGTTAAATCAATAAACAATAGTAAATAATGACAAAAGCAAATGTTCCTCAGAATTAAAATGAAGTAGTGGTTCATTTAATCTCACTTAACATTCCTCAATATGGGCAGCAAATCTGACAGAGTTTGGAGAAGTTACAGTGAGTGTATATCAGAATTTTCTAAATGAAATATCATATTCCACATCATAAATCAAAATCTACACACTACATATTTTATACTTCCATTTGGTACTTCAAGAGCCTTCTGTTGAACTCTCCCTATGTTGCCAAGCCCTCCTCATACTCAGCATTCTTCCAGGATGTACCCTAAACTATTACATTGAGGCTGTAGGGTGTTTTGCCTCCTGCATTAGCAAGCTCTCTGCCTCCCCAAGTGGACCCACATTTATAGGAGAATTATAGGGGGATATCTGAATGCTTCTGGTATCAGGATGTGTTCAGCATTTGGCGTAAGTTTTTCCCCCTCAGAGTTGAAAGATACCATGGGCCGTTGCTGTCTTCTAAAAGAAAGAGAAGAAATCTTTCCTTCTAACATCAAATAAAAATCCTCCTCTTCCGTCTTATCTACCAACTTAACAAACTTTACCCACCCATGGTCCAAATTTAACTTCCAATTTTATTAATTTCAACTGATGAGATATTTTGTCCTGGAGCTGGAAATGAGTTTCTCTCCCCTAGAGTTATGATGAGGACAGGTTCCTGAAAACAAAATTGGTTCATTAGTGGTAAGAGTAGAGGGAGTCATCTTTTGTGGAAATGTATTTATGGCATAACTTGATAAAGAATCCAATGACTTTTATGAATAGTTGGCTTTTGATCTCAAAACTGTAATCTTTGCACAGGCAGATAGCCTTCAATCGTATTTCTTTCCTGCCTTTTTCAAGCTAGATCATGGTAATTTGAATAGTGTTTTTGACAGCTTCCTATTAAAAATGATTATATATTTTAGATGGAATACAAAAAGAAAATAGGCCTTATTTTTTGAAGGAACAATCAAATGAGTAAAAAACAGAATGTCATGTTAAATATTTACTCAGCATGCGTTATGTTTCATAGGTGTTGGACATGAAGATAATGAAAGCAAAATAATCCGACTTACAATAATCAGAAAGTTACAAAACAGATCCATAATCAAGAAAGACCATAATCTAAAATTTGTTATCTGTATTATTAATATGTTTAATAGATATGAGCCAGGTAAATTATAGACTTATTAAATACCAAAATAATGTGTTCTTAACTTTTTAATGCATGCATTTAGTCTTGATATAAATAAAGCCAGGGTTTTATCATATTTCTAGGGTTAAATAATTACTTCCTTTCACATGTCTATCAAAAGCTAGACCGTTCAATATTATAAACAGTTGTAGAAGACATGCAGTTTTCTTTCTTCAACTCATCTTTCCTCTTCCACCAGTTACTGTGACCTAATAATCACCCTATAGTTTAAGACTGTGACACTTTTCGATGTCGGGGATCCAAGCCCGATCCCAAGGTAGAGCTTTCTAGCAACCACACATCACCTACAGAACAGATAATTTCCTTGCGATAAAGCAAGATGAATAAATTTAATCGTTCAAGCTGGTTGAGTAAGGATATTGAGCCAGACACCTAGAAACAATCTCAGTGTTCCAAATCCGTTTCTCTTTCTCTAAGTATAGGCAAAGCTTCTCCATGAAAGACCATATTTTTCTGTGTGATTGGTGACATATACCAAAACTACACTTGTTTTTATTCAACACATAAATAACTAACTAACTACTGGCTTAGAAATGTGAGTTAAATACCATCCCCCAAATGTTATAGTTTTGACCTTGCTAATAAGGACCTTACTCTTTTATGACAGTTTATTTATAATCAACATTTAATGTTAGATTACAGCACTCTTAGGACTTATTTTGAATTTATTTACTCCATGCTATTTCATTTTTTATTAATGCATGGAATATATTGTACCAATATGTTTTCTTGCCCAAGTGATAATATTGCCACATTCACTGGAACTTAGTTATATTTTTGCATATATACAAACTTGTAAAACAGAAAGCAATTAACATACAGCTTCATAATATTTGTCTGCAAACTTGTAATTAAAGTATCATAAGTGGCAGCACAGTTTTTGCAATCAGCCAACATTGCTTCAAAATGTAAATGTTGAAGTGCAAGCTCTACACATCATCCATTAAATCATCATAAAATATAGTACATATTTCCTCTTCCTAAAGACCATAAACAGAAATGTTTTCCTCAAATACTTGAAACTACGTTTTGTTAACAATGTGCATTTGAACACTTTTATTTACACATAGCGTTTATCACAGAGCCAGCCTTCATACTCCTTTGAAGGTGATGTTTCCACAAAATGTAAAATGGTAATACATTTCATTTTAAATAAAATAATGTGATAATATCCATACTGTAAAAATAGGACATATTTCAAAAGGCATGGTAATCATTAATTAAATTGGAATAAACAGGGTGTTTTGGTTTTTTTTTTTTACTTTAGACAAAGATTTTCCCATTTTTGCTGTGTTGTATTTCTACTGATGAAAGTTGAAAAGAAAATAAAAATTGCCCAAAGTTATCTTCCACCTACCAATAGTTATAGCAGTTATAAAGGGAAATGAAACACATTTTTAAGGTCATGCTTAAGCCAAATCTAAAAATATGTTCACAAAAATACAAGGGCATACAAAAACAGAAATTTTTCACTCTTCTGATTTGACGTTATTATATCCATTTCTTCCCTCATTCATTGAATAATATTGGAAGAAATGAATCTACTATCAGCAGAAGTGGTTTAATTAACCTAAATTATCCTGTGTTTGAATTATAACTGCATCCTAATTATTAAATGAATAAAGGAATATGATACAGTTGATATGGCTTTCTGTGGACAGATCAGCATGACTAGAGCAGCAGCTACTCACAGTCTCTGAAACTATACAAGACCTTGAATCTACAGAGTCTAACTATAGCTCTTTTTGGGTGCTCTGTGAAGAAAATCTGCGTAGTTCTGCATATAATTGCACAAGGAATGGTGTGATCAAGTCATGAATCACTGCCGTGACTGAATTTTTTTTCCATGGATTCTATGTGATAATGCGATGCTGAGTCTTGTAATTATCCTGAAGATTTCGTTTCTTGCTTCTAATTCTCTGTCCCCAGCACATTTTGCTATAGCCTATGTTCCAAGTTGTAGCAAAAGTTTACATTGTAATGTACTTTGATAAAATACGGATGATTTCTAACTGGGGAAATGATTTATGAGCAATAAATTTCTATAAAAAGCCATATCACGAAAGTAGATAAAGTGCACAGCATCAATTACTAGACATTTTCACAAAATCACATCACCTTTTCTGGGTCAATGTGTAACTGTGACAAGTTTAAATGTTTACAGTAAACATTTTGGAGTCTTCGAATTCTTCAAGTTACATGATTTTGAAATAATGGCAGATGTGATGCTGCAATTCGGGCACACAGTAGTGTTGAACATAAAACTGCAGTTAGCCTTATCTTGAATCAGGAGTAGCAATTATGTAGGCTGTCATTTCATTTGAAGCACTTGGATTTATCATTCTGATCTACTGGGGAAAAAAAAACCTGAAGTGTAACATAAAGAAGCTTTACAAATAACTCTCTCTTTAAAATACGGTTAAATCGACATGGGGTATGGAATTGTGTAAAGACACAGGGAAAATAAGGAGGAAATATTGCTTATAATTTATAACTTCTAGACTCATCAAATGTAGGTATATATATTCTTTCTCAAAGTTAACATATCTCTAATACTAATATATAACATAGGAATTAGTACACTTATTTAAAAATGTAGAAATTCCAGACCTCAGTTTCAATATTCTGCCAAAATTTGCCCCTTGGTAAGTGTTGGGCTGGCATTTTGTGCTGCCAGCACGACTCAGCATGCTTTTTCTCTCCACAATATCGCCACTTAATTGTGTTCTTCATAGCCCCGAACTTCGTAAATCTTTCCTTTATTCTGATCAGTTATTTTGACGCTTGAAAGGGGTTACCTAATGTTGTTTTGACATTCTTAATGTGTTTGATCTTTGCAGAATATGAAAGGGATTTCAGGCAATTTAGCTACCATCTAAAATGAATCAGCTGCTGAATAATGAAAGCTTCATTTTCTCATGTATTATACCAGTGGCTTCACCTTTTAGTTTTTTTTCTCTAAGTTCAAAGACTATTATTTTGGATCTTTTCCCTAAGAAGTTCTGATTCCACAGAATTATGCCATTGACCCTGACTCTGTCACTATCATACACTGGTGTTTCATTTGTGAATTTCATCTATTTAACATTGACCCCTAAAGCCAAAAGTAGCAATAGATCTGCTCCATGGAACCTCTAAAGCGTGCTTACAACTCTCTCTAATAAAAGCATTTCTATACTTTTGTTATTAGGCTATGGATATGATTTCCCTCTATTTCATAATATAATTGTCAATTATCCTAACCAATCAAAGGGATTTTAGACCAGCTAAATAAAACAATGTGTGCCTCAAGTGGGTCAGGGTTCATGGCATCAAGACACATGCTATCTAATCCTTATCAAGGGCTTACTTTATTCTAAACACTCTTCGAAGGGTTTTACGTGAATATAAAACATCATTTCCTCAAAACATCTTCTTTTCCTTCATAACGACCCAATATCTTGGACACAATTATTATCCACATTTTACATATGAGAAAACTGTGGTATTGGAAACTGGCTACCCATGATCTTAGGGCCAGTAAGTGGTCAAGTGGAATTATAAGTCAGGCAGTCTGCCTCCACAATCCATATTCTTCACCATCTTTCAGCACCACCTAAAAACATCGATCCTGCATTGTGTACAGGTAATCTGTAGAGCTGAACATCATCGTTTTCTGGAATTTGCCTTAGAAGGCTGTTGGGAGATATAAGGTAGAAAAATAAACGTATTTCTGTGTTAGCCAAGATAGACTAGGCTGTATGCTATGGTAACAAATAACCCCAGTATCTCAAAAACATCTGAGTTCTTTGTTACGAACTCTGTCAGAGTTCACCCTGAGCCTGGGAGAATCTTTAGAGCAGGAGTCTCACAAGTAGTCATTAAAAAGTAAAGACTGTGTTGACTCTGGGAATCCAACATTCTCATTGAGGATCATCACAACATAGAAAGGGGCAACTGGAGAATCTTACTGGCGCTTTTACATCAGTTAAGATTTATGCACCAAAGATTGGTGCTTTGACGCCCTTGCATGTGTCATTGGCCAAAACTAGTCACATGGTCTTGTTTGTAGTCCCCTTGCCCAGAAATGGAAGGAGATGTGCATATGGGTGTGGGCCCAAGTCATACCCATCACAGTTTCAAAGGAGTAATTTTTTAGTGTTTGAATAATTTGAATATTTTATAGACTCTTGAAGACTTTGTTTTCTTTTTATATTACCTAATGTTCACTTAACCTCACCATAAACTAGGATGCCATTTTATTTTAAACACAGATAGAAATGAGTCTACTATAACCCTGCTAAAAGCTTAGTGGGGGGAATTAACAACATTTAATATGATGAGGATTGAGTTTTATTACAACTTTTAACAACCATATTTGAATTCTGTCTGAGAATAGTCACCAACAGGCATTTTTAATTTAAACACTTTAGAATTGCATACTAAATTTTCAGTTGTCAAGTTTCTGAATAAATAATCTTTCAATTATAATTAAGTTCCTAAATGAATTGTCCCCCAAATATTACATAAACCTAAATTGAAGATACATACTTATCTCTCCAGAATAGCCAAATAAATATCATGACTTACTACAGAAATTTAGGACTGTGATGATGTAAATTATGATATATGTATATATAATATTAATCTAGAGGACAATGTATTTGGATAAAAATATCAACTCGAAACAAGAAAGCCCGTGTTTGAGTCTCAGTCCTTCTAGATCTTAAGTGCTCCTGATAGAGCACTTACTCAACCAGGTTTGAGATTTGGTTTAAAACGTAGATAATGGTGCCACTCTTTCCACTTAATGGGGATGTTGAGTCATTAAGTATGTATCCTGAGATCACCTGGACTCCTCCATTACAATGTAATAAACAATATCAACAGAAGGATGCTACAATAACATAAACCCCAGATGAATTTCTAAGGCAATGGGACTACAAGCTTCAGTTCTTTCCTAGACAGCAATGCTGAAATGCAAAATGGATGAGGCAAAACGGATATGCAATTTCAGAATTCAACAAGTCTGCAGTCTTCAGAGTTACTGAATAGACAGAGCCACTAAATTATTCTACTTCATTCTTTGTATAGGTCAGAAACGTCTCCCAAACTTTTTTATAATATCTTCTAGATTGGTGCTAACTAGACTATGTATGGTCTCATAGGAAATTACTATTTACTCAATGTTTTGCTTTAAATTTTACTGTGTTATTTGCATGGGATAAAAGCTCTTCTGCTAACACAGAGTGGGTTACACACATAGTTAAGGTCAGTTGTATCTTCTGTTTCCTTTATTTACTCAAACTTCAATTCTTTCTCAACTCATGTCTTTCTTGTAGTAACATTTATAGAAATGATATGTATTACCCCTGCTTAATTTTATCTAATCCTTCACAAGGTCGTGGTCCTTGCTAAAAGCTTAGTACTCATTCCTCAAATTACATGGTTTCACACATTTTATTTCTAAATATTTATTTCTCTGGTAACATTAATTATCTTCTATTACCACCCAGTTTCCTAACAATTTCGCCTGTATTCCTCCTTTGAAGGACACCACCTGCCAACATGTTGTTATGAGGTCCTAATTACTTAATGAATGTGAAAATACTAAGAGTAAAACCTTGAACAAATACAAATCATTCTTATTAATTTGTGACACTTCTTACCAAATTACTCGTGTTCTTTGTTAATATGGTGGATTGTTTTTTATTTGCCTTAGTTGATGCTAATGATATTGTTTTCATCTTATTTATAAAGTAATCATTTTACTTAGATATTTTTGTAGTTTATATTATCAGGTAAGCCTAATAATTCTCTTAGAACCTTACCAATTCATCTGTAGAAGTCTCATTTTTGATGGATTACATTTTGTGAATTAGAAAGTCGGCAAATGAGCATGATAGAATTCTGGCCGGGCGCGGTGGCTCACGCCTGTAATCCCAGCACTTTGGGAGACCGAGGCGGGCGGATCACGAGGTCAGGAGATCGAGACCATCCTGGCTAACACGGTGAAACCCCGTCTGTACTAAAAATACAAAAAATTAGCCGGGCGAGGTGGCGGGCGCCTGTAGTCCCAGCTACTCGGGAGGCTGAGGCAGGAGAATGGCGTGAACCCCAGGGGGCGGAGCTTGCAGTGAGCCGAGATTGCGCCACTGCACTCCAGCCTGGGCGACAGCGAGACTCCGTCTCAAAAAAAAAAAAAAAAGAATTCTAAGAAAACTGAAACAAAAAGCATGGTTTAATAAACTGTTTTGACAAGTGTAGCCTAGTTTTAATTACAATAACTTGTAATAGCACATGAATAAATGTATTTAGAGTATAATTCGTGAAACTAAAGTCTAATACACTAGTCATCTTTACATCTTCTAAAAATATTCATACAAGAATAAACCATCTTTTGTTTTAAAAAAATATCTAGGTTTGTGGTTTAAAACTTAATTTTTCAGTGATATTTAAAAAATTCTGACCAAGCATAAAAGTTTGTGATATATTTGAATACATATTTCAGTGAAGTGCATTTCAAAAGGACTGAGAACTGGAGTCCTATGGTTACAGTGATTTATGGTTTCATACATTCACCAATATGAATATTGCCAATAAAAGTCCAAAAATATCATCTGGCACTATTATTTTCTACCCGTTCAAACCACCCTTTATGACAAAAATCGAGTATTTGGATTGATTTATTTTATCTTTTTTTAAAAACTTTATAGTTGTATCAAATAATGACTATATCTTATGTGATATTGAAAATACAGTACTGAAGTTCTGGGCTGTATAAAACAGATTTTTTTTCTAAGTGGACTTATCAGTTATTAGAGAATTAATATTAAAATTAGCTCCTCCATATGACTTCTCAATAATTTTTCTGATTACCTAAACTCCAAATTTCAGCTATAGTTAGCTTTTCAATCTCTCTCATTTTTTTAAATCTAAGTAATTTTAACTTTTTGCCATGTCTTCCTTTGTAAAGTCATTCCCAATGACTGTCCTCAGATGGGCTTTTATCATCTCCCTTCTGAAAGTTGCATTTCCCACCTGCCTGCTCACTTGACCTCTTGCCTTAGTTTCTACTCCATCCTGCCAATACCCAATGGAGAAACTTTCCTCTCGCCATTTCATCTCAATCCAAAAATTTTGATGGTTTAGGACTATCTGCTATTTAAAATTCTTACGTCTGGTCTTGGCAGTCCTAACAAAAACACTTCAAAGTCTATCTTAATAATCTCCCAATCTAGCGACCCCAATACTGAGAAGGCTGCTCCAGCTGAGTAGTCTAATTACTGTTCCTCTGACATGCCTTGCTGCACCTTTTCCTGGATTTATGGCCCAGCCTGAAATAACTTCGTTTTGTAAGCCTTGCTCTGTAGATTTTCACCATTTATCTGAATCTTATCATAACTTGTAAAAAAAAATCTTATTCCAACATATATATGTGTGTGTGTATATATATATATATATAAAACCGGCCATGCACGGTGGCTCATGCCTGTAACCCCAGCACGTTGGGAGGCCAAGGTGGGTGGATCACGAGGTCAGGAGCTCGAGACCAGCCTGACAAAGATGGTGAAACTGCGTCTTTACTAAAAATAAAAAAAATTAGCCGGACGTAGTGGCGAGCGCCTGTAGTCCCAACTACTCAGGAGGCTGAGGCAGGAGGATAGTGTGAACCCAGGAGGTGGAGGTTGCAGTGAGCTGAGATCGTGCCACTGCACTCCAGCCTGAGTGACAGAGTGAGGCTCCATCTCAAAAAACAAAAACAAAAAACCCACAGTGGTATAATGAGTACAACACAGGTAAAAATTCACAAACAAAACAAAATATATATAAAAAAATTAGTAATTAAATATGCTTTTGTAGTGTGCATCTTTTTCTTAAATTAGCAGTATTATTAAAGGCAGTACTTACCATACCTACGTTTACTAACAAGAAACATATAGTTTCTTGTATTCAAGTTGTATTCAAGTTGAAGAAATTGTATAGTGTATTCAAGTTGAAGAAATTTAAAATGATTAAGTTGAATTCCTTCACTTTATTGACCTCTTAATAGGCTGAATAAACTTGTGAAACCACATGCACAGAAATGTAAGTTTCCTCATTTGAGATAAAATATATTCCTATTTCTTCCAACAAAGTGGTTCTCTAGAGAAGATGGACTGCTACAAAGTGGTGTGTTAGTATCTGAATCTTGGTTCTGAAGAGGTAAGCAAAAAAATTTGAGCTAATGATGTAAAATGCTGTAACCAACAAAAAGAAGGAGAGGAAGTGAAAAATAAACAAAATTAAGAAATATACACTCAACAGAAAAATATGTGTGTGAAGTAATGCATATGTTAAATAGCTCAATGTAGCCATTCCACAATGTATACATATTTCAAAACATGTTATACTTGACAAATACATATAAATGTTTTATCTGTTTAAATAGTTTATGAAAGAAATAAGCAATTAATATATTGTGCTTAAAATTTGACCTGAACCAAGAAAATAAAAAGTTAGGCCCTTAAATTAATGTATGAAGATTTAGTTACACTTTTATCACTTAGATTATAATATTTATGTTGACTTTTTTAAAACAAGTTTGAAAGGAAAACAAATTTGAAGATATTCTCTACTTTGAGTGACTTTATTTGGAGAAAAAGTTGCTTTTTCCTCCCAGGAAGCATATAGCTGATAAGAGGGATTTCTGAGAGACAGGTCCCTTGTATAAATGTTCCTCTGAGGATGAGGCTTTTAGTTAGGTTTATATTTAGTCATTCAATTTCATACATTTAAAGATCCATCTCACGCTAAACTCCGTCCCAATCACTATGGTGATGTAGATGGGACAAGAATGAGTACTCCCTGCTGGCAAATGATCTCCGTGTCAGACACGAAGATAAAAATATAAGAGATAAATACAATTTGCAACTGGAATTGTACAGATGGCATTCTCCTTAAACCATCCTAAACCTGTCCACTTACTGGAATAAACACACAAAGTTACATGAGTTTTCTTCCCAGTGAGAAAATTCTAATAGTTTTAGTATGGTTATGTTCAGCATTTACATTTTCATGCGCGTCCATGTGAAGAGACCACCAAACAGGCTTTGTGTGAGCAACATGGCTGTTTATTTCACCTGGGTGCAGGCGGGCTGAGTCCGAAAAGAGAGTCAGCGAAGGGAGATAAGGGTGGGGCCGTTTTATAGGATTTGGGTAGGTAAAGGAAAATTACAGTCAAAGGGGGTTTGTTCTCTGGCGGGCAGGAGTGGGGGTCGCAAGGTGCTCAGTGGGGGTGCTTTTTGAGCCAGGATGAGCCAGGAAAAGGACTTTCACAAGGTAATGTCATCACTTAAGGCAAGGACCTTAAGTTAGTCAAAACTTAAGACAAACTTAAGACAAAAGAAGTATTTACACTTCTTTTGTGGTGGAATGTCATCAGTTAAGGTGGGGCAGGGCATATTCACTTCTTTTGTGATTCTTCAGTTACTTCAGGCCATCTGGGCGTATACGTGCAAGTCACAGGGGATGCGATGGCTTGGCTTGGACTCAGAGGCCCGACATTCCTGCCTTCTTATATTAATAAGAAAAATAAAACAAAATAGTGTTGAATTGTTGGGGCGGCGAAAACTTTTTGGGGGTGGTATGGAGAGACAGAGAATGGCCGATGTTTCTCAGGGCTGCTTCGAGCAGGGTGAGGGGTGGCGTGGGAACCTAGAGTGGGAGAGATTAAGCTGAAGGAAGATTTTGTGGTAAGGGGTGATACTGTGGGGTCGTTAGAAGAAACTTTGTCATGTAGAATGATTGGTGATGGCCTGGATACAGTTTTGTATGAATTGAAAAACTAAATGGAATAAGAGAAGAAAAACAGGTATAAAAGGTCTAAGAATTGGGAGGACCCAGGACATCTGATTAGAGAGTGCCTAAGGGGTTTCAGCAAAGTCCTGCCAGCAAAGATTATTTATTTACTTCAAGAGTTTAGAGTGGCGGTTTGGGGATAGCACCAGGAGATATCAGCTGTGATGGCTTGGAGAAACAGTGTAAACAAGAGCAGGGCATGTATGAGTAGTTGAGAACCGTGAATAGGAGTATGACTAGACAGAAGATAGTAGGGATGACAAGTTTTTTGGGGCACAGTCTAAGTTGGTCTGGTGTCTGGAATGAGACTGGGGCCTAATAAAAAGGAGCGTCTATACAGGAACTTAAATGGGGTGTACCTTGTAGCATTCTGAGGACAGGCCTGAATTCTGAGATGCGAAAGTGGTAAAAGTATTGTCCAGTCCTTTTTAAGTTGGTGGCTGAGCTTGGTGAGGTGTGTTTTTAAAAGACCTTTAGTCCGTTCTACTTTTCTTGAAGATGGAGGACCGTAAAGGATATAAAGTTTTCACTGAATACTAAGAGCCTGAAAAACTGCTTGGCTGATTTGACTAATAAAGGCTGGTCTGTTATCAGACTGTACAGAGGTGGGAAGGCTAAACTGAGGAATTATGTCTGACAGAAGGGAAGAAATGACTGTGGTGGCCTTCTCAGACCCTGTAGGAAAGGCCTTTACTTATTCAGTGAAAGTGTCTATTCAGACTAAGAGGTATTTTAGTTCCCTGACTCGGGACATGTTGAGTAAAGCTAATCTGCCAGTCCTGGGTGGGGGCAAATCCTCGAGCTTGATGTGTAGGGAAGGGAGAGGGCCTGAATTATCCCTGAGGAGTAGTAGAATAGCAGATGGAACACTGAGAAGTTATTTCCTTGAGGATAGATTTCCACGATGGAAAGGAAATGAGAGGTTCTAAGAGGCGGGCTAGTGGCTTGTACTATAGCATAACCTGTCTTTGCTGGTGTGTGGCGATTAGGCCTGGTGGAACCGCCGTCAATAAATCAAGCGTGATCAGGGTGAGGAACAGGAAAGAAGGAAATTTGGGGAAATGGGGTGAATGTCAGGTGGATCAGAGAGATACAGTCATGGGGGTCAGGTGTGGTATCAGTAATAATGTGGGAGGCCGGATTCAAGTCTGGGCCAGGAACAACGGTAATTGTGGGAGAGTCAAGAAAAAGTGAGTATAGCTGAAGGAGCCAGGAAGCAGAAAGTATATGCATCAGGTATGAGGAAGAAAATAGATTTTGGAAGTTATGAGAACTGTAGAGAGTGAGTTGAGCATAGTTTGTGACTTTGAGGGCCTCTATAAGTATTAAAGCAGTGGCAGCCGCTGCACGCAGACATGAGGGCTAGGCTAAAACAGTAAGGTCAAGTTGGACAGAAAGGCTACAGGGTGTGGTCCTGGCTCTTGTGTAAGAATTCTGACCACACTAACCATGCCTAGGAAGGAAAGGAGTTGTTGTTTTGTAGAAGGTGCTGGGGTTTGAGAGATCAGTCAGACAAGATTGGCAGGGAGAGCATGTGTGTTTTTATGAGAATTATGCCGAGATAGGTAACAGATGAGGAAGAAACTTGGGCTTGATTGAAGTAATGGGGGCTGTCTGTGAAGCTTTGCAGCAGTACAGCCTAGGTAATTTGCTGAGCTTGATGGGTGTCAGGGTCAGTCCTAGTGAAAGCGAAGAGAGGCTGGGATGAAGGGTACAAAGCAATAGTAAAGAAAGCATGTTTGAGACCTAGAACAGAATAATGGGTTGTAGAGGCAGGTATTGAGGATAGGAGAGTATATGGGTTTGGCACCACGGGGTGGATAGGCAAAACAATTTGGTTGATAAGGCGCAGATCCTGAACTAACTTGTAAGGCTTGTCTGGTTTTAGGACAGGTAAAATGGGGGCATTGTCAGGAGAGTTTATAGGCTTTAAAAGGCCATGCTGTAGCAGGCGAGTGATAACAGGCTTTAAATCTTTTTAAAGCGTGCTGCGGGATGGGATATTGGCCTTGAGTGGGGTAAGGGTGATTAGGTTTTAATGAGATGGTGAGGGGTGCATGATCGGTCGCCAAGGAGGGAGTAGAGGTATCTCATACTTGTGGGTTAAGGTGGGGGGATACAAGAGGAGGATGCAAAGGAGGCTTTAGATTGTGAAGAAGGGTGGCAATGAGATATAGCTGTAGTCCAGGAATAGTCAGGGAAGCAGATAATTTAGTTAAAGTGTCTCAGCCTAATAAGGGAACTGGGCAGGTGGGGATAACTAAAAAGGAGTGCTTAAAAGAGTATTGTCCAAGTTGGCACCAGAGTTGGGGAGTTTTAAGAGGTTTAGAAGCCTGGCCATCAATACCCACAACAGTTATGGAGGCAAGGGAAACAGGCCCTTGAAAAGAAAGTAATGTGGAGTGGGTAGCCTCCGTGCTGATTAAGAAGGGGACGGGCTTGCCTTCCACTGTGAGAGTTACCCAAAGCTCGGCGTCGGTGATGGTCTAGGGGGCTTCCGAGGCGATCGGGCAGTGTCAGTCTTCAGCCGCTAAGCCGAGAAGATCTGGGAAGGAGTTGGTCAGAGAGCCTTGGGCCAGAGTTCCAGGGGCTCTGGGAGTGGCTGCCAGGTGAGTTGAACAGTCCAATTTTCAGTGGGGTCTCACACAGATGGGACACAGCTTAGGAGGAATCCCGGGCTGCGGGCATTCCTTGGCCCAGTGGCCAGATTTCTGGCACATGTAGCAAGCTCCTGTGGGAGGAGGTTCTGGAGGAACGCCTGGCCGCTGCAGTTCAGGCATTTGGAAGTTCTTGTGTGCTGGAGATGTGGCTGGGGTTTGTCTCACAGTGGAGGCAAGGAATTGCAACTTTTTTCTATTATTGTACACCTTGAAGGCGAGGTTAATTAAATCCTGTTGTGGGGTTTGAGGGCCAGAATTTAATTTTTGGAGTTTTATTTAATGTCGGGAGCAGATTGGGTAACAAAACGTATTTTGAGAATAAGATGGCCTTTTGACCTTTTAGGGTCTAGGGCTGTAAAGTGTCTCAGGGTTGCTGCCAAACAAGTCATGAACTGGGCTGGATTTTTATATTTGATAAAAAAGATCCTAAACGCTATCCGATTTGGGATAAAGAAAAAGGAGCATTAACCTTGACTATGCATTTAGCTCCAGCCACCTTTTTAAGAGTAAATTGCTGGGCAGGAGGGGGAGGGCTAGTCACGGAACGAAACTGAAAGCCGGACCAGGTGTGAGGAGGGGAGGTGATAAAAAGATTATAGGGTGGAGGAGCAGAGGCTGAGGAAGAATTGGGATCTAGCTCGGCCTGGCAAGGAGCAGCCTGGAGAGGAAAGGAGAGGTCAGATGGGTCTGTAGAAAAGGAAGATTAGAAAGACTCAGCAACGCTTGGGGTTGGTACTGAGGGGATAGACAGGAGGGAAAGAAGGAAGATTTGGGACGAGTTGCACTGGGCACAGAGACTAGGAAGGGACTGATGTGTAAAAGAATGCCTGGACGTCAGGCACCTCAGACCGTTTGCCTATTTCATGACAAGAATTATTTAGATCTTGCAGGATGGAAAAATTCAAAGTGCCATTTTCTGGCTATTTGGAACGACTGTCGAATTTGTACTGGGGTCAAGCGGCATTGCAGAAGAAAATAAGGCATTTAGGTTTTAGGTCAGGTGTGAATGGAAGAGGTTTTAAGTTTTTGAGAACACAGGCCAAGGGAGTAGAAGAAGGAATGGAGGGTGAAAGATTGCCCATAGTGAGGGAAGCAAGCCTAGAGAAAAGAGAGAGCAGAGAAATGGAGGGAAGGGGTTCAGGGGTTCTTACCTTCCAGAAAAGTGGGAAAAGGGGTTGGGGTGCAGAGATAAGAGGTTGGGGTGTGGAAATAAGGGATGGGGCTCAGAAATAAGGGGTCGGGACACAGAAATAAGGGGTCGGGGCACGGAAATAAGGGGTCGGGGCATGGAAATAAGGGATTGGGGCGCCGAGATAAGAGGTCGGGGCATGGAAATAAGGGATTGGGGCGCAGAGATACGAGGTTGGGGTACTTGCCCCTCCTGTAGAAAAGTGGGACTTGCCGCTAAGAGTGAAGGAGAAGGGGTTGAGGGGTACTTGCCCTTCCCCTAGAAAAGCAGAGAAGGGGTAGAGACAAGGAGAGAAGGGGTTGGGGTACTTGCCCCTTCCCCAGAAAAGCGGGACTTGCTGTTAAGGGTGAAGGACCAAGGCAGGCGTCCCTGCGTGGTCTGACACCTTTGAAACATGGGTGAATAATCAGAGAGGTGTCCGTGAAATGATTAAACACCAAGGGAAGGCTGCCTTCCCAGTCCGTGACCGGCGCCGGAGTTTTGGGTCCACGGATAAAACGTGTCTTCTTTGTCTCTCCCAGAAAATGAAAGGAATTGAAATTAAGAGAAGGGAGAGGTTGAAGAGTGGAAAGGAGAAAGTAGTGGAGGGACAGTGAGAGAGGTTGGAGAAGAGAGTAAGAAGAGGCCGCTTACCTGATTTAAAATTGGTGAGATCTTCCTTGGGCTGGTCGGTCTGAGGACCTGAGGTTGTAGGTGGATCTTTCTCAGGGAGCAAAGAACAGGAGGACAGGGGATTGATCTCCCAAGGGAGGTCCCCCGATCCGAGTCACGGCACTAAATTTCATGCACGTCCGTGTGAAGAGACCACCAAACAGGCTTTGTGTGAGCAACATGGCTGTTTATTTCACCTGGGTGCAGGCGGGCTGAGTCCGAAAAGAGAGTCAGCGAAGGGAGATAAGGGTGGGGCCATTTTATAGGATTTGGGTCGGTAAAGGAAAATTACAGTCAAAGGGGGTTTGTTCTCTGGCGGGCAGGAGTGGGGGTCGCAAGGTGCTCAGTGGGGGTGCCTTTTGAGCCAGGATGAGCCAGGAAAAGGATTTTCACAAGGTAATGTCATCACTTAAGGCAAGGACTAGCCATTTACACTTCTTTTGTGGTGGAATGTTATCAGTTAAGGTGGGGCAAAGTGTATTCACTTCTTTTGTGATTCTCCAGTTACTTCAGGCCATCTGGGCGTATACGTGCAAGTCACAGGGGATGCGATGGCTTGGCTTGGGCTCAGAGGCCTGACATACATCAAATTTATTTTCGAAGCCTAGTGAACTGAAGCCTCATGTTGTTTCATTTCCTGGGGAGTGCTATCCTGTGCATTGAATACACAGCATTGTTTCTTTTGTGTTTGATGCAATCACTTTGGTAAAGATACAGCTGCCATCCCAATATGTATTTGTTTACTGAATTCATAGAATGAACAATCAGATGTAAAGTGCTTTATTGATTATCTTTTCCTATTCTCATGGCTTTGTCTATTGCTTTTATTTAATGTGTTGTTCCTTGCAATGTTTGAAGAGATTGGAGTGAGATTTGAAAATATTATTTTTATGTCTCTGGTTCTCTGTGTGAGAGTTTTCTTATTGATGGTTAAAAAGTGTGACATTTACTTAGCTTGCAGTTTTAAAGGTTAGTCCTCATAGATTTCCTAATCCATGAAATAAGGAAAGTTATTCTGGATTTCTTATAATTTAAGGCCCACATAAATAGCTGTCGATTATGTAATATACCCCAATTCTTTGTACACAGAGATGAAATTGGATTTGTCAGTATGTACTGTCTCTAGGTATTTTGGGAGCTTTTCTATAAAGATTTAGATACTGATGATACAGCTGGACTTAGGTAGACAAATAGAATTTGGGGCTTTTGTTTCTTTGTTTTTCCATTGTCAAAATTCAAACACAGAAGTTAACATAAGAAAGAAGCTTTCTCTTAAGAGAACACAGGCTCCTTTCAAAACTCTGTAGAAAACAGCTTTTTAAAAAAGGGGTATGGGAAACAAAAATTTTGTTGGTGGTGGAGAAGGACAAAAGACACTTCTAGATTCTGAGCAGATAGTGCTATGGAAAGCTGAGTTCCCAACCAATCTGGAATCTTGGAAATGGGCAGCGATGGATGGAGGGGAGGCCTGGTTTCTATGAGTGTGGGAAACTGACATTATTGGCTTGAGACTGTTTTCTTTTTTTCCCTCCTTTCCTGGCCTAAGGATGTGTTGCAAGCCTGAAAGAATGCAGGGTTTCTATATAAGTTTTGTACTATTTGCACCAAAGAGAACATGATTTTATTTTCCAGATGGAGAGATGAGCAAATCTAAGAATATATGTTCTAAAAATTCTTAGCATTTTATGGTATAGAAACTAGAGCACCAATGTACTCAAGAGTATTTTAAAACTCATGAGCCTTATTTCTTTGCTTTCCGTTATATACCAATATGAATCATAATCCTCCCTAAACATCAGAATCACTTGGGAAGCTTCACACCCTGATCCCCAACCTGGACCAATTAAATCAGAATCTCTTTACAGTGCGCTCAGACATCAGTAGGCTTCAAATGAACCAGGTGATTCTAGTATATCAGTAGAATTAACAATAATTAAATAATACAATACAGAGAATGGCACATCTGTTATTATTTTATCCTAATTGAGACAGTATATAGTCAGTACTTATGAAGCCTATTTACGCATTTTTTCACCATATGTGTAAGAGACAAGAATGTACTTAGAAATTTATATTTCAAAAAGTTTACGTGGAGCATTAAAACGTTTTTTTAATTTAATGCAGTATTAAGAAGTAATTCCTGAGCTAGAGATCCATTTAAGATTAGTTTAGAGTGGGAAATATATGACTTCCATGCATTACTTTAACACTTTAAGTTTGTGTGATTCACTGGCTCAATGTCCATTGTAAAAAAAAAAGGAGAGTACATTTCAACAATAAATTGTTAAAAAGAGCAAAGTTTTAATTGTTTGCATTCAAAGAATATTGCTTAGGTATCAGTAATATGCTTAGGTATGAGTAATTCTAAAGTGATTATGTATATATAATGTTATGTTAATTATATGAAAATTATTCATTTATAGCTTTTATTCAGATTTTCTGATGGTGCAGTTAAGCTAAACTATCCAATAAAATATCCCAACATTGCCAGAAATGTTATATTCTTCATGATCTCCCTCAAATTTTTTTCTATATATCATGTTGACAAATTTTAGTAAACATATATATCAGTATTTTCCACATGTGCTTTTAAAAAAGTTTATCTGTTCATCTTTTAAACTTTTATTCTAAGGAAATAGAAGTCAATTTTCAGTGTTCAGGAAAATGATATTCTTCAACATCAAATATCCAAATGATATTTTCTGTTCATTATGTTTTTTCTTTATAATCAGCTTATATTTTCCACACTAGCTTTAACAAAATTTAAATTTTTATTCTTGTGTTTTTGTGTTCTTTAGCTAAGACAATAAAAGTCATTTTCTGACATTCAGGATATAAGTTAATAACAACAACATTATAATCATTATGATCACTATGTATATTTGAATGTACATTTAATATGAAAGATAGTAAGTGTAAACAATTCACAATGCTCTTCTCTGACTCTGTAGTAATTATTGGTAGAAATCAATATTGTCAGTTAATAAACTTGAACTGGAGCCTGGTACAAGATGATGTGGATAGAAAAAAAATTGTAACACAAGAGACCCTAAAAAATATGAAGTATTCTAACAGCAAAGAGCTTGGTACATCACTGGTTGCTTATGGCATAACAGAAACCTTTGAAAAAACATATTTACTCAAAAATTCACATTGTATCTTTCATCATTGTGCTTTAACAGTCATATAACAAAGTTCGGAGACATGTAATCTAATTAAATGGGTACAAAAATGGCTTCCAATGGCCTTACAAATGATCCCGGTAAATAATAACAAGAGAAAGAGACCATTTTCATATTAGTGAAGATGACAATTTTATTCTTTTGTGCTCAGAGAGCTACTTGAAAGAAGGGTTTCTTTGGTTTAACTCTGTATTACCTTTAGATTAAAATGGACTTCACGATTTTACCTTTGATAGTTGCTAAGCAAGTCATCACCAGGCCTCCTGATGTAATGACATGTAGATATTCTTACCTCTTGATTTTTGTCAGTTTGACTTGGGGACATATTTTCACTCCGTACTTGAAATTTATGTTAATATTGAAGACCCTTTGCTTTTTCTGGCCAGGTTGTTTATTGGCTCAGTGGATAGAAATAGCACTTGCTGATACGCTCCTTCAGCCTGTTTCTTCATTTAACAAAACAGCAAACACACAAGGAATTTTTTTAAGTTGTTCAACTGCCGTATCACACCACTATACCTGATCTTTGAAAAGAGACATTTTGGGTTTTCAGGGATCTCCATTCAGAGAAGAATTCTGTGGTTCAAAAGAGAGGGGTCTGAGAAAAAGTAACATTTACTAAGCAACCATTTTATGCAATGCTGAGTATTTTACATATGCTACTTTAATTCTCATAATAACTCTTGTCAAATAAAAATTGCATAGGACAGGTTAAACAGACAAGAAAGATTTTATTCAAATTGTTTCAAGAGAAGTTAAGATTAGTTCAATAAGGAGAAAGATCGAATTCAACTTCTTGGAGAAAAAAGGCAGGCTGTTTTTGCCACTGCTCTAAGCTATTGTGGGAAGGAGGTTGGTCAATGTGATTAGGTCATCTGTGTTTGCTAATTACCACTTATCAAAGTTAAGCTCTTACCCTCTGATAGACACTGGGATATAGGGACATTATACATAGGGACACTATCTTTTTTGATGATTACATTTCAAAGGAATGGTTCCCAGATTGAGAAGATCTTCCTAGGTTGTAAAACTGGAAAGAGGCTGGGAGAAAATTTACATCTCAAAGGAGCAAGGGAAATCTACAATTGAAGGGTTTCTAAACTAAATGCTCTAAGAAAAGTGATGTCAGAGGCTTGCAGTCTTATTTAACATTTAGAAGGGCTTAGGGGGCTATGAAGGCCATCTTGTTCACCATTAAAGTTACTTACTAAGAGCCTGAGGCTTGGAGGTGTTACTTTTGCTTGCTCTAGTCTCCCAGCTATTACATGATGGAGTAGAGACGTGACCATAATTCTAATATGTTCCATAGCTTGTGATTTTACCAATACACTTCAGGCTTACAAAAGTCCTCCATGGGAGGAGAATGCTGGCCCATATAGGAGGGATTGTCAGAGAATGGGTCCCAAAGCTCTTCTAGATACTTTTGGAGAAACAAAGTTCTCTCTAAAGTTCTGTTCATTTAAAACTATTGTAAGCCACATGTTCTATGGCTTTCAACAACTGGAATATTTCACCAACTTAAAAACAGATGACATTTTAAGGCAGGAAGAGCCATATAATCTGCCTGACTGTTATGTTCCGTATTTTTAATAACGGCTTCTTACAGACAGCACATGAGTCTCTAGGATATTTATGACATAGCTCTAGGAAATTTCCGTTTACCCTCTTTAAATGAAAATTTGGGTCTGCACTACTCAAGAGTTAAGACACTATTTTTGATAGGGGAAGAAGAAAAGAACAAGTAAAGACAATTATTTCAATTGTTAGTAAAGATAATTTCTTTTATTAAAACCTTAAGGGAAACACAGTATGAAAAAGTTGCCAGGGGCTCTTAAGGGGCAATTCTCTTGCATATGGGAATGAGGCTTGTCAGCTGGGAAAACATCCTGGGGTCAGATCCAGGTGGTGGGCTATAAACCAATGGCCTGGTGAGAGAGAAGTCTTCATCTCAATTAGTTACTGTTTGGTTTTTAGCTTCTAAGAATGAAAAAACAAAAGTATAATTTTCTCTGTACAGGATCAGTGTACATGAAAAGATAAATATTTTCACTGTAATAATTTGTCTTGATTTTTAATGTAACAAATGATAACCATCTAATTTGTCAGTATTTCTGATGACAGTGAAAACGCCATTCTCATCCCAGTTAAATCTCCTAAATTTAGTAGCCTTCAGGGTTGTACATTTGCCTTGGGAATTCCCAGTCATGTATTTACTATAAAGTAGTCAGTGTTGTTCATTACTCCTTGCTCTTTACCTTAGGTTACATGAAAGACAAAAAGTTCCTCTTTGTGGTAATGAATTTATCAAAAACTTTAAAAGTTAAATCAAATGTTCTAGTTATGGCTAGCAGTTATTTATCTCAACTTTTCAATAGAGTGGTGATTAGTTGCTTTTATCCTCTTTTTATAATAGCAGTAATGAGCTCCTGGTTGAATTTTAATTGTCAGAAAATGATTTCCTTAGGATATCTTGCATGAAATTCTCTCAAAACATCTTTACTTGAATATGTGAATGTTCCAGTAAACCTCAGACAGGAAAAGCTAAAAATTTTATTAATGTTGAGGAAATAAAAGGGAAAGTGTAAAGGAGACACTTGTAATTTTATGAAGTAAGTGTACAAAGCGATTATCAAATTCTGTAAACATTAAAGAAAGATATTTGTGGATTAAGCATTTCAGTTTCAGAACCCAATCCTACCAAAGGAGACCAGAATTAAACTAAGTTTACATGCACAACTTAGATTTTTTTAAGAGTTTGTGGAAATTGCAGAGTAAAAGGAGGTTCCTGAGCATTATCAAACGCATTTAGTTTAAATTAGCACTTGGTTATACTGGAATCCCTGGGCCATTCTTAATTGATCATTTACAGATGATGCAAAAACTTGTAGGAAGTCTTTGCGGGAAATAATTTTATTGTTTGTTCAAAATATCTTCTGAATTTATCTTTACTCTTTACTCTTTGGTACTTTTTTTTTTTTTTTTTTTTTTTTTTTTTTTTTTTTTTTTTTTTTTTGAGACAGAGTCTTGCTCTGTGGTCCAGGCTGGAGTGCAGTGGCGCAATCTCGGCTCACTGCAAGCTCCAGCTCCTGGGTTCATGCCGTTCTCCTTCCTCAGCCTCCTGAGTAGCTGGGACTACAGGCGCCCGTCACCACGCCTGGCTAATTTTTTGTATTTTTAGTAGAGACGGGGTTTCACCATGTTAGCCAGGATGGTCTCGATCTCCTGACCTCGTGATCTGCCCGCCTGGGCCTCCCAAAGTACTAGGATTACAGGTGTGAGCCACCGCACCCGGCCGCAATTAAGCTTCTTAATTTTATTTTACTTTGTTATTTTTTAAAAACAATTATATGGATACACATTAGTTGTTCATATTTATGGGGTACATGTGACATTTTGATACAAGCTTACAATATGAGATGATCAAATCTAGGTAATTGTGATGCTCATCATCTCAAATATTTATCATTTCTTTATGTTGTGACCATTCTAGATCTTCCAGTTTTTTTAAATATACAATGAATTATTGTTAGCTATAGTCTTCTCTTAGTCTACCAAACACTAGATCTTATTCTTTTTATCTAGCTATATTTTTGTACCTGTTAACCAAACCCTCTTCCTCCCTACTCTTTATTACCCTTCCCAGCCTCTGGTAACCACCATTTTACTCTCTACCTTCACAGGATCAGGTTTTTTTCAGCTCACATATGAGTGAGAACATAGGATAGTTGTCTTTCTATGCGTGATTTATTTCACTTGACATAATAATCTCCAGTTTCACCCATGTTGCTGTAAATGACAGGATTTCATTTTTTATTGCTCAATAATATTCCATTGTATTTAAATATCACATTTTCTTTATAAATTTATCCATGATGGGCACTTAGGTTGATTCCATATCTTGGATATTGTGAACTGCAATAAACAGGAGCATAGATATGTCTTCAATATATTGATTTCCTATCTTTTGGATATATAACCACCAGTGAGATTGCTGGATCATGTGGTAGTTCTATTTTTAGTTTTTTGAGGCTTCTCTATACTATTTTTCATGGTGGCTGTACTAATTTACATTCCTACCAACAGTGTATGAGCTTTCCCCTTTTTCCGTATCCTTGCCAGCATTTGTTATTTTCTGTCTTTTTGATAAAAGCCGTTTTGACTTGGATGAAATGATATATTTTTATCATGTGAATTTCCCTGATGACTTTGCATTTCTCTGATGATTAGTGATGTTTAGCATCATAGCTCCAGGGGTACAACCGGCTGGTGCATAGTACATACAAGGCTTTTTAAAAAATTTATCATTTTAGTGGGAGGAAAGGGGAGGATCTCGAAGTTGTTTTTGGTTACTGAAAATCTCATAGGCTCTAGGTACTCTTCCCAAAGTATCCAGTGGAAAAAACATAGTCATTATGGGGGCATGTGACAAGCAGGAAAGTTTATAGACCTTCTAAAAGGATTAAAATTAGAAATATTTTTAAAAATTTTAGCCAGCTTATCTGAACTACCACATGCATGGTAGCTCACTGATCTCACTCCAAGTTACACTCTAGTGTGTTAGTATTACAGATGTCTCTATAGAACTTACTGCTGCTGTATTAGTTTTCTATTGCTGCTGTAACAAGTATGACAAGATTAGTCGCTCAAAAAGACACAAATGTATTATTATTATTTTTTAAATTCAGTCCCACAGTGATTGTTAAAAATTGCCAAAGTCGAATATCAGACTTCAAGTCATCATGGTGAGACATTGAGAAAAGTTTTCAGTTAGCAAGAATCATACCTTGGATAAACCTCAGTGGGTGTAATACTGCCTCTTTGTGAAGTTTGTATTATCTTATAATTCTTATACGCAGAAGTCTAAAATGGGTTTCACTGGACTAAAATCAAAGAGTTAGTAGGGCTCTGGTCCTTTGTGGAGAATCCACTCTTTTTTTTTTCCCCCCTCAGCTTCTAATGGCAGCCTGCAGTCCTTGGCCCATGGTCTGTTCCTCCATTTTCAAAGCCAGCAAAAGACTGGTTAAGTCTTTCTCACATTGCATCACTCTGACTCTGGGTCTTCTGCCTTCCTCTTCAACATGTAAAATTCTTTTGTTATATTGGTCTCACTGGATAATGCAGAAAAATTTTTTCCCATCTCAAGGTTAGTAGATTAGCAACTTTTATTTCATCTGCAATTTTAATTCCCCTTTGCCATATAACAGCATATTCATGGAGTATGGGGATTAGAATGTGGGCATCTTTGGAGAGCCATCATTGTGCCTAACACAACTACAATTATTTAATTTATAATTTACTTGATTTTTTCTGTTTTCTCCCACCAGATTATAGACTCAGTGTAGAGTAGTAATCATGTCTGTCTCTTTCATTTTCTGGTGATTAACTATTGGTTGGATGAAGACTGAATAAAGGAATGAAAACAATATGAGGTATCTAATGTGATGTTTGCCATGATTTTAGCTTGCCAAATTAATACTACTACCCCAAGCTGATTAAGTTAAGAACTATTTGAGATTTACCCAAACATTCAGCAGAAGGATATTAATCAGTATGTCACTTTATTACTCATAAAACTTAGATATGCGATCTGGGCCATATAGTCCTATAGATACATCTCTCTTGGATTGGACACACTTGGCCACCAAGTCTGAAGCTGCCTGAAGCTGTGCTGTACAAAGTCCTGCTTTTATTATAGAGGCAAGCCTTGTAGTGCATAAGAGATAGTCCATGAGATAGTCTATGATCTGCAAAGCAGAGGGGGCTAAGCCAAGAATGACCTTCTTTTCCTCCAAATTCACCAATCAGATAACTTACACTTCTCTTTACAGGGAGGGATACGGGATTTACAGAGAGAGGCCAGGAATGTGTCTCTATGGAGCCCCTCCCATGGACATTTGAAGTGAGAGAAAAGGCAATTTCCTCTCCCATTTCCACACCCAGAAAATTCTGTGTCTAAGTTATTATGTTAGCCTTAATTTGACCACCTGTGTGTCATATTTTTCCTCTTATTGACAAGTTTCTGACTGTATGTTTTTAGTGCTCTGTATATCACTAATGACTGGGCTAAATTCAGACTTTTTTTATCATATAAGTTTGAGGTATACAACATGATGTTTTGGTATACGTATACATAGTGAAATGCTTACTACGTGTAAGCAATTTTACATATCCATCACCTTCTATAGTTACCTCCTTTGTGCGTGGTAAGAGAACTTAAAATCTACTCTTTAGCAAATTTTCAATATATAATACACAATACACAATATGCAATAATACAATACTATTAACTATGGTTTTCCTATTGTACATTAGATCTCTAGACTTATTTATTCTACATAAATGCAAGTTTGTACCCTTTGACCTACAGCTATACGTTTCTTTCCCACTGTTGTACTGTTTCTATGTATTTGACTTTTTCTCTTCTTTCTTTCATTTTATTTTTTAGATTCCACATATGAGTAAGACTATGCACAGCAAAGGAAGTAATCAACAAAAAGAAGGGGAACCTTACAGATTGGGAAAAATATATGTGAACTATATACCTGATAAGGGTGTATAAATATATGTTTAATATTCAAAATATATAACAAACACAATTCAATAGTAAAAGAAAAAAAATCCAATTTTAAAATGGGAAAAGGATCTGAATTAACATTTTTCCAAAGAAGACATACAAATGAAAAACAGATATATGAAAAGGTGCTCAACATCACTAATCATCACTAATAATTAGGGAAATATAAATCAAAACCACAATGAGTTATCATTTATACTTGGTTAGCTAGCTATTATCAAAAAGTCAATTGATAATAAGTGTTGGCAAGAGTGTTGAGAAAAGGGAACCTTTGCACACTGTTGATAGGAATGTAAATTGGTACAGCCATTATTGGAGACAATATAGAGGTTTCTAAAAAAGTTAAAAATAGAACGGCCATATGACCTAGCATATACGTATATGACCAAAGGAAATAAAATTAGTAACTTGAAGAGATATCTGCACTCCTGTCTTCATTGCACCATTATTCACAATAGCCAAAATGTGAAAACAACCTGGGCTCATGGACAGATGAATGGATAAAATAATTGTGAGGCACAACACAAACACACACATACACACGCACATATATTATTTAACCTTAAAAAAGAAGAAAATACTGCCATTTGTGACAACATGGATGAACTTGGAGGACATAATTCTAAGTAAAATAAGCCAGACATAGAAATAAAAATACTGCATAATTTCACTTACGTGTAAAATCTATTTTCAGACTCTTGTAACCTAGATACATAAATGTAGCATAGTATATCTATAATCTGTACATATTCAAGGCTCTTAACTTTCCTTTCATGGGCTAGGAAAAGAACATCCTGACTAATCCAGACAAGTTTTCAGGTACACAGAAGAATTATTTTTTCTTAATAAGAAATAGTAAATATAAAGTGATAACATTGTTTTCTTGATCTTTATAGTTCTCCATTTTAAAAAATAGTAAAATCCATATTATATGTGGGAAATAGAAATTGAAAATCAGAAAATTTGTGAAGTTTTAATTTTAAAACTTGTGTGATTAAACCATTCGTATTGTGGACAAAGAATCTGAGTCCGAAAGGCAGTAAGTAGCTTGCCCAAGTTTCCATAGCTCCACAGTGACCCAGAGCTAGAACCAGGGCCTTTCGCTCAGTAGTTTTTCCTCCTTTTCTGTTTGTTTCATAGTACATCTTTTTATATGATAATTTTAAGGTTAATAATTGTTAAGATTAATAGTATATGACTACTATAACAATTTGAGCATTTAAATATGTAATAGTACAATTAATAAATAAGAACATATTTAGAGTGCCATGAAAGCATGTGAATGCACTTTAACTTTCATAAGCAATCTTTTTCCAAGTGGTTCTCCTGTATCAAAAACCAGATTTATATTTGAAAACTGTTCCCTGTTCAAAGTTTTGATACATTTCCGAGACCCATGAAAATTCCTAGTGTTCCTAGATTTATATACTTGATATTTTATAATCAGAAAACAATTATAAGGAAAAATTCTGTAATGTAATGTCTTTTTTTTTAGGAAAACAATTTCTTCTTTGTGCTTGATATATTTATAATATGATATTAAATCACAATATTAAGTTCACTAAAAGAAATAGCCAAAATGGCAAGTGTGATTGTTATAGTTGATAATTAATATTGAGCAATTTATTAGAATATTTATTAAAATCAAATATAATAGAACATAATGTAAAATGTATAATCTGAACTAATTTAATATTCTGATAAAGAAGGTATTGTGATCAAAATCACCTTTTGCCAACATTGACTTGGAGTGGGAGGTATAGAAATTTATTGGTTGCCTGTGTATGACTCCTGTAAGTGACAACTCTGTTTAAATTTTGAACTCTGAAATGCAAATCAAAACCACAATGAGATACCATCTTGCACCAGTCAGAATGGTGATTATTAAAAAGTCAAGAACAATAGATGCTGGTGAGGTTGTGGAGAAATAGGGACATTTTTACACTGTTGGTGAGAATATTAATTAGTTCAACCATTGTAGAAGACAGTATGGTGATTCCTCAAGGATCTAGAACCAAAAAATGCTATTTGATCCAGCAATTCCATTACTGCATATATACCCAAAGGAATATAAATCATTCTACTATAAAGACACATGCACACATATGTTTACTGCAGCACTATTTACAATAGGAAAGACATGGAACCAACTCAAAGGCCCATCAATGATAGACTGGATAAAGAAAATGTGGCACATATACACCACGGAATACTATCCAGCATAAAAAGGAATAAGATCATGTACTTTGCAGGGACATAGATGAAACTGGAAGCCATCATCCTTAGCAAACTAACACAGGAACAGAAAACCAAACACTACATGTTCTTACTCATAAATGGGAGTTGAAAAATGAGAACACATGGACACAGGGAGGAGAACAACACACACCAGGGCCTGTTGGTGGTGGGGGGTGAGGGGAGGGAACTTAGAGGACAGGTCAATAGGTGCAGCAAACCACCATGGCACACGTATATCTATGTAACAAAACTGCACATTCTGCACATGTATCCCAGAACTTAAAAAAAAAAAAGTCGTAGCCATAGCCAAGGTCATCTAGATTTTCTCTTTTGTTATCATCTCCTCTGTTAGGAGTCTATAGTTTTCTGTTTTACACTTAGATCTGTGTTCTATAAAACTTTATTTACAGACAGTATAAAAAATAAATTTTGAACTCTGAATGCTGAGTCTAAAATTAATTACTGGACTTTATTATGAGTGGCACAAAGCACTGTGGAAAAGTCCATGGAAGCTTTTATGATTTCAGTGCTTCACGTTTATAGCCCTTACTACTCAATGAAAACTATATAAACACACACATTCTATTTATGGCTTAACTGGGTATTAAGTAAGCTATAATTGAATGCTTCACAGGTGCATTCAAAAGTCAAACTTTAATGAAAATATTTTTAATGATAATTCTTCATATGTATTACTATGATCTCTATTGAGGACTATTGTGTGTTAACAAACTCCTTATCAATGCTATCTGCAATTTCACTTCTGAATTTCATTTCATAATTCAAATACCAAATTATTTTGCCCTATAATAGCCTGATTATCATGTTAAAACAAAGCAAGTAAAAGCAGTGGTGGGATGTATGAAAATCAAAATAAATTAAACTGGTATTTTTCTTTTGTTATTTTTTATGTTTGAACATCTCAGGAGATACACTATATTTGGAATTTGTTGCTGTTCTCCTTCCCAACATCATCTCAGATGAAGAGTAAGTAGAAATAATACAGGGAGACATTTATCAAGGCTTGCTGCTTTGCTCACATAGGCCTTCTCTCTATAGAGTAGCCGTTGAAGCGCCACTCCCCTTTTGCTTGCTGTGCACTAGAAAAATCTCTCTCCTTCATGGAATTCTGAACATCAAACTAGGGTTTAGGCTTTAGCAGTGGCGAGGATTAGTTCAGCCTCCAATATGTCTCATCTGCATTCATATCACAAATCTAAACAGCAGCAACAACAACAACAAATCAGGAGAGCTTAGAAAAAAGCATCTCCAGAAATTCTCCAACATGAGGAAATGTTCTCACTAAATCATTTTCTCCCACATCTTTGCTACAGTTACTCAACATATATTTATTGGGGTCTTTCTTTGTCAAACCCTTTTCCAAATCTGCCACCCTCCTTGACTTTATGACCAGCAGAGATCTGTCTTCCTGCCTATGTGACTGATTTTCTCAGGTAGCAGCTCTGATTTCCTCTTGTTCTTCGAATCAAGTGAATTCCACCTCTTTTGTTTTTAACTCTTCTCATTTTGCCAAGGAAACATACATATATTTCCACTATCTACTCCATAAACCAGCATCAGATATTTGTGGAGCATTAGCACTTTATCAACCTTTTACATGTTTTTCTTCTTTCCTACCCCAGCTGTTTCAGCAACTGTATCACCAGCCCTAGCCCTTTAAAGACAAAATTGCGTTTTAATCTGCCTGGTACCACCAGTGGCTGGCATAGTTCCTGAAATGGATGCAAGGCTTAACACATGGTCCTTGGGGCTGGGCATGGTGGCTCACGCCTGTATTCCCAGAACTTTGGGAGGCTGAGTTGGCAGATCACCTGAGGTCAGGAGTTCGAGACCAGCCTGGCCAACATGGAGAAACCCCATCTCTTCTAAAAATACAAAAATCTGGGTGTGGTGGCGGGCGCTTATAATCCCAGCTACTCAGGAGGCTAAAGCAGGAGAATTGCTCAAGTCTGGGAGGCGGAGATTGCAGTGAGCTGAGATTGCATCACTGCACTCCAACCTGGGCAACAGAGCAAGACTCCATCTCAAAAAAACAAAACAAAATAAAACAAACAAAAATCATGGTCCTTGAATGAATGAGTAGAATGCAGGAGTGAGTGAATGAATCAATATTCCTTAGCATTTAGTCTATACCAGGCAATGTGCTGGTACAGGTTAGGAAGATGGACGTGGCCCATATACTCAGTGAATTTACAATCTAACAATTTTTTGTGACCTTGTCACCCATAGTTTGACAAGTATTTTGATGTTAAGTTGTTTTATTATAATGCTGTGATGAACATATTACTAAAAAATGTTTTTCTACACTAATAATTTGGAATACATTTTCAGTTATAGATTAATGGATGAAAAAGTACAAACACTTTAAGGTTTAACTATTTACTAGCTCCTCCACTTTTCACGTATTAATAAAATAAGGATTTCTAACTAGTGGCAGATTCTTGTATATGTCTTTAGCCAGAGGAAAAAAATAATTCTGAAAGGAAATTTTATAGTTGCATATATTTTAGTTCTGATCTAGTCATTGTTTCTGATTTTTTCTAGTTATCCTTCATTATTTATTTTTGAAACCGTCTAAAGAAACTCATGAATAACCTGATGAAAATGATGATTTGATTAATAATCTCATGCAGAAGATATTTGCATAGAAATCACAAAGCTACTTCTTACACCCGTGTATCTTCAATTTATTTTCTACTTATCCACTGGCTGAAAACAAAATGACAGTGCTGTCTGTCACATATGCAGTCCTTTTCTTCTTGCCTGGTAATAATCTAGAAAGATGATGGCATTTGACTTTTAAAAGGAAAAAGGCCCAATCTGAGCATTGTGCTATATTTTCTTTGTGAAGAATTTGATGTAATATCCTCCCTCATCTGCGGCTCTCTGTGACTCTGTGCTCTTTATAAATCAGTGTTTGAAAATAAAACACACAGTCTAGAATGAAGAGACTGTTAATTAAATTTGAATGTCAGAACGAAAACTTTATAAACAACTATTGAGGTTTGATCTTTTAATATCCGAATCTAAATAGAAATACTTAGTGAGGTTTGCTTTATACATTTAACTGAGCCTTGCATTCAGTACTAAATATGTAAAGTAGCAGCAATTTAATATTCTGCTTTTTTCCCTCCTCAATCTAAAAATTTATTGTTAATAATACAAAAGATAAAAGCCTTGTGGATTCAACCCATCATCTTTATAATGCCCTACACTTGTTAGAACATTATTGAAAGTTCATATTGAGAGTGGAGGAGTTTCAAAAATATCATAATGTGCCTCACTAATGCATAAGATAATATTTCGACAAAATTTTCCCGTCTAATGTTCACATCCTGCAGTGAAACCTAGAGTTTAATATTCATTTACCATTTCTGTGGCCCTACTTAATTAAGTGGAAAAAATCTATGTCATATAGGACACCTCTGACTTCACGTATCAGAAAACACCAATATACTGGCTTAAACATAGAGAAAATTAATTATCCTTTATACCAAGAAGACACACAACTCTGGGAATGGTGGTTCAGGAGCAAATAATATAGGCAAGAAACCTATCTTTTTAATCTTTATTTCAACTCCCTTGACAATTGCTAAGTCATTGCCCCTGTTATAGATATCTCATGCAGACTCCAAAGTCTCCAAAGGAGCAGTAGTCAATTCTTTCTTGTGTGTGTTTTTTAAGGCTTATTAAATATTTTTCAGAAGCCATCCAGCAGGCTTCCCTTATATTCTAATTGGCCAACATTGTGTCTACCACCTATACCTAAAGTTGTTAGAAATAGAAGGGAACTACAATACGTAGTTACAATCCATGGTTTCCCCTGGTCCAGGAAAGCCATCACTCATCCATGGATTACATAGTGCATGGGGGTGAACCTAGAATATAATCAGGACTCTCCTACCAATGAGTTATGAGGGTTCAGCTTTAGGTAGGCAGGCAAGTATTACCTCAACAATTAAACTAGATTCTGTCCCTAAAATATTTTACAGTGTAGTGTGGGGAACTAATGAAACAGTAAAAGATTGTAACCATTACCACAATGCATACCACTAATAGAAGTGTATAGGGAAAGCTACTGGGGCTCTCACTGAAGAAGGGGCATGTAATTTTAGATTAAGGGGAGCAGTCAGAGATAGTACAGCTGAGGAGAAGATTAGAGGACAGATATTATTTCTACCTGATTATAAATGAATGCTGTTTGGGCAATATGTCATAATTTTCTTCAGTGCATTAAGTTTTGACAAAATTGTGTAAGGTATCTTAAAGATTTTTGTTATTGCTTCAGTTACAAGTAAAATATCATTGTTATATACTTTTCTTGGGATATATATTTACAAGTAAGATGAAATATAAATCTTCATTATATTGTTAGACTTAATTTTTTCAGACCTAGTGAGTTTGATTGACCAGAGTGATAATGACAATAATGATAGATAATCATAGTGTTACAGATAGATGTGATGGCATTTTTGGTTTGATTGTGTGTAATGTCAGATAAATTGTAGAAAATATTTTACTCTAAGGTTTGTATTGGTATACTAAACATCATTAAAGTATTACACAATAAATTAACTTCATCAAGGTAATTGTCAATTATACTGTCACATAAATAGCAGAAAACAGGTTGTCTTTTTCCATTTTTCTGTTATAATCGCAAAAGGACAGAGAGATATGAGATTCTGGACTTGTTGCTGATGGGAAGATTTTTATGCTCATTAAATCCATTTTTGAATAGTACGATGATTTGTGACATATTGCATAGCAACCAAAGAAGCCAGTTGTCTGATGAAATGCATATGTCCAATTCTAGGTAAAACTAGAAAAATAGCATGGCAGCTCTAAGAGAAAAACTTTAATTTAAATTTTCTATTTGTAGAAATGTTCAAATAAAATAGATTACTGACACAGATATTATGACCCTTGTCTTTGGCACATCTTAGACTCAGTTAAGTTTGTTTTTAAAAAATTATTTTATCTTGATCTTACATATGAATTTATGTTAGGTGAGAATGACATGTGTTATATCTAATTGATTTGAAATCCCAGAAAATTGTATAACATTTATCTAAAATAAAATATTTACCAAATTTGTTCTTAATTTGGAAGAAGTCATGGCACATACTGCCCCCAAATTAAAGAACCTTCTATAAACCCCTGCACATAGTGGAAGGTTTTATCAGTTACTTAGGCCCAAAGTAGAGCACACATTTATTGTATAGTCTATATTATTTTATTGATATTTCATTTTGTCAACTGGTGGCAAGAGTGAAGTAATTATTCATAGCCATAAGAATAATAGTCTTGCTTCCTCTCTCCTGACTTGCTAAATGGGACGTCAGTCTCTGTGAATGTGGCACACCAAACTCAGGATTCAGCATGTTCTCTACCTTAATGTCCCTACTTATTTCACCTTTTCTTCCTTCCTTTTTCATTTTCATCATTCTTCTTTTTGAATTTTTATTCTGCCATTTTTCCACCAAAATTAAGGTTTATTAAATTTCCTTTTGACCCATTACCATCTTCTTCATCTTTTCCAAGTGAAAATATATGCATCTTTCTTCTACATATAAAAAAGTGAAGTCCTCCCAACCCTCTCACATGCTTTAATTCTTGAAATGTCAGAGAATATTAGTTCTTACCCCAAGACACATCAGAATTGTTCTAACATTCACATAACTGGTCTCAATATCTGCCAATTTTTTTCTGGCTTTATCAATTTATAGTATAATTATTTTTGGGTGGATAGTTGGAATCCACTCTCATTTCTCTTTCCTACTTTTTGATGAGGAGATTATAAAACTTGAAATTTGGAAAATAAATATGTTTCCTGAATAGTTGATTCAAAATAACAGAAAATTCTGCATTATGCAAAATTTTATTATATTTGTATGTGTGTTCTATATTTAAGGCAAATGTTTTCTCAAAGTGTGTCTTGAACAGTTTTATGATGGATTTATATTTTTCCCATTTCATAGTTTTACTTAAATGAACTGTAAGTGTCCTTTTTGGGGTAAAAAGATGGAATATTCAAATACCCTATCCTTCAGATTTCATCAGTATGAAAAAGGATTCTCTCGTATCTCAGAGAACTATGGTAATCTTTCAATGGTAATTAATGCATTATCTCATTCCATCATTTCATCATTTATCTCACCATTTACCGAAAAAGGTTATATTGATGACCATCATCATATGGAAACTTTTAAACATCATAATTTCTTGTCCAAATTACACATGTAAGTGTATGCTCCATAAATAGTTGTTCAATAAAATGTATGGAATTCATTTATTCATTCATCCATTTATTAAATAAGACTTTATTCAGTGACTATTATTTACTACAGATTTTTCTAAGAACATAGAGATGTATCAGTGAACAAAACAGAGATTCCTGCTCTTGTTGAAGCTCATCTTAGGGGGAAACATAATCAATTACATAATAAACATTAAATAATTACATTATGGGGCATGTTGTAAGGTGATAAATTCCATAGAAAAATATGTATAGATCAAGGTGAGATGATCTAGAATGACAGGTTAGGAAGAAGGGGCATATAATTTGCAATTTCAAATAGCGGTATCATGTTTGACCTAAGTGAGGAGATAGTATTTTCAAGCTAGAACTTGGCAGCAGATGAGAGACTAAGCGATGCAATTATATGCATTATGAACTTTGGAGTCAGAGAGAAAAGCAAATGTGGAATCCCTAAAGAGGCAACACCCTTGAGTGAGAAAGAACAGGGAGGTCAGTGTGCCAAATTGTTGTGAGCAAGTAGTGGAAGGAAGCCATGTTATATGGGACTTTCAAAGCCATTGTAAAGTTTCTGGGTTTTATAAAGAAAACTAATGTGAACTGCCTTACATTTTAAAATTATTGTTCTTGCTTCCATGTTGAGAATATACTATAAAGAGGAAGAGTTCAAGATGGAACAGCAGTTAAGTGGCTATTATAGTAATTCAGACAAAAAAACTGGTGCTTGCACCAGATAGCCCCATTGGAAGTTATAAAATCTATAAAATACTAATAGTATTCTTTTTTATTATTATTATACTTGGATACATATGGGATACATGTGCAGAACATGCAGGTTTGTTACAAGGTATACACATGCTTTGCTGCACCCATTAAGCTGTCATCTACATGAGGTATTTCTCCTAATGCTATCCTTCCCCTAGCCCCCTACCTGCCAACAGGCCCTGGTTTGTGGTGTTCCCCTCCCTGTTTCCATGTGTTCTCATTGTTGGACTCCCACTTACGAGTGAGAGAATGTGGTTTGGTTTTCTGTTCCTGTGTTAGTTTGCTGAGAATGATGGTTTCAGGCTTCATCCATGTCCCTGCAAAGGATATGAACTCATCCTCTTTTATGGCTGCATAGTATTCCGTCTGTTAGTATTCTTATAGAGCCAAGATTTCCTAGGTTGTGAGAGAAAAAGAAAAGACTCTGATACTATCGTTCTGTATATCTCAGGGTTAAGCATTCTCTTTAAGAACAATACAGGAATCTAAATATGGGGTAAGGTCCTGGCAAGATATATTATGTTAAACTTTAATGTAATAAATTATAGGATTTATAGAGTCAACAGCCACAGTAACTGTGGTTCACATTTATTGAATGTATAGTAAGGTCCAGGTTTTGTAGAAAATGCTCTTACAGACATTATATCTTTCAGTGATTTACAATATCTGAGGGTTCTAGTATTTTTCTATCTCAAGCCAATGGAAAATCCCAATGTAAAAAAATATGAAATCACTAAAATCCTGGTAAAAGAACTAATGAACAGTCCTGATATCTCAATTACCTTGGAAGCTCAAATTTTCACTAACCTGAGCAGTGTATCAAGATGGTGAAGATTATGAACTCTAGAGCAGACTGTTTCATTACCATAGTTGTCTCTACCACATACTGCTGTGAGAACTTGAATAAGTTACTTAATCGTTCTTTCTCTAAGCTTTTGTTATCTGTAAATTATGGGTAGCAATAGCACCTGGAGTTGGAATTTTCTTTCTCTGCAGATCTGTAGATATACAGACAGACATATATATAATATATATATTCTGAAAGTATCTATCTCTATATTTACATCTATACTCTCCATATATTTTAAGAATTATATATATAATAAGCTATAAACTTTTACTAAGTTTTACTGATGTTTTAACAAATATTAAAATTTTTTAATGCAGTGATATCAAAGTAAAAAATTGGATACAATTTAATAATCTATATAAATCATATTTTGAGTTGTCACATTCGCTTTTGTAGCAATACCATCATTGTAGTTCATTCTATAAGAATTTTACAGAATTATATCTAAGGATATGTGATCTAAAGTAATTTGTAATTATTAATAAAATGGTTGATTTTACACAGGACTAAGAAGAATTGATTACATGATAGTGGCTAGCATTATGCTTCATACCTGGTATGTATTTGGTACTCAATTTATATGTTTTCTGAGTAACCTCATTGCAATTTCAATTGTGCTTTTATAAAACGTAAAACCACATTCATTTCTATGCATCTTATCAGTAATTTCAGCACGGAAAAAAGAAAATTCTTATGCTGTCTATGAGAAATAGTTTTCCTAAGTAAATTAATAATTTAAAAAAGCATAATTACAAAAATTTAATGACTTTAACCATATAATTAGCATACAAGCAATGTGCTGATGTCAAATAACATTGTATATATTCAGTAAAGCAAATGTGCTGGTACTTGTATTTGACAATACAAGTCATTTATATTAATATTTGTGCCAGACAGAAATAAGACTCTTGATTTTCACAAAGCCTGAACTTCACACTGTTTATAATTTACTCAAGCATTTATTGCAATTACTCCAGACTAGTAAATTTCCTGTGCTTTTGAATTGCCTGACATTCCAGGCCATGTACTTCTTGTTCATTTATTTTGTCCCTATGCATTACATATTTATTTAGTTAGGACTTTTTCTTGGTATTATGCTATTATTTGTAAATATTCAAAATACTTTATCTTCCAAAGTGGAATTATTTGAGGCTATTAATTTTATTTTATTCTTAAGGTTTTGCATTAATATGAAGTGGTTTTTAATTTTATGATTATCAAATAAGAAAATGAAAAAATACAGACAATTATGGCATTAAAAAAAAAACACAAAACTACCCATAATCTTAAAAAGTGGGTGACCTCTGTTTGCAATATTTTCTTCCAGTCTTTGAATATGTTTTTCAGGGTTGACATCCTAAGCATATGGCTTTCTCAAACTTTTATTAGCTTTTCCAACTGGCTATTAATTGCAAATTAACTTCAGACACTCTTTCTTAGGTTCTCTTCCCTGCAAATTTACTTTCTCCTAAAACCCTACTGGGAATTGCATGAAATTTATTAATTAATTTGGGAATAATTAACTTATTTTCACTATATTTAGTCTTTCCACAGAATTGTGATTAAGAACGCAGGACCTGCAGCCACAGACCAAGCGTTCAAATTCTAACTCTACCACTTGCTGTGCCTATAATGATTAATAAGTTGCTTCTCCTCTCTCTATTTTAGATTCCTCATCTGTAAACTGGGGATGAGGATTGCATCTATTCCTAAGGGTTGCTGAGAAAATTAAATGTGTTTATTCAGATAAGCACTTAGAATAGTGCCTGGAACATTGTGAATTCGCAATAAATATTAGCTACTGATTTTACATGATTTTATATTACGATTTTCAGAGACTGATTAAATCACTCATTACATTTATGTTCATATAGATTCCATGAATCATGATAATTTTTTGTTTTGCCTGTTTAACTCTTTGACATTCTTCAGACCTAAACTTACCTGTCACAATGTCACTCCTTCAGGGGACCTTTCAGATATCTCCCCTACCTGCACATCTATTATGCTCTTTTAATATCCCGGACTTTCCTAGCACAACGTCTCAGGGCATAATTAAATTTCCATGTAACTCATTTATTGTTTCATCAAATACATAGGAAGAGTCTACCACATACCAGGCATTCTTCTAAGCTTTAATGACTAATAAACTGAGTTCAAGCCTTAATGGTATCTGTATTCTGGTGGAGGACATATGAAAATTAAAAAAAATATATATAGTATAATTTCAGTAGCAATAAATATTTTGAAGACAAACATTTGAAACATGACAGGTGAACATGTCATCCTTTTATCTTGAAAAAGATTATTAGAGAGAAGATAATTGAAAAGATAACTGAATAAAATAAGAAAACAAGACATGGTGCTATCTGGAGGAAGAGTATTTCCACCAAAGGCAGCATTGTATAAAGGTGCTGAAGTGAGAGCCAACTGGGCCTTTTGGCCAGTTATGAGGCTTGGAGGCTGAAGCAGAGTGATGAACTAGGAGTAGATAAGAGTTATATCATGACAAGATCAGGACTATATGATTAACTTAAGTCTCATATTCAGGACTCTGAACTCCTTGTGGTTGTAAATTTGATGTTGTTTTTTTTTTTTTTTTTCCATATTCAAGACTTAACCCAGAATCTGACACACAGCGCATCTTCAGTTAAATAGGCCAGGTGTAGTGGCTCACGTTTGTAATCCCAGTGCTTTGCGAGTCCAAGGCAGGAGGAACACTTAAGGCCAGGAGTTTGAGACCAGGCTGGGAAACATAGTAAGACCTCCATCTCCGCACAAAATTAAAACACACACACACCCACACTCACACATGTCAGGCATGGTGTCATGTGCCTTTAACCCTAGATGCTTGGAAAACTGAGGCAGAAGGATTGCTTGAGCCCAGGATTTTTAAGTTAAAGTGAGCTATAATCATACTATTGCATTCCAGCCTGAGTGACAGAGGAAAAATATTCTTACTGTGGAATTTTCAGGCTGTAGTTCTCAACTGTTTATACACCTTTCCCTACTGTAATGTGATAGCCTTGAGTGCAGAAATTATCTTACTCTTCTGAGAGCTTAGGGTCCTAAAAAATAAAATACTGGGTAAAATTGATTTTCAATAAATTTTTCTTAAATGAATTAATGAATGAGTGAATGAATACTATAGTGAGAAGGCAGAAGAACCCCTGCCATCTAAGGAAGGAAATTAATAGATTCCACTTGCAGCATATTATTAATCCATCCTCTCTGAGACTCCAGAGCTGTGGGTGACGTAGTCATGCCAATGTTTTGGAAAGGTCTCGGGAAAGAGGGGAGATTATTATGCTAAACACTTGCCTTGTACTTGGCACTAAGGTTGTTCATTTTATGCCATTAAAAGTATTTTTTACACAGTTCAGTACTGAATATAGTGAATAAGAGAATTCCATAGACTGCATGTGATTTTGGTAGTTGCTGATAACGCTTTACATTGAAAATATAAGGAAAGTTGGGATGTAAATAGTTCTTTTCTACTAAACAAAGAAAAGGCAGAGCAAAGATTATATCCTTTGGATTCAAACAGCAGTAGTAATTATCTGTGGATGTCAAGAAATCACAATTGCCCTTTTCCTCTGTAAGCCTTCTGTGGCAGTGCAGCTGTGGGTAAACATTAAGACTGACAGTTTAAAGGTCATCCAGGGAGGGAATATGGAGACAGTAACGTCTGCACAACTTTCCTCAATACCCCATAGTATTTTGATTTTTTTAAAATACAGATATTTAAGAATCATATATTAACAAATTTCAAACTGTTCTCTTCTGGCTCCTGACAAACAGAAATGGCATGCAGATGGGAAAAGGCAGCTGTCGTCATCATAACTTACTATTTTGATTCTTACAAATTTTAATGTTTCTTAGTTTAGTATGTTTAATAGCTCATGGTTTAATATGATTTGATAGTTAATAATGCCTTGAACAAAATAGACAACAAAGGAGTACTTGCTTTTGGTTTTACTCATTTGGAATGTAGGATAATTGACAGGTCATATCTATTGCCTCTTCTGACTGACATGTCCACTCTTGATGGTGAGAAAACATTCAGGGTCAACTTGTCATAGAAATGGGCTGAATTCAGGGCTGTATATACTTAGAAGGCCTGTTTGAGTATCTCCATGGCAAACTGCCTTGTTCTTCTACCCGCCTATGTAGTAGCATTGTTACTATAGTTTAGAAGAGTAGCAAAATGTTTTTCTGGTTTTCTACATTTGTCTTCTAAAATATTTATTCATATTAAATGGATCAGCTGCTCATCAACCCAGTGAAATCCCCTTTCAGCCCCAGAACATCACTGAAGCTTTCTTTCAAGCCAATGGCATCCAGTTAATCACCAGTTGATCATCCACTGAATGATCAACTTTCTGTCCCGAAATTTTCTCCTTCCTTGATTTCTAAGACTTCACTCACTGGTATTTTCTTTTACTTTTTTCTCTTTTTTGTGTCTCAAGTTTTGTTTTTTCTTTATGCCAAGTATATCTGCTGCTCCAAGATTCTGTACTTGTCTCCCTTTGCCTTACATGTTGCATACTTTTCTGGGATAATCCTTTCTGGTTTTATGGCTTCAAGTCCACTTACAAGCTGAGGACTCCCCAGTTGGTGTCTTCCGAAGAATCTGCTCTTCCAAGTTTCTAATCTGTATGGTCACCTGCCTAATCTGTATGTTCACATAACTCCATATGGGTATCCTGAAGGCAATGTGAACCCAATGTGTCTAAGACAGAATTCAGGCTCCTCCCCACAAACCTGTGCTGTTCTTTTCTTTGCAACCTTTCACCGACATCACCCAGCAGATACCCATTTTAGAAAGCCAGGAGAATATTGTTTAAACACTTGGAAAAATTTCTTTATCTGTGAAATGAGAATAATATTTGTCTTGAAGAATTACTTTGCAGATATGCAATGGATTTAACAAACAATGTGGTTTTGAAACTCTTTATTGTTGCCTGTGTAATGTATACAATTAAGACTGTAGATATTTATGTTAAATATCTAACATATTTTGATATATTCTAACATAGATATGTTAGATATCTAAACATGTAACATATTCATGTTAAAATATGAAAATATAGAAAATAAGAAAGTTTACTAGTAGAGCTTCCTATAAGTTCATTTTTTAAATCATTAAGAAAACTTTTAAATACATAAAATGCTTGAACATTCTTACAGATTAGACAAATGTGTTAATAATAGAAGAAACCCTGAATGTAATCTAAATATTCAAAAATAAGATTAAGTTATCTATAGAATATCTATTCAACAACATATTAGGCAGCTATTGAAAGTAGGGGCAGTGTTTGTGATATAATATCACATGAAAAAATTATTATATAGAATTACATATATTGTTTGATTAAATTATACATAAAGTAAATTTCAAAATACAGCTTGTAAGTATCTGTGGAAGCTGAGATTAATTTTTTAAGTAGTATTTACTGTAATTTGTTTTTATAATTTAGAAAACAAAATCAAATTGCTGAAGCAAGAGTTTCTGATCTCAAAAAAATCCCAAATAATTATAAGCATTAAGACATACTACAATAGTTTGATATAGTAACAGTAAAAAGTTTATTTTTTCAAAAATAACCTTTTTTTTTTTTACACAGGATCCTGGAAGGATGTTTCATATTAAACATGAGACACAAAGACAACAAATTATTTTTTCTCTGTTTTCTATTAAGGAGAGAATTCTTAAAGTTATTAAATTTTGATGACATAATTATGAAGTGATGTTAAGGGTATTTTCTCCATTGATGGCAATTATACCTGTCCAGATCATACTAAATTCCCATATGGTATCCTTATTTTAGCAATGAATATAAGGGGGTGATTAGGAATCAAATATGAACTTGAGCTTTCTAGTTTTGTTTTCTCTTGGGAATTTATGTTGGTATTTTCAAGAAGAGAATTTATTCAGACTCTACAGCGAAATGCTTCATCTGTCTGTCAAGCTGGATGGCGTGCTTTTCTGCATCTGGGCAGGAGTAACCTGCAGTCCAGGCACTCAAGTGCCTAATTTTTGGCATTGTTTACTCTACTTATTCTTATAGCAGCCACATATTACTTTGAAATCATATGTCGGTGATTATGTTTGAAGCCTGCATCTATTATTTGAGAATCTTACTGCAAGGCTATATGCATTTTCAAAGTAAATAAATGAAGATTTAATTTGGTGCTTATATAGCACAGAATACCTTAAATACCATTTGTTCAGTATATCATTTATGCTTTCCCCTACCTTCCCTAAGCCATTTTATTCTAACAGATGCTGCAGGAGACTGTTCCTTCCTTCTGCTGAAACCAGTGGGGTTCTGATAGCATATTTTTGCTGATTCACTGCTCATGATTAAATCCTTTGAATTCTAAAGTGTTACATTGTAAAACTTCCTCTAAGCTTCACAAAATTTAGTAGAATCCATCTAGGCAGGACAAATGTGAACATGTGAATTGACTTAAGGAAGGACTCAATATTTTTTTTATAGCTAAACAAAGCCAGTAGTATCATAAACATGGATGGTTTCTAAAATCAGAGATTTCCAGATTTATATTCAGATTCATGCTCTCCAGCTGTGTGGCCATAGGTAAATTCGTGTCTCTCTGAGCCCACGTCTTCTTACCTACTAAAGTGGCAGAACAATACTTATTTCTTAATATAATTTTGAGAGTTAAAATGAAGAGTTGTATGAAAACATCTAGCCTTGTGATTGACAACTAAAAGATGCTCACTAATATATTTTTGGGTGTCTATTATGCGGCCAACATGGCGCTAATAAATGATGATTGAGCAGTCCTTCATTTACTAGGGTTTGAGTATTTGTTTGCTTATTGTCTATTTCTCTTCCACTGGATTATAAGCTCCATAAAAGCAAGAATTTTATTTATTTTGTTTACGCATGGATGTTTGACTAAATAAATGAATGAGTGAAATATCCTCCCATATAAGTCTTAAAACTGGATAGTATATCCAAATGATATTGAGTGGAGAGTCTTAGAAAGTTCCTCACAAAGTGAAAACATGAGCGAAGACAGGGAATGACAAACAGCATGGTTCCTGGGAAAACTGCCATTGGTTTGATCTTGCTGGGCTGTGAAGGTTAAGATGGGGAAAAGTTGTACGTGATGGAGGGCTTTGCATGCCATATCAAGAAGTTAACTTTTTCTGTGGTCAAGTGGCTTTCAATCTTTGCTCTGTGGGTCCAGATAGTCTCCTCACAGTACCTCAAAAATGCCAAGGAAATGGAGAGATAGCCATATAGACAGGGCTTTATTCTACAACTCCCATTTCTCTCCCCTAATCCCAGTATGAGACGTCAACCAGAAATGTTATTTTCTTTATGCATTTACATACTACTTTTTGAGCTTTTCTGTATGCTTCGTTTTAGAAATCATTGTACTACTTTATGATAGATAGAAAAATAGCTTTTTAGCAGTGACAATGGAGTATTTGGTGTAGGAGAATGGTATGAAGATTTTATACTTTAGATATTTAATCTTAGCAGCTCTCTACAGGATGAATTCTCAGGCTTTTAAGGTAAGCAAAAGAATTAATCATGATACAACCAGGGTGGAAAACAGAGACACACATGGATTTTAGTGTGAAGATGTGCAATTAATTTAGGTCCTTCCTGTTATTGCACAACTTGTGGAATATCCAGAAATAGGTGTCCAACTAAAAGTTAGTTAGATAAATATGATGACTGGGGAAATTTCTAAGCTGAATACATAGATTTGGGTGTCATTTGCATAGTGGTCAAATTATAAGAGTTGATAAAAATTAACCAGTGAAGGTTCATGAAGAGGAGCAGTGGACCAAGGATGGATTCTTAGGAATAACTGGCTCTTCAGAGACCAAATTGCTGGATAAGGAGTCCAGCAAGGAGATGAAGCAATGGTAAGCAGTGTAAAAAAGAAAACTGAGATAGTTTGATTAACTAACTTAAGGTAATAGGATAGTTTGGAAGCCATGAGCATGTTGAGTTTAAAAAGAATAAGTGAAGGTATGAAATATAAGATGTCTGTTGAACTGATCAAATAGAGAGTCAAAATTATGCTTCATGCATATGGAAAACAAAATTGTTATTTACCCTGAGATGATCTTTCTAGCACTACCACATCATCTATGTTTAAATTATCGCAATGCTCAGCTGAGAATCTTTTGCTCTTTTTATTGCCTCTGGACTCAATTATCTTTACTTAGTCTAAAAACTGTTCATATGGTCATTAGAGTTAATTGTTTGGTCATCTATGAATATTGAGGAGTATGATTAAAGCATAAATTATACACCAGAACAGGATTGTCTTAAATATGAGCCCTTTAATCACATGTTTAAAATATGGCATTTAGGTTTCCCATTTGTGAGAAAATTGAGGTATAAGTTATACTTTATATGTCAACAGATCTCAGAATCTAACAAGTTCTGTGCATGAATCTGATAGAATATTTCCCTGGAAAAAATAGAGATATATGTGGACAGTAGATATTTGTATTCAAAAATCTATAGTAAACTAAAATATGTAATTCTGGAATAGAGGGAACAAGAATGGGAATTAGAAATCTTCATAGTTCTTCACATGCTCTTAAACTATAGGAGAAGCCTTGCATATAATGATTGGGAGCTTCAATTCCAATAAAATTTGGGGATTGCTGTTGTCACAGTGGTGTGCTGGATCTGGCTTGTACCACCTCATAGAAACCAATTGTATATACTTTTTCTCAAGTCCACATTCAGTGATATTATGTTGGTAATTGCAATCAGGCATGGTGGAAATATTAACACCATGGAACTCATAAAAAAACTACAGATGAAGGCTTGTTTCCACCCCTGAAAAGCTAGTTGTTAAAATTTACCAGCACATCATTGGATTTGCACCACTGACAGAAAAGACAGAAAATGCAAGGGGCATTTATCTGCTCCTTTAGTAGGACTCTTTTTTGTGCCCTAGAACATTAAAATATAATTGCATAAAGTGTTGTATCCACTCTTAATTTTCACATCAAAACAAGGCTGGCAATGACAGTGCCTTATACATTAAATAGGACTGATTCTGTTTGAATGCTCACTCATTTAGAACATTGCATCAAATTAATATGAACAGGTTCATAATCAGTAATGCCAATAAAAAGTGCTCTGTTTACTAGCCAAAGAGACACACTGGTGATAACTATGTAGAAGATTCCCTGGTGAAAAGGCCCTGAACATAGCTGGCAAGACAGACTGGTGCTGGTAGCCCTAGGGGGCTACAAATGGGTCTTGACAGGAATAGTCACTGACCCTGGACTGGGCTTTGCTTTCCTAGTAGGAGATGCAAGTGCTCAGAGTACTATAGGAAAACCAAAAAGACATTGCACAGATTTGGATGGCCAATCATCATTTCTTTAGACCAAGAGACACACTGTACAGCTCATAGTGTTCAGCAGTGCACATAGAGATATCCTCCTCAGAGTAATAGTTTGGTAAGAATTATAATGAACAATTAATTTATCAGTTGTCTGAAAGAGGAGAAAATTACAACATGTAGGGCTGGCTTACACATCTTCATGAGTATGTTCACGCTTAACGTGAGTAGGAGTAAAGGAATGTCCCCACTAGACTTTTCCTCCATTTTTTTGGTTGATCTGAAGACGAGGGAGTGGGTATGGATGCTGGTGCGGCTATATAATTCTTTCCAAGGGAGCAGTACCCTGATATATTGATTATACTATTTTTTCTTTCTTCCCACTATCACTTGATTTTTTTCCCTACCTGATGCAGTGGTCCTAGGATCAAGGCTGCAACTGCAAGTGTTGGAAGCATATATAATTCCTAAGCAGAAACTATAACTATGTTTTTAAAACTCATTCCAAAATTCCCAAGGGCCTGATGGGGATAGGTTGTGCCTTTACCCCATCTGGCAAAATTGGAGCTAAGAATGAATGCATATATACTGCCTGATAGTAAAGATGGCCCACTAGGTCAGCACCTGTGTAACCTTACCCCATGTGAAAGGGAGTGGACCAAGGAGGAGGTACTGGTAGACCAGTATTTCTGTTTGCAATCTAGACCAGTACAGTGGCAGATTCTAATGTCCCTTCCAAAGGTGAAAATTTTGTGTATAAATGGAAGAAAAAGGAATGAATAAATGAGTTTTAATTAGGGAAAATCAGATATTATAAAAACACTTCACAAGAGGCTCAGAGTAAGAGATGACATGTCTGTTAGCTCAATTATACCAGATGCGTGAAAGGGTAAAGCTATATGTTTGTTGAGACAACTTTTGCTGTTGGAACCTGACAAAATGGAATGGAAGCCTGCAAACCTGAGTGGCCTCACCCAACATACAATGTGATGATGCAGTGGACTATTTATTAATAAGACTGAAGTATTCTAGTATTCTAATAATGTGGTGGTATCTTTGGAGTTGTATATCCATTTGTTTTTTCTTTTTTGAGACAGAGTCTTGTTCTGTCACCCAGGCTGGAGTGCAGTGGCTCAATTATAGCTCACCGCAGCTTGAACTCCTGGGCTCAAGCTCAAGTGATCCTCCCAACTCAGCCTCCTGAGTTGCTGGAACTACAGGAGTGTGCCATCATGCCCATTAAGTTTAAAATTTTTTAAAGAGATGGGGTCTCACTATGGTGCCCAGGCTGGTCTTGAACTCCTGGCCTCAAGAAATCCTCCCACTTTAACATCTCAAATTGTGTATTCTTTTGTTATAAGGAATCTGGGTTTAAAAAAGATGGTAGACTGTAATATTATAAAATATATATTTGGTTTTTGACCCCATTTCCCAGTGTATAAGTCCCCAAATCCCTATTTGTGCAAAATTTCTACCTGTATTGCTGAAAATTATTTAAATTACTCATTCAGTAGCTCAAGAAGTTGTATAATCATGAACGGCATTAAACCTATGCCCCGCTCTCTCAGTAACATTGTTGTTATGCAACTGGGAAGCGGCTAGAGTTTTCAAACTGTAATTAATACAGAACCTTTAGAATCCAGCCTGATTACCTAGCCTTTCCACAGTTTTAATGAATTGATTAAAATAGTTTCTAAAAATTTTTGTAATTTTTTATCAATTGTTTTCTTTCATTTTGAGTGTTTACAATGTATCCCTTGGTTTGAAAAAACAAACAAAAAAGATTAAGGGGCCCTTTACCAAGTAAAATGTTTTTACTATACTTTCAATGCATTAAAACATACTTAAAAGTTACATTTATTTTATTTCAATCTGTGTTATCCCTTACTTACGGTGATGTGTGTACATTTGTGTAGGCAGAAAAAAAAATCTACTTATTCATTAATACAACTGTGTGACTGATTTTTTTTTGCCCTTATTTTTAAATGTGTTACATCTGTAATCTTCAACTGAAAGGAGTGGCACACAGGGGATGTAAGCCCTAGGATTCATTGCACATGTGTTCATTCCTCTCTTGCTTGGAGCCTGAAGCGGGAGGGCTCCTGGCATGGGCCTGCCTGGCCAGAGTATTGGCTCCGGTGACCATCTGGGCTTCCCAGGGAGAAGCCGCATAAGGGGAAGTAGCTGAAGAACAAAAACAGGAGTGAGGAGGGAAGAGGGAGCAGGAGGCTGGGGCACATTTTTCACACTCCTCTCTCTCTCTCTGTGTGTGTGTGTATGTGTGTGTGTAAGTGCATGTTTATTCGTTACAGTTTTTCTCATTTATAATATGTTCTTTTCACTAGGAAGGAAAGCCCTTGAGCCTGATAATTGTCATTACATCTAGAACTTAGTAAAAAAATGTTATTTAGTTTTTATTTTGCAGCAGCTGTTGCTAAACATGAAAGACAGTAAGAATGCTAACCCGGCTGGGATTTTATTTTTTTGAAAATTCTTATAGCAGTACCTAGTAAACATTGGTTGATGTCCTCTGATTAGAAAACAAAATGCTTTTTACATTTTTTTCTGACTTTATTCCTTTATTAAAAGGCAAAGTTGTATATATTGCAGCACCTAGCATATTTCTGCTAGTAGAACTGTAGTCCTTTTATTTGTCTTTGTGCCTGTTACTATTAATATGAAATATTTATCTTCCCAAGTTTAAAACAATGTTACAGAGATTTTCACTAGTTTGAGATAGCATATTGAATATCGGTACAAATCAAGAATACTTTGTTGGACATAAAAAATGAAACAATGTTTACATTCAGCTTGACAAGTATTTGTTGGATGAATGAATAAAATTTAGACACATTTTTCTTTCAAACTTCAGTTTCACAACAGATCTCCAGAATCTTTTTCATTTTGGGAAGCTGAAACTATGGCCATTGAATACCAGGTTCCCATTTCATCATTACCCTAGCTTATGATAACACCATGCTACTTTCTGTTTCTATGAATTTAACTTTCTTAAATACCACATAAATGGAAGCATATGTATTTGTCTTTTGTGATTGGCTTATTTCGCTTAGCAAGAGGTCCTCAAAGTTCATTCATGTTGTACCACTTGACAGAATTTCCTTCTTTTTTAAAGGCAAAATGCTGTCCCATTATATGTATATACCAGAGTTTGCTTATCCATTGATCTGTAGGCGGACATGTGTGTTGCTTCCACCTCTTGGCTATTGTGAGTAATGCTGCAAAGGCTGTGGGTATGCAAAAATGTTATCAAGATTCTGCTTTCAATACTTTTGGATATACATTCAAAAGTGGGGATATATATATATCAACAGTGGCTGCATTATTTTACAATCCTATCAACAGTGTACAAGTGGTGTAGTTTCTTTACATCCTTACCCATATTTGTTATTTTCTGGAATTTTTTAAATAGTGGACATCCTGGTAGGTATAAGTGAGAGCTTATGTGGTTTTGATTTCCTTTTCTTTAATGATTAGTGATCATGAGCATCTTTTCACATGCTTGTTGGCCATTTGCATATCTTTGGAGAAATGACTATTCAAGTCCTTTGCCCAGTTTTTTACTCATATTTTTGTTGTTGTTGTTGTTATTGTTGAGTTATAGTTCTTGATATATTCTGGATTTTTATATATTCTTTATATATCCCTTATCAGACATATGATTTACAAAAATTTCCTCCTATTCTGTAGGTTGATTTTTTTACTGTTATTGCTATGCAGAAGCTTTTAAATTTGATATAGTCCCACTTGTGTATTTTTGCTTTCATTGCCTGTGTTTTTGTGTTATTCAAAAATCATTGCCAAATACAATGTCATAAAGCTTTTCTCCTATGTTTGCTTCTAGGAATTCTCCAGTTTTAGGCCTTATATATTTTTAAATCAATTGTGAATTAATTTGTGTACACCATGGAAGGTAAGGATCCAATTATTTTCTTTTGGATGTGGATACTCAATTTTCTCAGGAGAAATTATTGAGGAGGCTATTCTTTCCTCATTGAATAGGCTTGACACCCTTGTCAAAGATCATTTGACCACACACGCAAGGTTTTAATTATGGGCTGTTGATTCTACTGCATTGGCATATATGCCTGTCTTTTTGCCAGTACCACAATGTTTTCTCGACTAAAATTTTGTACTGTGTTTAGAAAGAAGGAAGCGTGAGACCTCTAACTTTGCTTTTCTTTTTAATTTTTTTATACGAAAAAGTCTGTCACCCAGGTTGGAGTGCAGTGGTGCAATCTCGGCTCACTGCAACCTCTGTCTCCCGGGTTCAAGTGATTCTCCTGAGTCAGCCTCCCGAGTAGCTGAAATTACAGGCATGCAGCACCATGCCCAGCTAATTTTTGTATTTTTAGTACAGAAAGAGTTTCACCATGTTGGCCAGGCTGGTCTTGAACTCCTGACCTCAAGTGACCCGCCCTCCTCGGCCTCCCAAAGTGTAAAGGCTTTTTTTTTTTTTTTTTTTTTTTTTTGACTATTTGGGGTCCCTGGAGATTTTATATGAATTTTTAGAGTTTTTTTCTATTTCTGCAAAAACTGTCATTGGGATTTTGATGGATTACATTGAATGTATAGATCACTTTGAGTAGTATGTATTTTAACAATATTAAGTCTTTCAATCATCTCATGAACATTGGATGTCTTTCCGTTTATGTGTGTCTTCTTTAATTTCCTTCAGCAATGTTTTATAGTTTTTAGTGCATAAGTCTTTTGTCTCATTAGTTCAGTTTATTCATACTTTATCCTTTTGTGTTCTATTGTAAATAGTATTGCTTTCCTAATTTCCATTTGGTGTTGATCATTATCAGTGAACAGAAACAACTAATTTTTGTGTATTGAATTTGTATACTATAACTTTGCTAAAGTCTGTTATTAGTTCTAACAATGTATTTGTGTGTGTGTGAGAGAGATCTTTAGAGTGTTCTACACAGAAGGTCATGTCATTTATGAAGAGAAACGATTTATGCAGAAAAATGATTTTATTTCTTCCTTTACAATTTGGATTCCTTTTACTTTTTTTCTTTGCCTAACTGCTCTGGCTAAGACTTCCAGTACTATGCTGAATAAAAGTGGTAAGAATGGACATCCTTGCTTTAGTCCTGACTGATTGGGAGAAACTTTCAGTCTTTCGCCATTGAGTATGGTGTTAGCTGTGGCTTTTACATATATGGCTTTAGTGGGTTGAAGTAGATTCCTCCTATTCCTAGTTTGTTGAGTTTTTTTTTTTTTTTTTTTTTTTTTTTTTTTATGAAAGGGTGTCAAATTTTGTCAATTTTTTTTTGCTTCAATTGAGATAATTATGTGAGTTTTGTCCTTTATTCTGTTAATGTGGTGCGTTACCTTGATTGATTTTTATATGGTGAGCCATACTTGTATTCCAGGAATAAATACTATTTGATCATAGTGTATAATCCTTTTAATGTGTTGTTGAATTTAGTTTGCTAGTATTTTGTACATCTCTTCTTGTAATAGCTTTACCTGACTTTTCAGAATAATGCTGATCTCATAGAACTTGTTGGAACTGCTCCCTCTCTTAGTTTTTTCTTTCTTTCTTTTTTTTTTTGGAAGAGTTTGAAAAGGATTAGTGTTAATTCTATTTTCAGTTTCTGGTAGAATTCTTCAGTAAAGCCATCCAGTACGGGATTATTTTGTTTGTTTTGTTGGTTTGTTTGGATATTTTAGATTGCTGATTCAATCACCTCACTGGTGATATTTCTGTTCAGGTTTCTTAATTTCTAAATGATTCAGTCTTGATAGGTTGTATTTCTAATAATGTATCCATTTTTGCTAGGTTATTTATTTTGTTTGCATTTTACAATTCTTAGTATTCTATTACTTGTCCCTAGAATGCTAACACAATATTGATGTTGAGAAATTTGTTCTTTAAAAAGAAAGAGAAGACAAATTTCGGAGATCAATTCAGGAAATATATGAAACAAAGAAAGCCTAAGAAAATGCCTTTTTGGGCAAAAAGTGTAGCAACTAGGTATTAGAGTAGTATAAAGAATCATAAGAGAAGACATTTCTGAAAAAAAAGATGAAAAGCCTGTCCATATAGGAAATAATATATTTAATCAGTAGAATATGGAATATGGAATTATTTGACAGCCTTTTGTAAAGCATTGCTCCTATCAGTAATACATCTATGGGGGCTCGTGGGTATAGCTGTAAGCTAATCTTCTCTTTGATTTTATTGAATAAAGTTAAATATTTCATTAAGTTGGAGGGTGGGTATACAAATGAAAATAACCTGGCCAGCCTAGTATCTGGGGTTTCCAACCTAGATATGATATTCTTAATGAAAAAAAAATTTTTTATTTAATATTTTTATTTCACATTTTTTCTTAATTATTAGAAACTTGCTTTTAACTTTTCAAGTTTTAATATTTACATGACGACCCCCTTCCACTTTGTTCATTTAATAACTTTAATAACATCATCATTATGGCTGAAAGTGAGGGAATGATTTTTGCATGTGTTACAAAGCCCTTTTAAACTAGTAAAAACCTATGAACATATAAAACCAAACCATTTTAAAAGTTCACGGGTTCACAGCTTATCTTAGATTTCTCTTCTTAAGCACAGAGTTCAAAATTTGGCCTATTATCTTGGTAGGTGCATTTGTGTACCGACTTGATTGGACTTCATCAGAGAGTGACTGACTGATTTGTGCTGAGTGTCAGTAATCATAGCTTTTAGCAGATAGCTCCATACTGCAAGAGGCTATTTAGCAAATAGCAGTGAGCAGAGAGACAGGGACACCTAATGAGACAAACCAAGATGAACTAAAAGGAACTGGCTGGATCAAATACTAATTTTGCAGAGGAGATCTGCTTCCTGGAATTTTTGTATGACATTAATATTTCCTGCATAGAAAACTATCATTTACATACTACATTTAGCACTCTTCAGGCACTAACAAAGAATAAAAACACTAATAAGATATGACTCATGTCTTCAGGGAACATAAATGTAAATTGAAATAAATAGAGATAAGCAGTAGCAAGTGGAATAATGAGGCAGGTATAATTTTGGGAGGCCACTCTAACAGAAAAAATTAGTGAAAGATGCTGAAAAACCAAAGTTTCTGTGAGTGAGTATGTAACAAGAACAATCCTTTAATAGGATGCTTATATAAAAGATGGTCTCTATATTATGAGATATTTAGATACTGTTATAAAAAAATTTGTAATGCTGAAATATGAATATAGATTTGGTCTCTCAAAGTTGCATGTATCTAAACACACATCATTAAATATTGAGTTGCTGTCAAAAGACAAGGCTGAAACTGCAGATCACAAGCCTTTACATGGTTATAAGAGGGCAATGGGTTACTTTTCTTTGTCTAACTCAACTATGAGAACAAGTCTTTAAAACAAAGACAGTTGCCATGTCTGAGCTGTGCATATAAAAATCAGTCTTTTAGAACAGTATACTGAAAGGTAAAATTGGGACCAAAATGAGTTAACAAGTGATACAATCTACTTAGATAGTTTTAACAAATTGGTTTATTTTACATTGTACATAGGACGTCAACAACCCTAAATTTAAACCTAACAATAGCACCACTCTCTAAGACTTTCAAAAAATGTTTTGGCTATAGAAGTTTCTTTGCTTCTTCTCTCATTAGGAAAAAATCATTAGCACAAATTATCAATTTAAGAAGGAAGTAGTGCCTTAAATATCTTTAAATATACATTGGATGTTTCATATTTTTAGCCTTCTAGAAATTCTGCAATTCCTAACAGGTTCAAGGCAGTAGAGTTCTGGAAGCGATTTTTCAGTAAGCTTCAAATAAATTACTGAAATACTAAAACATATTTTAAAATTTATATAATAGATGAATAAAATTGGAAATGGCAGATTTGATCCACTAAAATGTTTTATGGCAAAGGCAAATATATGCTTAAATGGTTATATTATAACCTCTAGGACCCCGGACTATTATTCAATGTTTGAAGTTTTAGCTTAGCTAGATGAATGACACACTAATGGGACAATGATTATTACTTCTAAAATAATGGCAATGCCATTGAATACTTAAGGGGCTTTGGTCTTTGCTTTTCTTCTGTTGAGATGCTATTTGCACATAAGCAGAAATGGTGCCCTGGTTCATTTCTCTTCTCTTCTTACTGACCCATTCTCTGGGTATTTCATGCAGCTGTATGGTGTCTGTCAGATTTCTTCACTAAAGTTAAATGTTTTCTGTTTGGAATTCATAAAACATTTATATAGGCAAGTTTATCTACATTTTCTTTATGGCTTTTGTATTTTATGTTATGGCTAAAAAAGACTACTTCCATGTGAAACTTATAAATAAATTCACACAGACTTTCTATTGGAAATTTCTTGTGTTCATTTCTCTTTTAAACATTTTATTTGAAAATACCACACTTTAGTACTGTACTGTACTGTCACTTTTGTCATAAATCAACTGACTATACATGTGTGGGTCTATTTCTGCCTCTGTATTCTGTTTCTTTGGCCTACTTTTGTATGACTATATCAATACCATACTGTCTTAATTATAACAGCTCTGCAAAGTGTGCCAATATATGGTAGTTTAAATCTTCAGCTATTCTTAAACCTTCTCATTTCTATATAAATTCTGGAATCAGTTTTCCAAAATCCTCAAAAAAGTTCATAGGAATTGGGGGAGGGGGACAGATTACCTTGAACATTTAGATTAACTGAAGGACAATTTACATTTTTATAATATGCAGCATTATATTTATTTTGCTTTATTTTTATTTTTCTGTACTTTAAAATGTTATTTTTATTGTATGATAGCATAAAAAGGTATCATTTAACTTTACATTTTACTTTCATAGCAAAATCATAGATCTTTTTAACAAAAATTAAGAGCACAATTAATTTTCCTATTAATATATACCTCAATGTATTTAATTTTTCTTTAATTTCTCTTGCATTATTGTGTAGTATTTTATATAGAACACTTGAAGATATTTCTTTAGCTATATTCTTCTGTATCTGATATTTTATGCTGCAAACATAAATGGCATATTTTAAATTAAAAATTTTTTTATATATATAGAAGTACAGTTAATTTTGCATGTGGACCTTAAATTTGCTGATTTTGCTAAATTCACTGATTAATTCTAATAATTTACATGTAAATTCCTTCATATATTTATTTATTTATTTTATTATTGAGGCAGAGTCTCACTGTGTTGCCCAGGCTAGTTTCAAACTCCTAGGCTTAAGAGATCCTCCAGAATAGCTGGGATTGCAGGCACCTGCTACTCAACCCAGCTTTCTTTCATAATTTTTACTTATGCAACCATATCTATCATCTATAAACAAGGAAAGTTTTATTTCATCTTTTTTCATTCTTGAAACTTTTATTTCTTTTTCAGTTATTACAAAGTTTTGGCATTTTAGGCCAATGTTGTATAGCCGTGATGATAGTAAACATTTTTGTCTTATTCCACATCTCAGAAAAAAGCATTCAATATTTCATCATTAAGTATGATACTTTCTGTGGAGTGTTTTGTTTTGTTTTGTTTTTTGACAGTATCTCGCTCTGTTGCCCAGGATGGAGTACACTGGCCCGATCACGGCTCACTGCAGCCTCCGCCTCCCTGGTTCAAGCGATTCCCCTGTCTCAGCCTCCGAGTAGCTGGGATTACAGGCACGCACCACCAAGCCCGACTAATTTTTGTATTTTTAGTAGAGACGGGTTTTCTCCATGTTGGCCAGGCTGGTCCCCAGCTCTTGACCTCAGGTAATCCGCCTGCCGCAGCCTCCCAACGTGCTGGGATTGCAGGCATGAGCCACCGCACCAGGCCTCTGTGGGTTTTTATAGATACTATAAGATTTAGAAAGTTCTATTCTGTTTTTTTGCCAAGTGTCTTTCTTTTTAATCATAATTTGTTATTAAATTTTTTCAAAAGCATTTTCTGTGTCTATTAAGATGATTTTCTCTCCTCTTGTTAGCATTTGTTTGATACATCTTCATTTATTTACAATTAAGCTTTTTGTATCACTGTTTTAACTGCATTTCTTTTATACAATATATAATATTTCATTATTTTTACAGAATACATGGGTTTTGAAGCCTATAAATAAATTCATTTACATTTGCTAATGTAATGAACATGTTAGTTTGAATTTCTGTTGTCTGCTTTATTTTTAATGCTTCTATTTTCAATGTTTTGTTACTTGTGGGTTTTTTTTTTTTTGCATCTGTCTTTTATAGTTTAGATGTCTGTGTATGCAGGTATGCCAATTTTCCTCAGAAAATTTGGAAAGTTTATAATGCTCTTTTTCTCAGCTCTTACATTCAAAACTTTTGATATTGCATATCAGATTCTTGATAAGTATCTTCATTATGTATTTTTTAATATTAGCTACCCCTTGATCTCTGAATTTTTTAATTTTAAATTATTTTTTAGTTTTATTTTTGCTTTAATTTTAAACAAAAAATTCTTAATTTTAATTTCACAAAAGAGATTAAAAGCATAGTTTCATAATTTATTCATGTATTTAATACCTATTGGCTTTCTTCAAAGAAAGATTAATTTTAAAATAATGCATCTAAACTTCTTTCTATCTGTATTTGTTTCTCCTTTCTGCTTTAACAAATTACCACAAACTCTGTGGCTTAAAACAATATAAATAAATATATTATTTGTTAAAAGCTCTGGACCCCATAAGTCCACAATGAGTCTCATGGAACTAAAGTCAAGGTGTCAGCAGGGCTGGCTCCCTCTGGGCTCTAAAGAAGGATCCATTTTCTTGCCCTTTTCAACTTCTAGAGGTTGCCCACATAACTTAGCTCATGGCCCCCTTCCAGCCATCAGTGCACCACTCCAACCTGTGCTTCCATCATAACAGCTTGCTTTTCCCTTCATCTGACAGAAGGCTGTGATTACACTAAACACAACTGAATAATCCAGGAAAATCTTCCATCTAAAAATCTTTAATTTAATTGCATATGCAAAGTTCCTGTTCTACCTATTATCTTGTAATGTAACTATTTATAGGTTCCCAGGATTAGAAACTGAACATCTTTGGTGTCATTATTCCAACTCCCACACTCTTTTCTCCTTTTTCTTCTCTGAATATTTTCTTCTAATGTATTTTATGTGGTCTATTTTCGGGCATTCACCTCCTATAATCCCATTTCCCCAGTTATTTTATTTTCACTTTTATTTAAATAAATTCAGTGTTCCTTTTATATCTTGGTTAGTAAAATTTAGTTTTGAGAAGCTTTTGTTTGATTGTTTTTTTCAAGAAAGTCTCACCACTGGTATATTTCATAGGTGATTAAAAAAAAATGTTTGAAGGTGTGGGCTGTAGCTTTCATTGTGAATGTCTGCTTAGTTGGTGTAATAGTGTTGGGTTAAATTTTCTTTCCCTTAGAATTTCAGAGTTATTGTTCTGTCTTCTGCATTCGAATATTGTAGTGAACTGTCTGAAGACAGCCTGACAGTTTTTACAATGGTAAGGAACTTTGCAAACTTTATCTTTTAATTTTAATTACTTGAGATATATTTTATTATTAATAGTTTTGTAGCAGATGTTTCTCCTAGAAAATGTTGTGCTCTTTCATGGTTACTTTTACTTTTTGCTGTATTTTAGGAAATTTTTCTTCTGTCTCTGAAAGCATTTACATCTTATTAATTGAATTTGCTCTTTCAGGGACTCCAGTTATCCTTGGTTTGATAAACTTTGCCTAACTTTCATACTCATAGTCTTCTTCTTATTTGCTTTAATCACTTTATTTTATCCTTTGTTTTCATTCTGAATATGTTGTTTTTTCCTATTTGTTAGTGAATCATTTTTACCTATTATTTTCCTTTATGCATCTAATATATGTAATAATTCAGTAGCAGTGTAGCATTGGTCCTATATTTGTCTTCTTATACTTCAATTTTCCTTTTCATCTCTTTCTGTTGTTTTATAACTTTATCTTCAAGAGACTGTTACTGAGCAATGGACTCACTGTACAATGTACATAAAAGCTGATACTATGGCACTTGCTTTTGAGAAAAAGGAAGGCTTTATTGTGATTTCAACCAGCAAGCAGACAGGAGGCACTGATCAAATTTGTCTCTTCAATCTGGGGCCTGGGGCAAGTTTTATGAGTTAAGGAGGACAAGTTGGTATGTGAAAGCGCTGGCAGGGTAGGTTTTGTTGGAAGAACTTCAAACAAGACTGTAGTAAGGCATGGGGTGGAGTCTTCTCACCAGACATTCCTAGAAAAGGGACCCTTTACGTTTGAAAGTGTTCCAGTTGTCTGGCGCAGGCCATGTCTCAATCTTTCAGTTCCACAGGGTTGGAAGGGGATTGGGGAAGGAGACAGATCTTTAGTTCTGGGTGTTACCTGAAGTCTAAGTTTTCTTTCCTGCATATGCTCTGTCTGCATATCTTGCATCCTCCTAGCTCTGTGCCTGCAAAATAACTGGACATTCTATTATCAATAGAGGACAGCCAGATAAGACTGGCCCAGCAGTTACAATATTGATATGTTAGATTCATATTTCCTGTTAAAATTTTCAATGTAAATTATCCATTATTTTCTTTTAAAATAGAGCTCATGACATTTCTCACCTGACTCACTTATAACATGGACAACTTAGTCCACATTTTCTATTTGTATCATTATTTTTGCATATATTTGTCATAAATACTTTCTTTTCCCTTATCTGACTTTTAGTCATCTTTTCTCAAAGCTATAGCTCGCCTCTGTGTGTGGTTTGCATGTATTTGAGGAAAAGGGATTGTCAATGGGGGGTAAAGTGGGAATCAACTGAAACTAGATATAAAACTAGTTGGAAAATTTGAATTGTATCTTAATGTCCTCTAACCCAATTCACTGTAGAGAAGGTGTATCCTAATCCGTGCCAGAAGATCTTCAGGTTTCAAGGAACACCTATGAATTTGGTGCAGAACCTTAGAGTCTTGGTATTTATCAGAGAGCAGCTGCTGAAGCAGTTTTTAACCCTGTTTCACCCTGGCTTCTCCCAAAAGTCTTTCCCAATCCTCCCTAATCATAAGAAGATAATGAGATTGTCAAAGTGATTTTAGGGCACTGTGCTGAGTCCAAAGTGGGTCAGATATATTTTACATATTCTTTTGCTTCTTACTACCCCAGAAATCTCTTTTTTTATTCTTCTCTATATTTGTTTGATGAAATTATTGTTTATGCATGGGATCTTGCTTCTGAGTGTTTGAAATGTTTCTGCTTTTTCTCTCTGCTTTACTCCCATCCAGAAAACCAAAATCATTAAGATCAACCATTTTCCTTTTTCTGAGGTGTTTTGGAAGTTTGTTCTCTTTAAGCAGCATCCACTCTTTCTCATTATGCTCTTTCCATCCATGGATTTTTAGCAGATTTTTTCAGGATGTCTTAGAATCACCTTTATCTCCCTCTGCTTCTGATTGGACTGTTAGGAATTGCGTGAAGCATTCAGGGTTTGTGGAATATTAAAACAAAAACAACAACAACAACAAATACTGTCTTTCTCTGGGTATCAGATTTTGATTTTATGGCCTCCAGTGTATTAGTGGAGGGTTGTGTTTGTTGCTTTGTTTTGTTTTGTTTTGTTTTAGCCTTGTATTTATTTTATTATTTATTTATTTATTTATTTTTAATTTTTGAGATAGAGTCTCACTCTGTCACCAAGGCTGGAGTGCAGTGGGGCGATCTCAGCTCACTACAACCTCCTCCTCCCGTGTTCAAGTGATTCTCCTGCCTCAGCCTCTGGAGTAGCTGGGATTACAGGCACCCGCCACCACGCCCGGGTAATTTTTTTTTTTTTTTTTTAGCAGAGACAAGGGTTTCACCATGTTAGCCAGGCTGTGAAACTGTCTTGATCTCCTGACCTCAAGTGATTCACCCATCTTTGCCCCCCAAAATGCTGGGATTACAGGTGTGAACCACCACGTGTGGCCTTTAGCCTTTGCATTCATAATTTTAGTTTGGAAGCGGTGAAATTTTGAGATTTGGCATAATTCTGTCATCTTTAGAGGCTTGTATTTAGATTTGTTCAATTTTTTCTAAAAGCTTTTTTTTTTCTATTTAATTATATTACATTTTTGTTCCTTCGGATCATTTCCATACAATGATTGACACTGAAACATGTTGCTGAATGTTATCTCCGTGGCCCAGGTGACCAGAACTGTGATTGAATTTGGCATAAAGCTAATGATACTGAGGGAAATGAGATATGCTCCTAGTCCTGTTATTGTTCCAGTTAAGTGTGATTTTGATTTGGGAAACAACTTTCTTCTGAAGTTATAATTGATTTTCTGAAATGTACCCTTAAGTCTTTAAAAAAGTAAGAAATTTGGAGTTACAAGAGGAACTCAGAGATTTTTTTTTTTAGTGAAGTGTATCTTAGTAAGACTTCTTGAGCCAACTCGGAACTAAAACTACATCCTTCCCAATTTTGTCAATATTTTTCCATAATTTATCAGTGTTTATCTTTTACGAATTTCTTTCACATGAAACACTGGATTAGTAGTCTGCAACCTTCACTGTGTATGAGAATTGCTTGGGAAGTTTTAAAAACAATAGCTGCCCAGGTCCTAGCTCCAGAAATTTGTTTTCAATTTGTCTGGGTGCCACTCTGACAGTGGTATTTTTTTTTCAAAAGCTCCTGGAGGTCTTTAATGTAGAGCCAGAGTTGAGAAACATTGTAACGGAAAACCAATCAGGAGGAATACTCATTTTCAGGAAGGGAGGCGAGGGAATACTGGCTTAACTGGACCACAATTTGAGAACAAATGAAAACAAATTATGTTCTCTTCATCGGGAGTCACAGGAGAAATTATTTTGACTTAAACTATTGTCCAACATAGTTATTGGATAAAATCATCTTTCTTCGAAGGAATAAAAAGCAAGCTTTCGTTTCAATTTAAGTGAAAAAATTAAAATATTAATTTAAAGTCAGCTCCATTTGAAGTAATTTACTTCATCAGAGTTGCCAAGAGATTCATTTCGTTATTCGCTGTTGAAGAGAAAGTTCACCTTTAGGTTTACCTGAAACTTACTGTGAAGAAAAAGCATTCAAAGTTAATTGTGATTGAAAACCCCAAACATATTTTTTCATACAAGACCCCAAAGGACATACAGATTTATGCTTAGAGACTGGCTGCATGTGTGGGGCTAAGGGGACAGCTGAGGAGATTTACGTTTAACAGTTGATTAACTGACCTACTAGCCAATTTACCTAGGCATGCTTCATACATTCAAGTTTTATTTTTTACCTTTTTAGTTAATTTGATATGTAAATTAAGCACACCAACTTTTACTCCTCTAAGAACCAATGCCATTAACCAAACTTCCGTAAATGTGTGAGCTGCATTTTCAATTAGATTGCATCTGATGTAGAAAGCTTCATCCTTTAGAAAATGCTTCAGTCTCCAGTAGAACCAATCATATCAATGATTCTCAAGGTGTTGTAAGATGGCCAGTGGTAGATATTACTGTGAAAAAGGAGCAACATTGTGTGTTAACTAAGAAAGCTACCCTTGGCATTCTGTACCCACAATGAATGCCTGCAGATACATAATCTAATATTAAAGTGACAGGCATTGCTTAGTCAAAAGCAAGAGGTACATGTAGAATAAGGCGCTTTTTAGAGCCTAGGCTTTTAATCTGTTTATAGAAAACAATTTAAGGAAGGAAGAGAAAGATGAAGGAAGGAAGGAAGGAGAAAAAGAAGGAAAGAAAGAAAGTCATTTAGTTTGTCAAACAGTTCCTGATATTTGTAATTTATGTTTTCCTTAGATTACTAGACTTTATGTAAAAAAAACAATTATGCGTACTCTTAGTTCCAAAAAATTAGAAAATCTACATTTTGTGCAATCGATTCCCCACATTTTAGAATTACTTCTTTTTATAATTATATGAAAGTATGTCATTTACGAATCGTTGCTGCCATATATTTCTCTATATATTATCCAACAATTTAAAAATGTGAATGATCCGTGCACTATCAGATCTCTATTTGGGAGTCCCTCTGACAATATATTATTGAATGATTAAATTTCCAGGATAGATGGGATTTTTAATAATGATTATTAATATTGCCTTGAGAGAGCAAAATACTGAAATAGGAAACTAAGTTGCTTCTTTGCACCTATTTTTAAATTACATGGTTTCATGACATGTTCAGACTGTAGTGAGGTTGATGATTTTTAAATAGACAAGATTTGTTAATATCTATCTCTTTCAGACAAATAGTAATTCTCTTCTAAAACATATTTGCTTTACTTTTGACAAACTAATGCTGAAATATCACATATTTTCCTTACACCATTTTTTTGCATGTATAACTTATTCTTTCATAAATTCATTCATTCACCTGACATTTTATATGTGTGTAGTATATTTGGGGACTTTAATAGCTTAAAAAAAGTATCTTTCAATGTGGAAAATATGGAATAGTGAAAAAAACAGGCATTAATCAAAGACATAATTATTTAATCTAAAATTTTAATAAGTCTATGAGAAAAGAATACAAGGTCTTATGAAACATTTGGGAGACATTATCCAAGGTTGAAATCTGGGAAAACTTATAGAAGAAAATGACATTTGAGCTAAACTCAGAGGATTGAAATGGCATTCATTTAATAGGTAACATGTCAGGCAGATAGATAAATGAGATGTCATAAATCCTTGAGGGAGAAAAGAGCATGCATGAAGAATTAAAGGAACTGAAAGAAGGCTCATTGTGGACAGACAGTAAGGGAGAGAAGACCCAGGGACTATGAGAGCGTGCAGCAATCTAGAAACGTCAGAATGAAAATTTACTTTTATTTAAGGGAAAAGATACAAATGGAATCAGAGTGATATTTTGTTGTTAGCAATTTCTTACATTTGATTTTATAATTGTACACTTTAAACAATTTTACTCCTGCTGAAAAAAATTCTAGATATTTCTGTTTTATATGCCACCTCCAAGTGGCAGTAGTATGTCAAGGCCTTACCATATGTCAAATAGTAAGATTTAATTATAGATAACATGTAATGAAAATTTTCTTTGAAAACATATAATGCATATATCTATAAATTAAAACTAAAGCAACGTTAAACTCATTTTCATAGAAAACACTAGAAAAATAAAGGTATGATTTGAAAATTTTATGATATATTTTATATCATCATCATAAACATTCTTAGTTCTCTATAACATAAAAAATGTGCAGGATTAAATTGAGCATTCAAATTTTAGAAGCACAAAATTTAACTTGAAATTATATCAAGTAAGACAAAATTGTTATGTTAGGAGTTTGAATAATTATGTCACATAAATTATTTTTTATCCATCCATGGGCAAAATTGTTGTTGCTACCTGAGCTTGAGTATGTTTATAGAATAGTTATAAATTATTATAGAAAAGTCAAATGTAAGTCTTTTAATATTTTGTTTTCCAAGTGTTGCTATTCATAACAATGTACTGTCAGTTACACATTTTCAGTTCAATGAGAGTATTTATTTTAGACTGTCATGCTATGTGCTATTCTCAATAGGCATTTTCAATCTCTTTGCATTGAGAGCTGCTAAGATTATCACTGATTTCATCCATAATGCAAAATAATTAATACCAAAACCTAGTTATTTATGTTAAGCTATGAAATTTTATTTTCAAAGAGCAAGAGTAAATAGAAAGAATTCTGTATAATAGCAACAAACAGTGTTTACAGAAAGGAATATGCACATGGATATTCTCGTTTGAATAGTCTGTGTCTTGAGAAATGAATGGTACAAAAGAACCAAAGAGTATTTTCATGTTGAAATGTTCTAATATCGAATTTCAAATCAAACTTTCTTCTGTAGATTTATAGAGACTCTTTGTTTAGAAAAGATCATGTAACAATTTATTTGTCTAACCACCTCTCCTTACCCCCATGGTATAATGAAGATTAGAATATGTTTGAAGCCAGAAAAAAATACATATGAATCAACATGAGTCATTCTCTAAAATTTTTTCATTTATTTTGTTGTGAAAAATTGGGTACCTTTACGTAGCAAAACATTCAGCAGTATGGTTTAGTTGAGTGTAATATTTTTGTGGGAGTTTACAACAAATAAGCTGTTAACTGACTGGTAAAAGAGCTTCTTGAAAAAATATATTCAGCCTCAGTCATTTGATTTTTTTCAAAATTAATATAAGAGCCTAATAGGTAAATTATTGATTCATCCTGATATGATACAAGCCAATTAAAAACTCCATAAGATTCAAGTCAACCAATACTTTTACCCCGTCAACATATTGGATAACACTTCATTTTATTTAAAAAGTTTTTCAGAGTCAGGCGCGGTGGCTCACACCTGTAATCCCAGCACTTTGGGAGGCCGAGGCAGGTGGATCACCTGAGGTCAGGAGTTCGAGACCAGCCTGATCAACATGGTGAAATCCTGTCTCTACTAAAAAAAAAACAAAACAAAAATTAGCCCAGTGTGGTGGCGCATACCTGTAATCCCAGTTACTGAGGAGGCTGAGGCAGGAGAATCGCTTGGACATGGGAGGCGGAGGTTGCAGTGAGCTGAGATCTCGCCACTGCACTCCACCCTGAGTGACAGAGTGAGACTCCATCTCAAAAAAAAAAATTATGGATACATACATATGTGCATATTTATGAGGCACATGTGTTATTTTGATATAAGAATTCAATGTATAATGATCAAATCTGGGTAATCGAGATATTCACCACTTCAAACATTTATCATTTTTTATGGTGTTGGGAATATTCTAAGTCCACTTCTCTAGTTATTTTAAAATACACAGTAAATCATTGTTAACTGTGGTCACAGTATTGTGTTGCTAAACATTAGAACTTATTCCTTCATCCAACCCCTATTTATCCCCTACTCCCTACCACATTTTCCAGCCACTGGTAACCATCATTCTATTCTCTGTCTCCATGAGATCATTTTTTTAGCTTCCATATATGAAGGAGATCATGTGATATTTGTCTTTCTGTGACTTGCTTCTTTCACCTGACATAATGTCCTCCAGTTCCATCCATCTTGCTGAAATGATGAGAGTTCATTAATGTCATTTTTATGGCTGAGTAGTATTCCACTGTATATGAACCACTTTTCCGTATTCATTCATTGATCGATGGGCACTTAGGTAATTTCATATTTTGGCTATTGTGAAGAGTGCTTCAATAAATATGGGTGTACATACTGATTTATTTTCTTCTGGAGATACACCTAGCAAAAGTATTGCTGGATTATATGGTAATTCTATGTTTAGTTTTTTTGAGACAGCTCCATACTGTTTTCCATGGTGACTATAATAATTTGCATATTCCAATCAACATGTATCAAGAGCATTCCTCTTTCTCTGCCTCCTCACCAGCACTCCCTATTTTTTGATCTTTGTGATAAAAGCCACTTTAACTGCAGTGAGACCATATCTCATTGTGGTTTTGACTTGTATTTCTCTGATGATTAGTGATATTGGGCATTTTTTTTTAATTTTAGCTTTACAGTTTAAATTCCTTTTCATAATGGTGTATTTTCAGAGAACTTACCTCTCAGGATCCACAAAAGAAATATAATAAGTAAAATATTTTTATTTGAATTACTTCAAATATGAACATGCTTTCTTTCTGACCTTATAAGTTTATGACAACATTTTTTGAAAGAACAGGTGGATGAAAATGAACCAATCATATGGAAATACTAATCTCATTTCACTATCAGGACATCTTTGTAGGGGGTGGGTGGAAGTACTTTAGTGTTCTCCATTAACACAGGCTCACAGGTAGGCCTTTATGTATTTATGTTTTCAGTGTACTTCTGGAATATTCATTTAAGTTTGCCTCCTCAGAATTATGTGATATTAAACTCCAGTAACTTCTTTATTTAGATAGTTCAAAGATTTCCACTTTATCTTTAAAATTGTTCATTGTCAAGAGGAACTGACTTTTTCTGAAGAAGCTTGTGGTATCTTAATGTAGTTCTTGAAACACCTCTAAATAAATTAATATTAATTATATTACATTGTCCTGGTTATTACAGTCATACACAGTTATACATCATTTAGGAGTTTGTTACTATAGGAAGACTTGCTAAAAAAACTGAATTCCAAATAGAAAATTGGTCATTTTTTATGAATCACTGCCTACTCCAGGGAAATATATTTTCAACTTCTTTGACCATTAGACAAGAGAAGACCCATGTGAAATAAGCTATAAATACATTAATTCCAGACGAGACCTTGGCATCCATGATGGGTTACAGAATAGATAACAGTGGAGATAATGCGGGCCTGAGGAAAGCGGGGAAATAATACACAATAACAGAGAAACCTGGCTTCATAACCTGTTTATTGTTTTTTTGAAGGTGAGGAGGGACAGTAAGGGGCCTAACATTTGTACATGAGAGACATTTTCTCATCTTGCTGTTTATCTATGCACTGATTAGGCTTATTTGTGCTTAGACCAAACTGACTTAGTGAGACCCAAAAGAAAAGGGAAAATAAGATTTTCCTTAAAAATTTCCTATGTGAAATGATACCATTATGTGAGACCAACAATTATTAACTTCTATATTCCTAGATTGTGTAACAGGATAAAAAGTCATAAATATATTATTTCTTTTATATCTAGCTCAGAAGTTTAAAGAATGATATTTGGTTATAAGTTTCTATTTCTTCGTAGGTTTATAAATCAATTTAGCTCAAGTAGGGAAAATACTCATTACGAGATAGTTATTTAGCTTAGTCAGTGGAAAGCAGTAGATGGAAAATGAAAAAATGAAAGTTGAAGTTTCAATAATGTATATAATATATTTTCTCAGGTACAGAATGGGCAAAATGCTGGTGAAATAGATCAGACAACAATGTAAGACTTTTTCATCTCTTTCATTAAAAAGTTATATAAAGATAAATTAGGATAATATTATTGATGTCAAATGTCACACTAAGGATTTTTTATTTTTCCACGAATAGATGAGGAAACATTAATTGTTGTGAGCAGAGGAATGATATGACTTTGGTTTTGAGCAGAGGAGTTAGCAGAGCAATGAGTGAGCATTTGTAAAAGGTCAATCTGGTGTACAAAGTAGATTTGGAGGGAAGTAAACCAAAGAAATTTAAGGAAAATACAAGTCAAATGAATTAAATGGTCTAAAGAAGCCCAGGAGCGGAGCGAATAAGAAATGGCCTTTGAATCTGACAATCAGTCACTCATTTGTGAAAGTATAATTTCAGCACAGAAATAGGGTTGGAAATAAGACCACAGGAGGTTAAAACGTCTTTTGCATGCTGCAAATAATAAGTTACCATTCAAGTAAGAGGAAGAACAGGTACGTAACTGAGCCAAGAACAAAAAGAAATGTCCCCATTTGTTGAGACAAGTCAGAAGCCATGAGTTTTGCTTGAATAAATTTAGAAATTTTTAGTTAAATAATGGAGTCTTAGAAACTTGATGAGTAAAGAATGGTGAGTGATCTATATCTGTGTGTTTATTTTTTATTAAAATTACACTTGCTTCAGAATTCAGATCAGTGTGAGAATGGTGACAATGGTGATGGTGATGATAGTGATGAATTAGGTATAAGAAACATTTTAGTTCTTACTATATGCCAATCACTGTGCCAGATTCTTTCACATACATTGCCTTGTTCAATTCTTACAACTGCCATATGAGATATATAATATCATTATTCAAATTTGAATAAAAAAGTTCTTCAGTTATGTAATTATATGTACTCTAACATCCCTTGAGTTTTATTATATATTTATATATAATATATATAACTTATATATTATATATAATATCTTATATATTATATATTTATATATTATATATAATATATATTTATAAATCTCTATAAATGTATATAAATATTATATATAATATATGTTATATATTATATATAATATATGTTATATAATATAATATATAACATATATAATATATATATTATATAATATATAAAAGTAAAGATTTATCAGTATCGTATTCATCTGCTGAGGAAGACAACTTTTTACAATTTTGCTTATGTTTTAGTTATATCAGGAAGAAAATAGAATATTTCTAAAAATATTCCGCTTAATATATAATATATAAATATGATATATAAATATAAATATAAATATATAATATATAATTATATATTATAAATTATATATTATAATATATAATATAATATATAATTAGATATTATAATATAAAAATATAAATATAAAATAATATATAAATATATAATATATAATATATAATATATAACATATAAATATTATATGTTATATATAAATATATGTTATATGATGTATATAAATATATAATATATAACATATATATTATATGTTATATATTATACTATATACTATATATTATATAATATATAGTATATAGTATATATTATATAATATATAGTATATAGTATATATTATATAATATATAGTATGTATTTTATTATGTATATTATATATTATATATTATATAATTATATGTAATTATATATAATATATATTATATAATATATTTATATTTTATATATTATATATAATATATATCGTTATATATTATTATATATTTATATATAATATATAAAGTATTTATATATTATATATTAAGCAGAATATTTTTAGAAATATTGTTTTCTTCCTGATATAACTAAAACATAAGCAAAATTGTAAAAAGTTGTCTTCCTCAGCAGATGAATATGATATTGATAACATCTTTACTTTTCTTTATTGCTAACTCTATACCATTGGTAAATTAAAAATTAAGAGCAAGGTCAAAAGATATGGATCAAAACCTCGTAGTTCAATAGTCAGAAACCATGAGGTATAAGGAGAGTGAAAATATTTTACTTGATAATGCTATAGAAAATTGGGAATAGAATATCATAGAGTGTACAAACCAGAGAGGAGAAAATGCTTGTGTTGAAACCTAGGGTTGATCATTTTTCAGCTGTATTATGTGACTAAGTTTTTTTCACTTCTTTCTTTTGTCATTTTGGGAGGGGGGAGGGTAACATTAGGAGATATACCTAATGCTTAATGACGAGTTAATGGGTGCAGCACACCAACATGGCACATGGATACATATGTAACAAACCTGCACGTTGTGCACATGTACCCTAAAACTTAGAGTATAATAATAATAAAATTTAAAAAAAATCTAAAAAAAATAAAAAATAATAATTTCAACTTTTATTTTAGATTCAAGGGATGCATGTTTGGCCTCTTATGTGGATATATTGCAAGATGCTGTGGTTTGAAGTATGATTGACCCTGTCAGGCAGGTACTGGGCATAGTATCCAATACCTAGTTTTTCAACCCTTATCTTTTTCATTCCTTCCTCCCATCAGTCTCCAGAGTCTATTGTTGCTATCTTTATGTCCATGAGTGCCTGTTGTTTAGCTCCGAATTATGTGAGAACATGCAGTATTTGATTTTCTATGCCTGTGTTAGTTCACTTAGGATAATGATCTCTAGCTGTGTCCATGTTACTGCAAATAATATGATTTCATCCATTTTTATGGCTGCATAGTATTCTGTGGTGTATATGTACCATATTTTCTTTATCCAGTCCACTGTCGAGGACCACCTAGGTTGATTTTATGTCTTTTGTTATTGTGAATAATGCTGTGATGAACTATGAGTACACATGCCTTTCTGGTAGAATTATTTATTTCTTTTGGATACATACCCAGTAATAGTGTTACTGGTGGTGACTCTTGACTATGAGTAGTCCAGGTTCTTGTTGTTTTAAACAAAGAATCGGAGAAAATGCACAAAAAAGCAACAAAAGAATAAAGCAATGAAAGCACAGATTTACTGAAAGAAAAGTGTACTCCAGAGTGGGAGGGGGCTCAAGCAAGTGGCTCAAGCTCTGGTTACAGAATTTTCTGGGGTTTAAATACCCTCTAGTGGTTTCCCATTGGTTACTTAGTTTACACCCTATGTAAATGAAGGAATGACCTGCAACTAGTCTGATTGGTTGTGGAAGGTGACCAGTCAGAGGCTGAAATGAAGTTACAAAGTTACACTTTATGTAAATGTCTGATTGGTTGCCTGAGGGAACCAATCAGAGAATGAAGTGAAGTTACAAAGTTACACATGAAGACTTGGCCTGCAACCAGTCTGATTGTTTGCAGTAGGGGACCAATCAGAGGTACTTTCCATTTTTCATCTGCACAGAAGTGGGGAGGGGCTTGCAAAGGGAGTACCCTCTGATCCTTTTGTTACTTGAGCATGGGAAGTTGGAATTTTCCTTTTGATTTAGTTGTAGGAAGTTGGTGTGAATTGGCCTTAGGTTCCCTTCCTCCAGACCTCCAAACTGCCTTCCAAAGTGGTTGAACAAATTTACATTTCTACCAGAAGTATGTAAGCATTTCCTTTTCTCTGCGGCCTCACCAGCATCGGCCATTTGTTGACTTTTTAATAGCCATTCTGACTGGTATGAGATGGTATCTCACTATGTTTTGGATTTGCATTTCTCTGATAATTAGTAATGTGGAGCATTTTTTTTCATGTTTATTGGTTGCCTGTATGTCTTTTGAGAAGTGTCTGTTCATGTCTTTTGCCCATTTTTTTAAATGGGATTGACTTTTGCTTAATTGTTTAAGTTCCTTATGAATAGAACTTTTTATATTAGACCTTTGTTGGGTTCATAGTTTCCAAATATTTTCTCCCATTCTGTATAGGTTGTGTGTTGACTGCATTGATAGTTTCTTTTGCTGTGCAGAAGCTCTTTAGTTTAATTAGGTCCTACTTGTCAATTTTTGTTTTTGTTGCAGTTGCTTTTTAGAACTTAGTATAAATTCTTTCCCAAGGACAATATCCAGAATGGTATTCTTTAGGTTTTCTTGGGGAAACCTAAAGTTTATAGTTTAAGGTGTTACATTTAATTATTTAATCCTTCTTTAGTTAATTTAGTTAATTTAGTTTTTGTATATGGGGACACGTAGGTAGGGGGTCCAGTTTTATTCTTCTGCCTATGGACATCCAGCTATACCAGCACAATTTATTGAACAGGGAGTACTTTCTTTATTGCTTATTTTTGTTAACTTTGTTGAAGATCAGATGGCTGTGGGTTTGTGGCCTTATTTTTGGGTTCTTTATTCTCTTCTTGGTCTATTTGTCTGCTTTTGTACCACTACCATGATGTTTTGGTTACTGTAGCCTTATAGTACAGTTTGAAGTTGGGTAACATGATGCCTCTGGCTTCGTTCTTTTGGTATAGAATTTCTTTGGCTATGCAGGTTCTTTTTTGGTTCCATATGAATTTTTGGATAGTTTTTCTAGTTCTGTGAATAATAACATTGGTAGTTTGACAGTAATCGCGTTGACTCTGTAGATTGCTTTGGGCATTATGGCCATTTTAATGATAGTGATTCTTCCATTCCATGAGTATGGAATGTTTCTCCATTTGTCTCATCTGTGAGTTCTTTCAGCAGTGTTTTCTGGGTGAAAATTTGATCTACTGGCTTTCTTTTTCTTTTGCTATATAGTAAAAGAAAAATAATGTGGTGTTTGAAATCAAGAAAATAATTTAAATTTATTTTGTCGTTATTATATGATTATAAATACTCCTTGACACAAATATTTCTAAACACAGAATCATGATATTCTTCATTTAATTTTAAATAATAAAGTAATAATTATAGATAATACCAGATGAATTGAGATCATAGGTTTGGTGAATTGGCGATGTGTAACTAATGGCAAATATAAATCTCTTACTGCTTTTATTTTGAGAAATTGTAGTGACTGATATACTCAAAATGAAGGTGATATTGCTAGCCTCGATTTAAATAGAAAAATGGAACTATAGTTTTCATATTCATAACCATTCTATGAAGATTTTGACAAATGCATTGGAGTAAAAAATTATCATTAACCTATGATTTATGAGATAAATAAGGAGTGAGTAATTACATGTAAATTTAGAATGTAAAACTATTTTTAATATGGCTACTTTTGTAATTTTATTGTCAAGACTTCATTAACATGTTACTCTATTATTCTTGTAACTTTATTGTTAAAACTTTATTAACATTATTAACTATTTTTTCACTGTAGGTATTTGTAATTATGCATTTAGGTCAGTAACTTATTTGGAATCAAATTTGATGCAAAAATAATGGAAATAGTTTATATTTATTATGAAATATGTTACGCAAATTTTTTGTATTCTCAAATGTAGTATTTTTAGATGAGTACTGATTTTCATAATAAGTGAAAGTAATAATAGCAAATACTTCTCAAGACTTATTGTTGCTGGGCTCTGTATCATAGGCCCCATATGCATCAGCTCTTGAATTTCATTTAGATGTTATCAGCTTTTATATATGATCTCTTCAAGAAATTGGAAAGTTATTTTCATTCTGTTGTAGAGCATGAGAAAAATGAAAGCTTTGTTTTTACTTAGTTAATATGGTTTCGCTTTGTGTCCCCACCCAAATCTCATGTAGAATTGTAATCCCCGCATATTGAAGGGGGGATCTGCTAGGAGGTGACTGGATTATGGAGGAAGTTTTCTCCATGCTGTTCTTATGACAGTGAGGGAGTTCTCACAAGATCTGATGGTTTAAAAGTGGCAGTTTCTCCTGCACTCTCTCTCTCCTGCTGCCATGTAAGACGTGCCTTGCTTCCCCTTGGCCTCCTGTTGGTGTAACTGTCCTGAGACCTCCCCAGCCATGCAGAACTGTGAGTCAATAAACCTCCTTTGTTTATAAATTACCCAGTCTCAGGTATTTCTTTATAGTACTATGAAAACAAACTAATACATTAGTCTAAAAAATATATTTGTCTATCAGTTATATAACTTTGTCATATTTTTTATTTTGAGCATATTTCCTTTTGAACATTCTTGCTGATACAAATAGAAATTGCAGTTATTGAAGAGTTGTACATTGATTTTTGTACCATAATTTCTTTTTTTTTTTTTTTTTTTGAGACGGAGTCTTGCTTCTGTCACCCAGGCTGGAGTGCAGTGGCACAATCTCAGCTCACTGCAAGCTCTGCCTCCCAGGTTCACACCATCCTCCTGCCTCAGCCTCCCAAGTAGCTGGGACTACAGGCACCCGCCACCATGCCTGGCTAATTTTTTGTATTTTTAGTAGAGACAGGGTTTCACCGTGTTAGCCAGGATGGTATTGATCTCCTGACCTCATGATCTGCCCGCTTCGGCCTCCCAAAGTGCTGGGATTACAGGCGTGAGCCACCACACCCAGCCTATACCATTATTTCTTAAAATTTCCCTTATGATATACATTACAATTCATATCACCCCAATAATTTTAGTGCTATATTAAAATCTTACCAAAACATTTATCTTATAGAGATTTGTATCCAAAACATATAAAGAACTCTTAAGTCTAAAAAAGACTATATACTATATGATTCTAATTATATAACATTATATGAAAAAGCAGAAAATATAGATACAGTAAAAATATAAGTGGCTTCCATGGGCTCAGGAGGAGGCATAGAGGGTTGAATATATGAAGCACAAGATTTTGTCTTTAGAAAGAGTAATTAAATTTTATGATATTGTAATGGTGGACTTGTAACATTATGTATTTGTCAAAACTCATAAAACTTTATAGTACAAAGAGTGAACCTTAGTGTATACAAATTAAAAAATCAGTTAAAAGTTTTGGAGATCACAAAGGAATTCATAATAACAGAATCTAAATTAAATATGAAACAATCTCTTTGAAGTGGGTGTGTGTAAAAGGTGCTGACCTAAGTAATTTTGGATAGGATTTAGAGTCTTGAAGTCTAAAGACAAAAAGAACTGCATAAATACACTTGTTGTTAAAGTTGTTTCTTGAAAATCATTTAGAAGGTTGGGGGATCCCAAAAGGAATGCATAATATGACAACAGAACCTAACTCTAATAACAATGTATGAAATAATATTGCTCTCTGAAGGGGGTGTGTGTAAAAGGTGCTAATCTAAGTCATTTTGTATAGGACTAGAGTCTCTAAGTCTAAAAGCAAAAAGACCTAAATATGCGTACTTGTTGATAAAGTTGTTTCTTAACAGGGTGTAAGTTAATTTTGATATTACTACACATGTATAATTGAATTGAATAATTAAGCAAATGAATGGTGGATGATTGGAGCCATATTTCTCACTGTTGCAGTAAATGTACAGATTAGTAAGAGGAGGATGGTAGAATGAGCCATGTTGTAATGGATAAAAGTTGGGCATATCAGTAAGAATTCATGTTTAAATTAATTTATATAAATATGGTGACATATAGAAATAATGTTTCAAATATATATGAAAATAGAATTATACAATATACCCATACCCTCTTAAGCCATTTTTAACTACTGACCAAACCTGTCTCATCTATACTTGCATCTTCTCCCTCCCCCTCATATTAGTTTAAAGCATATTCCAGGTATCATATTTTATTTATAAAATTTTGGTAGTTATATCTAAAACAAGAAACCCCTTGTTTTATTCACCATCACCACTACATCTTTAAGGTACTACAGGACTGAGCCTGGTGCTTCTTTCATATCCCCTTAGCATTTACCTCTAAAGCCAAAGCATGTTGCTTAATTACCTGAGACTTTACCTAATAAATACTTTCATTTTTCCTGACCACAGGATCACATTAGACCTTTGTGTAGAATAAGCTGCAAGGGCTGGAGAGTTAAGGCCCCAGGGAGCAACCTTCGACCAATATCAAATAGGAATTTAGTGGATAAATTCCCCAGCTTGCCTCCCTCAGTTAAAATACCTCTGAAGTTTGATATACATTACAGCAGGATTGAGCTCCGGTAGCACAATGAAAACCTGATGGATAGTGCATCTTGTATGGAATCCCTTCCTTTCCTTGCCTTGCTTCCTCACTTCTCTATTTGTATCCTGAGATTACCTCCCAAACAAGTTGCTTGTCCTACAGTTCTTGTTTCAGAATCTGTTTTGGAGGGAGACCAAACCAGGTCACATTTTCTAAAGAAATTAATGATAATTTCTTAATGGGATAAAATATTAAGTGTTAACATTTCTAATTGTCTTATACATATAAAATTTATTATTTTATTATACATTATTTTATATTAAAAATCAAGACTCAAGGCCCTCCTGTATCTATTGCTTCATATGTATTTTAAGCCTATTTTAATTAATCTCTATGCATGGTTCCCTCCATATCTTCTGTATTTCTTCTAGTTTATTTTTTGAGGAAACTGGATTGTTTAACTCATACATTTCTCATGGCCTGAACTTTGCTGATTACATCCCCAAGGTGTAGTTTATAACAGGATCATTTTTTGTTAATGGTGTTTGGAGGTAGAATCTTGCCCAGATAAGGATTTGATTTTTTTTCCCCTTGGCAAAACTACCCCTAGACTATATCTCAAAGACTATATCTATAAAGAGGAACATAACGGAAATGCCCGATTCTCTTTTGTTCGTGGTATTAGCAATCATGCATAAGTGTTTAGATCTACTAGTTAGAGGTTGCAAAATTATACATAAATCAAAAGTTTATTTTAAAATCAAGGTATATTTTGTTTAGATTTATCTTTTTTTATCAGTACATAATATTTGTACATACTAATGTGGTACATGTAATATTTTGTTATATGCCTAGAATGTGTAATGATCAAGACAGGGTATTAAAGATATACATTATCATTTCTATGTGTTGGGAACATTTCAAATCCTCTCTTCTAGCTATTTTAAAATACACAATATATTGTTGTTAACAATACTCACCCTACTCTGCTATTGAACATTGGAATTTATTCGTTCTGTCTAACTGTATGTTTGTACCCATTTACCAACCTCTCTTCATTTACCTCCCCCCAAAAACATACCTTTCCCAGCCTTTGATAATTATCATTCTATTCTCTACCTCCATGAGATCAACATTTTTACCTCCCATATATGAGCGAAAATATGCAATGTTCATCTTACTGTGCTTGGCTAATTTTACATAATGACTTCCAGTTTTCATGCATGTTACTGAAAGTGACAGAATTTCAGTCTTTTTTATGGCTATTATTCCACTGTTTATACATACCACATTTTCTTTTCATTCATTCGTTGATGGACAGTTAGGCTGATTGCATGTATCTTTGGCTACTGCTATAGTGTTTTAATAAGCATGGTGGAGGGCAAGTATCACTTTGATATGTTAATTTCCTTTCCTTGGATAAATATCCAGCAGTGGAGATGCAAATTTTCATGGTAGTTCTATTTTTAGTTTTTAAAGAAATCTCCATACTGTTTTTCATAATAATTGTATTAATTTACATTCCTAACAGTAGTATGTAAGAGTTCTTTTTTCTCTGCATCCTTGCCAGCATCTATTTTTGACAACACCTTTTCTAAGTAGGGTAAGATAATATATTATTGTGATTGTTGTAGTTTTGATTTGCATTTTTGCATTTCCCTGATGATTAAATATGTTGACTAATGTTGTTTTTTGTTTTGTTTTGTTTTTTAGAAATGAAATCTCCCTATGTTGCTCAGGCCGCTCTCCTGGGCTCAAGCAATCTTGGCCATTTGTATGTCTCCTTTTGAGAAATGTCTATACAGGTTCTTTGCCCACTTTTTAAGGGCATTGTTTTCTCCTGGTTGAATTGCTTGAGTACCTTGTGTGTTCTAGATATTGTTCCTTGTCAGATGAATACTTTGCAAGTATTTTCTCCCACTCAACAGGTTGTCTCTTTGTTGACTGTTTCCTTTGTTGTGCAGAGGCATTTAATTTAAAATACTTTCATTAGTCTATTTCTGTTTTTGTTATCTGTGCTTTTGAGGTCTTAGCCATAATATTTTTGCCAATACGAATGTCGTTATTTTTCTGTTTTCTTCTACTAACATTGTAACTTGAGATCTTAGGTTTAAGTCTTTCATTCACTTTGAGTTGATTTTTGTGTGTGGTAAGATGGGTCTAGTGTCATTTTTCTGCATATGAATATCCAGTTTTCCCAGCCTCATGTACTAAAGATAATGTACTTTCCCCAATATGTGTCTGTGGCATACTCGGCACCTTTTACAAAAATCAGTTGGCTGTAAATATGTGGATTTGTTTCTGGATTGTTTATTCTGTTCCTTTTGTCTATGTGTCCATTTTAATAGCAATTTTTTTTTTTGAGGCAGTGTCTCACTCTGTCACCCAGGCTGGAGTTCAGTGGCATGATATCGGCTCACTGCAACCTCTGCCTCCCCGGTTCAAGCAATTCTGCCTCAGCCTCCCAAGTAAGTGGGATTACAGGTGCATAATCCACCACGTCTGGCTCTTTTTTTTGTATTTTTAGTAGAGATGAGGTTTCGCCATGTTGGCCAGGCTGACCTCAAGTGATCAGCCTGCCTTGGACTCCCAAAGTGCTGGGCTTATAGGTGTGAGCCACCACGCCTGGCCTGCAATAATGTTTTTATTACTATAACCTTGGACATATTTTCCAAGGTAAGGTAATGTGATACTTACAGTTTTGTCCTTTTTGCTCAGGATTGCTTTGACTGTTTGAGCTTTCTTTTGGTTCCATATTAATTTTAGAATTGTTTTATTTCTATGAAAAATAATGTTGGTATTTTGATAAAAATTATACTTAATCTTTAGATTGCTTTGAATAGTATGGTCGTTTTAACAATATTAATTCTTCCAATCCATGAGCATGGGATTTCTTTCTCTTTGTTCATGTCTTCTTCAATTTCTTTCATCAGTTTTTTGTAAGTTTACTTGTAGAGGTGTTTCACTTTCTTGGTTAAATTTATTCCTAGGTGTTTTATTTATTTATTTTTGTAACTATTATAAATAGAATTGGGTTCTTCGTTTCTTTTTCAGCTAGTTTATTATTAATATACAGATATGCTACTGATTGTTTATATTGATTTTGTATCCTGAGACTTTACTGAATTTGCTTATCAGGTCTCAGAGATTTTTGGTGGAATCTGTAGGATCGTCTAAATGTAAGAGGATCCTCTAAATGTAAAGAGGGTCAGTTTGGCTTCACGTTTATAAGTTTAGAGAACTTTTATTTCTTTCTCTTGTCTGATTGCTCTGGCTGGGACTTCCATTACTATGTTGAGTAGTAGTGGTGAAAGAAGACATATTTGTCTTGTTTTAGTTCTTAGAGGAAAAGCTTTCAGCTTTCCCTTTTCAGTGTGGTGTTTTCTGTGGGTGTATCATACATGGCCTTTATTATGTTGAAGTATGTTCCTTCTATGCCTAGTTTGTTGAAAGTTTTTATCATGAAATCATATTGAATTTTACCAAATGCGTTTTCTGCATGTATTGAGATTATCATATGTTTTCATCTTTTCAGTCTCTTGATGTAATATGTCACATTTATCAATTTGTCTATGTTATACCAGCCTTGCATCCCTGGATAAATCCCACTTGATCATTATTTAATTTTTTTTTAATGTGCTCTTGGGTTTACTTTGCTAGTATTTTGTTGAAGATTTTTTGTGTCTATATTCTAGATATAGGCCTGTAGTTTTATCGCTGTGTGTTCCTGTCCTTTTCTGATTTTGGTGTCAGGCTTTTCAAAACTAGTTGGCGAGGTGGCCTATTAACTATGGATAACATACGATGAAGATTTTTAAATCCTTGATTAATCAAGGAAAAGATTAAATTTTATTTTAGTGTTGACAACTGAAGAATGCAAAGAAGTCAAAGAAGTGTATATAATGCATTTAGAAGTTCTTAATTAAGCACCTTATTACTTGTAGAGGTCATCCTCAATTACCTGTCAAAGGTATTTCATTTCGTATTAACATCAAGAAAATTAGATAATTAATAATTAGCACTTTCTGCCACCCACTGGCATTTATGGTTCTACTTTGAAATTTAAATTCATTAACCTTTCTCATCATACAACAATGTAAAACCTCCCCCCAAATTTGCATCATTTCCTAGGATGCCTGTGTTGATCATTTCTCCTTTTTGAGGAATAACCATGACTGCAAAAGACTGAAGAGCCTACCTCCTGAGTGCTTTATTCTTCACCCTTTCCCAAGATGTTTGAATGATATCCTCTGTCTTTTGAAACCTGACATATTTATTTTGATTTCAAATATGTATGTTCTACTTATAACACCATAAAAGAGAACAAAATTATATGGTTCTAAAATGAAATAAAAGGTCTTTAAAATATAAATAATGGGTCATGAACAATTGCATGACCAGAAAATAATCTGTGAAATATTTTCCCTTACATATCGCATGTGCCTCTAATGATGTTTAAAGAGAGACAGTGTAACCAAATAGACTTAAAAGAAGTTGAATGTATCTTAGTCTGTTTTTGATGATTCAAATGTCCCTTGGAAGTCTCTTACGTGTATAAATAACAGTTGTTGATTTTGGACTGTGACAGTGGTGAAAAGCTGTTTAGAATAAATCAGCTTAAGCAGATTGCATCACATAAACTGTGAAAAACATCCAACTCTGGGGTAGTTTTTAGAGTTTTCAAAGTTCTGCCTTTCATTTAAAAGAACATTTTTTCCTGAAAATATTTGGCTGTAAAAAGTATTCTTTAATACAAAAATTAACCTCTTTACCTTCTTTTCTTTTTCTAAACCTCTTTTATCCATTTTTAAAAACCTTTATTGAATTGCAATATGTATACATTAATGTCCACCTATCATCAGTTTACAACTCAATGAATTTTCTCAAACTAAACATAGTATGTAACTAGCATTGATATCCAGAAATAGATTATTACCAACATTTCCAAAGCCCCCATATGCCTTTTAGTCACTATTTCTCACACTCAAGATAATTTCTTTCCTGATTTCTAATCCCACTGTTTAGTTTTGTCTGTTTTATACATGGAGAGGTAAGTTCATAGCCTTTTATAACTAACTTATTTTGAGTGATCCTGTGTTTACAATCTTCACCATGTTGTTGCGTGTGGATTTTGATGGTTATTCTCACTGCTGTATACTACTGTTATGGAAACATACCACAATTTATTTATCCATTCCAGTGTTTATAGGTATAGTTAATAAGTGGCCTTTGCAGTTTAGGGCTATTATAAACAGTAATGCTGTAAATATTTTAGTACCTGTACTTTGGTAAAGCTATCTATCTAGGTATTATACACAAAAAATGGAATCCGTGAGTTTTGTGTCTGTATTTTTAGCTTAAGTACATACTTCAAATAGCTTTCCGAAGTATTAATGCAAATTTACACCTGACACCAGCAGCATTCCAGGGTTCTGGTTGCACTGCCTCCTTCCCAAAACTAGTCATTGCCTGCTTTTGTTTTATCTATTCTAGAGTATGTAGTGGTATCATGTTGTGGTTTTAATTTTCATTTTTCTTTTTCTTAATAAAGTTAAGCATTAAGAAAACACATCTATTGGCCATTTGGATTTCATCCAATGTGAACCCTCTATTCAACTATTTTATTACTTTTCTATTATATCTTTTTTTCATTGATGCACATAGTTTTGACACACTCAGTACTAGTCAATTGTGTCATATATACATTGCAAACATCTTTCTTTGTGGGTTATGTTTTCATTATCAAAGTGGTGACTTTTATTTCTACCCACTTTTAATTAATCAGCTTAATTCCCTCTTAAGTGAATCAGCTCACTCTGATTTTCCATTGCACTGATTTTCTAGTAACTGTAATCCTCAATATAGCACAAGACCGTTATTTTTCCACAAGGCTATAAGCAGCTAATTATAGAGTTGGGTATACAATAGATGATTATAAACATTTGATAAAAATTAATGACCTTTGGACATATTGCTACAAATTGACAATTCCCCAAATGGTGCCCCTTCTATTAATGCCAGTAAATGAAAAAAATGGGGTTAGTATAATCCTGGTTAATTGTCAATTCTGGCAGGTAGAATATTTGATTTAAACTTATTTCAAAGTACCTGTTTTATCTCCTCCTCAGTGGTGACTGAATGAAGACAAATATTAGTGATTTTTTATTTCAGAAATTGGAATACTAAGAGAAAATGTTTTAAAATCTGATGTAAAAACACTAATAAAACAAGAATGTTTATGTATCCATTCTTTAAGTTACTCCACTTACATTTGCTTAAATTTTGGGAACAGATGGTCACAACTGGATAACAACATTTTGATGTGAACACAGCAAGAATTAACAGCAAATAATTTTAAAGGGTTAAAAGTTAACATTCGCATTTGTGTTAGGCTGCTCTCATCTTTAAGAGCTGTTAATAATGTCTTGTTATTACAAAGACAAAACATCTCAGTCCAGATTGCAGGATTTTAGGACATTGGTTGACTTAGTGATGCCTCAGGGCACCATAGAAGTAGGCAATATGTTTTGTCATGCCCAAATCAAAGGCAAACCTTCACAAAGTTCTATGCTAATTATACTCTCCAATAAAATACTGTATTTCACAATCCTTTCAAGCATGGCTCTTTACAATCACCAATATGAGCAAATGTCATGACTGGGGCAAAGTGATGTCAGGAAAGACATAAGTGAAGGGTTACAAATGCAGCATTAGCTGTTCTCCTTCACTCCAATTTGAAGAGTCAAAGATTTTTTGTCATCTGAGTCCTAAATTCAGTAATCTCACCTCCCTGAGAATACAGAAATTACTTTGATTGCATAAAGTTTGGAAGTACTATTTCACAACAGCCAAATCACAAAGGGAAGTTGAAAACAGTCCAACAAACATGATGTCACAGGAAGAAATTGCCTATTAAAAAGGCACTATTTAAAGAAAGGCAAATGAAAAAGCTATAGCAGATATGGCAATCTTGAATATAAGACTTCACTGAAACAAGGTTCTCACTATATCTCATCCCAATTCCAATACCCCTTCCAAATACAACTTTTGCATTAAAAAAATTCACAACTTAGAGTGACTGAGCTCTTGCTACTCCACTTTTATGATATATCAATTATATCACAATAAAAGTGTTTTTATAAAAGTCACCACTTAAAAGGGTACAGTGTTTCTCAGTATATTTACAGAATTATGCAACCATCACCACAATCTAATTTTAAAATAGTGTTATCACCCCAGAAAGAAACCTCATTGAAAGTTAATTCTCATCCACCTACTCCCAGCCCAAATCAACCAGTAATTATCTTTAGCAATTTGCCTCATTTGGTCATATCACATAAATGAAATAATACAATATGTAGTTTCCACTCAACCTTAATACATATTTTAATTTTCAAAAACAAATCTTAATTTTCCCTTATTCTTGTTTTCAGTGATTGTAGATAGGTCTTTATAAAATGCACCACACAATATAATTCTAGAATATTTTTTAAAGAAACAGTGCTAGCTATTGTAATTTATTCGTTATTTTCTCAATATAAATTATTCATTTTAATCCCTCATATTTTCCTTATTTTGAGATGTCTCTATAGTATTTTAAGCAATGATTTTTTTACCTTCATTCCTTGAAAATTATCAGTTATTTGGTAAAAAAATATATATATAGAATTTATTGACTTTCCGACTTTGTCTCTAATTGATTATAGAAGCTGGTGTGAATACCTACCTTCAGGAACTCCGAATCCTGAATTAATACTCAATAAGTATGGGGAGAATAATACACTTTACTCATCGTATTCACCTGAGGTTTTATAAGAAGGAAATTACAAAGAGAAAAACAAAGGTTTGCAGAATTATTTTGAAAAAAAATAAATGGTTGCAGTCAGAGTTGCTGCAGCTTACATTTCTTAAGACTTTGATTAAAGTCAAAAAATATTTGAAAGGAGCACATATCTGGCAAATTTAATTTAAGAGTAAGAGCAAGAAAATAATCTGAGAATAGGTTTGACTGATTCCTTTCCCCGCTTAGACATTGCCTACAGCTGTGGTCTTCAGTGGATATACTTTTATGTATTGCTGTGAAGCTAATTAAAAAATTAATTAAAACGATGTCATTCATTATCTCCTGATCATTACTCTAAGAGTACAACCCAAAGTCTTTGACAGTCTTACCAAAATTTATATATGCAAACTCAGCCACCCATCCGCCAACATGTACCTGATCTACAAAATAATAAAATACTTCTCAGTGTCCTCAAATTAAGATACCTCATGTCTTCATGCCTTTATTTTTTTTTTGAGGTTCATACACCTATTTAATATCAGACAATGTTGAACCTTTAAATTTCTTTAGTCCTCGGAACAACACTTCTACACAGCTGATTTTTAATAGTTTTGTTAAGGTATTTGATACACAAAAACTGCATATATTTAATGTATATAATTTGGTAAATGTGGACATATGCAAACACTATGATACCATCACCAGTAATGGCAATAGACGTATACAACACATGCCAAAGTTTTCTTGTGTCTCCCCCTCCCTCTTTTTGTGGTAAGGACACACAACATGAGATCTACCCTCTTAATAAATTTTGAAGGGCATAATATCATATTGTTAACTATGGCACTATATTGTACATCAGATCTCTAGCACTTATTTATGTAGCACAACTGAAACTTTATACCCTACTGAACAACTTCTCATTTTCCATTCCCTGTTGTTTCTATTGCAGAACTTCCTTTTTTTAAAGGTCAAGTAATATTTCATTCTATGTATGTACCATATTTTCTTTATCCATTAATCTGTCAGTAGATGTTGAGCTGTTTCCACTTCTTGGTTATTGCGACTAAAGCTGCTATGAACATTGGAATGCAGATTTTTTTTGACTTACTGATTTCAATTCATTTGGATATATGCCCAGAAGCGGAATTGCTGGATTATATGGTAGTCCTGTTTTTAATTTTTTGAGGAGACTTCATACTCTTTTCTCTAATGACTGTACCAATTTACATTCCTGCCAACAGTGTACAAAGGTTCTAATTTTGTCATATCCTCACTGACACTTGTTTTCTTTTGATTTTTTAATAAAAGCCAACTTAACAAGTGTGAGGTGATATTTCGTTGTACTTTTGACTTTCATTTCTTTGATAATGAGGTTGAGCGTCTTTTCTTACAGCTGTTGGTCACTTGTATGTCTTCTTTGAAAAAAATGTCTCTTCAAGTCCTTTGCCCATTTTTAAATTGGGTTATTGTTAATTGTTGAGTTACATTTTTATAAAGTAAAGAAAATCCTAAAATTCATGTGAAACCAGAAAAGACCCAAAATAGCCTACACAATCTTGACAGAGAAGAACAAAGTTGGAGTCATCCCACTTCCGGATTTCAAAATGTATTATGAGGCCCTGGTAATTAAAACTCTATAGCACTGACATAAAGACAAACACATAAGCCAGTAGAACAGAATAGACAGCCCATAAATAAATCCATTCATACACGATCAGTTGAATCCATGATGGAGATATTAGTCTCTTCCACAAATGGCGTTGGGAAAACTGGGTATCCACATATAGAAGAAGGCAACTGGACCCTTGCCTTACATTATACAGAAAAATCAACTTTAAATAGATTGAAGACATAAACATAAGGTCTGAAACTATAAAACTACCAGACAAAAACATAAAGGGAAAAGCTTTTTGACATTGATCTTGGCAATGATTTATTACTAAGATACGAAAAGGAGGCAACAAAGACATAAATAGCCAAGTGAGACTGTATCACACTAAAAATGTTCTGCAAAACAAAAGGAATAATCAACAGAATAAAAAGACAATCTAAAGAATGAGAGAAAATACTTGCAAATCATGTATCTGATAAAGGGTTGATTTATAAAAAATATAGGGAGCACCTACAACTCAAGTAGACAAATAACCCAATTTTCATAACTTTTATCGCACACACTGTTTTCACTGACTAGCTCTCCCTACTTGCCTCTGCTTTGTAAATTCTTACAAATACTTTATAACAAAATTGAGATATCATCATCTTTTTGCAAGGACATACAACTCATTTACTAGCTTTTCTGAATTCCCATAACTCTGTGAGTATTTGACTCATTGGAACACTCTCTCTCTCTCTCTCTCTCTCTCACACACACACACACACACACCTTGCATCTTTTCTATTTATTTGAATGTCTATCTTTATTATTGGATTTGAGAATTCTTTAATTTTTAAGATAATATAACATTCATTTATTCATTTCTGGTACCTTGTATTGTTCATGGTTCAAATTAAGTAAGTTAGATGTATTTTTGTTGACTAAGTAAAGAATAAACCAATGGACAGAAATCCTTTCTGATAATACATGAACCATCTTTAGGTATACTTTAAATATATATTAAACATTTTAAAGATTATAGGCAAATAATGTGCTTTCTGGTTATGGACTGCTAAAAGAAGGAATTTTTAAAGCTATTTTTCTACTTAAAAATGAGCACTAATACTCAAAATGATGCAACATGCATTAGCAACAACCCAAACACATTGCAGTAGTTCTGACCATGACCAGGTATGAGCCAGAGAATAGCCTAAGAGATGATGCAGCATACTATACACAAAAGCAGATGTCTTGATTCTGGCAGTTTACATCATCATCCCTTTAGTAGAGTGAGGAGATTTGGGCTTTAGGACAGGCCACTATACAATCGAGAGATGTCTCTATGGAAACCTAATTCAATCTCAAAACTTGTCAGGGAATATGACACTAAGGGTGAAACCATAATAAAGTCATTTTTATTATTCATAAATGAACTTTTATGCAAAGGAGATGGCTGGATGTCAAGAGTGGTGAATGAGGGAGGGGAAGCAGCAATCACCAGCTCTCAACTCAGAGTGCTCCAGTCTGAAGGGGATTAACAGTGAACCGTACCAACTCAGCACTGCTTAAATGCTGAAATCCTATGTCCAAGATATTTGTTAGTATATTTTATATTATGAAAATATATACTTTAATTTTAAAAATGACTAGAAACACGACTTTATATTATATGAATTATGTAGCCATTAAATAATTATATTCCAGTGATTTTTATGTTATAAAAATATGCATTGAAAATTAGATCAAATAAGAAAAAATGTTTAAAAACTGGAATAAAAGAAAGCTATAATAGTGGATGCCTCTGAGTGTCAGATTGATATTATATCCTTTCTTTAAGCTGTTCTTATTTTCCAAGGATTTTAAATAATCATGTATTAATTCAAAGATTAAAGAATATGTTAACATTAAAAAACAAGCATAGGAATATCATGTACCTGCCATGTCCTATCTCTGAGATTTGACAAGTAAATGAATCTTTTCAAATTTAAGCAATATGCAAAACTCAAAACATGCAGTATTGCAAGCCCTGTTTTCTTCCTTTTTAACTGTTCCAAAATCCTAAGATGTTTCTTCTCATCTGAGAAGCGTTTTTCTGCCTCTTCTACTCCTCACTCAAACTCCAAAACCCTCCTGAATTTTGACTTAGCTTACTTTACCATGTAATCTCATCTGTAATCTTTAATCTCTTTTGTTTACTACTGTATCTGGAGTATATACAATAGTACCTGACATATAGAATGCATAATTCAATAATGGTTGAATGTGATTGTGGCCATCAGTAATAATTACTTGAGATATACCGTTAATGTAAAGCTTATGTATTATTAATAAACTCAATATTTCCTAGCATTATTAGTACTTTAAAAAATTCTGCCACATTTTAAAAGCTACTAACTTCTTTATTCTTTCTCACAGACTAGTCAACCACCTAGAAGGGCTGACTGGAATGGATATAAGATGATTTAGCTTGATGGATAACGCTTTGTCACAAAATGTTTGATGCAATTAGGCACCAAATACCATGGTTTTCTACAAATTCCAGAATTTGTTAAGTTCACATCAGACTATCTCATTTACAGTCTTTGATGCTCACAAAACATCTTCCATGGCTCTCTAAATATTTGTTTTAATAGCATAACCCTGAGGCTGTTCAGTCCCATCCCTTCAAGCCATATACAGTTTTCACATGAAGATTTTACTTTATCTGAAGCTCATACGAATTTTTACATTTAAGCCAAAATATACTAGACATTTTGGACTTTTGATTCACATCATCTTTGTACCTCTTTCACCCAAATTTTTCTGGAAGAACAATAGTCTTGAGGTACTGTAAGTATACTATATTATATAGATATTGCTATAGCATGTGTCTACTTCTGAAACAAAGGAATGTAATCTGTGTGTGGCTTTGACTTAGATCACAGACTCCAACCTGACTTGAGAATGGATTCTTACTAGTATCCGTTAAGACTCTTACCCAGTGTCAGTTAAAATTTTTATTAGTATCAGTTAAGATTAGGTTCCCACATGAATAAGAGTCCCCAAATCACAGTGACTTGAAAACAATAAGGTACAAGTGTATTTCTTACAAAGAAGCCTTGAGGCAGATGAGGGCTCATATGGCAGCTCTGGTCTGCAAAGTCCATAAGGACTGAGTTTGTTTTGAATGTTTCTCTTGGCCATTCCTGACATAGTAAGTTCATACTAACTGTTTAAAATGGCAGCCAGAGCTACAGCTATCAAATCAATGTTCTAGTCAGTAGTAGGAGGAATGGAAGAAAATTGTTGGCCACAGGTATGGGTCTAGCTTTCTTTTCAAAAGGTTTCCAGAAGCTGCCACTCAATACTTTCATTTCTTTCCTTTTATGACTTTGTCACACAGCCACACCTAACTTCAAGTTAGAATTTATTCTACATGGTCAACTACTTAACTAAAAATTAGGTGTTCTATTTTTGTTTTTTTTGAAGGAAAGATGGCTATCTCTCTGCCAGACTATCAGAATCATGTGAGCTAAGAGTTGGAGAGGGAATGTCCACTAGAATAAAGATGGGGGATATTATTAGAAGACAAGTAAATGAGTACAGGGAACAAACACAGATGTCTAGTTTACTGAAAAATATGAAGTACAAAGAAATATAAATTATGATAAAGGCAGACTAAATGCATTGTTTTGTGGAGCAAGGCAGAAATAGCAAAAAGATGTAAACAGCCTTTATATTGAATATTAATAAGCATCTCTATGTGTGGGTATTAACATATTTTTGTACTTGATATTCCGTAGCTTGCAGATTACCACTTACAAAACTTGATAAAGTTAATGTGTTTATAAAGTCACACTGCAAATGGTAGTATTACTAACTAGCTTTTATAATGTTTTATTTTTGAGTTGATTTCCTGTTGCTATGAAAATATCAGTTTCTCAGTTTCTTAAGGTTGAGTATTTAATTTCTTAAAGAGGAGATTACTTTTTCTAAACAAGAGGAAAGCAAAGAGGTAAAAAGCAGCTGCTATGGTTTCATGATTTAATTGTACGATTCTTAGCTACCTATGGAGAAGGGATAAGTTTCACTTATATAACAGAATAGGGATGCAGGAGAAAAGATTGTGTTGTTCCCCCAAAACAGGAAAGCTCAACTATGGCTTTGTCTGCTTACTCACTTTGTAGTTCTATTCTAGAAAATTTTCTCATGAATTTTTTTCTTCAGAAAAATAATACCTAACTTGATTTCTTATGTTGGAGTTTTATATGTATAAATATTATTCTCTGTAGTAAGACCTCTCAAACGGGGGCAATTTTAACTTCTAGGAGAAATTTGACAAAGTGCATAGAAGCCACCCGATGCTACTGATCATTCTACAGTTCACAGGCAAGTCTCTGTTTCTCAACCCCAATAAAAGATTATTTAGCACAACTGTCAATCCTGCTGAGTTGTAAAACCCTGATCTTTAGGAATTAACTTGGAAGGGAGAAATTCCCTATTAGTACTAAAAAGATACCTCTAAATCTATATGTGATTTTTAAAATAATACTTTTCTACAACTAAACTTGTTCAACTCTAAACTCTAAACCAAGGGATCTTAATTAAGCTAAGGTCCCTGCAATACAAGGGAGTCCATGAATAGCCATCTTACAATCATAAGCAAAATATTATGTACATAAATCTGAATATTTATAAGAGAGCAGGTCTATAGCTTTCATCTGATTCTCTTAAGGTATTTATGACTTCAAAAACCAGCCACTGGATTTATTTACAACCTCAAAGAGTTTTACTGTATTAATCACACATTATCTTCCTTCCATGCAGCCAAGCTTCTCTTTTAGGCATTGTTTTTCCGCACATACTCTAACCTTACTCATTAAAGGCATGACACTTACTAAAATAAAGTTTAAAGATTCCCAATTGAATCCTTTTTATTAACAGAAACAATATCAACAAAGAGTTCCTTTTGGACAACTTGTGATTTAAGAAATTAGACTTTCCACTTTAACCAACATGTTGAAAATTTACTCTTGATATATTACATATTATTTGTGATACACATTTATTATTTTGCATAATAGCATATACTATACAGTTAAGTAGGTATTTTTCCATAACCTCCTCTTTGTCCTCTTCTCCTGTCTTAGGAAATGGCATTACTATCAGTCCAAGTCACTAGACCAGAAACAATAATAGGAAATCTTCCTCACCTCCTCATTTTCAACTTCAATTATTTTTCATGTGTTGTCCATTCTACACCCTAAATAATAATCAAATCCACCCCCTCGTCTCTACCCCTGCTGCCATTTTCTCAGTTCAATATCTCATTTTCTTTTAGTTGAAATATAGCATTAATAGTTTCCTAACCTGCTATTCCTGATTCTGTTCATTTCTATTTCATTCTTCACACCACTGGATAGACATCTTTCTAAACTATACATCTTTTCCTTTTCTCTTTTTCTTTCTCCTTTTTTTTTTTTTTTTAGATGGAGTTTCACTCTTGTTGCCCAGGCTGGAGTGCAATGGCACATTCTCGGCTCATGGCAACCTCCACCTCTCAGGCTCAAGCGATTCTCCAGCCTCAGCCTCCCGAGTAGCTGGGATTACAGGCACCTGCTGCTACGCCTGGCTATTTTTTTTTTTTTTTTTTTTTTTGTATTTTTAGTAGAGATGGGGTTTCACCATGTTGTCCAGGCTGGTCTCGAACTCTTGACCTCAGGTGATACACCCACCTTGGTCTCCCAAAGTGCTGAGATTACAGGTGTGAGCCACCATGCCTGGCCTAAACTATAAATCTAACCAGCTTACTTTCCAGATAAAAACACTAAAAGATCTGTCTTCCTACTGTCTACATGGTAACATCCTAACTACAGCAGGGCAGTCAGGATCTTATAAATGCAGGTCTAAGCTCCCTCTGGGGCCTTGTCTCTCACTGTTGCTGCTCCCACTGGAGTCTAGGGGCTAACTACATTGATTTCTCGTCATCATTGGATATGTATGTTTTACTCTGTTCCTACTTTGCCTCAGTGATTTTCCCTCCCTTGTTGAAATTCTATTCATCCTTCATAAGGAAGCTGGGCTTCAAAGTCTTTTCCAGTTCCCCAAAGTGGAGTTCATCATTCTTATATTTCTGCTCAAAAATCATTTGGTACTTTAACATCTTTTCATCTTTGGTTTTCAAGCACTTTGGGCAGTTCAGGCCACAAATGTACATTTTCAATAAATATTTCTATAACTGGATTAGAGAAAACTCTATGGAAATTCTAGACTTTGCTTAATACTAAGTAATAGAAAATCCATGAATTCATGGAAGGAGTGAAATGAAAAGTTCAATATGAGCTCTAAACATTAGAGCTTGGATTTCAGTTTTCTAAATGACTGTTATTAAGAGCATAGATAAATAAGGTTCCAAAATAGTTTGAGCAATTCACATGATTTCCTGTTTCATGTATAGAATACAATACCACCTAAATAAAAGAATTTGAGATTTAAAATCATTTATTTCAAAACAGAGAGATAACAGATATTGTTTAAATTTCTCATAGATTATATTTGTATTTGTACTTCATTGCAATCTTTGTTAAAGTCTCTCTCATATCAAAATTTGCAGAATAGGGTCAAAATTAATAATGAATTGTAAAATACATATGTATTAATGTTCTAAAAGTATTGCTCTGTTTTTATTCTGACCGTAATTCTTATTATTGTTGATTAAAGGTTTATGCAGTAATAGGGGTTGTAGAATGTAGGGGTTTACAGGCTTAAATTGTATAAATAAAGCAACACTATCCAAAATTTTGTTTAAGATATTATGTGATCTGAATTAAATTCAGAAATCCTAGAAGGCTGGAGGAAATTTGGTGTAAATTAAAACAACAACAACAACTTCTATTACCACAGCTTGGTCCCCAAGCTCTTGGTTCTCATAGAGAACCTCTATGAGAAATTAGTGGAGGTTAACACCAGGGCAAAGAGACATTTTCGCAGACTTGATGTGAATAATTTTTAACATATCATCAAGTTTAATAACTTTAAGGCAATGAAAATAACCAAATGAGTTTTATTGTTCAATATATTTATTCAATCTACTTATTGAGTGCCAGCCATATGTCGGACACTGTGCTTGTTAACATTTATCAATAAGAGGTTAAATACGCTTATTACTTAACTTTTTCTAAAAGTAATACAAATTTAAAATTGCTGTTGTGTTTTATTTTGTATATTTTATTTTGTACTTAAAACATAATTATTTTCGGCCTCAAATTTGGTATTTTTTAGCAATTTTGAGCTATCAGGCAAGACTTGAATTTCACGTGAATAAGTTCCCCACCTGCTCCTTCCTTTTTGCTCACTTTTCCCTATTCTCATTAGTTTTGTCCTTTATGGTTTATTATGAAGCATTTCTCCAGGTTTTATTATCCAAATCTACACTTGTCAGATGAGAATCTGAGAACCATAAAATTTCAATATCTAGACTAGTGATATACATAGGAAGTGAAAAAGCCAGGACTAAAAAGAGGCCTTCTGATTTATTTCATTATACATACCACAGTGTCTTACTAAGTTTATTGTCCTTTGAATCCAATATATACAGAAGCGCACTGAATACTGCGAATCTATTAAAGTCAGTGCTGATTGATAATGCAAAATTAAAAATGTGGAAATCATACGTGCTATATGTTTGCATATTGTTCATGGAAGTAAAAGAGAAAATATTAAGTTGACTTTATTAGACTCTATCTGAACCAAAAATACATTGAGAACCAAACACTGAAACTACTTTTGGTTTCACCATTATGGAAGTTATTATATTTAATTCTGAACATAGTATGACAGTGGCACTTCGATAGTGTAGTTTACTTCTTTTGGAGTATTAATAACACTATGTTATTAAATACTATTTGGGAAATATCCTGGCAATGTTAAGATGCCTAAAACCTAAAATTAATTACAAGTTTAATGGCAATAAAGACTGCTGATCATTCAGTTATTTGTCTAATTTACAAGAATAATAGGTGTTAAAAAAAGACAGGTGGTAAGGAATTGACCCATTCTCAGGTTAAGTAAAAAATATCCTAGATACCTGCCAATTAAACTTGTAGGATATCTTATTCTGCTCAAGTAAAACAGAACCATTTTAAGAGATTTTATTAATGTTGCACTTTCAAGAGCTTTCAAGAAACACCATTCTATTGTAGTTGGAGCAAGACATTTTTCCTATCCTTAATCTTACATTATTCATGTTTGCCTAAAGAGAAAAACATTTTAGAAGAAAAATAAAATTTAAGTTGTATATATTTTATTTTGCTTTATTTCTAATGTCTTTTGAGTACAATGTTTTAAAAAAGGAAGTGGAGAATAGAGACGCCGTCTTGAATAGACAACTAGATGTTTTCCCAAGTCCAATAGCTTCAGGGACCTTAATAACAGAGGAAAATCCCAGATTCCTTTTCCAGAATTTAACGTGATTGTATTCAGCAGATTAGTCATGGCTGACCAAACTGTTTTTGACTTCTAACCCTGCTTGTGTTTTGGTAAGGGAGACAAGTTAACCTGATTAAATTCATAAAATTGCAACCCACAAAATCCAACTTGCTGATTCATGGAAGGCATTTTGTCATTTATTTGAAAGCCAGAGGAAAAAAGAAGTGGGGTTTTGTAAAGATGAAAGCAGCATTTGATCGCTTGTCTAATGCATTTTATGGCTGAAAAGCATCAGTGGATATTAGAGAGGGAAGTATTGTTATTACTTGTTTCAAGTAATAAATTAAAAATGGAAATGAAATGGTTTGACAAAAATGTTTAAACAAGGAGGAGGGAGAAATGTTAGCATTTTGATTCTATTCTGATTGAAGGTACTCTCATTCCACCATGAAAAAATGATGTCATTCTTCCAGCATGCCTCATTTCCAATGGAACTTAGTAAAATATGCACACGTTAACATTAGATTCCGCAGGGTTTAATGCAGTTACACAAAGAAGTTTTGCCAGAAGGAGGGATAAATATCACAGCCATTCATTTCACAGCGCTCTCCAATCTGGCTGCAACAGTTTCTGTAAGCAGCACATCAGTGAATAAAAAGGAAATTAAAAGGAGGAGCAGGAAAACAGGGATTTAGGATGAAAAAGTTTTCAAAAACATTTTTGGCTTTAGAGAAAACAGTTCACAATCATTATCATGAATAAAATCCCTGCTTAGCTTAGGTTGATGGAAACATTCTGAAAGCAGAGCTTTTTCAGGGAAAACAAAACAAAACAAAACAAAAAAACACAACAAACTATCCTCTGAACACCATTAGTTAGGATCAAGAAACATCCTAGAGAAAACATCCTTGTTTTATATAGCTGAATCCCCCACTTCCTCAGATGATGCAGTAAATGTTCGCATTTCGTGTGCTTTTCTGTGTTCGTGCAAAATGACACAGTATTCTGGTGACTTTCTAAATTGGGTCTTTTAGCATTTATACTGTAGTACTTTTTATGCTCTGTATTGTATTACCCCAAAATAATTAAATATTAGAGGGTATTTACAACTCTCTGATTGCAAAAATGGCACATGCTGATATTCTTAATAACAGCAAAGGAAAAAGCAAGAGAATTACTTTGATTCTAGTTTCATTTCTTGGCATATCTGCTACTGCCACCTCCTTCAGTTGTCAGAGATTGGACTCAGGGTGTATGACAGCTCTCCCATCGACGTGTGCCAAGTAGCCTTGGGTCCTTTTCAAGAATCAAGCTCTTGGGTAGCTTGTTCAGCATTCCTGTGGAGTGATCTACAAAAATTTATATCTGTTGACTGTTTATGTCTCTTTATAAAGGGGAAATAAATGAACATTGCATATTCATTTGTACCTATGCTCTCATTTACTTTTGTCATCAACCTTGGGAGCTAGATATTAATGTCTATCCTTTTTGTTGTTGTTGTTTACAGAAAGGAAAACTGAGTCTCAAAAACTATCTTGTACAGATTCTCAGACCTACCATGGGATGGAACTTACTTATGAGCCCCAGACTCCAAAAACATCACATCCTACCAGGCACTGTATTTAGAGTTCATCAGCATTTGCTAATTAACCAATTTATATAAAAAGTTCAATGTTAGCCTATAACTAAGGAAGTACTATAGAATTGCACATAAAATAAATGATTTAATTAATATTGCTTAATTCCTGTAGAAGGAGTACTGTGTAAGTGATTGGAATTTACACTTAATTATAAGAAGCTGGTGGTGATCTTAACTAATTTAATTGTTTATTTGTGCCCATAACAGGCAGTAGAAAGGGATTTCTAGAAAACATTTTTCATGATAATATTTTCAACTTGGATCTAAGAGACGGAAAAACATTTTCGTTTTACATCATTTACTCCTTTTCTGTGCTAGAATTTGACTTTGATATTTAATCCTAAAATGTATATAATAATATTACAATTTTTTCAATAGGTTGTCAAAAAATCCCAAATTAAGTCTGAGCTAGGCTTCTAAGATAAGCTTTTCAACGTTTTTTTACAATACACATATCGAATAATTGTATAAGGATATTATCAGTATGTTAAAAAGTTACTACATCGTAGTAACCTTAATGACATCCTTCATGAAATATAATTTCCGGCCGGGCGGGCTCAAGCCTGTAATCCCGGCGCTCTGGGAGGCCGAGGCGGGGGGAATCGCGAGGTCAGGAGATCGAGAGCATCCTGGCCAACATGGTGAAACCCCATCGCTACTAAAAATACAAAAATTAGTTGGGCGTGGTGGCAGGCACCTGTAATCCCAGCTACTTGGGAGGCTGAGGCAGGAGAATTCCTTGAACTTGGGAGGCGGAAGTTGCAGTGAGCCGAGATCGCGCCACTGCCCTTCAGCCTGGCAACAGAGCGAGACTCCATCTCAGAAATATCTATGTATCTATCTAATTTTCATAATTATTAAATATTATGTTAACATTTATTTCAACTGAATTAATTGGCAAAATAATTGACAATTTTTTTTTCAAACTGATGATATTCTACATGGGCATATCATAGACAGGAAAATATTCTTTTCTATCCGCTTTCTCAGATTCATGGCTGAAGCGTCTGAAACAAGACTAACAAGACTAACGAGATTAACAAGAGAAAAACATACAAATTTTTAAAATATAAGTTGTATGTGACATAGAAGCATTTATAAAGAAAAGAAGACCAGAAGAAACGGGTAGACCTGGGTATTTTTATGCTACTTTTGATGAAAATGGGAATGCTTTTGGAGACGCATGAGTGAATAAAAAAATATGATCTAATGGTAATAAACTAGAGGAAACAGAGCAAAGTCTGTTCAGATTCTTCTCTGTGATGCTTTGTCTTCAGAGGTAAGTGCTCCTTTCCTTGGTGTATGGGAGGCATCTCTCACATAAGGATTTTATGATCTGCTTCAGGGAGATCAGGAGAAGGTCAGGGACACCTTCCTGCTTCTGTGGTTTTCTCACATTTCTTAAGCTTAAAATACCCAGTATGACAAGGAGCCATATTTTGGAGTACCATGTTCTCAACCCCGTCAATATACATATGTGAAAAAAGAGATACAGTTTCAGATAGTAATAAAAGCAGTTTTTTTCTTGTGCGAATACTGATGTTTCATGGACAACAGAGCTTCTATATCTTCATTAATATCTATAGCTTATTTTCTTAGGGAATTTCACCAAATTCATTTTTCAAGTATTTGAATATTGTAGATAGACCTTACAAATTATGTCCTTATTTTAAAGGGAAAAGGTTGCAAGAATTGATAAAAATTCTATTTTTCTAGGTAAAATTGTAAAAACTTTAACAAGTGGGTATTTGTAATTTACTAATAAAAACAGTGATTTGCATATAAATAGTTCAAGGCATTCTTTCTACTATTGTTCATATTACTACTTTTCTTTCATGCACATTGTTCTTCTGTAGTGACTCTTGAATGAAAAAACACCCACAATAAACCATAATACCAATCTAAACTGAGTGTGTGGTTGGTGTTATTTTGGACTTTAATGTAAAAGTTTGGAGTGGGACAGATTAAACCATCAATTTGCAACAGACTTGCAGGATTAGCTTCATTAAGTGTGTGACCAGTTGACCAGTGCATTTGCACAGGCCCCTGTGCTCAGTGTTCAGAAGTACCCCCCTCCAAAACCACAATCCCTCCATACATGCAGCCCACCCTCATAACTGCACCCCATGGCACTTGGGGTTTTATTAAGGTCTACAGTCACCATCTTGATGATTTTAATTGTTTTATCTTTCAAATTGTGTTTTAAAAGTGAAGCCTGATGGGACAGTGACACGTGACTAGGATCTCAGCGCTTCCCCTCGGGGTTGGTTCCACATTTCCCTGGATAAGTTCCTGGCTACCTATTTTCCCTCCCATATGCTGCTTCCCTCTATCTCAGTGGGGACCAAAGCACTGCAGTCATAAGTTACAAGGTAGGGCTCCAGGGATTGTGAAGGTCTGTGTTCACTCTGTAAGCATCCCTGTGTCCAGTGGAACAGGCATTAAGTGGTACATCTAGAGAGACTGGATGAGAAAGAAAGAGCTTTTATCCTGCTTTTTCAAACAAACAGAGCCCTGAATTTTATTTTTCTTTGGGCCCTGCAAATTTTGTGGCTGGTCCTGGTAATTTGGAACTAATGTTAATGTATATAACTGTCTGAACCCACCAGTTCAGATGAGAAGGGCAATTCTGAAGTGCATTATTTTTCAGGGTATCAGGTGCTTACTTTAGAAAATGACCATCTAATCTTAAAGATTTAAATTGTCATCTCTCTAAGTTGTTGCTTGTCAGGCAGATGCACACTTACTAAATATCCTCAATATAAGAAGAACTTACTCAAAGTTCATGCAGTATGTCTTGCTGGTGGATGTACAGATTCCTTAGGCAGTGCTCGCACTGCTCTCAGACTCAGGAAAACAGGTGCAGCCATCAGAATCACAATTGCATTTTAGAAAATGTCATATATAATTCATAAGAAAGAATTATTTGTGTTAACTTAGAACCAATGATAGAATTAGTAATATCATTTTCTTCACATTACAATAATCATTTTCAATGTGATTTACTCAGTATTCATAGTTTGCGAAGCATGAAATGAAACGTTTTTTCTAAAGCAGCTATTTAATCAGACTTAAAGATTACAATGAAGTGCACCCATAAATGACTTTTTCTAATTCAATCATAGGTATTTAATTCTATATATATCCACATAATAGCCAAAACAAACTTCTCAAAACTTAGAACTGATACATGGGCAGAAAGTAGAACGTACTAGATAGGTAGAATGGCATCATGTTTTAAAAACTGCATTGAGATCATTTTCTCTGTCTACCTAGGATGCTTCCCTCAACTTTCTTTTTTCAAACTGGTAATATGCTGCCTATCTATCTTTTAAAAAAATTTAAATTGTTTTAATTTTTATGAGTACATAATAGTTGTATGTATTTAAGGGGTATGTGAAATATTTTGATAGAAGTGTACAATGTATTATGCTCAAATTAGGGTATCTGGACACCCATCACCTAAAACATTTATCATGTTTTTGTGTTGGGAACATTCCAAACCCACTCTAGTTATTTGGAAATATACAATAATTTATTGTTAACTATAGTCACTCTACTGTGCTACCAAACACTAGATCTTATTCTTACAATCTAACTGAATTTTTGTACCCATTTACCAACCCCTTTTTCCCCCCATTCCCACTACCCATACCAGCCTCTGGTAATCATCATTCTACTTTCCACCTTCATAAGATAATTTTTTAAGCTCCCACCTATGAACGAGAACATGTGTATTTGTCTTGCTGTGGCTGGCTTATTTCACTTGACATAATGTCCTCCAGTTCCAACCATGTAATTACAAAGGATATCTTTCTACTTTATGGCTGAATAATATTTCATTGTATATATGTTCTACTTTTTCTTATCCATTCATTGGTTGATGGACATTTATATTTATTTCATATCTTGGCTATTGTGAGTAGTGCTGCAATAAACATGGGAGTGCAGATATCTCTTAATATACTGAATTTCTTTCTTTTGGAGCTATATACACAGCAGTGGAATTGCTGGATCATGTGGTAGTTCTACTGTTAGTTTTTTGAGGATTCTTCATACTATTTTTCATAATGGCTATACCAATTTACATTCCTACCAACAGTGTACGAGCTTTACTTTATCTACATCTTTGCTAGCATTTATTATTTTCTCTATTTCATAAAAACCATTTTTAACTGGAGTGAAATGATATCTCATTGTGGTTTTAATTTGCATTTCTCTGATGATTATATATGTTGAGCATATTTTGTATATGCCTGTTGGCAAAGAGACAACCTATAGAATGGGAGAAAATATTTGCAAACTATTCAACTCACAATAATCTATAAGGAACTCAATAACCAGAATATGTAAGAAACTCAAAAAACTCAATAGCAAAAAAATCTGAATAAAAATGGGCAAGAGATCGGAGTAGACATTTCTCAAAGACGAAATACCTGTCTTAAGAGCTAGATTAAATATAATTTTTATCCATGAAAGCTCTTTGAAACTTTTTTCCCAGGTCTCAAGGAAACTTTTGCTCAACTCTCTATTATAGCACGTTTTACATTTTTTGCTAATTCTTCCTAGAAGAATGACATTGAACATCTTATTCAAAATTCTCTCTTCTCTTAGAATCACAAAACCATGGGCTCATTATGACCAGGACAGGAATATCCATGGCACCATCCTAATGGTTCTCAGGTGTTAGGTGTATCTTTAAACTATGTAACTAGTTGCAGGTGCTACACAGGCTACTCCACACCTAGCCTGACCACCCGCTGCTATTAGATGAAACCAGTAACATTTTGATAAGTGCAAATAAAAGGAATCTCTCCCTGTGTATAACATCCAGTAGTTGTAGGCTCAACTGAACAATCTCACATGACTACAGTAGGCCACACTTGCTAATGGCTTCATTAGAATAATACAAATATCATAAACAAAGCTTGCCAGTAAGGCAGTATTGGTTATTTTTTTTCCATGAGAGTTTTGACAAGTGTCTAGGGCTACAACCTTTTTCTAACTCTGCAAAGTGACAAGTATGAAAGATGGAGACCATACGTGGGTATGAGAGTTATCCTGGCTGACACTTAGGTCCCAAATAGGAATCAGTATCTATTATAACAGCCCATAAGCAAAGAACATGACCAATTACAAGAATGCCCAGCATCAAGAAAGCTCATCTCATCATGACGCCTTATTTCAGTGGGAAAGCTTTGACTGCCTTTCATTTTCTTTTGTTGGTATTGATTAAATGTTTCCTAAGGCAAAGTTAGTAATTTATATTTTTCTATCAGATTAATTATTTGATTTACTTGTACACATAGAAGTCTCTGTGTATGTGTGTGTGTGTTTTGTTGTTGTTGTTTTTTTTTTTTTTTGAGACAGAGTCTTTCTCTGTCACCCAGGCTGGAGTGCAGTGGCGCGATCTCAGCTCACTGCAACCTCCTCCTTCCAGGTTCAAGCAATTCTCCTGCCTCAGCCTTCTCAGTAGCTGGGACTACAGGACCTGCTACCATGCCTGGCTAGTTTTTGTATTTTTAGTAGAGGCGGGGTTTCACCATATTGGGCAGGCTGGTCTCGAACTCCTGACCTGTGATCCGTCCGCCTCGGACTCCCAAAGTGCTGGGATTACAGATGTGAGCTACCGCGCCTGGCCTAGAAGTCTCTTAAATGCTCTTTTTTCCTGATTTCTAAAGTTACCCATTTGCTTTTTATGTTTTTCTTTTTATTCTTCCATGGCAATATATATATTTTAGTCATTCTTTAAAAAAAAAAGATTTTAAAAAATCAAGTTTTTCATTTTTTGTAGCTTTGCTAGTTTTTATTAATTTTTAAATTTTCATTAGTATTTCACAGTTTGTGGAAGAAAGCTTTTGTTTTTTTTTTTTGGTTTCTTGGGTTAAATGCATACCTGTTATGTTGAATTTTATTGTTTTATGAGTCACAAAATCTTGTCTGTTTGGTAATCTAAATTCCCAAATATTTCTGTTTCTTAATGTGAATAGAGGGATAGCAAAACATATTCTTCTTTTCCATAAAAATAAAAATTACCCTGGGTTAACTTTCAAGTTTTATTTTCATGGAAACCAGATACTGGTAGATTGTCAGCCATATTACTAGACAACATTGCCTATAATAAGAATAAAGCAGAATGGATAAACTGTATCTGGTTTGGGAGGGCTGCTTTTAACAGTCAGGAGAAATAAGACAGATTTTTTTTAACATGATTTTGGTCTCTTAACAGTTACTACTTCTTATAATGCAACAGACACATGACACATTGTCCTATAGTTTAAAATATTTTAAATTGTATATTATATATATTATTTTAAATTAAGTATCATATATTTTATAAAATATATTTCAAAACTATAATATACAAAAATGTGTGTAATTAAAATATATAAATATAGATTATAAAGAAGAAAATTATAAAAATTTTACCAAAATGCAAATAAATATATAATTATGAGACATGTCTGTTTAGAAAAATTTTTTGTATTATTTTTAGCATGTCCTTAGCTTTGCTTGCTGTCTTTGGCATTTTTAAATCATACTGCCCTTACTGCATAGAAATGTTCTCAGTCACTTAATATGTTACTTACATAAATTAATTAACTTGACATTTAATGCTTCAAGACTAAAAATTATCTAGCATCATTCACATTTTGCATATTGCATTTGGGCCTCCAAACATTTACAAGAATGAGAATATGACCCTTGAAGTGCTTGAAAACTTTGACCTATTCCATCCAAAAAGTGAGTAAAACTTATATGGTTTTAAGCCAAGTCATTTCAAACAGAATAGAGCAATTAACCCGTTGATATGAAGAATGGGTCAGAAGGCATTTCCATAGAGAATGCTTCAATTCATTTTTGATTGTACAAGATCTTTCTGTTGATCATTTATTTTTTATTATTTCAATGTGGAGTAGACTTATTTAACTTGTATAACAGTGATGGTATATTATGTCTCTATATTTGAAGTAAACATGCAAAAAAATGTGGTTTAAAAATTTGTGTATTTTATAACTAACAATAATGGAAGTTCATAAAATTATTAAATAGGCAAAATTTTACATGAAAAGCAATTTGAGGCTTTGTTTAGTGGGTCTGAGGTAATGGATCAAATGTGGTATCTCATACCAACCAGTGAGAAGCCTGGATATATGTAACAAATCTTCAAAATTCAGTGATATTTTAAAATACATTCCTTTAATATCCAATCTTAGAATCTAATCAGGAGATATAGACTTCTAATGGTAAGATGATTTTGTTTTCTACTTTTAACTTATGGCCACTGAGGGCTGAGAGGCAAATATCCGCTTCCATAAGATACCTAAAAATTTGGTGGAACAAGAAACGCCTATAATAATGTTTGCTCTTATCTTGAATGCATGGTAATTGAATAAAACGATCTCTTAATTTAGGAAGAAGGAATGGGTTAGTTTGCTCACTTCAATTTACCATTAAGAAAGCATCTGCAACTGTACTCATAGTTAATTGCTTTCAGCCGGTGTCTTCGCCATGTCTTTACTGAAAATATGGAGCGTAAGTACTTCCTCCTCCTCCGTTGTACTTTCCACACTTCTAGGCACGCTCCTCATCAAAATTTTTCAACATTTTCCAGTACCATTAGCATAAATATCTACTTTTACATAGTATAAAAGGACACCCTGTCCTCTGTCAAGCTCTTCAGAAACTTATATTTTCTCTTTATAATTTTATGCTATGCAATATTAAAGGTCTTACTCTCTCTCTTGCTTCTATGCCTTTGATCATGCTTCTCCCTCTGCTTGAAATACCCTTATTTCATAACTAGTAACATTTTACTATTTTTGAAAATTCCAACCTACCCCTTAAATTTCAATTCAAATGCCACCTTTTGTAGGCTCACTACCGCCGTGTTCATTTTAACATATTATATTTACATATATTGTGTCACCAATTTTTTACTATGAATGTTTGCTTTTTTAACTTTCAGATACTAATCTCCTTGGAGAGCAAGAAATAAGTTTTTTGTATCCATGGACTCTAGAGTAGTACACAGTAGGTGATGAATCAATATTTTTAAACAAATAATAGATTGAAGTTTTAATAAGCTGTAGCAGCTTATCAAAGGCTGCTGAAGACTCCCATATTACATAACCGTTAAAACTATAATTGGCACATTTAATTATCTTTGTTTCAAATCCATGAATTATGTACCCACACATTTGTGGAAAGTCGGCTTTGTGTGTTTTTCATACTATTTAAGATTTTTATTTAATAGTAAAACAAAAATATTATTGTGGGACTATTGCTTGTTCATTAATAACAGCTTGAGTGCTGGTTTCCTTTACATACATAGAGACTTATATTTCTAGATGATACAAAAATGGCACCAATAGAGGCAAGCAATGCTGCTGGGATTATATAAAGTTAGGCCAGTTCCAAACAGGCTTTTCCACTTTCTTGTACAGATAAGTTCTTGCATCTTCTTAAGCAACTCCATGATGAAAGATTGTTTTTTACTATTTCTTTATCTTTCATGAACACCTTTAGTAATGACTCAGAGTAAGCCCTCGAGTCTCACTGACCTGTGTTCAGTGATTTTTCTGGTTTTAATCTTGGAGATAGCAGAGTTACTGATTTTTTTTCCTTTTTGATTGTTCATTTAGATCATTTAGTACTAAAACATTGTCTTGGTAGTTGGGTAACATAATGAAAATTATCACTTATTAATCTAATAGAATAGTGACTAGTAATTTTGTCACAGAATGACTAAATTATTTACTGTGCTGCCTGTATGTATGTTCGTGTGTCTACATGGGAGAAAACCACATTCTCTTTGGGGTTTGCCTAACCCCAAATGAAAGGGTTAAAACAGGGGGTTCTCAGATGGACTTTAAGATTAAAAAAATACACTTAAAGGCATTCCTCTGTCTCTGACTTTTCTGATAACTTATAAATCAATTAATCATTATACTAGGTTTATAGTAATAACATTCTGAACCTATTATTGTGAGTGTAAGCATCAATATTCTTTACTACATCTTAACTTAAATAGAAGACCACAGACACACTCCACATTAAGTGGTGCTAAACATGTCTGATGTTGGGTTGTCAGGGTGATAATTGTGGCATTTCTTTTTGTTTTCCAAAAAATCATTAATTAGAGATATGGATATATTTTAATGTACTTATTTAAAAGTATTGCAGATATTCCTAAAGTGAAGGAAGATTAATTATATGGCTAATTCTCTGCTATATCAAGGAAAAAATAACCCTTTTTTAATCTGGTAATAAGTTTAAACTGTATAGACTGCAATAAAAATTACATCATTCTTACATTATACAGTGTTGTGAAAATGCACTTTGTGGTTATTATTTCAAATGAAAGATCTACCTCAATGGAAAAGCATTTCTTAACTATTTTGAGAACTTATTATACTTAATGACAAATTTATCTGAAGTTCTAAACACTGTTAGGAATAAGGGAAGATCTTTTAATTTAGGTATAATCATACTACTGTACTTAAATTTTGATAACTAAGTTATAAAATAATATATACAATTTAAATGGAATATTTATTTAAAGTATGTTTAGACATTTAAAATAAAATGCTTGACAATGTAAATAATCTAAGATTATTATTAGCAAATGATTGCTTCATTTTTAATAATCTTTGTGTGTTTTTGTTAAACCATACTTATGTTTAAACTGATCATATTTATATTTTGTTTTCCTTCTTCTGACAGCTCCTTCAGGTTGGAAGGAATACCTTTACTTGGGGGCATGTCAATTCGTTTTTCTCACTTGATTCATCTTTATGACTTCCTGAGGACAGATCTAATTCTAAAGTAACCAGAAGCCTGGCCATCTCAGAGCAGCAAATCCCTCAACCTTGGAGCACAAATGATCGCTGATAGAGTCTGCATAAAATCATCTTCCTCTATCTGACAGCCATGAGCAGAGCCTTGGGGGTAAAAAAAGCCACAGCCTTAAATCTCTTCACTCAGAAATTACCATGAAGATAAAATAAATAAATGGAAAGGACTATCAAGAAGCCAACAAAACATAAACACCAAACCAACTCATCTTGTTTCACTTTGGAAATAAACTGTTCCCAGATGTGAGACCAACAAAATTAATATTAAGCAATTAAACCAGTAAATTATAAACTGATTTATCATTTGGGAAGTTTAAAGTACAGAGAGATGAGGTACCTGTAGCCAGAATTACACATCATTTCAAAATATGTAGACAAAAAGAAAACTGAATGAACAGAGAAACATTGCAGCAATGCACAGTCTTAGGACGAATGTTGCTGTTTGCAGACAGAGAATGTTTGCCATCTTGTGTATAGCCTCAAAGCCATACTGAGATAATAGCATTGTTGTCAATTGCTTGAAAAATTTTCACATTCAATCCTTCATGCTATATTGGTTGGAAGAGGAGGGAAGTCAGTTCTTACTGATTACTTCTCAGTGAACTTCTAATATTTGCACTGTCACTTCCATTCAGGGTAATGATGTGTGCTGTTATTTGCACAGATGGTCCCATGAGTTTTGAGACCACAGCAAGCAGTTTTTTGCAGGAATCCAAAATGGAAAAATGTAAGAATTCTCAAGACATTGATTTTTCTTCTTTCAAAAAAAAAAAATCAGTTATCTAATAAAAAATGGATTTGATTTTAAAACAAATTTAAAAACATCTACAGAATAACAATGAAAAAGCATCAGTGTGGTCAAATGAATCCAAAAGGGATCCAAAGTTTTTAATGACCATCATTTGATATCATTAAAAACCAAGAAGTCAAATACAGTGAAATGCACACTAAGCATTTGTGTTGAACATCTATTTGTTCTCTTAATTAAAAAGTCATTTGTAATTTGTATTTGGCATATAACAGTTTTTATAGCCAAACAGCATTTTCAGTTTATTTTTCTAAATAAATCTGTTGTTTGTATTGTTTGTAGTTGCTTATTTGATTTGGTTTTCATTACCAAGAAAACAAGTTTCTTTTGGTTTATTGGCAAGCTTTTGTCATATTAATTCAGAACTAATGGAAGATTGATATTTCAAGTATTTTTGTAGTATAAAATTGTGCTTTCTGTTTTCTAAGCTCTGAAAAACATGGTATATTTTTCACTATGACTTTCTTGTGAAGGGCTATTTTAACATTATAGTTATAACTATTGAGAATTAATTTTAATACAAGGGAACATTGCTAGAAAACAGAAAGCTCAGGTATTGTATCAGTAAGGATTTTTTCTAAGTTTTGTTTCTGGAATTCTGTTTAGAACATAATAATTAGATTAAAAAAAAAGGTCACTAATCCTAAGTGTTCTCATTATTGTTATCCAGAAGTCTGCTAAGAACTTCTATCATCTATCTATCTATCTATCTATCTATCTATCTATCTATCCATCCATCTATCATCTATCTATCTATCTATCTATCATCTATCTATCATCTACCTATGAGTAGGTAATCATACTGGAGCAAAAATGGAACTCAATCAAAAAGGGCTGTTTGTAGTGTACAATTCAAACAAATTGCTTATAACAATTAAAAGAATAGGTCATTAGGCTTATTCCCAAACTATGATATAAAATCAAACTCCCAACATGTTGTTCTGTACACTTAAATTGGTTTACACTCTGCAATATCTCCTGGTACTTAGAATACCTTGCAATGTAATGAAGAAAATTAGTTTGTTTTGCATGATTTGAACCTCTGAAAAGTAATATATTGTACATTAAAATAATCAAGCAAGGAATCAAATTGCCAGTTCCTGTGAGATGATAGGCATTGAAGTATAGATGCCTGAACTCATCCATGAAGCAATCCATGCTGATTGCTTCAATCTGTAAATTATTTGAACTTATAAATAGGAAAGCCAACTTTCCCAAAAATATTTGACAATAAAATTAATCAAGCATATGTGATAAAAAATATAGTTCTTTATTTTGTGCATATACTCAGTGATAAGCAGCACTTTACCAGCTGTACTCTCTCACGAATGTCTAAAAGACTGCAAATATGTGAAATGATCAGGCCTGCTCTTCAGCAGGATAACTCCAGTAGTAGTTTATAAAGTGAGTTAGAGACTGGAGGTGGCCAGACTAGAAAAAGTGTCTAAAATTTTCTTTGAATTTAGTCTGTTTTTTCTCTTAAGTTTTGATTATATTTACTTTCTTAGTTATTTCACTTGTCCATCACTGTTTCTTCTTTCATCTTCAACTTTTAAACCTGCTATTCTCACAAGTCAGTATTACTTTTACAAATCTATTAAACAATTGCCAGTTCCCACTGAGAAGTACTACTTAACAGGTTTCATTTTTATCTCGAAATGCCAATGTAGATAATCTTCACTTCTTAACATTTTCTTTTAGAGTGCTGGTGTCTTACACATAACATGCAAGTCTCTCCTTGCTGGCCCCTATTCACATAATTATTATGTTTACTTAGGTAAGATAATCTTGCTTATTTACTGAGTGCTCACTATGGGACATGAATTATGCAGGTCATTAGGAACAAAAGGGTAAGAAAAAATACATAGACTATTTTAATAGAGTCTAAAATCTAGTTGGAGAGAACTACATTAAACATTTAATTACACGTTAACAAAAAAATTACAATATGCTAAATTCTATAAAGAAAAGGATGTGGGCTGGGCGTGGTGGCTCACGCCTGTTAATCCAGAACTTCGAGAGGCCGAGGCCAGGGGGATCACTTGAGCTTAGGAGTTCGAGACCAACCTGGACAACATGGTGAAATCCTGTCTCTACAAAAAATAAAAAATTAGGTGGCTACGGTGGTGGGTGCCTGTAGTTCCAGCTACTTGGTTAGCTGAGGTGGGAGGATGGCTTGAGCCCAGGAGAAGGAGTTTGCAGCGAACCAAGATTGTGCCACTGCACTCCAGCCCAGATGACAGAGCAAGACCTTCAGAAGTTGTGTATCTAAACATACCTAAACATATAAAAGACACAGTGACAATATGGTATAACCTTGTGGGACCACCATTGTATAATATACGTAGTTCCTTGTTAATGGAATGTGGTTATGTGCTGAATGTATCCAGTACAACAAATGTAGGCATGTTTAACTCCTGAAAAGATTAAGACCCTGCCTCAGAAAAAAATAAAATAAAAAGAAAAAAAAAGGTATATGGTTTGGAGATATCACATGTCCAGTGGCTCTAACCCAGTGGGTAGAGAAAGCTTTGAACTGAGATCTGAAGGGTGACTAGTGGATAAAAAGGGAAAAATCATGTGCAAAGCACTGCAAAGAGGAAGAAGGTAAGACATCAGAAGACCTGAAAAAATCTAGAGTTGTGCAAAGAGAAAAAAGAGAGTAGTGCAGAGAAGACTGGTTAGATGGAAATCAGATCTCACCTATCTACATCCTAGGTAAAGAAACAAAAATATGAAGAGTAAAAACAATATAAAGAATAAAACAGTACGAAGAGTAAAACAATAAGAAGGGTAAAAACAGTTAAGTATGCAGAAATGACAGAAGTATAGTCATGTATTGCTTAAAAACAGGGATACTTTCTGAAAAATGAGGAGTTAGGTGATTTCATTATTGTTCTAACATCATATAATGTACTTACATGAACCTAGATGCTATAGCCTATTTTGCTTGCAGGGCACAAACCTGTACAACAAATTACTGTATTGAATACTGTAAGCAGTGGTAACACAATGATAATTGTGAATCTAAACATACCTAAACATAGAAAAGATACATTGAAAATGTGGTATTACCTTGTGGGACCACCATTGTATAATATACGTGGTTCCTTGTTAATAGAATGTGGTTATGTGCTGAATGTATCCAGTACAACAAATGTAGGTATGTTTAACTCCTGAAAAGACTAAGATGACATTTTCCTCCCACCACCAAGTCCACTATAATCTCTCTCACTCATCAACAGGAAAGATTTACTTGCACTGCCAAAACAAAGAGATGCAGAAAGTTACATATTTGAAACAATAGGTTAAAATATATCTGACTGAGTATAAACTATAAGAAAAAGAGGCTCAAAATGAATACAATCATGACTCATATTATTGTGCTTTGCTTTGTTGTGCTTCAGACAGATGTTGTGGTTTTTACAAATTGAAGGTTTGTGGCCTATATGGGGCAAGTCTATCAGCATCATGTTCCAACAGCATGCATTTACTTTGTGTCTCTATGTCATGTTTTGGTAATTCTTACGCTATTTCAAGCATATGCATCATTAGTATATTGATATTCATATTATTATATGTGTTATGGTAATATGTGATTTTTGATGTTACTGTTGTAATTGTTTTTGGGTGCCAAGGATGACGCCCATATAAGATGGCGAACTTAATCAATAAATGTGTGTGTTTTGACTGTTTCATCAAGCAGCCGTTCCCCTATTTCTCTTCTGTCCTTAGGCCTCCCTATTCCCTAAGACACAAGAATATTGAAATTAGGCCAATTAATAACCCTACAATGTCCCCTAAGTGTTTAATGAAAGAAAGAGTTGCATGTTTCTCATTTTAAATCAAAGGCTAGAAATGGTTAAGTTTGGTGAGGAAGGCATATTGAGAGCTGAGATAGGCTGAAAACTAGACTTCTTGTGCCAAATGGTTTGCCAAGTTGTGAATGCAAAGGAAATGTTCTTGAAGAAAATTAAAACTGCTCTAGTAAAAACACAAATGATAAAACAAAAAAGTGAAGCAGCCTTATTGCTGACATGGAGAAAGTTTGAGTGGTCTAGATAGAAGATCAAACCATCCACAACATTCCCTTAATCCAAAATCTAATCCAGAGCAAGGCCCTCAACATAGAGACAATATCCTCCACCAGCAAAAAGATGACTCATGAAGGCTCAGATGATTGTTAGCACTTCTTACTAATAAAGTACTTTTAAATTCATATATATATTTTTTAGACATAATGCTATAGCACAATTAATGGACCATAGTATATTATAAAAATAACTTTTATATGTACTGACAAACAAAATAAAATTGTGTGACTGGCTTTGTTGAGATATTCACTTCATGCAATGGCCTGGAACCAGCAACATCTTTGAGGTATGTCTATACCAAAGAGAGCAAAATTCTAAATTAAAAAATTAAGAATGGCCTTGGAAGCATTTTCAAACTTTTATAGGATATAATACTCAATGGAGATAAAAAGTTTATTCAGTAGGCCTGTATTAATTCATAATGACTTCAGCAACTGCAGATAGACTTACAATAAACATATATAAAAATGTGTTGAAACTAACTTGCATTAAATTGTTTGCCTATGTTTGCCAGAAAACTTAAAATAATAAGTAAGTGTCTGTTTATACCTGAAAAGGAAACTCTATGAAATCATCAGGAATCAGGCTTCTTTCAACTTTCTGCTCTGACATCCTTAAACTATAATGTTTTTCCTCATGATGCACAACAGTAGATGGAACTCCAGACATTGTATGCATGTTCCAGGCAGTAGGATGAGGAGACAGCTATTTTCTTCTTTTAAAGAAAACTTACTGAAAACTACTCATACAATATTTTGGTATGTTTGGCATTGTTCAAATCTGAAGCACAAGGAGAATTAAGGAATTTAGTCTTTTGGCTGGCCACGTTGAATGAATTTGGCATTCTGACACTAAAGAAGCTGCAGAAAATAAATGATGGTATACACAACCATCTAACTCTGCCACAAGACTTTCAAAATGTGACACTAATTCATCATGCACTAGTTTGAATATTGAGGATTTCAGGCATTAAATTATATGCAAACATGAGAAAATAAAATTTTCAGCGTGTATTTTCAAGAGCAAATTGATAAAGTGGAGTCACAGCATATGCACATTTAATCTTCGAGGATTCTACTACACTAATGTTTATTCGTTTCTGTAAATATGTGCACAAGAGTGGTCAGTTGGTGAGACTCATATCTCCTGTTGTGAACAGCTCATCACACTGCAGTTCTGGTTCATAATGCACAATACACTTTATAGGTGACAAAAGGGATTGTAAGGGAAATTGTAACTATGGGCATTCACACTCCATCATGATAGTTTAATGTATTGGTAGATATATTTTATCAATAACTGACGTGCACATTTTAGTATGGTGTTTTTATCGCTTGTTTTTTGGAAAAAGGAACACTAAAGTAGTATAACATTGTATTTACTCAACAAGTACTTAACATGTCGGGGCACATTTTATGCTGATTCTATGAAAGCATCCCTCATACTTTTTGGTTTGGGCATGTCTAAAGAAGTGATTGTTTATTGAGGATAGTCAAAGTATTCAGGTATTCCTGAGGCTTTGATTGAGGAAACAAAAACACTCAAAATTTAAAAGTAATTATGTAAAGGAGATCCATGGGTTCCACAGAAAACGCAGGTCTCCACAGTTATAAGCACTTGCCTAACCAGTTATATACTTTCTTTAGTCTTTTGCCAGCTATGAATTTATAAAACAACTACATCAATCGAAATATTTGAGATTTAGAAGTGAAAAAATAGAACCCATTATGGCATGCAGTGTGATCCATCAGAGAGAAGGAAGTCCACAGAATTAAAGACACTGCGGTCTTTTTAATCATAATCTAAAGCTAATCCTTGGAAGACTAATTTAACCAATGCTTATAATCAAAATGAGTGTTCTAAGCCATGGACACATATGTTGTGCAAGCACCAGTCAATTTCCCTGAGGATGCTCTACAGTGTATTTGGAAAAGTATCTAAATATTTCAATAGTGTTTATTCTTATATTATTTAATGTACAAATTGAATCTGCAATTTGCTAACGAATCTATTTCTGAATAATTTCCATGTTTCTATAATTGAATCCAAATAAAATATATAGTAAATTTTTAGTGAAACATGAAAGACTGCAAAAATGAATAATATTTAGTGCACTAACAACAGTTCCTTTGGAAAATTAGGAAGCAGGAAATATGCAGTACTTTATCATATTTAAAGGAAATATACTTTAACTTGAAATAACTAGAAATTGAGGGAAAAAAGCTTGACCATGATATGAGAAAGATACATAGTGTCTTACATTACTTTAAATTCAAGTTTTCACTTTACATAAGAAATATTTTAAATTCATTATTATTATAAAAATAAAAATAATACATATAAAACAAAAGTCCCCGTATGCCACCATTTGCACGCTCTTCTCTAGAGGGAATCACTGTCATCTTTGATGTAAATATAAATGTCAACAGAAAAATAGTATTGTGTGTATATGAATATGAGTACATACATGCTTTACATTCATAGAATCATAATTTATATAATGCTTTACCACTTAAATTTGTTCCACTGAAAAATGGATCTTGGGAGAGAGGGGTAGAGCAAGATAGCAGAATAGAAGTCTACACCAATCGTAGCCCCAGAAAGGATACTAATTTAACAACTAACTACAAATAAAAAGCACCACTGTAAGAACCAAAAATCAGGTGAGCACTTACAGTACCTGGTTTTAACTTGATATTGCTGAAAGAGGCACTGAAGAGGTAGGAGAAACAGTCTTGAATCACCAATGCCACCCATCCCCATCCCCCAGCAGCAGCCTTACCCTGCACAGAGAGAATCTGTGCCATTGGGAGAGGGAGAGAAAAGTAATTGTGAGACAGTGCATTGATCTCAGAAAGCAAAACTGGACTGAACACAGCTGATGCCCAACCACAGAGGGAGTGATTACAGCGGCCCTAGACAGAGGGGAATCACTTATCCCAGCGATTGAAACTTGACTTCCTGCAAGCCTTGCCACGTTGGGCTGGAGTGCTCTGGGGCCCTAAATAAACTTCAAAGTTCGTCTAGGTCACAAGAACTGCAACTCCTAGACAAGTCCCAGGGATGAACTCGGTTCAGAGCCAGTGTGTGTGTGTGTGGTGGGGGGTGGTGGTGGCACATGACCTACTGAGACACCACCAGGGTGGCTGGGAGAGAGCTGTCACCATCCCTCCCCTAGCCCCAGGTAGCATGGCTTGTGGCTCCAAAAGAGATCCCTTCCTTCTGCTTGAGGAGAGGAGAGGGAAGAGTGAGGAGGACTTTGTCTTGCATCTTGGATACCAGCTCAGGCACAGCAGGGTAAGGCACTGATCATAGTTGTAAGGCCCCCTTTGCAGGATCTAGCTCACAGGTAACATTTCTAGACACACCCTTGGATAGAAGGGAACCCACTACCTTGCAGGAAAGGACTATTCTTGGCAGCATTCATCAACTGTTAACTAAAGAGCCCTTGGGCCTGAAATAACCAACAGCCCTACCAGGTAGCACATTGTGGGCCTTGGGTGATATTCTGAGACTTGATTTCTTCAGGTGAGTCTCAGCACATTCCCAGCAGTGGTGGCTATAAGGAGAACTCCTTCTGATTGAGAAAAATGAAGGAAAAAATAAAGTAGACTTTGTCTTGTACCAAAGGTACCAGCTCTGCCACAGGGGTATAGAACAAAATGAGAGCTCTTGAGGTTCCTGATTCCAGGACTTGGCTCTTAGATGGCATTTCTATACCTTCCCTGGGACAGAGGAGAGCCCACTGTCCTGAAGGGTGAGTCCCAGGCCAGGCAGCATTCACCACAAGTGGACTAAAGAGCCCTCGTGCCTTAAGGGAACATTGGAAGTAGCCTGGCAGTACTCCCCATGGGTCTGTGGTGGCAGTGGCCATGAGGCAAGGCTCCTCTACTTTTGACAAGGGTAGGGAAGAGTGGGAATAACTGCATCCTGTACTTTGAGAGCCAGCTCAGCTGCAGTGCAATAGAACGTCAGGTAGACTTTTATGTTTTTTTACTCTAGTCCTTGGTTCCCAGACAGCACCTCTGGCCCCAGCCTTGGCCAGGGGGAGATAACTGTCCTGAAGGAAAGGTAACAGACCTTGCTAACTTTGCCACTTGCTAATTGTAGAGCTCCAGGGCCTTGAGCTAACATAGGCAGTAGCCCAGGGCATGGTTACAGGAGGCCGTGTGCTCAACGTCATTAAGCATCAGAGAAATGCAAACCAAAACTACAATGAGATTTCATCCCACTCCAGTTAAAATGGCTTATATCCAAAAGACAGGCAATAACAAATGCTGCTGAGGATGCAGAGAATAGAGACCTCTCACACTCTGATGGTGGGAATGTAAATTAGTACAACCACTATTGAGAATAGTTTGGAGATTCCTGAAAAACTAAAAATAGAGCTACCATATGAGCTAGCAATCCTACTCCTAGCTGTATACTCCAAAGAAAGGAAATCAGTATATCAAAGAGATATCTGCACTCCCGTGTTTATTGCAGCACTATTCACAATAGCCAAGATTTGGAAGCAACCTAAGTGTCCATCAACAGATGAGTGGATAAAGAAAACGTGAAACTTAACATACAATGGAGTACTATTCAGTCATTATAAAGGAATGAGATCCTGTCATTTGCAGCAATATGGATGGAGGTCACTTTGTTAAGTGAAATAAACCAGGCACAGAAAGACAAACATTACACGTTCTCATGCATCTCTGAGAGCTAAAAATTAAAATGAATGAACTCATGGACTTAGAGAGTAGAATGATGGTTACCAGACACTGGGAAGGGTAGTCAGTGAAGGTAGCAGGGAAGTGGGGTTGGTTAATGGGTACAGAAATATAGTTGTAAAAATAAATGAGACCTAGTATTTGCTAGCACAACAGGGTGACTATAGTAAAAAAAAAAAATCGCAATTGTTCACTTTAAAATAACTAAAAGAGTGTAATTGGATTGTTTGAAATACGAAGCATAAATGCTTGAGGTAATGAATACCCTATTTATCCTGATGTGATTATTATGCATTACATACCTGGTCAAAATATCTCATGTCCCCATAAATATATAAATATACATCCTACCATGTACCCACAAAATTAAAAGTTAAAAAAATTAAAAAGAATAAATCTTGGAGATCTTTTTGTCTATATATGAAAAGATATATATATATAAAATATATATTATATATATATTTTAAATTGTTACTTGTATCTCATGATAATGCTTTATCTATCTTAAATGAGAATGTAATCACTCATTTCTCAGTCATGGGGTATTTAGGTTATTTTCTGCTCTTACAATCAACACTGCATGGGCCACTGGTGTAGTTGATTTTCCATGCACTTGTGTATATTCCAGTGTAGAAACTGAGAGCACCTCTTTCTTCAAGAATATCCATAGCCAGTGTTATAGCATTTATAAATGCTATAGATTTTTGAACTATATTCTTATTATTTGATAATAATGATAGTGATGTATGAAAAGTCTTTCATTCATTTCAGGAAATTCTACTCAATTAACAAGAAATGAAATTAAGAAGGGAGAAAAACCTAAGTTTGAGAGATAATAGGAACGTTCACTGGAGAAATGGCCTTTGGTGCAGTAATTATTATTTTCCAAAAGTACAGATGTAGACATTAGTTAAGGAAACACAAGGAAATAAGATAAATATATCTCAAAAAGCAAAGCATCCTCCTTAGGGATATTTACAAAACATCAGAAAATACTATGTTTGTTAAATTTTATTTGCTGTGTGATGTCAATTAATGTTAAGGCTTCTGTTTAAAGATACCATTAAATATTATCCCCCTCTGGAATGAAATCATACTTTTAAGAATAACAAACAAACAGTTGTTTAATTATGGCATAAAATAGGAGATGTGTTCTTACAATCATTGTGGCTTAGTCACAAAATTGCTTCTCTTAGAAATTCAACACTTTCAACAGGAGAATGTACATAGTAATTAATGTAGAACAAATAAAAATGTCCACTATGTAGCCTAACAGTTATTTTAAAGGAAATAAAAAGTATCCATTTGAATTTCAAATGTCAGAATATTCTATTTGCACATTAAAAATATTAATACTCTACCAAATATTAACTAATGTATGTAGGTATTAAAGTTGTATTGTCATGAACAATTAGCAGATGGTTAAGAAGTTAAAATCATTTATTTTTCTCAGAGAAAAACACTCCCATCCCCCAAGAAAAAGGAAATAGTTCTAAACTACTCCTTCCATGTAGACCATTCGAGAGAATACTGAGAGGTGCTGAAGTGGAAATTGCCTTTGCCAATGGATTTTTATTGGCATGGTTTATTTTCTTCAGCATATGTGATATAAACTGGACACTGATGTTTTCCTAAATAATTCAATTTGCTAAGAAAATTAAAATAACTGAAGCAAAACTAAAAGCAAAAGAGGGAAGAGATAAAAGTTTGCTTTCACTTGAGATTTGAGAAGCAGCCTCCCGTTTTTGTGAGAAGGCTCTTTTAGATATAGGTTTTTCAAAGCAGAAAAGATCTATCAACATTACCTGCTGCAAATACTGACAAAAATAACATGAATATTAAATTACCAAAGGAAGCCCCAAAGTAGTTCTCTTCAGCCTTTTCTAGAGGCAAATTATCTCAACCTACTGGCGGCTTTAACTTCTAAGAGTCTTCATGAAATACTACACTTTAAAGTCATCAACCCTTCTTCCAGGAAACTCATAATCCTTGAATTTAGGCTAGGTCCAATTTAAAATCTTGCTCTTCACTATTCTCCTTTACTCATTTAACAAATACTGAGCAGATATGTTCCAAATTTTATCAGGTGAATAGGGATTGAATGAAGAACCAAATAGAGAGCTTGCCCTCATGGAACCTAGAATCTATTTTAGAGAGAGACAAGGAATCTGGCAATTAAAATACAGACTGAGAAGACCTTTGGTACGGATGGTAGAGCTCACTCATACTCAAACCATTTCCTTGATGTCATTGAATTTAGATGCCAGAAAGCATATATATTTTCTTAGAGAGAAATTAAGATTGCTTTAAAGGAAGCCATTCCATTTCTAAATAAACTACTATATCTAAAGTCACCACTTGGAGTGGCACATCACCGAAAGAAGCATCTTCTGTCAATACTCCACCAACTGGGCATGGAAGGTAGAGTCCTTTCTGGATTGCCCATCGGGTGATATGTTCCTGACCTGTGGTATTCTGAAATGATTTATTTTATGATGCTCCCTTCCAAAAAGGACTTGAGGAAGCCTATACCAAAGGCAATTCATGCAAAATAATTCATGGTCACAAACACGAACCTAGTAGCAAAAGACAGGAGATAAAGCAGATGCTTTTACTGTAAGGGTTAATACATTTGCATTGCAAAGCATAAAATTTAACTTCCTAGAAATCAGGGCAAAACTGAAGAATATTAAGCTATATAATTAATTCACTAGAAAGAAGAAAACAAAGTGCCAAGAAATGCAATAAAAGCCAAGAGCTTAACAATGAAGTACTGTACATTTCAGTAAAAGAAGTTTTGTAAGTGAGCATGCTAATGCATTCTGTTTGTTGTTTCTTATTTTTTCAAGACTAGAATTTGAAATAACTAGATGACTGGATGTAAAAGCCTTTCTTCTGTATAAGCCAATTTTTTGCTACTTTGGAGTTCCCAAATCCTCTAAATATCTGTTTTTTTCCACATTGAGTAAACTCCCTCTTCCCCTGCTTGTCACAACTGTAGGATAAACCAGTTCCTTCTCAGCCTCTCTGCAGAATGTTCTTTTCTCCCTTCCCCAACTGCTCCACTTGCCTGTTGCCACTGATTGCTCGGTTCCTCAGGTCACCCCTTGGACTTGGTGTCCTTCTCCACACTGTTTCTCCTCAGACTGAACACCACCTCTATTCTCCTTCACCAAAGCACAAATAGCACATGGCTTTTCTGGGTCTAGCAAATTTTACTGAAACAAGAGAAATACGGGAGGATGATAGCCTAGCTCAAGGGCCAGCACTCATTTTAATGTGTTTAGATTAATAGTATTAATCTAAATTTTCACATTTTGCATTGCAGAATGTGAGGTTTTCTTTGTTCATATCCTACGCATTGTCGTCTTTCATATCCAAAGTACAGCCATCTTCTCAGCTGACCACATTTTCAGACCATTCTGTCTTTAACTGCCTTCAAACCCCAATTATTGTCACTTTCTTAAATAAAGCACTTTATCATTAAGACCTTCTTTTGCAAAGCCAAGAAAACTCTTTGAGATAATTTCTTCAATAAACTCCCATCTATATAATGCTTTCCACTAAAAGCTTGAAATTAAAAGAGTGCTTCTTAAAACAATGAAATTCTTAGGCAGGCACCTGGTAGGATAGAAAATAAATAGAAATATTTATTTTTTTCATCTGTCCAAAGAAATTCCTCAGAAGTTGTAGGAGAAGGATTGACGATTTCACTGTGGATGTTTCATTTTTTGTGTTTTGTTTTTCTCCAATTACATGGAGCACTGTCATAGATTTTTATAAATGAACTTATGCCCTCTTGTGGTAAAATGATTAACTTAACCATTAAACTTACCATTAAACTTGTTCTTTTTGTTGTTTGTTCCTATATTTTATTTGAGAAAGAGAGAGAGAGAAAAAAAATGTAAAGGCCTGTCTTATTTTCTGTTCACATTAATGGCTTAAGTTATCATCTGTACTGGTAGTTACAAAACATAATAATCAAATATTTCTATAATTCTATCAACTTGGTAGGGCAGAAATCATTTGAGGGAATACAGTATGTTTAATTACTTTACAAATGTATTAATTATACAAGAAACAAATATGTTAGAAATCCAGGATTGATACTAACACTCTACAAATATTTAATCAGTGTCTACTAGACTGAGGCATGATTTTAAGAACTGGGATAAAATAACGCAAGAAAAACAATAGAGCTTGTATTATAATGAAAATAGTTAGATGATCAGTAAACACAAATGTAATAGCAAATACAGAATATGTCCAATGCTAATAAGAAATATAAAGAAAAATACAGCAGTGTGTGGTGAATAGAAAATGATGAAGATTGGGAAAGTAAGTGTTATTAAAACAATATTTTATATAAAGCAGTATACAAGAATAGAATCCTAGGACAGTCCGTTATTTGGAAGTCAGAGAGATGAGGAGGAAACACCAAGGAGCTATGTGAACATTGATTGGGCTAGTAAAATAGAAAAAAAAAAAACTAAGATAAATGAAAAATTATAAAAATGTATTTTAAGAGGTCAAATCCCAAATAACATGAAAATGACTAACCTCATTTTAGCAAAAAGCATAGTAGTCAATCAAAGGGCAATCTATTTATATACTTAATATTCAACTATGTGTTAGGAGCAAATTAGCTTCTTATAGGCAAGGCTACAAGGGTTACACGTGGTGATCATGATGATGGCTCATATTCTATCTGGCTATGCATGCAATAGTGATGCTGGTCTAGAACTAGACATGGTGAGTAATCACATTTAACTCTGCAGCTTCACCAACCATCAACAAATTCAATTCACGTGATATTTGTGAGCCACTCTATTATGAGTTATATTACACCTGCTTTGGAAGGGTGAAAGAACAGACATCCAGGCAGCTTGCATTACTATTAAGTCTGAGGCCAAGACTGTAGTGTTAATTTTTTTAAAAAAGCAACCAAAACTAATTTATTATAAGAGACAAAGTAGAAAGGGGCAACAAGGAGCATCCAATAATTGATGATTAGATGCAGTGTTACTCAGGGACTGGTGTGTTCTGCAGGGCTGTTACTGTGGTGCTCATCTGGACAGGGAGAGGGCCTCATGATAATTGGTAGGTAACACAATAGGGGAGAGATGTCACGCTCAGAGCTTAGGGTCCCAAATGAAAGGTTGTATGATTGATTTATGTAAAAACTTGGGGATGTGAATGGAGTGGGCTATAAAGACTCTTTTACCAAGGCGGCATTGATAATGGATGACCAATCACGCTTCTTTGTTGGAACAAATGTGAAGATCTCAACCATGTTCCTTTGGTACTCATTCTCACTCCAGATCCCTGATACCATGCTGCTTTCCCTGAGCCTGCCTTCCTATCCCAGTTCATCCCTCTTTTTCTGTGCAAAACTTCTAGTTGTCAGTCTGGGATGAGTAGTGCTCAGCTGGCTCAGTTGTAGTCAGGTCTTCCTTCAGCTTTCCCAGTAGCTTGGAAGCATCAAATAATATGCTCTTCTGCATGCATAGAACCTGTATCTAGGGTGTGAGTAGCTGAAAGCCTCAAGGTTTCCTGCGAAAGAGGAAAACACTTCAACATGCAAGTATCCATGGTTCCAGGATCTGTTCCAGCTTTCTTAGCAACGTTTACTACTCAAGGGAGACAGCAAGGAAATAGATTTGTTTGATTTAACTTTACCATCACTACTGGCAAACAGCAAATAAGCTTTGAATTCTGAGTATCAAGAACACTATGTACATATAGAAAGTGCATCTGGTAATTACTATATCTTAGGAAGTGGAAGATAGTCCTGGATCATCAGCAGGATAATAGGTAATAGGAGTGGTTGATGTATTTTTCACCTTCCATTTAGTTTATTTCTTTATTTTTTACTCTTGAAGTCTTCATATGTTAAACTATTACTCTGGAGAACATTAAAGGACTCGTTAGTTATAATGCCAAAAACATACAGAAGTGGTTACAGGGTTAGATAAGAAGATTGATAACAAAAGAATTGGACATGATTTAACTTAGAGAAGAAACAAGTCAGGGAAAAATCGACAAATAATTTTCAAATGTGTGAATAATGCTTACAAAGAAAAGATTATTAAGCACTTAGTTTCCATGAAGACAAAGTAAAAATAAACTGGCATAATTAAGCCTTATTAAGTACATTTTTTAAAAGTAAAGATAAAATTCTCCTGGTCATGCGTACTGTATTAAACCTCGGTTTACTGATTTTTCTTCGGTCTGGCATTTATTGATTTTTAGTCTAGTTTCTCCCATCTAGAAACTGGGGAAGCACTTGTGGACATTTATGTTCCATTTCTGTTCAGAGTAATAAAATTAATAATAACTCATAGCAAGGAAAAATTAAATATGATAAAATAGAAGTATGTGCCTGTGTGCCCCTTACCCCATATAGCCCCCAAATTTAATAGAATAAATTTTAAATTTGCAAAATTGAGGATATATTTTATAATTACTGCTACAAACTCATAAAATTTGTAGAAAATATTAATCCAAGACAATATTATGTTTAGTTTGATGACTGTTGGCTTGCCATCAATTTGAATTGCATAGAGTGGACAGTAAGGCACCCGCTAAGTGTAGGAAACATTGCACAATCAACCTATCATGAAAACTGCTGGAAGCCAAAGCATGTAATTTGAGCATCCATCTGGCTGCTGCTTAAAATAATGTTTGATCACACTTATCACCCTAGATTCCCAAATGCAGAGTCTTGGGACATGCAAATCAGAACAGGCTCTTGTCTAACGGCTTTCCAAATAATTGACCTCTCTATTGCCTTGTTCCTTGAGGAGCTATTTACAGTTTTTTTTTCTAGTGATACTTCCACTTCTGTGCTGCTTTCACAGCTGTATCTCTGATGACTGTTCTCTAGCCAAAGAGAAGGAACAGTCTTGGAAGCATTGTTGTTGTTAAAAATACTTCTTAAATGTCTCTTCCTGAGGTGGAACGTGTTTCTATGTTACCTAATAGCTGTAATTAACATAAAAAACGAATGTTTTTAATAGTTCAATAGTTAAAATTTGCAAAGAGGAAATAAGTGAATCCATTAAACATAACTTTCATCACCAAATATAAAAGATGATGATTCCAGGTGTTCTATTAAAGGTAGGAATTGAAATGGAACAACATAGTTTTCTCATTCCATTGCACTGGTTTGGAAGTCCTGTAGGTGAGCTTTTAACATATAAAAATGAAGTTCTACTAGGAGAGACTATAAAGGAGCATTGTATTTTCATTTGTTGTCATTTACATAAATATATGGATTATAGAGCTGAATTCCTTGGGATAAAATCCTGGCTTAAAAACAATTCTGGATTTGTGATCTTGATAAGCTACTTAAACTTCCCTACCTCAGTTTCTTTATTTCTAAAATAAATAATTGTACCTATTTCTTAATGTTGTCTGGATTAATTGAATTAAAACACGTACACACTTAGTATACATTTACAGTACATAGCATAGTACTAGTACTAAACAAATATTAATATTAGCTAGAATGTGTAACTTTTTATTTTACAGAATATAAAAATCTTTAAGTTGGATTGAATTTGACGTAAAATTGCCCCTTTGTCAATAGGATTCAGGGGTAAACACACCCACTGGTCTAAGATCTCTTCAGGTTTTGAACTCCTAAAATTCCAGCCATAAATAGGTTTTCACAGAGTGAGTAAGACGTAAGTTCCCAGATTTGCTTTCCTCAATCAACTGGGTCAAGATGGTGCACCAGATACTCATCACTCCCTATTCCCTACATTCACAACCTTGCTATCTCTATTTGTCTTAAATCCAAAACAAGTAATTTTATTAAACTTTCCCTTCGTCTTTATATAATTACCACCAAGAACCTTAGATTTCTCTATCATGGTCACCTCACTCTAATTACCCTTTCTATCTCTTGTTCTATCCCTTTCTCAGAAAGGTTTAACATACTCTTTGGAATTCACAGTACATTATCAATACCAAAAAAAAAAAAAATGCATTCACAAACTCTTTTCTAAACTTCCCTTCACTTCCCAGTTCTTAAAAAAAAATCCAGAATTCTCCTGAAAGAATCAATTTCCCCTGAAGCGTCCAATCACTGGCTGCTTTTTCACCCCTAGTTGTCTTTATCACTGAGCTTTAAGAGAGGGTTGGTGTCATCTATAATGCAATTTGCTTTCAGGCCATTTCAGACCGTTCTTGTCTGATCCTCTGGAAACCTCCCCACCACCTAGACTTAAATCTTATGATAAAAGATTACAGTAACCTTTATCTTTCATTCTTTCTGTCATTTGCCTATGCCCTGGCTATTCCTCTTCCTTTCTTGAATATTTAGCTCCTGGCTGTTTGTTGCTATCTTCAACACTTCCATTGTCTTAATTCTTGACAATGTAAAGATATACACATAGATGGATCTTCCAGTATCTTTCCCCCTTATTTCTTGAGTACCTCTCATCTTGACTTCAATCTTTCATCAACCATTTCTGACCATACTCTAGATCTTATTTTTACCCCAAACTCTACATTATTCATTATTTTCTGTATTTCACTTTGAATACCTCTTCTCTTTCTCCTCCCCTTCCTTTAGTGCCTCATTTCCCATTCCAAAAGCCTGTCCCACACTTCAATCAATTGCAGCCACAGCCACTTACATTCTTAACATTTTTCCTTCCTTACATAGCTTAAATTATTCACTTAGTTATTATAAACACTCCTTTTGATAAAACTTCAATTCCTTTATCCCTCCCTTCTAGGCTAGTTGTAGGCTAAACTAGAGCTATGGTTAAATCTAACTCTTCAAATACCCATATATAGATGTAGATATATATCCATAAAATTGATGTAGATATATATCCATAAAATTGGATAAGTCTGGAAAGAACAATAAACTCGCTCCTCCATTCCACTATAAAATCATGAACAAGAAGAGTTTGTGTCTTTAATGCTCTTTAGAAGTCTTCCTTTATTTTTCTACTCAAATTATATATATTCTTTCTTTTCTAATCACTATTATGTCTCTTCATATCCTCATTCTTAACTGATGACTGAACATTTAAACTGAAGGAAGAAAGTTTCCACAAACTCCCACCCCCAGTTTTACCCATCTACAAGTATCTGCATTGGCTGACTCTGCCTTCCCATCTGTCACAAGATGATCCACCCAAGCTTATGTCTAAAACTAATTCATCTACTTATGCACTAGAGTACATTCTCACCTACTTAAGTATATCCCTCCAGTGACTGTCCCCTCTCTATCCTGGATCATTATTTTGTTTTTGTTATCTCCTGACTTATTCCCATCAGCAGCATAAAAACTTGGTCAAAAAAAAAAATCTGTGGTTATTTCTCATTCTCATCTTACTTGGGCTGTCATCATCGTTTGACACAATTGATCACATTTTCTCATCCTTGACACACTCTCTGCACTTAGATTCCAGGGCTATATATATATTTTTTATATTCAACATTACTAGTTACTACTTCTCAGCCTCTCTTTTAATTTTTGCAACTTTTTATTTCTATATATAAAGTTATTGAAAAGTTGCAATAATATTGAGAATTCCCATATGTATGTTTCTCACTTGTTTACTTTTTGCCCCAGTTGCAGTCACTTGTTCTCATTCTCTTTCTACCCCTCAACCATTTGTTAGTTGTAGATATTATGTCTCTTTACCTCTAAAGATTTCTAATTGCATTTGTTAAACACTGATATTTTCTTACACAACAGCACAATAATCAAGATCAGAAAATTTTACGTTGTTAAAACAATATGGTCCTACTGAAAGCCCATGTACAAATGTTATCAAATATCTCAAAATGGCTAAATTCCATCTCCTGCTCCCAGTCCAGGATCCAGCCTAAGATCCCACATTGCACTTATGTGTCATATCTCTTCAGTTTAATCTGAAAATGACTCTCTTTTCTTACTTGATATTAACATTTTTAAAGAGTACAAAATAGTTATTTTGTGGAATGTCTCTTAATTTGGGTTATTCTGATTTGTTTTTGTGATGGATAGACCCGGGTTACGCATTTGTGTCAGATGTATCACAAAATTGATATAGACTTTTTAGTGAATATCAGGAGGCCCATGAGTTTGTTTTATACCTATATTGCTCATATTAACTTTGATTACTTAAGGTGGAGACTACTATTCTTCTCCACTGTAATGTGGCTATTTTTCACTTGCAACTAATCAGTAGTCTGGAGGAGTTTAATATGTAGATATTCAACTATCAGTCAAACGTTTACTGACTAGTTTTAGCATCCATTGATGATTCCCTAATTCAGTGATTCCTTCTTTGTCATTTGACATTTTTCTGTAAGAAATTGTCCTACTTGCTTGTTAATTTATATTAGAATGGAATAATGGATTCTTAATTTACACTATGGGTTATAATGTAATATTATAATTATGTATTTTGGATAATAGTCAAATTCATACAGATTTGGGAATTAGGAACCCCTTCAATTTGACTTTTTATGTATTACTGTAATTCTTCAAAAATATTATTACTTTCTGGCAAATATGTTATAGGCTTATTTTGCATTTTCCTTGCCCAAGATCTGGAATCAGTCTTCTCTAAGAAAGTCTAGCTCCTTTCAAATGAAAAATAGTATTTAGTAACCAAGCTTCTGAGTGCTAAATGTATTCATTGCTACTGGTAATTTATTGCTTCTAGGCAGAGTGAAAATATATATATACACAAGATATTAAGGTATATATACATATACACACTGTATTTATTTCTTTATTTGTATTTGTTTCTTTGTTTTACCTATATATTAAAAGCCATGAGTTAATACTGATGGTTCTCTTTCAAAATCAACAACACAATATACTCTTTGGACATTCCCTTTTCCATATTTGTAATTTATTTCCCCAACAGTGAAAAATATGGCTCCCACTATTCCCAAAATTTATATTCATTTGCTCAACTCTAGAATATAGACAGAATAGTTTCAAAATTGCCAACTTATAATATCAAGAAAAGCAAACCTAGTAACTAAAATTCAATATCTGCTTAAAGTTATTTTTTGGTAAATTTTAGATACATTAAGAATGAACCGATCTAAAATGTGAAATTTAATGAGTTTGATAGATGTTTGTACAACTCTGTCAAGATATAAATTTCCATCACTATGGAAATTCTCATGTGTCCCTAACACTCAATGTCTACTCACTCTGGGGCGACTATTTGTTTCACATTAGTTTTGACTTTTCTATATCTTTACATAAATGGAATCATCAAGTGTATATTCTCATGTCCAACTTCTTTTCCTCAGCTTGTCTATGAGATTCAACTATATTGTCGTATATGTAAGAATTGTATTCCTTTTTGCTGCTGAGCAATATTCTAAAATATAATTATATTACAATCAAATACATTTATTCATTTTTCTCTTGATGAATATTTCAGTTGTTTTTAGTTTTTGCTTCTGAGTATTGCTGTGTGTATTTTGTACAAGGCTTTGTGTGTTTTCATTTCTCTTGCACAAATACCTAGGATTAGAATTTCCGGGTAATGAATAAGGTATATGCTGAATTTTTTAAGCAGTTTTTCAAAATTCTTTTATTGTATACATTCCCATAGTACATTATGAGAGTTCTTGGTGTTTCCCATTCTGGTAAACACTTGGGTTGTTAGTGTTCTGTTTTTGTTTTTTTAAACGCAGCTCAACCATTATAGTGGGTGTGTCATGATATTTTCTCTGGTTTTAATTTAAATTTTCTTAATGACTAATGATGTTAAGCATGTTTCAATACGTTTATTTACTTTTATTTTTATTTCCTTGTGAAATGTCAAGTATTTGTTCATTTTATATTGAATTATTTATGTCAGTTATACTGAGTTGTAGAATTATTTAATGTACTATGGATACAAATTATTTGTTAGATAAATATTTGCTACATTTTCTCCCAGATGATAATTACTTATCCCTCTTAATTTTATTTCATTTTAGATTCAGGGGGTGCATGTACTTGTTTGTAACTTGAGAATTACATGTGTAATGGTGGGGGTTGTGTTTCTAGTGTACCCATCACCCAGTCCTATGCATGTTGCTGCCAAGGACATGATTTGATTCTTTTTATGGTTGCATAGTATTACATGGTGCATATATATATGTATATATACCACATTCTCTTTATTTAATCATGTGTTGATGGACACTTAGGTTGGTTCTAGGACTTTACTATTGTAAATAACACTATTAATAAACATAAGAGTGTAGATATCATTTTAATTTAATGATTTCCTTTCCTTTTGGTAGATATCCAGCAGTGGGATTGCAGGGTGGAATGGTAGTTCTATTTTTAGTTCTTTGAGAAATCTCCATATTGTTTCCTATAGATGCTGAATTAATTTACTTTCCAGCTAACAGTGTATGAGCATTCCTTTTTCTCTGTATCTACATCAATATCTGTGGGGTTTTTTACTTTTTAAATAAAAGCCATTCTGCTGGTGAAATGTGATATCTCAGTGTGGTTTTAATTTGCTTTTCTTTGGTGATTACTGATGTTGAGAGTTTTTTCATCTTTGTTGGTTGCTTGTATTTCTTTTTTTGAGAAATATCTGTTTATGGCCTTTCCCCAATTTCTAATGGAATTGTTTTTTTCTTGTTGTTTGAGTTCCTTACAGATTCTGGATATTAATCCTTTGCCAGAGGTATCATTTGCAAATGTTTTCTCCCATTTTGTAGGCTGTTTATTCTGTTGATTATGTATTTTGCTGTGCAGAAGCATTTTAGTTAAATTAACTTCTGATTGTGTATTTTTGTTTTTATTCCACTTGCTGGTGAAGTCTTCCTCATAAATTGTTTGACTACACCGATATCCAGAGGAGTTTTTCCTAGGTTCTCCTCTTGTAATTTTATAGTTTCTAGTCTTACATATGGATATTTAATCCATCAGTTAGTTTTTGTTTATGGTGAGAGATAGAGGTCCAGTTTCATTCTTTGGCATATGGCTAGCCAGTTTTCCTAGCACAATTTATTGAATAGAGTATCCTTTCTTCATTGTTTATTTAAGTCAAGTTTATTAAAGATGAGTTGGTTATAAGTATGTAGTTTTATTTCTGGGTGCTCTTTCCTCTTCTATTGCTCTATGTGTCTATTTTTGTCAGTAGCATGCTGCTTTAGTTACTATAGCTTTGTACTGTAATTTGAAGAAAGGAAATGAAATATGATGCTTCCAGATTTGTTATTTTCACTTAGGAATGATTTGGCTATTGGAATTGCTTTTGTTTGTTTGTTTGTTTGAGATGGAGTCTGGCTCTGTCACCAAGGCTGGAGTGCAGTGGGGCACAATATTGGCTCTCTGCAACCTCTTGCTTCCCAGGTTCAAGAGATTCTCCTGCCTCAGCCTCCCGAGTAGCTGAGATCACAGGTGCCTGCCACCATGCCTGGCTCATTTTTGCATTATTAGTAGAGATGGGTTTTTACTATGTTGACCAGGCTGGTCTCGAACTCCTGACCTCAGTTGATCCGCATGCCTCAGCCTCCCAAAGTGCTTAGATTACAGGTGTGAGCCATTGAGCCCAGCTTGGTCTTTTTTTGTTGTTGTTGTTGTTTTTTGTTTTTGGTTGAACTTTAGGATTGTTTTTACTAATTCTGTGAAAAATGACATTGGAAATGTGATAGTAATTGTGTCGAATCTGTCAATTGCTTTGGGTAATAAGGTCATTTTAACAATATTCATTTTACCAATTCATGAGAATGGAATGTTTTTCCATTTGCTTGTGTCATCTATGGCTTCATTCAGCAGTGTTTGTAGTTGTTGTAGATATCTTTCACTTTCTTGGCTAAATGTATTCTTAGGTGTTTTATTTTTTTGAGTGGCTGTTGTAAATGGGATTGGTCTCTGAATTTGGTTCTCAGCTTCAACGTTACTGATGTACAGAAATGTTACTGATTTTTCTATGTTGATTTGGTATACTGAGACTTTACTGAAGGGGCTTATCAAGTCTAAGTGTCTAAATATATGATCATGTCTTCAGTGAACAGAGTCAATTTAACTTCCTCTTTTCCAATTAGGATGCACTTTATTTCCCTCCCTCACCTGATTAGGACTTCCAGGACTATGTTGAATAAGAATCGTGAGAGTGGACATCCTTGTCTTATTCCAGTTCTTAGGGGGAATGTTTTCAAATTTTCCCCATTTGCTATGCTGTTTCCTGTGGGCTTGTCACATATGGCTCTTATTTTGCTGAGGTATTTCTGTCTATGTTTAGTTCATTGGGGTTTTTATCATGAATTGTTGAATTTTTTCAAATGTTTTCCTGCATCTATTGAGATGATCATATGACTTTTTAGTTCTGTTTATGTGATAGATGATCTTTATTGATTTGTATATGTTGAACCAACCTTGCATCTCTGGAATAAAACCCATTTGATTGTGATGAATTATCTTTGTGATGCATTGTTGGATCCGTTCCCCAGTATAGTGTTGAGGGTTTTTGCATCTATATTCATCGGGGATATTGGCTTGTAGTTTTCAATTATTGTTGTGTCCTTGCCTGATTTTGGTATCAGTATGATACTGGACTTGTAGAATTAGTTAGGGATAAATCCCATCTCAATTTTTTGGAATACTTTTAGTAATATTGTTACCAGTTCTTTGTACATCTGATAAAATTTGGCTGTGAATCCATCTATCCTGGGCATTTTCTGCTGGTGAAAGGTTTTTATTACTAATTAAATTTCATTACTCATTATTGGTCTGTTCATGGTTTTGATTTATTTTTGTTCCATTCTTGGGAGGTTGTATGTTTCCAGGAATTTGTCCATTTCTTCAAGGTTTTCTGATTTGTGAGTGTAAAGGTGTTTATAGTAGTCTCTGATGATCTTTTCTGTTTCTCTGTTATCAGTTGTAATGTCACCTTTATCATCTCTGATTGTTTGTTTGAATCTTCTTTTTTTCTTAGCCTAGCTAGTGGGCTGTCAATTTTATTTATCCTTTTAAGGAACCATTTTTTTAAATTCATACTTTGTATGATTCTTTTCATCTTAATCTAATTAAGTTTTGTTCTGGTCTTCATTACTTATTTTCTTCTGCTATCTTTGGGTCTAGTTTATTGTTTTTTTAGTCCCTTTAGGTGCAACTTTAGGTTTGCTTAACTTGAGAGCTTTCTACCTTTTTTATCTAGGGCATTTTATCCCATAAACTTTCCTGTTCAGACTGCTTTTGCTGTACCCGGAGGTTTTGGTGTGTTGTGTCTCTATCTTCATTCGTTTCAAAGAACTTTTTAATTTTTGCTTGAATTTCATTGTTTACTCACAAGTTGTCCCAGAGCAAGTTGTTTAGTTTCCATGCCCTTGTGTAGTTTTGAGTGTTCTCTTTGTATTGATTTCTAATTTTATTCCACTGTGGCCTGAGAAAATACTAGATATAATTTTTGTTGTTGTTGTTGTTGTTTTTTTGCTTTATTGCGACTTGCCTTATGGCCAAACAAATGGTCAATTTTGGAGAATGTTCCTTGAGCAGATGAGAATGTATATTGTGCAGTTTTGGGCACGATACTCTGTAAATGTCTATCAGTTACATTTGGCCTAGACAACAGTTTAAATATAGAATTTTTCCGTTGGTTTCCTGCCTTGATGATTGCATTGGTTTGTTTTCACACTGTTGATAAAGATATATCCAAGACTGGATAATTTATTAAGAAAAAGAGGTGTAAGGGACTCACAGTTCCATGTGGCTGGGGAGGCCTCACAAACATGGCAGAAGGTGTGGGAATTATGGGAGCTATAATTTAAGACGAAATTTGGGTGGGGACACAGCCAAACCATGTCAGTGATCTATAGTCATGTCAGTGGGGGTACCGAAGTCCCCCATTGTCATTGTATTCCTGTCTGTTTTCTTAGGTCTAGTAGTATTCGTTTCATGAATCTGGGTGTTCCAGTAGTGGGTGCATATATATTTAGGATAGTTAAATCTTATTTTATGGAATCTTTTATCACTATGTAGTGCCCTTGTCTTTTATTATGCTTGTTTATTTAAAGTCTGTTTTATCTGATATGAGAATGGCTACTCCTGCTCACTTTTGTTTTTCATTTGTGTGGTATATATTTTTCTACTCTTTTACTTTGAGTCTGAATGTGTTTTTACCCAGTAGGTAGGTCTCTTGTAGACAGCAAGTGGTTGGGTTTTGTTTTGTTTTTATTCAGTTTACCACTCTGTAACTTTTAATTGGGGCATTTAGGCCATTTACATTCAAGGTTAATATTAACATGTGAGGTTTTGTGCCTGACATAATGTTCTTATTGAGTAGTTTTTTTATTTTCCATTATTTAGCTGCTTTATAGGATCTGTGAGCTTTGTACTTATTTTTTCTTTTCTGATGGTAAGTATTGTCCTTTCATTTCCATGTTTAGAAATCCACTGAGAATTTCTTGTAGGAGCAGTGTAGTGGGAAAACATTCTCTTTTGTCTTGGAAAGACCTTATTTTTCCTTTATTTATGAAGCTTAATTTGGCAGGATATAAAATTCTTGGCTGGCACCTGTTTTCTTTAAGAAGGGTAAAAATAGGCCCCTTCTTTGGGGTTGTATTGCTTCTGTTGAGAAGTCTATTGTTAATCTGATTGGTTCTCTGATTTGACCCTTTGCTCTAGCTGCCTTTAATATTTTGTTTTTAAAGCATTGACTTTGGATAGTCTGAAGGCTATACGCCTTAATGATGTTTGTCTTGCATACTGTCTCACAGATGTTCTCTCCATTTCTTGTGTCTGGATGTCTACATCTCTAGCAAGATTAGGGAAATTTTCTTGAATTATTATCTCAAATATGTTTTTCATGTTGCTTATTTCTTCTTCTTCCTCTCTCAGGACTTTCAATAATTCATAGATGTAGTTGTAGTCACTTTACGTAATACTTTGTTTCTCTAAGGCTTTGTTCATGTTAAAATTCTTCTTTCCTTATTTCTGTCTGATTGGGTTAGTTCAAAAGACATGTCTTTAAGCTCTGAAACTTTCTTCTTGGTCTAGTCTACTGTTAAAGCCTTCAATTGCATTTTTAAATTCTTAAGTAAATTTATTTTATTTCCAGAATTTCTGTCTGATTATTTGAAATTTATCTTTTTCATTTCCTGAATTGCTTTAGTATTTTTTCATTGTTAATTTTCAATCTTTTCTTGGCTCTTGTTGAGTTTCCTTGCAATCCATACTTTGACTTCTTTATCTTTTATTTCTGAGTTTCCATTTTGGTAAGAGTCCATTGCTAGAAAGCTAGTGTGATCCCTTGGTGGTGCCACAACATTCAGATTTTTCATGGTGCTGGAATTCTTGCACTGATTTTTTCTCAGAGGCTGTAACTTCTACTTTTTGAAATTATTTTCATTTGAACATGATTTTGTTTTCTTTTGCTATTTTTTTCTTTCCCTTTTCTCACCCTCTACAGGGAATGGAATTGTAGAATATGTTGGATAGAGTCTTTTTGGCTTAGCTTCTATAGCTGTGTACACTTCTGTCAGCACATTTTATATTGAGCTGTGTGGTTTAACCTGCAAGCCAGTAGGTGGTGCTGATGGGGAAGAGCCAGTTGCAGCAAAAGCAGATGAGTATATACTTAATCTTTGTTTACTATGAGGTACTCTCTCTTGTTTCAGGTGATGGTCTGGACAGTAGAGTGCCCTGTGTGCAGAGCTTCCTGTTCAGCTTGGGTGGGTGAACCCAATTTGGTAGAACTGGACACCCTGGGTTGCCCATGAATGACTCAGTGATGAGCACAGGCAAAAGTCCCGATACGGGTGGTTGTGGGGAGCTCCTGGTGAAATGTGAAATGCACTGTGGTCTCTGTTGGGGGGGTGAGGGGTCTACATCAGCTCCACATCCTAGAGGCAGGAACATGATCTATTTCCCTTTTCTATCCATGTGTTGAGGCTCAGGACATTCGGTTCAGATCCACACTATGCTCTATCTCCAGGTCACGGTGTGACTGAGATCCATGGAAAATGCCTGTCTTGCAACTCTCCATGATTGTAGTTTGTGAGGCAGAACATAGTCACTCAGCGCAGTACAGACAGCTTTATGTTTTGTCTGTTCTCTAAGGCAGTAAACACTGCGGCTCCGTGTGGGGGGCGGAGGTGAGCACTGCCTTTCGGTCAATGTAGGGGTGGCAGCTGCATTGGGTTCCTGTCACTGAAGCCAGCAAACCTCTTTTGGTAAGGAGAAGCCAAGGCAGGGTGTCGTGGGTCACCTAGTCTGCCCCCTACTCCTCTACACCTCAGCTGCGGTATCTGTGCTGGAGGCACGTGATATTGCCCAGCCTCCCCCAACCCTCCCTGGTCCAGGAACTACAGGGGCAGAAGCAGCATGTAGAGTCCTGTGGTACATATTCTGGCTGTTTCCCGTACCATGGCTGCAGAAACTACACCAGGAGCACACGGAAGTGCCTGGCTTCCTTTCTTGGCAGGGTGGTGGTGAGAGGTGAAACCAGCTGAGCTTCTGGGCCGGATGGGGACTTAGAGAACTTTAGTATCTAGCTAAAGGATTGTAAATGCACCAATCAGCACTCTGTGTCTAGCTGAAGTATTGTAATCACACCAATCAGCACTCTGTAAAATGGACCAATCAGCGCTGTGTGAAATGGACCAATCAGCAGGATGTGGGCGGGACCAAATAAGGGAGTAAAAGCTGGCCACCCTAGCTTGCAGCTAGGGGTCGCCTTCCACTCTCTGGCAGCTTTGTTCTTTGGCTCTTCACAATAAATCTTGCTGCTGCTCACTCTGGGTCTGCAATGCCTTTATGAGCTGTAACACTCACTTCCAGGTTCTGAGGCTTCATTCCTGAAGCCGGCAAGATCACAAACCCACGGGGAGGAACAAACAACTCTGGACTTGCCACCTTTAAGAGCTGTAACACTCACTGCAAAGGTCTGCGGCTTCACTCCTGAAGTCAGCGAGACCACGAACCCACCAGAAGGAAGAAATTCCGGACACATCTGAACATCTGAAGGAACAAACTCCAGCCACACCATTTTTAAGAACTGTAACGCTCACCGTGAGGGTCCATGGCTTCATTCCTGAAGTCCGCGAGACCAAGAACCCACTGGAAGGAATAAATTCCAGACACAGTGGCAGCTGGCACTGTGCTGCTTACAGATCAAAGACCTACAGGATTACAAGTAAGGTTGGGTGGTGCCTTTGAATTCTCCAGGTGGTCTTCTGTGTCAATGTGGAGGTTCCATGAATAGGAATGTAAAGGTCCATGGCAGAGGTGTGGATCCCTGGGCATCTAACTATCACTCATCTTTTCTATGCATTAGCCTCCTCTGGCTTTGCGCTGGTCCTCAGTCAGCCACTACTCAGCTTCTTGGCTTCATTCTTCTCTGCTTTCTGTGGGTCCTGTCACTTCTCTTATGAATCTCAGAATGATCTCCTTAATGATCCATGTGAAGAGTATTTACGTGATTTTATTTCCTCTCTGTGGGAGAGGTATGCACTAGCTGCTGCTAGTCAGCCATCTTGAACCAGAACCCTTATCCTTTTTTATTTTTTGAGACTATCTTGCTCTGTCGCCCAGGATGGAGTGCAGTGGTGCGATCTTGGCTCACTGTAACCTTCGCCTCCAGGGTTCAAGCACTTCCCCTGCCTTAGCCTCCCGGGTAGCTGGGACTACGGGCCCACGCCACTGCACCTGGCTAATTTTTGTATTTTTAGTGGAGACAGGGTTTCGCTGTGTTGGCCAGGCTGGTCTTGACCTCCTGACCTCAGGCGATCGGCCTGCCTTGGCCTCCCAAAGTGCTGGGATTACAGGCATAAGCCACCACCCCTGGCTCCTATCCTTTTTCATACTGTCCTTTGATTTACAGATTTTTAAAAGTTTTGATACTTTATTTTCTTTCTTCTAGAATTATTTCTGTGTCCTGCCAAAGATGTATTTGCTTACTTGTATGTCACAAAGATATTCTCCTATGATTTCATTGACAGCATTATAATTTTACCTCAAAAGTTATGGACTATAATAATCCTTCTCCAACGTGTATTTTATGTTTGCTGTGAGGTAATGAAGCAGCTACGTTGTCTGGGGTATATACCCTGGGGTTCACCATTGTGTGCCAGGAAAAATTAGGACAGGGCATACACAAAAAGTTTAGGTGCCAAGGTTTAATAGGCAGAAGAGAAGAGAAAGAGAAACAGCTCTCTCCACAGAGAAAGGGATCTCCAAGCCGCAAGGACTGGCTGGCAGGAAAAGCACCTGATTTTATAGTCCAGTTTGAAGAGGTGGTGTCTGATTTACATAGGGCTCACAAATTGGTTCAATCAGGTATGACATTTACATAGTGCCCAAGAAAGGCTGGTGGCCCCCCCCTAGTCTTATTATGCAAATAGACTTTCCAGTTGATCAGGGCTATCTTGTCTGTTCCTTACAGGACACGTGGCTGAGAAAGAGAAGGGAAGGTGGAGCCGCCATGTTGAACATGTCTAGTCCCTAGTTCCTGCTGGTATTCACCAGTGCAAGCTCCCAGCTTGCTTGCCTATGTCTGCAGCTTGACTTTACAGGCTGCTCTTCGGTAGAAAATGATTTGGGGCTGCTTTTCCTTAAAAAGAAAAGCCTTACGAGGACTCCCATACCCTTACTATCTGCCTAAGTGATTTCTTCTTAACTCCTGTATCGGTAAGAGTCAAGAATTTTTACCATCCCTCCTTCAAAATATTGAGTTAGTTTTATAGTTAATATACAGTTAACTGTTTAAATATCATTTGTTTTAAAAATTTTACTGACCCTCTTGAATTACGGTATAGTATAGCTACATTTCTGGACTCTGTACTGTTGATCTGTTTGCCCTATTTATGTCAATACGTCTTGATCACTGGATCTATATTTATATATTTATCCCTAAATTTAGGCATGGTAAATCCTCCAACTTGGACCTTTATTTATTTATTTATTTATTTGCAAAATTAGGCTACTGAAAATCCTTTCCATCCCCCTTGACAATGTTTAATGTAAATTTTAGAATTAGCTTGTCGGTTTTATAAAGCAGTTACTTGGGATATTGATTAGGGATGTATCATATCTTAGGTCAATTTTTGAAATAATCTGCATTTTTAATCATACTGAATATTCTAATACATAAAAAGCATATCTTCCCATTTCTTTTTTGTTTTCTTTAATTTGTCTTAGCAACGTTTTAGTGCACAGATCTTGTATTTTTTGATAAATTTCTTTTTACATGTTATTTGACATTATTAAAAATAAAGCTTTCAAAATTTCATCTCTCAATTGTTTTCCGCAATATCTAGAAAGGCAAAACACTCTTGTATATTGATGTTGTACCAAAAAACCTTGCTACTTACTGTTACTTATTATGTCAGTGCAAAAGTAATTGCAGTTTTTGTCATTTACTGTTGCACCAACCTAATAGTTGCTTTGGAAATTAGTAAGAATTTTCTGCAAAGATAATCATGTCACTTACAAATAAACAGAATTGTTCTTTCTTTCTGATCTTAATGCCTTATATTTAGTTAATTCTTATTGTCTTCTTTCACCACCTAGAACAACCTACAGTATAATTCACATGCAGGGGGAACTTTAGGGGGAAAAGTTCAATATTTCATCATATAAATCATCTTAGTTGTATTTTTAGGTGCCTTTTTGTAGGTTGTAGGTTGAATAAAAGTTGCTCTTTTTTATTACCCATGTGGGTTGAATGTTTTTTTCTGAGACTATTGAAATAAAGACATTTTCTCCTGTATTCTGTTAATATGTTATTTCTGTTGGTTATTTTTCAAATGTTAAGCCAACTTTTTATTACAGGGGTAACCTCAACTTAATAATATATTGTCTTTCTATACGTTGTCAGATTCAATTTGTATTCAAGGTTTTTTTCAATTTATATAACCTTCTCTTAGAATGACTTTGTCAAATTTCGGTGTTACAGTTATGATTGCCTCATAAAATAAATTGTAAAGGCTTTTCTCCTCTTATATCTTTAAAAGCGTTTTTGTGAAGTTGCATGATTTATTCATTATGTGTTTGATAGAATTCAACAATGTAACTATTTCAGTTTTTGTAATAAGATTCTGAAAATTAACTAAATTTCTACAGCATTTAAGACGAAATTAAAACTTTCTATGTCTTTTATCAATTTTGGCAAGTTGTGTTTTCTAAAGGATTTTCCATTTCATCTATGTTGTCAAGTTTATTAGCATAAAGTTGATTATAATAGACTCTTAATTTTTTAAGTACAAATGATCTATAAAACATCCCTATTCTATTTCAAATATTAATAATTCGTGTTTTCTCTACTTTTTCTTGATCACTTTTTACTAAAGTCACATTAATTTTATTAATCTTGTTTATCTCATTCTGGTAAAAGAGTACCATATAATTTCAGATGATATTTTAAAGTAATACATTAAGTAATTAAAATAATACATTTAAAAGATCAACTGATGTAATTACTGTACAAATGTATGAAAGGTTAAATCAGATTCCTTGTGTGTCATTGCAAATAAACATGTTAATTCTAATAATGTACATAGTTCTGAAAATGTACAAAGTAATGAATAATCATTGACCCATTCATAGAATTTATCAGCTTAAACAGTATCTTGCTTAAAGTGTTAATATTTATTGATAATTAACATGGCAATATATTTCTGTTTTAATGTAGCAACCAAAATTTAAGCTTATATTTTCATATAGATATATTTCTGCCTAAAGTGTAATTTGTCATTTTTGCTCTGTCACCCAGGCTGGAATGCAGTAATGCAATCTGGCTCATAGCAACCTCTGCTCCCAGGCTCAAATGGCCCTCCCACCTCAGCTTCCCAAGTAGCTGGGACCACAGGCACACGCCACCACGCCTGGCTATTTTTTTTTTAATTTTTAATAGAGATGGGGTCTCGTTATGTTGCCAAGGCTGGTCTCAAATTCCTCAGCTCAGACAATCTGCTCACTTCGGCCTCTCAATGTGCTTGGATTACAGGTGTGAGCCACCGTGCCTGGCACATAAATTATTCCTTAAACTCACATACAGTGTTTGTAGTCATTGATAAAGTAATTATTCTTTCCTACTAAGGATTTTTATTCATAATATCTCCTTTTTAACTTAGTAAAAAGTTAAATCCCATTTATGGCTCAGACTGTATTAAGCCATTTTTATAATTAATAATTATTAAAAATAAGTTATTTTAAAATGTCATTTTCCAACTTCTTGTATTAATATTGAAATTTTTATTGTTATTTTATGTGGAACAGCTAACACAAAAAGAAATTTTATAAAAACACAAACAATCATCCGTAATTTCAGACATAAGGTAAAAACACATTTTGCTCAGTGTTTCTCCAAGACAAATTGCTGATACACTTAAAACTACATATCTGAAAATTACTTTCAGAGACTGCATAGGAAAAATGCTACAATATTAATGATTAATTGCATAGATGTATATGTGCTGTTCCATTTAATTATAAACTAAGAAAGAAATGAGAATGAGGAGGTTATAAGTCCAAAACAAGAAAGCTCTATGGGCTCGATGCCATTACTCTAGAAAATAAATCCTGCCATCCGGCACACAGAAGGAACACAAGTTAGAAAATGTTTCTTGTGGGAGAAAAGCTCATTAAAGTAGATTTGGATTACTTCAACAGAAGGTCCATGGAAGTGTTAACTGCCATTATCATGAAGAATATTTCCCTGTTTCTTATTCCATTATGCGTGCATCAAATTCTGACTTTTGTTTATGATCAATAACCAATTTATTCTTAGAACACTAAAAGGTTACAACCTAGTTTCCTCAGAGTAATGAAGATTTACTGGAATGTGAGTCATCCTTATTTAAATCAGCCTATTGAGTCATCAATTTTCAGGGTCCCATATGTGCTTTTTGTATTTATTACTGTCCTTTGGCTAATGGGTTCATATCATAGTTTAAGCCAAATGTCAATTTTAGTTTATAAGCCCCAGTTACTTCCACTGAATGTGCTCTTCAAAAGAGCCAGTATTATGGTAGTGTTTGTAGTCAACTGAAGGAGAGAGTCATCAGAGGGATACATGAGATGAAATGGACAATTCTGCACTCAGTTGATTTTCAAGATTAGCAATAATAAGTTTACCAAATTTTTGAAATTTTAAATATTCTTTCACATTTTTGAAAAATAGATGTTATGTAAAATATTTAATAAAACATATAGAAATAATAATCCTTACCATTTCTTAATCACTGACAGTTTAGCATTCTAGTCATTTACTGTGTCAGTTTGTAAACATCTCATGTATAAATTTCACCAAATATGTGTACCCTAATATTCCTTTACATAACTTTTTACCTTAGTGTAGACTAAGTTATTGTTTCCGAAAACACTATATGTATCACCACACTTTCTTTGGAATTTACATCTTTTCTACCCATGTGTTTACCTGTGACTAAATTGTGATTTGGGCATTCAGGGCTTTCAATATCTGGAATTTTCAAAGCTTTATCAACTGGTTAGTTACTACAGTTATTCCTTACAAAGATTGTTCTTTTAGTTCAGAAGTTTAGCCTCAAAATCTTCATAATTACTCTCAAAGAAAGCTGGCTTTTTCTTTTCTAAGTGCGACTACTATTATTATTATTATTATTTAACACTGGCAATCAATACCCAGGCTAACCTGTGTAAAATTTTCTTCCTTAGTGAATATTTGAAATGTTCTATTTTTCCATAGCCATGTTTTCCACAGTTGCAAGCTCAATACTTTTATGCCTATAATTTGATACAAATTATTGAGTTCCAGGCCAGGGAGGCAGAGCTTGCAGTGAGCCGAGATCGTGCCACTGCACTCCAGCCTGGGCGACAGAGTGAGACTCTGTCTTAAAAAAAAAAAAAAAAAATTATTGAGTTCCTTTTCAGTGTAAGGCATTGCACTCCGCATAAGATATGTAGGTAAAAAGGACATATATATTCCCCATCCTTGTGCAACTATAGTAAAAATGCTAAAGAGTTCATTATACATCTAATTCGTTACATTTGTGAAAAGTGCTATGAAGTGCAAGTACAATGTTCTATGAATGCAAAATAAGGTTTACCACCTAAGCATAACTAATTCATCACTACCGCAATATTAATATTGTCAATATACCAGCATTAATAAAAAACCATATGATTAGAGATATTGGCTTGTCATTTTATATTAAATATGGCACATGCATAATATAGATTATTTCAAAATTTAGCAAATAGGCCTTAGACGTATCCCAATAGTTGTCTCTGTGCTAGCCACTGGAGATCAAAAGAAAATGAGACTGGGTGTGGTAGCTCATGCTTGTAATTTCAGCACTTTGGAGGCCAAGGCAGGAGGACTGCTTGAGGCCAGGAGTTTGGGACCAGCCTGTGCAACATAGAGAGACCCTGTCTCCACAAAAATAAAAATAAAATTAGCCAAGCTTGGTGGTGTGTTTCTGTAGTTCCAGCTACTTGGGAGACTGAGGTGGATGGACTGCCTGAGCCCAAGGGTTTAGGGTTACAATGAACTATGATCATACCACTGAACTCCAGCCTGGGTGATTGAGCAAAAACCATAGTCTGTCTCTAAGAGAAAAAAAAAAAAAAAAGAGAAAAAAGAAAATGAGACTGTGCCTGCTTTTTAGAATCTCATTTAAAGAGAAGTTACACATATATACTGTTTACACCAACACAATGTGGTAAGACCTTTTATAGAATAAAGTATGCTACAGATGAAATTATGTTTCCTCAAAATTCATATGTGGAAGTGAAACCCGATATAATGGTACTTGGAGATGCAAACTTTGAGAGGTAATCAGAGTTAGCTGAGGTTGTGAGGATGGCACCCTCAGGATAGGATTAGTGCCTTTATAATAAGAGACACCAGAGAGCTTCCTCTTACTCTCTGCCATGTGAGGACATAGCAAGGAGGCAGTTGTCTTCAAGCCAGGAAGAAAGTCCTTACCAGAACCTAATCATGCTGGCATGCCAATTTTAAACTATCAGCCCCCAGAACTATAAAAAAATAAATTTTTATTGTTGAAGCTACCCAATCTAGGGCATTTTGTTATAGCAACCCAAGCTGACTAATAGGATGTAGAAACTATATTAGTAGCACAGAGGGAAGAATAATTAATGCTACCTAGAGCAATTAAAGAAGACTCCAAAAAAGAAGATATATTAAAGCTCACCCTTGAAGGATGCATGTGATTTCACTATGTAGAGAAGAGGGTGAAACGGCATTGTAAGCAGAAAAAGCAAGACCAGGGACAGAAAAATAAGGGATTCAAAGATGAATCCCAGAGTTTTACCTCATTAAATGAGGTGAATAGTAATGCCACAAACTGAAATAGAAAATAGAAAACATAAAAAGGTAGATTTTACTAAGTTATAACATGAAACTAAACTTGACCAAGATGATTAATTAGCATTAAACAATTGCTGAATGTAAGTGTAGAAATAGTAAGAGAAAAAACTAGAAAACTTGCTTTCAACATTTCATATATCTGCAGTAGATATTATGATTTCCTCTCAGATCACCTCTTCAGGGCCAATGCATCTATCTGCCAACTGCTGACAGAATAACACAAAGCCAATGGATTTTCCTTCATCAAAAAGCTGCATTGTTTAAAATTATATTCCTTCTTGTGGTAAAGTGAGAAGATGAAGGAGGATGCCTGTGGACAACTGGGTGATGCAGTTTGAAGATCTGGTATCTGGGTGATAGATAACTGGGTGATGCAGGGTTTGAAGATCTGTCATCACTATCTTATTTTGGGAAAACTCTAAAGGGTACCCCAAGTTCCAAAACTTTCTGTAAGTTGGCTGATCACTCAACTGCAACTGCACTGTGGATTAGCTTCTTCTACTGCCAAATCCTGCCTTTCTCACATTCTTACAGGCAAATTTAAAAACACTGTTCAATTAACCTTCTCATTTCAAATCCCCATTTCCAGAGAACTCAGCCTAAGATGGTACCAGCATAAATTTCAAAACATCCATATGGACACCTGTTAGGTTGGCTAAGGAGGAAAACGGTTAAAATATACAGAAGTTACTGTAGAATCTGACCAATATGTATCAATTTTCCATCATTAGATGAGCCTGTGTGCATGAGATTGCTGCTGAGAATCCTGAATCATAGGGAACAGAACAGAACAGGAAGTTAGGGAGGTGAGAGTTTATCAAAATGTGAGTATCATCCTAGGAAACCTAATTTAATGCATCTACCCTGTGAGATCATACTAATCTTCTAGGATAGTTTTTGGAACATGAAAAAATTGCTGACCCCAAATAAATTAAGTAGAAATGCTAGAGTTGCCAGGCAGATAGTGGGGAAAAAAAAGCATCAGAGAGGTGGGCATGCTAAATTGAATATACACAGTAAGTCTTGATAAACTGCTGACAGTGTTGCATAGAAGGTCTAGAGAACACAAGAGATGCTGTTACAGAACTGAGTGATAGTTATTAGAATGATTGGACCTCAAAATAACAAAGACAAGATGGTGTTGCTTAGCTATCAGAAGCAAGGTAAGTACAGTGACTGGCAACATCTGAGTGGCAGGCAGAGGAGTCTTTACTCACAGTGAGATATGAAAACAGCAGTTTATGTCAGTCCTTGAGGAAAAATTAACAGGCAGTCAACTAGGGTTTTATTTAATTTATAAAATCAAAGCAAATCAAAGACGGATGATCAGGAAACAGGAAAACTGTCCACTGAAAAATCACTATCCTTTCCCCAGGTTCCAGATCTGTCCATTGCTCAGACCATAACCTCATTGACTAAAATAGAGTCTAGGCCTATGATAAAGGGTAATTTTCCACTATGACAAATAACTAGTAGTAACTCTCCATGCTTCACCAGAACGACCCACAAATGTTCATTATGGTAACCTGAGCACTGGGAAAGGAAAATATCCAGTCTTTCAAAGATCGATATAAACATGAATGTAGTAAGCAGAAAAATAAAATATATTAAAAAGGAACCAGATAGAACCTCTAGGACCCTCTAGAAAATACATTTTTTTTACCAAGTTCATAATTTTATTATACTCTGAATAGAGATGATATTTAAAGAGCAGAGAAAATGACTATACAAAGGATTTATAGAACATTCATTTACATACTGGATATATTCTTTACAGTATCAGAAATGTAAAAATATGCACTAACAAGGCAGAGAAGAACTTATAAGCTATTTGATGCTGAGAAAAAAATACACAGTGACTTTTAACATGGCTATAGCTTAACACTGGAGGAATACAATACGTTCTTTTACTGAGTAGTTAGTAGGACCCTGGCTAAAACATGCGTCGGGCACAGTTTGTGAACTCCCCGCATTTACTCCCCAGGGCAGTATGCGCCTATCCAGCGGGAGCCCTGGAGACAAAATGCCTGAGCAAACTAGGGTCTCAGTATTGAGAAACGCACCCTGCCAGGGAATCACAGAGACATCGGGGTGCCCGCGATGGCCCTCATGAAGCCATGCCTCGACGGCTTTCAGGAAGCTTTGCAAACGTGCTTTTTGAACTCATTGGCCAGGTGTGATTTTTGCACAAGGTAAATGTGGTCAAGGGCATCGGGGAATTTGCTCCAAGCAGATAGCTCCCTCTGAGGAACCAAAGGAAGCAAGTTTCCACGACTTCTGAAGAGATGGTATAGGAAGTTTCTTTCTTTTGTGTTACATGTGCATTAAACAGAACAAGCTGTGTGTCATCACAGATTGTACTGTGGGCTCAGAAACCGTGAGAGAGCCCCTACCGTGGACACCGGCTCTAGGGCCACAGGAAAAGGAAAGTTTCCAGACATTTAGAAAATACATTTTATGTGTTTCTAAACTTTATGCAGATTAAACATTCCAGAAGAATGATCAGTGCACTTAAAAAATATAGTGATAGAAATTATCCATACAGAAGCACCACTAGAAAAAATATTGAAAATAATAAGACATATATTTATATTAACATTAAATATGTTCAGTAAACTATAAGATAATCCTAAGAAGTTGAACAAGAGTGCCATTGAACTTCCAGAAAGGTGGTGACAAAAAATTGAAGGAAAAATGGGCTAACATTTTCTAAATTTGCTCACATGTTCTAGAAAGTTCAACAAATTCCAACCAGGGAAACAAACAAAAGAAGCTGAGGCATGCAATTCAAATCTCATAAAATTATTGTTAAAGAGAACAGCAATAAGAGAAAAAAGAGGGATTAAATGCAAGGAAATAAACCTAACACTGACTTTTCACCACAGGCAATACAAACCAGAATATACTGGAACAATACCTTTAAATTCCTAGAAAAAAGCCTACCAACCTAGAATTCTGTTTTCAGAAAAAAATATTCTTCAGAAATGGAGGTAAAATAAATACATTTTCAGAAAAAGAAAAGCTGGGAGAATTCCTCATCAGAAGACTAGCACTTTAAGAAAGTTTAAAGAAAGTTTTTTCTGGCTAAACAAACATTCATCAAGAATTGTAGTAAGGAATGAGGTGTTAATAGTAGCTATGTGATTTTTTTTTAATTCTTTCATTTTTCAATTTATTTAAAATATCTTTTCCTATTTAAATAAAAAATAATATATCTGTTGGGTTTATGACATAAGTAGATGTAGCTCTCACATCAATAATAGTAAAAAGAAGAGAAAGGTGAAATAGAAGTATATGATTATACATTTCTAACATTTATCTGAAGTGGAATAACATACTTGAAAATAGACTATGATAAGTTAAGATGCACACTGCAAACTTTGGAGCTCCTACTATATAAAATTTAAGAGTTATAGCTAGTAAGGCCATAATAGAGAAAAATGAATAATTAAAATATTTAAATAGTCAAATGCAGAGTAAACGAACAAAAAATGTATGAGACAAATTGAAAACCAATAGCCAGATATACCCCAAAACAACCATATAAATAGATTAATTATAAATAATCAAAACTTTCCAAATAAATCCAGAGACTATTACACTTAATTAAAAGGCTAAATACAATTGTGTGTCATCTAGAAGAAGTATGTTTTATTTCATTATGATTATTATTACGATTATTATTTTTAGAGATAGGTTCTCACTCAGTTACTCAGGCTGCAGTGCAACGGTGTGATCATTGCTCACTGTACCTCAAAATTGTGACTCAAGCAATCCTCCTGCCTCACCTTCCTGAGGCAGCTAGGACTAGAGGAGAGTCCCATCATGCCTGGCTAATTTTTTATCCAAATTTTTTATTTAGCAGGCCTTTTTTTTTTTTTTTTTTTTTTTTTTTTTACTACAACTATGTAGTCAGTACTAATGTAATATTAGTTGGGAATAAAGGCCTGCTTTCAGAATTGAAATTGCTACCAATTTTAACAAATGATGGGTACACTTTTGAAGTCTATGTAACAACTAGGAAGTCATTTCCAAAATATGCCTCCCTTCAATGTGAAATCAGGTGTCTCATAGGCCAAATACATCATTGTAGTCATTACTACTTACTATTACATTGTAGTCAATACTAATGTAAAATTAGTTGGGAATATACATCATTATATTGATGATGTAGTCAATACTAATTCCCATGGAATACAATGGGAAATTAGTTGTAGGATAACGATTTCAATTAGTTGTAGGATGAAATATCCTACAACTAATTTCCCATTTCCTATCTTGAGAAGAAAAAAACTGTTTTTAATGCTGATGCTTCATATTCCTGGCTATTTGATGTAAGGAGTTCCAAGTGGTCAAAATATTTTATTCTATTTTAGCACAAATAACCTGGTACATTATTATCCCAGAAAAATGTAGCCTGTTTTCACATAAACTCACTGTTCTTTCACTATGTTTAAACTACTTACTGTACATTAGTACTTCCCATTACAGAATGAGCTTATATGCATATATCCCCTTGATTATATGATTTTTTAAATGGCTATTTCATTTGGTGAATTTTCTAGCATTATATTTCCAAGTGTTTAGTTTTTATTATGACCTATTTATTGGTTTTATTGATAGAATAATTTTCTGCCATTTCTAAATAGCATTTGATAAAAATTTTCTCCTAATTATGCCTCAGGGATTGTGTGAGAAATGGGTTCTTATAAGACCTTCAACTAAGTGGAAATTAAAAAAAAATCTTGTAAAAAGTTTTCTGGATGTAAGAGGGGAGGCTTTTCTGTGTTCAAATGTAATTACTTTGAAAAAACATCTCAATATCTTCAAAAGTATTAAAATCATAGAAGATACCTTAACCAACAAAATTATATGAGGAATTTATAACAAAAAATCTGCGTATCTCAAACTTTTGAGAAATTACCCTTCTGAAAAATTGATAGGTTGAAAAAGAAATTATAAAAGTAATTTAAATGTATTTTGAACTGAAAGTAAAGAAAAGCATTACACATTGAACTTTGTTGGATGTACTGAAAATAGTACATAAGAGGAAATTTTTAGCAACAAATACTTATATTAGAAAAGAATAATTGTTTCAAGTCAAAGATCTATGCATGGACCCAAAGAAACTAGAAAAAGAATAAACAAATCCCAAAAGAGCAAAAGGAAAGGAACACTAAAGATAAGGCTAAAGATAAATAAATTAGAAAATGGACAAATAATATAAAAGGTAGATCAAACCAAAAGTTAGTTCTTTGAAAATATTAAAATACATTGTTAAACCCCCAGCTAGATTGATGAGAGAGACAGAAAGAAAGAGAGAGAGGAAAAAAGAAACACAATTTGACAGTGACAGAATGAAAGGTCCTGCAGTTATTTAAAGTATAGTAAAAGAGTAATTTAAACTAAAATTTAAAGAAAATACATAAAAGAGGGGGAAGAGCCAAGATGGCCGAATAGGAACAGCTCTGGTCTACAGCTCCCACGTGAGCGACGCAGAAGACGGGTGATTTCTACATTTCCATCTGAGGTACCGGGTTCATCTCAGTAGGGAGTGCCAGACAGTGGGCGCAGGTCAGTGGGTGCAGCACACCATGTGCGAGCTGAAGCAGGGCGAGGTACTGCCTCACTCGGGAAGCGCAAGGGGTCAGGGAGTTCCCCTTCCTAGGCAAAGAAAGGGGTGACAGACAGCACCTGGAAAATCGTGTCATTCCCACCTGAATACTGCGCTTTTCCGACACTCTTAAAAAACAGCGCACTAGGAGACTATATCCCGCACGTGGCTAGGAGGGTCCTACGCCCATGGAGTCTTGCTGATTGCTAGCACAGTAGTCTGAGATCAAACTGCAAGGCGGCAGCGAGGTTGGGGGAGGGGCGCCCTCCACTGCCTAGGGTTGCTTAGGTAAACAAAGCAGCCGGAAAGCTCCAACTGGGTGCAGCCCACCACAGCTCAAGGAGGCCTGCCTGCCTCCGTAGGCTCTACCTCTGGGGGCAGGGCACAGACAAACAAAAAGACAACAGTAACCTCTGCAGACTTAAATGTCCCCGTCTGACAGCTTTGAAGAGAGCAGTGGTTCTCCCAGCACGCAGCTGGAGATCTGAGAACGGGCAGACTGCCTCCTCAAGTGGGTCCCTGACCCCTGACCCCTGAGCAGCCTAATTGGGAGGCACCCCCCAGCAGGGGCAGACTGACACCTCACAAGGCCGGGTACTCCTCTGAGACAAAACTTCCAGAGGAATGATCAGACAGCAGCATTCGCGGTTCACGAGAAACCACTGTTCTGCAGACACCACTGCTGATACCCAGGCAAACAGGGTCTGGAGTGGACCTCGAGCAAACTCCAACAGACCTGCAGCTGAGGGTCCTGTCTGTTGGAAGGAAAACTAACAAACAGAAAGGACATGCACACCAAAAACCCATCTGTACATCACCATCATCAAAGACCAAAAGTAGATAAAACCACAAAGATGGGGAAAAAACAGAGCAGAAAAACTGGAAACTCTAAAAAGCAGAGCACCTCTCCTCCTCCAAAGGAACGCAGTTCCTCACCAGCAATGGAACAAAGCTGGACAGAGAATGACTTTGACGAGTTGAGAGAAGAAGGCCTCAGATGATCAAACTACGAGCTACAGGAGGAAATTCAAACCAAAGGCAAAGAAGTTAAAAACTTTGAAAAAAATTTAGAAGAATGTATAACTAGAATAACCAATACAGAGAAGTGCTTAAAGGAGCGGATGGAGCTGAAAGCCAAGACACGAGAACTACATCAAGAATGCAGAAGCCTCAGGAGCCGATGCAATCAACTGGAAGAAAGGGTATCAGCGATGGAAGATGAAATGAATGAAATGAAGCGAGAAGGGAAGTTTAGAGAAAAAAGAATAAAAAGAAATGAGCAAAGCCTCCAAGAAATATGGGACTATGTGAAAAGACCAAATCTACGTCTGATTGGTGTACCTGAAAGTGACGGGGAGAATGGAACCAAGTTGGAAAACACTCTGCAGGATATTATCCAGGAGAACTTCCCCAATCTAGCAAAGCAGGCCAACATTCAGATTCAGGAAATACAGAGAACACCACAAAGATACTCCTCGAGAAGAGCAACTCCAAGACACATAATTGTCAGATTCACCAAAGTTGAAATGAAGGAAAAAATGTTAAGGGCAGCCAGAGAGAAAGGTCATGTTACCCACAAAGGGAAGCCCATCAGACTAACAGCTGGTCTCTCAGCAGAAACTCTACAAGCCAGAAGAGAGTGGGGGCCAATATTCAACATTCTTAAAGAAAAGAATTTTCAACCCAGAATTTCATATCCAGCCAAACTAAGCTTCATAAGTGAAGGAGAAATAAAATACTTTACAGACAAGAAAATGCTGAGAGATTTTGTCACCACCAGACCTGCCCTAAAAGAGCTCCTGAAGGAAGCACTAAACATGGAAAGGAACAACCAGTACCAGCTGCTGCAAAATCATGCCAAAATGTAAAGACCATGGAGACTAGGAAGAAACTCCATCAACTAACGAGCAAAATAACCAGCTAACATCATAATGACAGCTTCAAATACACATATAATAATATTAACTTTAAATGTAAATGGACTAAATGCTCCAATTAAAAGACACAGGCTGGCAAATTGGATAAAGAGTCAAGACCCATCAGTGTGTTGTATTCAGGAAACCCATCTCACGTGCAGAGACACACATAGGCTCAAAATAAAAGGATGGAGGAAGATCTACCAAGCAAATGGAAAACAAAAAAAGGCAGGGGTTGCAATCTTAGTCTCTGATAAAACAGACTTTAAACCAGCAAAGATCAAAAGAGACAAAAGAAGGCCATTACATAATGGTAAAGGGATCAATTCAACAAGAAGAGCTAACTATCCTAAATATATATGCACCCAATACAGGAGCACCCAGATTCATAAAGCAAGTCCTGAGTGACCTACAAAGAGACTTAGACTCCCACACATTAATAAAGGGAGACTTTAACACCCCACTGTCAACATTAGACAGATCAACGAGACAGAAAATCAACAAGGATACCCAGGAATTGAACTCAGCTCTGCACCAAGTGGACCTAATAGACATCTACAGAACTCTCCACCCCAAATCAACAGAATATACATTTTTTTCAGCACCACACCACACCTATTCAAAAATTGACCACATAGTTGGAAGTAAAGCTCTCCTCAGCAAATGTAAAAGAACAGAGATTATAACAAACGGTCTCTCAGACCACAGTGCAATCAAACTAGAACTCAGGATTAAGAAACTCACTCAAAACCACTCAACTACATGGAAACTGAACAATCTGCTCCTGAATGACTACTGGGTACATAACGAAATGAAGGCAGAAATAAAGATGTTCTTTGAAACCAACAAGAACAAAGACACAACATACCAGAATCTCTGGGACACATTCAAAGCAGTGTGTAGAGGGAAATTTATAGCACTAAATGCCCACAAGAGAAAGCAGGAAAAATCCAAAATTGACACCCTAACATCACAATTAAAAGAACTAGAAAAGCAAGAGAAACACATTCAAAAGCTAGCAGAAGGCAAGAAATAACTAAAATCAGAGCAGAACTGAAGGAAATAGAGACACAAAAAACCCTTCAAAAAATTAATGAATCCAGGAGCTGGTTTTTTGAAAGGATCAACAAAATAGATAGACCGCTAGCAAGACTAATAAAGAAAAAGAGAGAGAAGAATCAAATACATGCAATAAAAAATGACAAAGGGGATATCACCACTGATCCCACAGAAATACAAACTACCATCAGAGAATACTACAAACACCTCTATGCAAATAAACTAGAAAATCTAGAAGAAATGGATAAATTCATCAACACATACACTCTCCCAAGACTAAACCAGGAAGAAGTTGAATCTCTGAATAGACCAATAACAGGAGCTGAAATTGTGTCAATAATCAATAGCTTACCAACCAAAAAGAGTCCAGGACCAGATGGATTCACAGCCGAATTCTACCAGAGGTACAAGGAGGAGCTGGTACCATTCCTTCTGAAACTATTCCAATCAATAGAAAAAGAGGGAATCCTCCCTAACTCATTTTATGAGGCCAGCATCATCCTGATACCAAAGCCTGGCAGAGACACAACCAAAAAAGAGAATTTTAGACCAATATCCTTGATGAACATTGATGCAAAAATCCTCAATAAAATACAGGCAAACCGAATCCAGCAGCACCTCAAAAAGCTTATCCACCATGATCAAGTGGGCTTCATCCCTGGGATGCAAGGCTGGTTCAATATACGCAAATCAATAAATGTAATCCAACACATAAACAGAACCAAAGACAAAAACCACACGATTATCTCAAAAGATGCAGAAAAGGCCTTTGACAAAATTCAACAGCCCTTCATGCTAAAAACTCTCAATAAATTAGATATTGATGAGACATATCTCAAAATAATAAGAGCTATCTATGACAAACCCACAGCCAATATCATACTGAATGGGCAAAAACTGGAAGCATTCCCTTTGAAAACTGGCACAAGACAGGGATGCCCTCTCTCACCACTCCTATGCAACATAGTGTTGGAAGTTCTGGCCAGGGCAATTAGACAAGAGAAGGAAATAAAGGGTATTCAATTAGGAAAAGAGGAAGTCAAATTGTCCCTGTTTGCAGACGACATGATTGTATATCTAGAAAACCCCGTTGTTTCAGCCCAAAATCTCCTTAAGCTGATAAGCAACTTCAGCAAAGTCTCAGGATACAAAATCAATGTACAGAAATCACAAGCATTCTTATACACCAATAACAGACAAACAGAGAGCCAAATCATGAGTGAACTCCCATTCACAATTGCTTCAAAGAGAATAAAATACCTAGGAATCCAATTTACAAGGGATGTGAAGGACCTCTTCAAGGAGAACTACAAACCACTGCTCAAGGAAATAAAAGAGGATACAAACAAATTGAAGAACATTCCATGCTCATGGGTAGGAAGAATCAATATCGTGAAAATGGCCATACTGCCCAAGGTAATTTACAGATTCAATGCCATCCCCCTCAAGCTACCAATGACTTTCTTCACAGAATTGGAAAAAACTACTTTAAAGTTCATATGGAACTAAAAAAGAGCCCACATCGCCAAGTCAATCCTAAGCCAAAAGAACAAAGCTGGAGGCATCACACTACCTGACTTCAAACTATACTACAAGACTACAGTAACCAAAACAGCATGGTACTGGTACCAAAACAGAGATATAGATCAATGGAACAGAACAGAGCCCTCAGAAATAATGCCACATATCTACACCTATCTGATCTTTGACAAACCTGGGAAAAACAAGCAATGGGGAAAGGATTCCCTATTTACTAAATGGTGCTGGGAAAACTGGCTACCCATATGTAGAAAGCTGAAAGTGGATCCCTTCCTTACACCTTATACAAAAATTAATTCAAGATGGATTAAAGACTTAAACGTTAGACCTAAAACCATAAAAACCCTCCAAGAAAACCTAGGCATTACCATTCAGGACATAGGCATGGGCAAGGACTTCATGTCTAAAACACCAAAAGCAATGGCAACAAAAGCCAAAGTTGACAAATGGGATCTAATTAAACTAAAGAGCTTCTGCACAGCAAAAGAAACTACCATCAGAGTGAACAGGCAACCTACAAAATGGGAGAAAATTTTCACAACCTACTCATCTGACTAATATCAGATGGGCTAATATCCAGAATCTACAATGAACTCAAACAAATTTACAAGAAAAAAACAAACAACCCCATCAAAAAGTGGGTGAAGAACATGAACAGCCACTTCTCAAAAGAAGACATTTATGCAGCCAAAAAACACATGAAAAAATGCTCACCATCACTGGCCATCAGAGAAATGCAAATCAAAACCACAATGAGATACCATCTCACACCAGTTAGAATGGCAATCATTAAAAAGTCAGGAAACAACAGGTGCTGGAGAGGATGTGGAGAAACAGGAACACTTTTTTTTTATTATTATACTCTAAGTTTTAGGGTACATGTGCACATTGTGCAAGTTAGTTACATATGTATACATGTGCCATGCTGGTGCGCTGCACCCACTAACTCGTCATCTAGCATTAGGTATATCTCCCAATGCTATCCCTCCCCCCTCCCCCCACCCCACCACAGTCCCCAGAGTGTGATATTCCCCTTCCTGTGTCCATGTGATCTCATTGTTCAGTTCCCACCTATGAGTGAGAATATGCGGTGTTTGGTTTTTTGATCTTGCGATAGTTTACTGAGAATGATGATTTCCAATTTCATCCATGTCCCTACAAAGGACATGAACTCATCATTTTTTATGGCTGCATAGTATTCCATGGTGTATATGTGGCACATTTTCTTAATCCAGTCTATCATTGTTGGACATTTGGGTTGGTTCCAAGTCTTTGCTATTGTGAATAATGCCGCAATAAACATACGTGTGCATGTGTCTTTATAGCAGCATGATTTATAGTCATTTGGGTATATACCCAGTAATGGGATGGCTGGGTCAAATAGGAACACTTTTACACTGTTGGTGGGACTGTAAACTAGTTCAACCATTGTGGAAGTCAGTGTGGCGATTCCTCAGGGATCTAGAACTAGAAATACTATTTGACCCAGCAATCCCATTACTGGGTATATGCCCAAAGGACTATAAATCATGCTGCTATAAAGACACATGCACACGTATGTTTATTGCAGCCTTATTCACTATAGCAAAGACTTGGAACCAACCCAAATGTCCAACAATGATAGACTGGATTAAGAAAATGTGGCACATATACACCATGGAATACTATGCAGCCATAAAAAATGATGAGTTCATGTCTTTTGTAGGGACATGGATGAAATTGGAAATCATCATTCTCAGTAAACTATCGCAAGAACAAAAAACCAAACACCGCATATACTCACTCAGAGATGGGAATTGAACAATGAGAACACATGGACACAGGAAGGGGAACATCACACACTGGGGGCTTTTGTGGGGTGGGGGGAGGGGGGAGGGATAGCATTGGGAGATATACCTAATGCTAGATGACGAGTTAGTGGGTGTAGCACACCAGCATATCACATGTATACATATGTAACTAACCTGCACATTGTGCACATGTACCCTAAAACTTAAAGTATAATAATAATAAAAAAAAGAAAATACATAAAAGAATCTTTGTTACTTTGGGGCAGAGAGAGCTTAGTGAAATGATACAAAACTCACTAAATATACAAGAAAAAAGTCAATTAAAATTTTATCAAAATTATACATTTCTATTCTTTAAAACACTCGAAATGAAAAGGCAAACTACAAAATGGTAGATATTCTTCTATATATACATAGAAGGCAAATTGTGTATGATATGTTGATTATTTTGATATGTACTTTTGAGAGTGAGGATATTTGATGAATAGAGAGAAATCAAGGAAAATTCCCAGAGTGTGACTTAAGAAGTATGTGTATATATATATATATATATATATACTTATATATATGTTTTGTTTTTACATATATAAAACCCTTTTATATGTATTTATAACCCTTTTGTTTTATGTATATATCATATATACAAAACATATATAAATCATATGTATGTTTTGTATATATCATATATATAAAACATATATATATCATATATATGTTTTATATATATATCATATGTATGTTTTTTATATATGATATATATGATATGTAAAGGGCAAAAAATGTTACCAAACATTGCATTTAACATAACGTAACATAAATGTTATGTTACTAAAATTCATACATAAGATATCCTTTCTACTAAGCAGAGAAAAAGATGCTCAACACCATTAGTCATCAGTGAAATGCCAGTTAAAATTTCCAGTGAGATACCATTGCATATCCATGAGAACGGTAACAGTTGAAAAGAGTGAAAATAGCAAGGATTGGTGAGAATGTGGAAAAAGAACTTCATACTTGCTAGTAAGAGTGTTTAATAGTATAACCATGGGAAAGAGTTTGTCAGCATGAGTTCCAGCAATTTTGCTATTAGTTATCTACCCTAGAGAAATGAAAACATGTCTTCAAAAAGATTTGCATGCAAATGTTAATAGCATCTTTATTCATAATAGCATTAAGCTGTAAACAAAACAAGGATCCTTAATAGATGAATGGATAAACAAGCTGTGATATATGCAAATAATGGTATACTACTCGGCAATAAAATGGAACAAACTATTTAGACATAAAACATTGATGAATTTCACATTATGCTGAGCTACCAAAGACATTAAAGAGCATACACAATATGAATTCATGTAGAACTAATTCCAGAACAGGTAAAACTAATCTATAGTAGCAGAGAGTGTATCAGTTGTTTTCTGGGCCATAGGTAAGCAAGCGTAAAATGCAAATGACAAAAGGAACAATTTGGGGGGGTGATAGAAATATTTCATTGCTTGATTGGTGTGAGGGGGTATATAAACTCATCAAATGTAAACTTAAAATAGGTGGTTTTTCATGCATGTAACTCATACTTCAGTGATGTTAACTGCATAAGTAGAAAAACAAGTGGACCAAACACTATCGAGGTGGGACAAGAATTGAGGCAGGGAGGCTAGGTAAGGTACTGTGAATAATTTGAATAGGTAATGATGGTTATAATAGAGGAAATGTAGGACAAGAAGACAGATGTGGGATCTATCTAGGAAGCAAATTGCATATGATATGTTGATGATTTAGATATGCATATATGAGGGTGAGGATGATATAGGCAGAGATAGGCATGAGTGGGGCAGGAGAGGGCTCCCTGTCACAACCCACTAGGAATGTCGGGTGATAGACTGGCAATTATTGCATTGCCTCTCTAAAAAGATAATTTGGCAGCCAGGGAGTGACAATCTCCTGATGGAACCTACTGTTAACATTTAAAATATTAATTGAATGCCAGCCCCTGGGAGAAGCAACTTCCTGGACATGGGTGTTAAGAGACAAAAATGGCAATGTATGATCTCCAGCTACATGTCATCAGAAGAGGAAAGAAAGCCTCTGTTTATTACTCCCTAAACACACTGCAGCTGCTCAACTCCAAAGGGCAAAGAAAGCACTGGGCATGTGGGAAGCCCACCCTAAGGGAAGAATCATGGGAAAGCGGTGAGCCTACAAACTCCAAGGATCAAGGTTAAAAGTCCTTTTTTTCTCTCTCTCTTTCTCTCTCTCTTTGACCTTCAGGCGCCCACTTGGGTCTCTTCCACGTGAATTTTCCTTTCTTTCCTATTCTAAAGCCTTTTAAAATAAACTTCCACTCCTGCTCTGAAACTTGCCTTGGTCTCTTTCTGCTTTATGCCCCTCAGTGGAATTCTTTCATCTGAGGAGGCAAGAATTAAAGTTGCTATGGAGCCATACAGATACACAACTGGCAGCTCCCAGTAACTTGAATCTCTGCCACCAATAACAAGAATATCTGATGGATAGAGAGAAATCAAGGAAAATTCCCAGTGTATGGCTTAAGAAACCAGATAAACCGGGTGCAGTGGTTCACACCTGCAATCCCAGTGCTTTGGGAGGCTGAGCTGGGCAGATTGCTTGAGCCCAGGAATTTGAGACCAGCCTGGACAACATGGCAAAAACCCATCTCTACAAAAAATACAAAAATTAGCTGGATGTGGTGGTATGTGCCTGTGGTCCTAGCTACTCAGGAGGCTGAGGTGGGAGGATCACTTGGGCTGAGGAGGTAGAGGCTGTTGTGAGCTGAGACTGCACCACCACACTCCAGCCTTTATCCTGGGCAACAGAGTGAGACCGTGTCTCAAAACAGAAAAAGAAACCAGATGGAGTTGTTTATTTAAAAATAATAATAAAATAAACCCTAATTAGTCTGAGATAGAAGCCGGTTAGGGGGTTGGGTCCTGTGGAGAATCAAGAGTTCTGTTTTGGTTGTGTTAATTTTAAAATGTTTATTGAATAACATTTAATAAATCAAATATCAAGTGTGTTGGATATAAGTCTGAAGTTTTAGGGCAAGTTTGAATCTTAAGTTATAGATGTGGAAGCCATAGCAAACAGGTTATATTTAAAGCCATAGACTCACAAAATATTGCTAAGAGGGAAAGCATGTTTAAGGAAGATAACGGAGCCAAGGACATTTTGTGGCTCAGAAGGAAAAAGGAACCCACAAAGGAGACTGAGATGAAGCAGTTACAAGGTAGGCACTCAATCAGAAGCTTGTGGGGTTCTAGACACCAAGAAATGGGAGGGTTTTAGGAAGGGAGGTGCTCACCTATGCTTAAAGGAATTGAAGTGTCTAAATAAGATGAGGAAAGAGTAGTGACCACTGAGCAAACTTTTTGTTACCATGACAACATTTTTCTCTGCTGGAAAGAGAATAAAAAGCTGATTATAGTGGATTTAGAAGATCATATGAGGTGATTCTAAGTTTGTCAAGATGGTTTACAATGAATTGGGCAGAAAGAAATGGGGCAGCAGTAGAAAGATGATGTGGAGTTCAAAAGATGTGGAGGTTTTGTTTCAAGGAAAAAAATAATGCTTGTTTTTCAGCTGGTGTAATATTCTATAAATAATTGAGAAATTGTTGATGCAAGAAAGAGATGTGTTTGAGGAAAGTCTTTGAGAAGGAGATAAGACAAAATCTAAACCACAAGTGGAGGAATTGGCATTTAATACCAAATTTCATTTTTGGGAAATATAGCATCTTATTAAGATAATGTATTATTATTGTCTATACTTAAATACTCAATTTAGAACTAAACCTTCCTTTAGAAAATCATAAAGATAAGATTTGGTTACAGTTATTATAATGCTTAACATTCTCTAATTCCTCTTTTGGTTTAGAACACATGCTTTTTCCAGTCATGTTTACCCTTCAGGATTATCCTTGCCTTCATTAGAAAAACACTTTAAAATTAAAATAAAAAGAATACAATTCTAAAGGTGTTACTGACTGAAGTTATTTTTACTGAAGGAAGAAAACATAGACAATTTTATCCTGATGTAAAGTATAGTTTCACCCTAGCCACTAATGAGACTGTGAAACCAGAAGACACCACCTGAGAATTTGGTAGCAGCATCTTCTGTTCTAAGTAATACAGTCCTTGAAAAATATACAGCTACAGAAACAGCCACTCCTAGTCCTTGGATCTGCAGAGCATAGTGCCCTATTAGATGTTGTAAAACTGCACACACAGTTACTAATGAAAAGTTGAATTTGTATAGTCAGTTCTTTAGGAGCCACTAACAACTATTCAGAGCTAATGACACTTTTCATTTACTTTGGTAAGGTGGGGCGTGGGTGGCAGTCAATGTTTAAGGGTCATAGTATGAAGTGAGGAAAAACAGCTGGGATGTTGAAATCTTATGAAATAAAGATGTTTAACATTTGAGAAGAAACCTCAAGACTGTGAAAGCCTGAGGTCAGGTTGTAGGAAAAAGTCAAAAAGGAAATTATTTTTTCAAACACTAGCATTTAAGATTTTAATGTTTTCATTGGCATGACTTCCAAATATGTTAGAGGGCCTTCCACTCTCCCTGGAAGATTTGGGAAGCCTGGGGCTTTTGCTTGCTCCTTTTCCTTCCTCCTCTATACACAGATAATGCTAAACACATTAATATTAGTTAGAATTCTTAGGTGCAAGTAACTGAATACACCAAATGTGGTTTAAACAATGAGAAAAATAAGCTGCAAGTAACTGAAGACACCCCAAGTGGTTAAACAAGTAAGTCCGGAGCTGGGATGTGAAGGGCCTGTGTCGGTCTCTCTGGTAGTCTCTTGACCACAAAAAGGGGAAACTGCTGGCATTGGGCTTCACCTGGTAGTGGCCCAAACCAGTAACCAAGTCCCTACCTTAGTTCTCCCTTTCTTAATTATGAGGAGAAAGCAATCCCAGAAGCCTCTGATTTGGCTTTTCTCGTTCTCTTGTTTTCCTGTCACATGATCATATCTAATAAATCATTGATAAGAGAAATAGAATTATTATGATTGGCATAGACTAATGAACATTTGCCCCCTGGGGAGAGGGAAGCCCCATAAATATACATGAATGACTAGTTACTACATAAAGCCAGGGTTCTGTCAGCAAGGTAGAAGAGATAACTAGTGACTATCCAGAAGATAGGGCAATGTGTGAAACGTGATGAGCAGAGTAGCAGGTGCACAGAAGCATTTAGTAAATATTACCTGCTATTGTTGCTCTATCAGAGCCACTCTGATGGGAAATAAAACAACACCAGCATTACACTAATCTTACTCCAGACTGCATACTCTGCCCTACAACCAATCTGTTATTAAATAGTGTAGTTAACCCTTAATTGTAGTTTTAATTGCTTTCCTTTACTCTAAATCCTTTTCCTTGGTCATCCTATTTGTCTCACCCAAGCAGCAACTAATTAGTTATGCCTCCAGCCTCATCCTCTTTCAAAACATTTGTATATTGTTTCCAGATTGATCTTTCTTAAGGCAAATCTGATCTTGTAGCTGTCTTCCTTAACAGTCTCTAACAATGCCACATTTACAAAAGAAATGGAAGACTCACACCTGGGATTTCTATTGTCTACAAAGAATCACTGAGTCATTTGCTCAGATCACCTCCAAGGGAACTTAGAAGGGCTGACTCCCCCCAGAAGCGGGAGAATACAGCCTATTGGCCAACACGGGTGGGCTGCTGAAGTGATGTACTACCCAAATTATTCTTGCTGCCAAGCTGCTGGAAGTTTGGTTAGCAAACATATTCCAGCAGTTTATCTCAGCTGTGAAGAGCTTCCTTGTTCAAGGCCATGCCCTTCCAGAGGGAGCCCCTATTTAGTGACTGAGGGAGGTAGGAGTATAAAGGCCTGGCCATTTTAGCCCATGCAATAAGCCTCCACTTTCTATATGGGTGGCTGAGGCTTTGTCAAGCTTCTGTCTCAGTTTGACTTCTTTCTCTGCTCTCTCTTGTTTTCTGTTCCCTCTTGTCGTAGGTTTTAATCCCTTATAAATATTTTGAGCCACCTGTCCCTCTACATCTGCTTCCAGAAATCTCAACCTGCAACAACTAGTAATTTCTACCAGAAATTCCTTTAACTCCGAACTCTTTCTGCCTTATCATTATCTAAGCTGCTTTTCACTCTAGATACCCAGAAATAATTTACAGTCACCTGGATTTGTCACCATAAATTTGCAGATAAAAAACACGATTTTTTTGAGTACTTACATGCTGCTGAGTGCTATTTTTCTCTTTTGCTCTCTCACTCTCTAAGGTGTAAATAGATTGAGTAAACAGTTTCTTAGAAGAAAAGTTGTCAGCCTAGGTCCTATAGTTATTAAACCATGAAACACAAACTCACATCTTTCTGAATCATTTACAACTTTATAGCCTGTTCCCTTTATAATTTTGTTAAATTGCTTGAAACACCTGTTCTCTTTTTCTTTTAGAGACTCATTGGTCCTCCCCTGTCACTATCCACTGCCCTTCCATGGGCTGCCATCCTGTGTTGATCTTATAGCTACTATAGTACATTTCTCCATTTATCATGGTACTTTTAATCCTGTATTATTATTCTGTATGCTTATCTGGACTTACTAATGCCCTGGAATTTTCTAAAATTTAAGGCCTGTGTCTGATGCAGTTATACTTTACATACTTTTAAAAGAGATATTGAGTGATTTGGTGCCAGTACGTATTAAGTACTATAAAAATGCTCAGTGAATTAATAAAACTCTTTTTTTCCCCCTAGTTTTGCACTGACCGTACCATCTCAAGGGACTCAGTAAATGAAAAAAAGATAGTGACATTGCCAGAATGTGGGTAATGAACATTGGTGAGTCTAAAAGAATTTGATTAAAGATTTCTTTCAAATTCTGATATTTGGTTATACTCATGGCTGACTGCGCAGTGAAATATAATACTGATGATCTGGGAAGAACAGAGATATCAAATAAAGAACTCTTCCTAGAAAGAACTACTTTCTGGTTGGATAGTCACTTGTTCATTTGTTCATTTGGTTAAATCCATCATTCAGAAGGTGCGATGTGCAAGATCCCTTTAGATATTACTATTTCGGTTAGACAAGATAATCACATTCAAGGGGTGTGCGTGTTTGTGTGTGTAACAAGAATTATGACATGAGTATTAATATTTGTGTTCCCTTCCTGACCCCCAAGTACTATTTCCCATTATTTTCTTTGCATAATAAGCTGGCAAGGGATAAACAATGCTGATGAAAATCTTCCATGAGATGTGTGTATGGGGAGGAAGAAGGGACTATAAATATCTATATGTTGATTTTTTTTGTGGCTGTTACATATATTTCTGCATAAGATGCATATTTCTGGCTCACGAGATAAGTTGATTATACATTTTCTTTGAGTTTAATAGTTCTCATTTGCAGGATGAAGAGGGTAGCGATTAGCAAACTTACTGGGGAGAATGAGTGAAATCAGGAAAAAAATTCAACCTATAAGGGCCTCACTATTTATTTCATGATATTGGTGTCATTGTGCAAGTTACTCTTAAAACATAGAGTGAGAGGAAAACATAAGGGCACAGTATTTAAAAATCATGATTGGATGGCATGATGAAATATTGCATAATTAAAAGTGTGTCAGGGTTTGGAGGGTATGAAGGAATGTATATTAGTCAAAAGACCCTGGAGAACACCTACTAGCAGAAATAAATACCCATAGAATTAAACATGTGAAGGTGCTTATATTAAATTAGAACACATTGATAATAAAATGCTGAAACTTGTATATATTCACTAACTTCTTTGCTATAGAACACAATATTTGTGTCCTCCTAGGATTCATATGTTGAAATGAAATCAACAATATAATGGTATTTGGAATGGGGCCTTAGGGAGGTGATTACATTATGAAGATAGAGCCTTCATGAATGGGATTAGTGCCTTACAAAAGAGGCTTCAAAGAGCTGCCCTTTACCTTCCACCATGTGAGGACACAGCAAGAAATCACCATCTATAAAACATGAAGCAGGCCTCCGCTAGACACTGAATTTGCCAGGGTCTTGAAGTTGGACTTTCTAACCTCCAGAACTAGGAAAAACAAATTTCTGTTGTTTATAAGACACCCAGTCTAGGGTACTTTGCTAGAGCAGCCTGAATGGACTAAGACATTTCTCTACCAGGGATCTACCAGGTCTCCATAATCCAAGACCTAAAGGGTTAATACCTGGTCCAGCAGGGCTCCTCCAGGACCCTACATCAGTGTCACCATTGTTCTTTCTGATGGTGGGTGCCCTGCCGAGCATTACCCCAATGTGCATGTATATTTAAATATGTTAATCAGCAAAAATCTTGGAAATATTATTAAATTAAATATTAATAAAATACAGCCATTTTGGTGTCTTTTCAGTATCTTTAGAGTTCCTAAGGTAGAAATTGATAAATTCTTTAAATCTTGTTTGCCTACTGTCTTTTCTACCAGGCCTCATTTCTCTAAGGCCTAGAGCTAGCCTTATCATCACAACAGCTCATCCAATACATCTTGGGTGTCTTCTTCTGGTTTATTTTTGAAGCTTAACCTTAAATGACCTTAGTTCATCATCTTCTCTTATCTGGCAGAAGCACTTTCTATCAAGAGGTTCTACTTTTCCTGAGGTGCTTAGTGCCTCCTGACAATAATCATTTTTCTTCTGAATAGATAGAGATAAAGAAGAAGAAAACACATGAAAGACTTCTTACTGATTTTAAACCAACAAACAAATTATAGTTTGCAACTTAATCAAAATCAGATTCTGCTTCTGCAAACTAATTTCTCCAATTTAATGAGCAGCTGATCCTGATGATTATAGTTGTAGTATAGCATGGTTTATTTACCTAGGGTCTTGGAAAAGTTATCGACTAATAACATTAGGTTGTATAGAGAATTCGAGAGGCCTTACATTCTTTTGTAATGTAAGTGTTCATAACATAAATACTATTGTCTAGTCAACGAGTACTTATTAACAGGTAAGTATTTAATGCTTGATAATTGCTTAATTAAAAAAAGAAAACTATGACAAAATCCATTAATCCTAAGTGTACAGTGTTATCTAACTGTAGTATTGTCTAGATAGCAAATGAAAATTTTGCAAATGGGAGAAAATAAACTACTCTACAAATAACTGCAATGGAAGATTATAATATTCCCCATAGAACAGTATTCCATTAAAAACCAAAAAAAAATACTTTTTATCAGTGGCTGCATCAGAGAAGCTATTAATCTACAACAGCGATGCCAATAAAAACTATACCCTCCAGTTAGGCAGTTCATTGACTTTATTAAATAAAGAGGGAATGCTTTCTAGCACTTTTATTTGATTCCTTATGGCTATGCAATTTGAATAAAATAAACTCTCTTATTTTCCACAGTAAAAAAATACACATACAATGTATATGCAATTTGAAATACAAATATATATACTTTTCATTGAAATTATTTTCAATGAAAATAGCCCTCCCTTTGTCCAGTATAAAAGTTAACAAGCACGCCCTACAAATAAGACTGACTACGGGAATTTTATGTTTTGGCAAGTTAAATATTTTAAATAAAATTCACTTAATTTTAGGAAGCCTATAGAAGCCAGCACATAGTTCAATGTCAAAATATGTCTACTTTCCCTGCTATGACAGCTTTTTCATTCTTCAAGATCCTTAAAGGGTGTAAACCACCAAGTGCCTCTCCCCACTTTCTGGCCTTTCTCCTTCTCTGTCTTTCCATTCTTCCTTCCACCCATCCTCCCTTCCAATTATCTCTCCTTCCTTCAAACTAGTATCAAGCACCTACCATGAGTTCAGCAAGGCATTAGTCCATTTTCATGCTGCTGATTAAGACATACCCGAGACTGGGCAATTTACAAAAGAAAGAGATTTATTGGACTTACAGTTCCACATGGCTGGGGAGGCCTCACAATCATGGCAGAAGGCAAGGAGGAGCAAGTCACATCGTATGTGGATGGCAGTAGACAAAGAGAGAGCTTGTGCAGGTTATCTCCCATTTTGAAAATGATCAGATCTCGTGAGACCCATTCACTATCACAAGAACAGCATAGGAAAGACCTGCCCCCATGATTCAATCATCTCCCACCAGGTCTCTCCCACAACATATGGGGATTATGTGAGCTGCAAGATGAGATTTGGGTGAAGACACAGAGCCAAACCATATCATTTCGCCCCTGGACCCTCCCAAATCTCATGTCCTCACATTTCAAAACCAATCATGTCTTTCCAACAGTTCCCCAAAGTCTTAACTCATTTCAGCATTGACTCAGAAGTCCACAGTCCAAAGTGTCATCTGAGACAAGGCAAGTCCCTTCCACCTATGAGCCTGTAATATCAAAAGCAAGTTAGTCATTTCCTAGATACAATGGGGGTACAGTCATTGGGTAAATACAGCCATTTCAAATAGAAGAAATTAGCCCAAAACATGGGGGGCTACTGGCCCGGCAGTCAATTCTTAAAGCTCCAAAATGATCTCCTTTGACTCCAAGTCTCACATACAAGTCATGCTGATGCAAGAGGTGGGTTCCCATGGTCTTGGGCAGCTCCGTCCCTGTGGCTTTGTAGGGTACAGCCTCCCTCTTGGCTGTTTTCATGGGCTGGCTTTAGAGTATACAGCCTTCCTCCTGGCTATTCCAGGTGCACAGTGCAAGCTGTCAGCGGATCTACAATTCTGGGGTTTGGAGAATGGTGGCCCTCTTCTCTCAGCTCCACTAAGTGGTGCCCCAGTAGGGACTCTGTGTGGGGGCTCCAATCCCACATTTCCCTTATGCACTGCCCTAGCAGATGTTCTCCAAGAGAGCCCCACCCCTGAAGCAAACTTCTGCCTGGGCATTGAGGCATTTCCGTACATCCTCTGAAATCTAGGCCGAGTCCCTAAACCTCAATTCTTGACTTCAGTGCACCCACAGGCTCAACACCACGTGGAAGCTGCCAAGGCTTGGGCTTCCACCCTCTGAAGCAACAGCCTCAGCTATATCTTGGCCCCTTTTAGTCACAGCTGGAGTGGATGGAACGCAGGGCACCAAGTCCCTAGACAGCACACAGCAGAGGGACCCTGGGCCTGGCCTATGAAACCATGGTTTCCTCCTAAATCTCCAGGCCTGTGATGAGAGAGGCTGCTACAGATGTCTCTGACATGCCCTGGAGGCATTTTCCCCACTGTTTCGGTGATTAACATTCCACTCCTTGTTACTTATGCAAATTGCTGCAGCTGGCTTGAATTTCTCCTTGAAAATGTGATTTTATTTTCTTTTCTATTGAATTGTCAGGCTGCAAATTTTCCAAACTTTTATGCTCTGTTCTCTTTTAAAACAATGCTTTTAACAGCACCCAAGCCACCTCTGGAATGCTTTGCTGCTTAGAAATTTCTTCTACCAGATACTCTAAATCTACCATTCTTCTAAATCATCTCTCTCAAGTTCTAAGTTCCACAAATCTCTAGGGCAGAGGCAAAATATGCCCAGTCTCTTCGCTAAAACATAACAAGAGTCACCTTTGCTCCAGTTCCCAACAAGTTCCTCATCTCTATCTGAGACCACTTCAGCCTGGGTTTCATCGTCCATATTATTATCAACATCACGGTCAAAGACATTCAACAAGTCTCTAGGAAGTTCCAAACTGTCCCACATTTTCCTGTCTTCTGAGCCCTCCAAACTGTTCCAACCTCTGCCTGTTACCCAGTTCCAAAGTCACTTCCACATTTTCAGGTATGTTTTCAGCAGCGCACCACTCTACTGGTACCAGTTTACTGTATTAGTCCATTTTTATGCTCCTGATAAAGAGATACCAGAGACTGGGCAATTTACAAAAGAAAGGTTTATTGGACTTACGGTTCCACATAACTGCAGATGCTTCACAATCATGGCGGAAGGCAAGGAGGAGGAACTCACGTCTTATGTGGATGGCAGCAGGCAGAAAGAGAGCTTGTGCAGAGAAACTCCTGTTTTTAAAACCGTCAGATCTCACGAGACCCATTGACTATCATGAGAATAGCCTGGGAAAGACCCACCCCCATGGTTCAATCATCTCTCACCAGGTGCCTCCCATAATATATGGGAATTATAGGAGCTACAAGGTGTGATTTGAGTGGGGACACAGAGCCCAACCATATCAAGCAACATGCAGAAAACTAAGAATACAAAGATGAATGTCTACTGATTATGGTTTCCAAAAGCCTTTATTTTTGTTTCTCTTCCATTTAGACTTGTATTTGCTTTCCAACTTATTATAATAGAGCATCAAACTATTAAAATTTACTATCTGTGAGGCTTGGGCAGGAAGATTGCTTGAAGGCAGGAGTCTGAGGTTAGCCTGGGCAATATAGTGAGACCTGGTCTCTACCAAAAAAGAAAATAATCATAACAAAATAAAGGCCTAGCCTGGTGGCACACACTTGTTGTCCTAGCTACTGGGGAGGGTGAGGCAGGAGGGTTGCTTAAGATGGAATTTTGAGTGTGCAGTGAGCTAGGGTTGTGCCACTGCTCTCCAGCCTGGGTGACAGAGTAAGACCCTGCTTCTAAAAAGATACATACATACAAAAAATATAACAAAGATTTCCTGTACCTTTCTCCTCCCAAATAAAAGAATGTCTTTCCTCTTTAACCTATCGAGTAATATCAGAATATCCACTGCTAGTTTGCAAAGGCAGCCGATGGAGTAATGATACACCTCGCAGACAAATATTCTGAACGTTTACCCTTAAAGGGGGTATCAATCTGTAGAAATTGTGAGATCTTCAGTTAAATAATAAAGCATATTCTTGAGGGTGTGGACCTTGGGAAAACGGTTTGTAAATGTCATTCGTGGTCAAGCTTATGGGTGCCACTTAACACACAGGTTGTACTCTACATAGCACAGAGAGAGAGAGGCTTTGGGAAGCAGGTTCATCCTTTGGTTCATTACCAGTGTGGCTATTTACTAGTTATAAGAAGGTGAGAGCCTCAGGTTTTTCATCTGAAATCAATAATGAGAATCAAGTCAGCTGTAATTTATAAGGTGTTATAAGTCAGTAAGTCTGTTATAATTCTTAAGCTATGCATACCTTAAACTTATCTATATGAAGTTGTCTAAAATCTCACTAACTAGGAGTTTGAGTCTTAGCATATATTATTTTCATTTCTCGGTGTCTGCCCTTCCTATTTTTTTCTAGTATGTGTGGCTGAAGAGCAGAGGCATGCTTGAGCAGACTGGTCTTCAGCCTTGGAAGAGCCAATTATGCATATCTCCTCCCAAATTCACTTTTCAATGTGATCAGATTGGTAGCTTGAGACAAGCCATGGTGAAAGTATTTACACTATGGAAATTAGCAAATGCTACAAAATAAACTTTTTTTTGTTCTGGAAACATTCACTAGCCTACTAGTGGTGAAAAGAGCCTAGAAAGAAACAGAGATGTGCCTCCTTCTTCTAGTCCCAATAACAGCATAGGAGACTGCTAGTCCTGAGTCCCCATGTCCTCATGGCTATGTCTTACTGTTAGGAGGTGATAGTATCTCCAAATCCATCCCAAACCCAGTTCCACCTTCTGATGAGGGCAGCCTTATCATTCCTTTTATCTTGGCTAGACTTTAAAACAGGTTTCTTCCTGACTATAAACCCCTTATCTCCCTTTCTTTAGAGCATTTACTTTAGAAAACTTATTGCAAATTATTTCTCTGCCCCTTTGTGATGTGCATTTTCTCCTAGCCTCTTGCTAGTTTTACAACCCAATAATGTCTTTCTCAAGGTCATAGGAGCTATCTCTTTGAAAAACAATCAACAAGAAAGATAGGGTCCCTCTCTACCGTCTCTGAGGGAGGGTAGGAGCCTAACTTCCATAAGCACCAATTAGCAAACACACATGTACTAATCACATTGAATAGCTCTCCTGTGACCCTAAGGGCCTTCAGGACTTTTCCAGTAGCTCACTGGAGCTCACAGTAGCTTAAAAACTCTCCCACTTTCTATTTTAACAAAGTTGAGTTCAATCTTTCCCCTCTTACTGCAATAGTCTTGGACAAAGTCTGTCTTGTTTAACTGTTGGTACAGTTTTTCTTTGACACTTGCTCATTCCCAGTTTCTTTGCAACATCAATCTGTAGGTACATGCCTCTTGTTTCAAATACCACTTTAACATGAGGTGATTCTTAGCTATCAAGCTCTTTGCTCATGTATTAGATATTCTTACTTTGTTCTATGATTAGAAAGAAGGCAGATTGATTTTATAGAGAACCCCAGGTTAGTTTTATTGGTGTCATTGAAAATGAACTTAGTCATTTGAATTTTTGTAAATACAAAAGCACTATTTGCAAAGTATATATTAAAAAATAAAGTTATTCCCTTTTAGTTCTCCAAACTTTTATCCATTTTTGCAAGTTATGTCACATAGCTGTGCTTTATGAGAGGCAAACAACCATTGTTATTTAGCAGATTCTCTGGGGCAGTGAACTCCATGCTCTTGCCCATAATTAGCATAAGCAAAGTCAGTACATTCCTGGTTGCCAGGCACGTATGCACCTTCACACTACCACCAAGGGAGGCATAACACAGACCTGCCTAATAGTGCTTCAACATATTTCACTTGTGTGCATATTGCTTTACCAATCCCTTTAAAATGTAAATTTCCCCTTTAATGTTTAATATTTATGCCTACTGCTGCTTTCTCATTAAATTGTCCCTCCACCTTCACACACCAGGTATGACTCTGTGGATTGCAGACCAGTTGCCAGGAAGTTTAGTAGAAGCTGCAAATGGCTTACTTTCTCTCTGTCTCCTTCCTTTTTACTAGCTAAGGCCTTCATGGCTGAGAATTGCTTCTGGAGCAGCTCAGGCCAACAGATAAGACTGAGTGTTTCAAAAAAATGGGTCTCAATCTCATGATGGCATTAAGAATTGTGGGTTCTTAGAATACTTTCTCTTTCCTCACCTGCCTTTGAAATGTTATTTGATATAAATCTAGTGATTTCCGGGTACATCCATCACTATCCCCAAACAAATTGGCGTTTCAAGTACCCCTCAATTATCAGACTACTGGACAGAGCCCAAAATCCACCTATCTTAGGGAACTGTAGGTTCTAATCATTCCTTATTTCCTCCGCACTTTGACTCCTTGCTGCTCTTTCCTGACCTATGCCATCTTCCTACCCCCCATGCCAATCAAATCTTTGGCTATCATGGTAGGAGGCAGAGACTCCTCATCTTACAAATTTATTAAGGCTCTGATTTAGGCTTTTTATTTTTTGCCCCTAAAATCTCAAATTTCTTTTCTGTACTTATGAAATCATTACCCTAAAGCAGATCCCACAGTTTAGGTGTTCGAATGAAAGAAAGGCCAAGTATTACAAAAAAATTAAGAGAATCTCTGACAATATTTCAAAATATCATGCCACCATATGCATATTGACATAAATAGTTTGGCTATGGGGGAGGTGTTTTGGTGTAGATACTATCTATTATTATCTTTAAGCAAAAGCCCACTTAAAAGATATAAAAGCTTTACACATTCCTCTTCCTGAACCCCAAATAAAAAGGAAATTGATTTGGGTAGGGATTAAAAACAACAAACACAAAACTCACTTTACCCAGGGATGAATTCCATTTGAAATAAAAATTTTTTTTCAAGAGCACTTTTGGATTTGCAAATATACATTATAATTTAAATCTGACATAGTCAGTTTTAAGCATTGTTTGAAATGCAGACAGGAAATAAGGAAGCACTTACTAGAGTTTATCCCATGTGGACTGCAGAAAGGATACTACCACAAAGCCACCTGCATCTTCCACAGTATACATTAATATTTTTCTACTGAAAATACTGCATGTTTTCCTAATTAAAGAAGACCTTTAAGTTAATAGTCCCTTCGTGAAATGAAAGACTGCCCTGCCACTTTACATATACATATATATACTATTAAACTAGTTATTTATTTATTTATTTATTTATTATTTTGAGACAGAGTCTCGCTCTGTCGCCCAGGCTGGAGTGCAGTGGCGCGATCTCGGCTCACTGTAAGCTCCGCCTCCCAGGTTCACGCAATTCTCCTGCCTTAGCCTCCCAAGCAGCTGGGACTACAGGCGCCCACCACCACGCCCACCTAATTTTTTTGTATTTTTAGTAGAGACGGGGTTTCACCGTGTTAGCCAGGACGGTCTCGATTTCATTACCTCGTGATCCACCCGCCTCGGCCTCCCAAAGTGCTGGGATTACAGGTGTGATCCACCACACCCGGCCGTTATTTATTATTATTAAGTCAGTTAACTATTATTATTAAACAATTTATATAAGATTATTTCCAACTGCATGCTCCCTTCCAAAATATGAATAAAATTCTTTCATCAATGAAAAGAATAGGAAATGTTTACACAGTTCTTGTCCATAGCCCATTTTTGTTCAGAAATTATGAGTTGAAGGTTTCTATTCAAAAATAAAGAGCTGAATGGACTTGCAAAGCTTTATTGGGAGGTGAAGAGGAAGCCCTCATTGCTTGTCCCTTCATTTCTTTGTGTTCTGAAGATTTTGACTCAGTGCAATGAAAATAATCAGAATGAAACCTAGCCAAGAGGCAAGCCATCTCAGATTCTGTCAGGGTTCCACCACTTCCCTCTGGTGTCCTCCCTCATTTTCTTTAGAATATTGTTAAATTTTAAGACCTGCTAATAGAATCTATGTCAAATAAATTTTATTGGGGAAGAGATTTTGAGGTAGAATAAAATTATATTATTTAATCCTCTCAGATTCTGAGTGATTTACTTTAATCTGGATTAACAAAAAGGCCTGAAGACCCTAAGAAATTGCATAAGATTTCATCTCAAAAAAAGCTCTTCTCATATGTAAAACCACTATGTAATAGAGAAGGAGTTTTAACTCAATACTCTTGAAGCTGAGAAAAAAGTCAGAGAGTTTATGTGCCCTCATACAATGTTCAATCTTCTTATGGCTTTCTGTTAAGTCTCACTCAAGGCAAGATTCTGTACTGCTAATAAGCATTCCCAGTAATTTAGAGAACTGACTTCATATTTCCTCAAATAATATTTATTGGTATAAATAAAAATTGTTTTTCTCTTATGTTTTTCTCCCAATTTGCGGTACATATCTTGATATATTTCATTTTGAAAGCTCTTAGGAGAAACCTGAAAAAATAGGCAATCCTCATCCAGAGAAGTTAAATCTATTTATTGTTAATGACTTTGGAAGTTTTGTTTGGTGTAGTTTGAATAATAATATAGGCCATGTGGCACATTTGAAATGCACCTTATGCTTTTAGGAGCACCTCAGAGAGAAGGGCAGTCATCTTCCAGTGTAGGTGAAATGGAGTTATAATTAGAGAACAGAGTGACTGTTAATGGGAGGAGATATAATGTATAGATCATGACACCTTGGATACCAAAACTAAAGATTTTTCTAATACAATCTGAGATTAAAAGATATAAAAACAGACATTCTAATTTGAATAACTTTGTAATGTTTTTAGGTCACCAATAGCAAAAATGTATTTATTTAGCAATGGTTAACAGTTTTCCTGAGCTACAACTAGTAGGCTACCTACTGATTAATAAAATCATCCCAAGTACTATAGGTTAAGTTACTTGGTAAGTTACACCAGTTCCCTTAGCCTTAATTTACTCATTCATTAAATAATGGCTCTGAGTAAGCATGTAATAATCAGCTGTTGTTGACCAAATGAATGAGCACCTACCTTACTAATAGATAGGTATTAATAGGACTAAAGGAGATAATTTGGTATAATATAAATAAATGTTTAATCATGTACTTGGCATAAAGTAAGCACTAAATTCACATTAGCTTCTTTCTCTCTCTTCCACAAAGTGTTTTCACATTGATTATCTTATTTAGGCCATGTAATTTATAATTGTTTATGCAGGGTACTGTATATATTATTGATACAGTAGGGGACAGGGAGGTGCTGGGTAGAGAAGGGCAGGAACCCTGGTGAGGGCTCTTCCACCCTCAGACCTGTGCCCACAGACCTAAGTGAGGACAGGCACTCCTGTTTTTGCACCCAAATGTTTCACTTTCCAAGACCACTCTGGCCCACCACACTCCCCATCCTGAACCTATAAAAACCCCAAGACGCTGGTGGGCACACACACAGGTGGCCAGACATCAAGAGGAGTAGAGGAACAGAAGAGCACACTGACAGGCACCAGCAGACATCAACGGGACATTGACAGTGGGACAATGTGGAATTTAGTCGGGGGTGGTCGGAGGAGATACCAGCCGCTGAGCGGCCCGATGCCGGGGGAACACCACCAACCCACTCCATCCCCCTTCTGGCTTCCCTATCCACCTTGATGAGAGCTACCTCTACTCAGTAAAACCTTGCAGCCATTCTCCAAGCCCACGTGTGATCCTTACACGAAGGCAAGAACATGGGATACAGAAAGCCCTAGTCCTTGTGATAAGACAGAAGGTCTAATTGAGCTTATTGACACAAGCTGCTTGCAGACAGCAAAACTGAAATAGCACGATGTAACACAAGCCCATCGGGGCTTTGGGAGCTGTAAACACTCAACCTTAGACGATTCCATGGGGTTGGAGCCCAAAATGCTCCCCACAAACTGCATGACTGCATGCTCTCCTTAGGCGTTTGAGCAGAGGGGCACTGAGGAAGTGAGTCTCACCCCTGTCGCATGCCCTGCAAGGGGGATAAGGGAACTTTTCCCATTTCATTATTTCCATTTAAAAATGAAATGGTGAAATTCAGGCAAGCTAACTGGCTTTCTAAGGCCAATGTGGTCAGCAAGTATATGAGCCTATGGTAAAACCCAGATCTTTATGGTTCTATTTCAAGGCCTAACTTTCAGTCCTGCCACTACTGTGAGTCTGTTCCACTTTTGGGGTCCAATTTTATCCTCTTTAAATTAGAGGAGTTGAAGTTGGTGGGCTCAGTGTCAGTTAATTTATGGCCACAAAAAAGATGTGTAACAATCAACTACACATTCTCAGTGGCATATAGTGATGTGCATTTGCCTAACTCACAAATCTGCAGGTCAGCTGAGGGTCAGCTGATTCAGGCTGAGTACTTCTGTGGATGGCTCTGCTCCATTTGTCTCGGTTCTCCTCCTGGGAGACCATAGGCTTATTCTTCTCATGCTATGGCAGATGTAAAAGAGAGCAGGTACAACAGCACAAGCTTCTGTTAACATTCCATTAACCACAACAGATCATTTGACAAACTCAAAAGCAAGGGATATCTCTGTTTCTTTCATGGGATGAGGAACAGCCACATCATATGGCAAAGAATGTGGATTAGGAGAGAGTGATCAATTGAGGATGTTAATGTAATGTACTTAAAGTGTTAAGATTTCTTTTAGTTCCAGCATATTTTGATTTTCTTCCAATTAATTTGTCTGTCAGAGTCTCTTCCTCATTTTCTTTTGTAATGTTTTTCAAATTGCCAAGGGCAAACACGATTTCAGTGGAAGGCAGAAAACTCAGGTCAATTTGCCATTCTGTGATTTGTGTGTGTGCGCATGTGGGTGTGTGCGTGTGTGTGTGAATTAATCTTGTTCTCTGATCATATTGTTCCAGAAAATGATATTTAATTATAGTTTCACATGAGGTTGGAATACTACATTCTCTGCATTGTATATATGGTTACAGGGTTCATACAGATACATGTAAAAAGCAGAACACAGGGGCCAAGCATGGTGGCTCACACCTGTAATCCCAGTACTTTGGGAGGCTGAGGTGGGCAGATAGCCTGAGGTTAGGAGTTTGAGACCAGCCTGGCCAATATGGTGAAACCCTGTGTCTACTAAAAATACAAAAATTAGCCAGGCGTGGTGGCAAGCACCTGTAATCCCAGCTACTGGGGAGGCTGAGGCAGAAGAATTTCTTGAACCAGCGAAGTGGACATTGAAGTGAGCTGAGATCGCATTACTGCACTCCAGCCTGGATGACGGAGTGAGGCTCTGTCTCAAAATAATAATAATAATAATAATAATAATAATAATAATAATAATAATAATAAAATAAAAACAGAACACAGGGCCAGAATTGAGATACTAGTCACAGAATATAGAGACTTTGGTTTGAAAAGTGTATTAAAAGGCTGAGGAAGTGGGGAGGGAGCTGTAAGGGAATGCACAGGGGCGCTTCTGTCAACTGACCACAGACCTCTGCCCAGATCGCTTAGGAAGAATCTCTGTTTAGTTCCAACATTCTGCCTTCTTTCTTTTATCTCAGTAGCTATCGCTGAACTGCCTATTTTGTAAACATTGTTTTTCTCTTTATTTCTAGATAGCTGATCTTTGTGTTTTTTGTTTATCTTTAATTTTTTTTAAACTGTAAAAACAGGAATTACTATTTAAAAACCTTTAAGCAATGCAAGAAATACAATTGGGGAGCATTAAAGTCATTTTTTTATTTGATGATCTTAGAAATAATCACTTAAGCTTATTTACTTTTAAGGATCTTCACTGACAATCCTCATAGGGAAACAGATAAAAACAGCAAATATAGAAAGGGATAATGATTCCAGATTCTAATGTTGGGAGGTGGAAGGAGGGAGGAGATTAAATTGAGCCTATGCTGTGTTCATCCTATCATTCAGGCATATTTGGAAGACTAGTGATTTAAGGCAGGGATTTATGTATTTATGTGAGACAATCAGGGAACTTCTAATAAGAACTGATTATAAGGGAAGTTGGTTGAAGCAGACAGGTCATTGATATAGAGTATTACAATGGCAGTAAAGGGCAATTTACTCATTATCTTCCTGTACGTTATGACAAAAACCTTAAGATGGTGAAATAGGAAATAAAGGGGCTTAGGACTTAAGTCATGACAGATATTTGTAGAATTTGTGTAGAAAAGTCAACAGCAAGGGGTCATTGGTTTTTGTGTATAAATTAGCACCTGAACCTTGACATTTATAACATCCATGTGGCCATCGGCAGCTCAGGAGCTGGAATCGTCATCAACACTGACACTGCCTAAGGGGATAGAGGTGATGACCACTGTTCTGACCAACACAGACAGCAGTGTCATCCATGCTTGACACCACAATAGTAATTGTGACTTCAGAAATCATCCTCTGTGTAAGTAGCCATGGATCCTGTTGTAGCTCAGAAAATAATACCCCAAAGTATGGCCCCTTGGCATGCTAAATGTGATGAATGAAAAGATGTTGGAAAGCCTCAGAAGCAGCCTCAGAACCAAGGTCTCTTTGACCTTCTTCTGCCCTCCTGCCACCTGCCTCTCATTCTCCCCCAAAGCCAGTCATAGAAACCAGAATTCCTTTTATTCAAGGCAAGTCATAGAAACTACAATCCATTTTCTCCAAAGTCAGTCATACTAACCAGTATTATTAATCTTCTGCCTATCTAGGAGCTTTCTATAAAGAAATTCTCTGACCTACTCTTGCCTGATAATAAGTCATGAGACCCTTGTTCCAGATGGGTCCTACCCGATTCCCAGGAGAAAGGAATATTATACAGAGGGGTCAAGAAGAATCTAAACTGACATCCTTTCTGGGTTTCCCAATTCAGTCTATTAGCATTAGATTATACCCTTTTGTCCAATCATATTATTATTTCTACATAGCTGTCCATTCTTCATCAAACCTAAGCATAAAAATGGATAGTTTTCTTTGTATCTTTGGTTCCTCATTGTGAAGGTTTCCATGGCACATAAAATTTTAGATAAATTTGTTATGCTTTTTTTCTTAGCCTGTATGTTCTTACAGGAGTATTGACTATCACTCTTATGATGGGGAGAAAATGTATCATGCCCTTTCCACCCCTGCATTCCTGAGATTACCAACAGCTGGTACTTTGAGATTGATTGAGTTGATGATTGTATTAGTCCATTTTCACACTGCTATAAAGAACTGCCCGAGACTGGATAATTATAAAAGAAAGAGGTTTAATTGACTCGTAGTTCTACATGGCTGGGGAGGCCTCAGGAAACTTACAATAATGGCAGAAGGGGAAGAAAACATGTCCTTCTTCACATGATGGCAGGAAAGAGAAGAATGAGAGCTGAATAAAGGGGAAGCTCCTTATAAAACCATCAGATCTTGTGAGAACTTACTATCATGAGAATAGCATGGAGGAAACTACCCCCATGATTCAATTACCTCTCACTGGGCCCCCTCATGACATGTGGGGATTATGGGAACTACAATTCAAGATGAGATTTGGATGGGCACACAGACAAACCTTATCAAGTGATTCCTGCTGGTTGATGTACTGAAGGCTCTGGACCCTTTGCAGGATCACAAATCTGTGAGGAATGGGCAAGAAGAAATAATAATCCTTGTACTTTTACTACCTTGACCTTAGTGAGAAAATGGCAGGTTATGTTTAAATGAGCCAAGAGAGACACGGGCTTTGCCTTTGGTGGTACTAACCCATGCTCACTTGTCCTTTGAGGTCACTAAAGGTGACAAAATTCAACTTTTCTACCCTCACAGAACTTATTAAGCAACAATAGCACAACAAAACAAAACAAAAAATAGATAATCTGACTCACTCCCAAGGAGAAGAATAAATTCTGCTATGGAGTTAATGTTTGGATCCTCCCAAAATTCATATGTGGAGTCCCTAATTTCCAACATGACTGTATTTGGAAGTGGGGATTTTGGGAGGTAATTAGATCATGAAGGTGGAGCCCTCATTAAGGGATTAGTGCTCTTATAACAAAAACAGGAGATGTTCTCTTTCTCCTCCATCTGAGGATACAGTAAGATGCTTGTCTGCAAACTAGAAAGAGAGCCCTTACCAGGAAGCTAATCAACAGGCACCTTGACCTTGGACTTTCTAGCCTCCTTAAACAGTTGACCCTTGAACAACATGGGTTTGAACTATACAGGTCCACTTACATTTGGATTTTTTTCAACAAAAGTAGATTAAAAAATACATTATTGGTGGGATGAAAAACCCCCCATATATTGAGGGTGCAACTTTTTATATATGTGGGTTCTGCAGGGTTGACTGACTGCAGAGCTTGAGTATACATGGTATACTAGGGGACATAGTGGGAGTGTCTGGAACCAATCCTCCAGGTATACCAAGGGATGACTGATTGTGTGTGACTGTATACATGCTATATTATGGCAACCTGGACTAACTAAGATGAACTCCAATTAATTGGACCCCAGAGTCAAACAGGGAATGGGAGATTAGGATGAAGAGATAAAAAGTAACACCACTTTCATTCTCTTCCTATTCAGTATCCAGACAGGCCAATTCTCATGTTGGAAAAATTCATACGTGATGAGACCACGGGGAAGAATTTTCTGAAAATGATTATATATTGTCATTCTGAATTGCCTGAAAAATGAGCTGGCTGTAACAGCTCTGTTCAACTTTTCTATTGGAAGGGCTGCAAGTTTCCATAGGAGCAATGGCCTCCTGTTGACACATAGATTACAAGTTTTTATAAGACCCATTATCTTCAGGTGACATTGTCTTTATGTCATTCCCATAAAACTCCTCAAAAACGTGGATACCCAATCCCTGCTGTTCAGAGTCTGTGCATCTTCTAACTAAGTATAAGAATAAAGAGTTATGGGGTAATAGGATCGCTTCACTGAAATAGAAACTTGTAATTTATTCCAGGCCCCAACATACAATTTTATGGAAAAAAATAGAGAATGTAGAATAGTTACGTTCTCTTACCTTACAGACTTAGCCTTTATGTTTTATGTTTCTCCTTTTCTCAGTAAAGCCATTCCTTAATCCATATTATCATAGAATTTTATAAAATTTATTCCAAGCCCTAGTGAAAGGCAAATAGTGACTAAAAACAGCCGCAATTTGCACAACATTGAGAAAAAGTTTCTTTTTGTGGTAATTGTTGTTAGTTCAGGAAATAGCCATTTATCCATATTTCTAAGTTGAGACATTTTAATGTGTTTGAGTGGCAACCATGTCTAGCTCTGGCAAATAAGTTGTGTTTGTCTGTGCCAACCATAGTCCACTTAATTGCCAACAATTTTGGAATTGCATTTTAGCTAAAACGGGAGTCTTGGTTGGAGTGCCTTTTTTTTTTTTTTTTTAATTTTTCAAGGTTTAACTTATGATAAAAGAAAGAACAGCATATAGTAAAGGTCTTTATGCCATCACTCATTTCCTTGCCTGGGGTGCTATCGTTTAAGAATATGGTGGTTGGGCGGCCGGGCGCGGTGGCTCAAGCCTGTAATCCCAGCACTTTGGAAGGCCGAGGCGGGCGGATCGCGAGGTCAGGAGATCCAGACCATCCTGGCTAACACGGTGAAACCCCTTCTGTACTAAAAATACAAAAATTAGCCGGGCGTAGCGGCGGGCACCTGTAGTCCCAGCTACTCGGGAGGCTGAGGCAGGAGAATGGTGTGAACCCGAGAGGCGGAGCTTGCAAGTGAGCCCAGATGGCGCCACTGCACTCCAGCCTGGGCGACAGAGCCTGACTCCGTCTCAAAAAAAAAAAAAAAAAAAAAAAAGAATATGGTCGTTGGTACTGCAACTGCCATTTTGTGCCAAGAAAAACCTTTACCAACAACTGATAATGGCACAACAGAAATTGGAAAGAATCTAGTTTCTGACTGCTAAATAAAAGTCTATTTTTAACTTTTTTGTGTGGAATAAATAAATATATTTATTGTTTAAACAACCTTAGTTAAGTATTCATTAATTTGTAGCTGAGAGATTCTAACTAAAATGCTGCTCTGCAACAGAAATTACCCATCCACGTGAGTGTAGCTTTAAAAAGGTGGCTGCATGTGAGAATTCTTTTAATATTTAAAAATTGAATGTGAAAATTTTGAGTAGAAAAAAGAGAAACTGAGGAATTTAGGACAATAGTAAAGGTTTATTTTTTCCCCAGATAGTCTTGAAATTAATTTAAAAAATGGTGGTAATTAAAATGGGACCTCATAATCTACTTCTTACCTCTGTTGTTAAGAGAAAAAGATGAGACGTTTAAAAGAATGAATGCTTTGTAATATGGGAGTGCATTTCGAGTACTATGATGGGCTCCAAAGGAGTGACAGATAGGCACTTTAAGTGGGGGCTAGGGTCATCCTAGGAAAGTGACCTCACTACTGGAAACTATGTTAGTGTTTTGATCAGGTTTTTATAGGGCAAGATTGAGGCCTAGTCAAGAAAATGTTCAGAGGAGCCTGGCTACAGTTTGGTCAAGGAGAAGATCTTTGTCATCAGTTTAAGAATTAATTGTACTAATGTACCCAAAATTTTTATGCAAAAATTTTGATACAAATAAGCTCCCCGAAATATTTGCTATCTTAAATCACACTTGCTGATTTACTTTATTAGCATTTTTTTTACCTATGTAAATTTGTTAGCGAGTCACCAGTAGAAAAGACACTACAGTAAGGAAACATAAAATATATAAACAAAGACACATTAGACCGGACAACCAATATTTTTCTCTGCTTCTGAGTTGAAATGAAAAGACAAAAATAAGTTAATCTACTTGATACTGACTTTCTATGAATAGCTTTCTTGGTCCCCTATCCTTTATAATTGTGATTACTATAATAGTAATTCCATTATTAGCTTATTAATGGTATTCATTTTGATTAATTTGAATTTCTTAATCATCAAATCTTCTAATTGTTCTGCTGCTTTTTAGTACAATTATTCTTTTTGGAATACTTATTAGGGATCAAGGGTTGGGTACCTTAAAAAGGCAAATCTTTACAGAATTAAAAGCTCTGCATATGTTGCTGAAAATACCATCATTTTAAAACAGCAAAGGCAAAAAGATAATTAAATTCTGGTTTTGAAAACAACATGTGATAATGAGCAGTTCTGGGCAGATCACTGGATTTCTCCTCTTGCTCTCTATCAACAAAGTAACAACAATTTGCTAGGAGGCTGGAACACTGTCCTTAATGTCCTCATTTTGTTCCTAAATACAAATTAAGCTCTTGAAAAAATGTAAAACTCTGAAACTGAAGAAATTTATGTCTATATATATAAAATTATGTAATACAGTTTTAACATTTTTGAATTCTTGCCTCAGTATCTTCAAAGAAAACTCTCTAAGAATGACTGTAAACTCTGTAATGGAATCATAAACTGTAATAGAATAATGCCACACACTTATCTGGAGGGAATTTGGGTCATCTAGCTGAACTCCTTTTTTTAACAGATGAGAAAACTGAAGGCAAGAAAGGTTAAGTGCTTTGCTTAAGGCCAGCCACCTTCTCTGAACTTGGTTTTCTGGTCCCCAGCCCACTGTTTATGCCCTCTTTACTGTGTTCTCTCTCTCCCTCCCTCTTTATCTTCCTCTTTTTTTTTTTTTTCTTCTTACCTGACTTTTGCTTTGTTTATTTATCTTAGCCTTTTTTCACTGTGCTTTCTGGGGGAAAGAAACCAATAATGTTTGTTTACTGCAATAAACATTTGGACTACAAGCATATAAAATGCAGACCAATTGCCTGTATCCGTGAAGCAAAGGTACATAGCAAGTCACACTGCGGAAATGTACTTTCTTTAAAAGGTCTAAGCATAAATACCAAAAATCAATGCTTGCATTAAATGCCAAAAAGTAACAGTCAAGCCTTGATTCGATGATTTCAAGACCTTTACTCTGCTGTCTATTTCTTATCTGTTCTTTGCAATTCATCTTCTTCAGGACAAACAGCTTAGCTTTCCAACATAATGTATTGAGGATACACTATTTATCTAAAAATCTTTAGCAGACTCCCAGTGCTTTTTACATATAGAACAAAAATAAACCTCACAAACTCATTAACCAGGCATTGAGGTTCCTTTGGGCTGTCACCTATGTTTTTAGGTTAACCTCACATATTTGGTTACCTCTCCTCTGGAGCAAAATCACCAGTTTCCTTGCCATTCCCTAGACAGTTGTTCCCTTTTCCAAGTGTGCACTTTCCCTTTCCACTTGCTGAGATTGTATCCCTGTATTCATTCTTCAAATTTGTTCTCCTGAATTCGCTAGATTGAGTGAGTTCTTTGAGCTTCCCCACTCCTCCAGCAATTTAAAAATTTACATACTAATTTTCTTCTAGTTATGATGGCTGATTTTTTACTTTTTCTTTTCATTTTCAAAATTGTTTCTATGAAAATTGAATATACACAAAATAACATATTTAGCATATTATTCAAATATAGATAATAACAACAAAACAAACATCCCTTTACTCACTTTCTACCTCAGGGGAAAAATACCAGAAATCTACTAAATTTTTGAGGCTTCTGAAGGCCTATTCCAGATCCCATTCTCTTTCTGTATTCACAGATGTAAATAATCAAAGCCTATAATTCAATTAATTTTTGCAAATATCTTTACCACATATAGGAGTATCCCTAAACAGAATGTTGTTTCCTTTTTCATGGTTTTGAACTTTACAAAAATTATATCATATCAAATCTACTGACTTGTTTTTTACTTTTACCATTCTATTCTGAAGATTAATCCATTTGATGTGTGAATACATAATTTATTTCCATACTCTATAGTAATGTAGCATATGACTACACCAGAAATTATTTATCTACTCTGCAGCTGATTTTTTTTGTAGTAAACACTACAAATGAACTCATTCAATACCTATTTTCTATATGTTCTGGCCTGCTTTGGAGTACAGCAACAATGGAAAGCTCAAAACTATACTTATCCACATCTTTTACAGTTATTATTCTGGATGGGATCTTGACTTCACATGTTGCTACTGTAATATATCATAAGTATACTACTGTACATTTTCTAATATGATTTAGGATATTTTATTATTTTTATGAAAAGCTCTTGACCATTTTTTTTTTGTAGAAATTTTGCATCATGTATGGTGTTTGTCCATTTTGTTTCTCTTGTTTTATAGAATCGTACTTCTCATATGTGTACTTATTTTTGGTTTCTGAGCTCATATTTGGACATAATTTTTGTCCCTGCAAGTGACTTTAGAGAAAGAGAAAAATATAAATCCACAAAAGAGGACCCAAGAATCTCATTTGCTGCTGTACTATGAAGAAACCTCTCTGGTCCCAAATTCCCCTATATAATCTTGAAAGAAACATTACTGTAAGAATATTATCTCCTCACATTGCAATTCCAAGGGAGATGGAGAAGTGAAGGCATGAACGTTACTGGTCTGGGTATACTCATTTTCATAAATCCTCACTCCTGATATATAGAGTTATTTTGGATGGATTTCTTATATGTTTTAATATTTAAAAACATTTGAAAAAGTATTTTTATATGTATCAAATTTGCTGAAGTTCATTAATGATTAAAAATTTTCTAATGTCTAAGAGTTATCACCTTGAGCTTGATACAAATTTGAACATCTAATTAGGCTTTCATCAAGAACAAATAAAGGGGAATCACATAAAACAAATGCTTTCATACTCCATATGCTTCCAAAAGAAACACGCCTTCTCATTAAAATGATATTATTGGTTTAGCTTTTGTATGTAAAATTTTTAAAGATTAGAATAAAAAATTAAAAATGAAGAAAAATTAAAACCTAATTTCAATAGCTTCCCCTCTCTTTTCCGAAATTAATACCAGTATAAATCTGGTATTAATATATAAATTATGTGATATAAATCTTATATCACATAATTTTATCTACTTGTTAAGTCTGTCAGAAAAATGCATATAATGCAGATGAAGTTTGTCTCTTTATAAACACTTTTGTGTGCGTACTAACGCAAAAAGATTACCTATCTTTTTCCTCCCCATTAGGTCCAAAACTCTACTTTCACATATACTGTCTTTTTTCAATTATATAGCTTCAAAAGCGGATGTAAACACTTTGAGATGTTACTAATTATTCTTACTAATGAACATAAAAACTTCACAAGTTCCTCTAGTGACTGTATTTTGAGACTTGCTTTCAAAAATTAAAAAAATCTACTAAATGTCTGTGTACAATTATAGTTATATTCTGTTCTTGAATTTATTTGACAGTAACCTCTATTACAATGATGTTTCCTTATCAAACTGAGAGGGAAAGCTTTCAAAATTTTCCCATTTAGCATGATGTTACTCTAACTTAGGGAGGTTACTTGCTAGTGTGCTAAAAGATTATATCATGAACAGTCATTGAATCTTTACAGGTATAATCACTTAATCTTTTAAGATAATTAAATATTTTTAATATGAATTTGCTGATGATGAAACCTCTCTAATTTTAATTATTGGAGATTTATTTTAACTTCTTTTTATTTTTTTTAAGGTGAAATAAACATAACATAAAATTCACCATTTTATTTTTATTTTTTATTTCTTTTGAGACAGGGTCTCGTTCTGTAGTTCAGGCTGGAGTGCAGTGGCGCCACCTTGGTTCACTACAACCTCCGCCTCCTGGGTTCAAGCAATTTTCCTGCTGCAGCCTCCCCAGTAGCTGGGATTACAGATACACGCCATCACGCCTGGGTCATTTTTTGATTTTTAGTAGAGACAGGGTTTCGCCATGTTCGCCAGGCTGGTCTCAAACTCCTGACCTCAAGTGATCCACCCATCTTGGCCTCCCAAAGTGCTGGTATTACAGGTGTGAGCCACTGTGACTGGACAAAATTAGCCATTTGAAAATGAACAACTCTGTAACTTTTAGTACATTCAAAATGTTGTGCAACCACCACCTCTATCTCTTTCCAAAACCTTTCTCTTCCATTTTTGATTGATATTTTTGTGGTTATAACATTTGTTAGCAATCTCCCAACCCCTGCCTCTTCCTTGCAAAGAGTCCCAAAGGACCCAGAAGGATATAATATTGTCTTCTGACTCCCAATGTGTTTGCTGCAAATTAACCTTCTTTTGATGTTCTTTTCAAAGTTATTTTTCTTCTCTTTCTGCCTACATATAAGATTTTATCTTTGTCTTTGATTTTCGGTAGTTTTATAACTATGTGTTTAGTTTCAGTTTTGTTTATATTTATCTTGCCTGAGAATTCTTAAATCAGATGCTTGATTTTTTTTTAATCAGTTTTGGATAATTGTCAGCTATTATTTATTCAACTATTGCTTTTTATTTTATGTTCTGTCTTTTCTCCTTTGGAATTCCTATGCATATCTTTGACTGAACCTTTACATTCTTTCAGCATTTCACATTTTAATGTTTTCCTCTGTGCTTATTTAACATATTTTCTCTGACCCATCCCAACTCATTAATTCCTTTATTATGTAAAATTTACTAGTAAATATATTTATAAAATGGTCAGTTCAGTCATTATATATATTTATTTTTAAAAATTCTGTTAGATCTTTTAAAATGTTCGGTTCATAAATATTTTATCTTTTTGTTTATTTTCTTGAACAGAATAATAATTACTTTAAAATTTGTATCTGATAACTGTATTATCTGGAAGCCCTTGCAATCTGTTCTGTTACCTTTTATTTCTTACAAATTTTGTTCACATTGTTTTTTATCTTCAAATGTCTAGTCATTTAAAAATGTATGCTAGATTCTCTCTCTCTCTATATATATATGTATATATATATGCTAGATACTACATATATATGTATATATATATGCTAGATATTATATATATATATGAAAGATGATTTGAAGTCTGCAATGATGGTATCTTCCTCCAAAACGGATTCATTTTTCCTTTTTCAGGAGCAGAAGGGGCACTGAGTGGCATCAGCAATGGCAAATTACTATAAACCAATCAGAGAATGAAATGACTTAAAGCTGGGCTTCAGTATCATCAAAGGTCAAATTTCAATTACTTTTGGGTTTTTCTAGCCCCAAATCTGGAGAGAGGCTTTACCAGACACTGCCTTCTTTATGAGGCTTTTTACTTTGTATTGTACCATTTGCCTGTCAGCCTGTGGAAATCACTGCTCAGCCTCTCCGCATCTCAGCCACCTCTTTCAGAATTGTCAAATGCTTACAGGGGAGCATCAAGGTCATCTTTCTAGAGCTCCTTCTCCTAGATCTTGGCCCCATTTATCTCCACTTCCTTACTAGTTCTGCAGTGCCTTTATGTGCAGGTTTTTCTTTTCTCTGCTTTTTTAAAAAATTGTAACTTGCGTGAAGATTTATCCAAATTTCTTAGTTCATTATTAGTGAAGGCTAAAACTCTAGCTGACAATTTCATATCCAATTGAATTATCATTTAATATTGAGGGTGAAAGAAAGACATTTTCAGATAAAATACTAACAGGGTTTACCAACAGTAGATCCTGTTATAGTTGAATTGTGTTTCTCCCAAATTCATGTTAAAGCCCTAATCCTCAGTACCTTTGAATGTGACTGTATTTGGAGAGAGGGCTTTTAAAGAGGTGATTACATTAAACTGAGGCCATTTGGATGGGCCCTAATACAGTTTGACTGGAGTCCTTATAAAAAATGGAATTCTGCCCAGTACTTTGGGAGGGCAAGGCAGGCGGATCACCTGAGTTCGGGAGTTCTAGACCAGCCTGGCACACATAGTGAAACCCCGTTTCTACTGAAAATACAAAAATTAGCGGGGCGTGGTGGCACACGTCTTTAATCCCAGCTACTCAGGAGGCTGAGGCAGGAAAATCGCTTGAACCCAGTAGGCAGAGGTTGCAGTGAGCTGAGATCGTGCCACTGTTCTCCAGTCTGGGTGACAGGGCGAGACTCTGTCTTAAAAAAAAAAAAAAAAAAAAAGAAAACTGGAAATATGGACACAAAATGGACATCAGAAATAGACATTCACAGAGAAGATCATGTGAAGACACAGCAAAAAAGATGGCCATCTGCACACCAGGGGAGAGATTTCAGAAGAAACCAAACCTACCAACACCGTGGTCTTGAACTTATAGTTCCCAGAACTGTGAGAAATAAATTTCTGTTAATTCACCCAGTGTTGGTATTTTGTTGTGGCAGCCCTAACAAAATAATACAGACCCTTATAAAGGGAAGTACTAATGCTTTGACTCCTAAACATTTTCAGATCACAGCACACATATAAAATGATAATATTTTTGCAGTGTGTTGGCTTAAGTAGGTGAGGATACTCATGGCCAGAGATCAGCCCCAAGGCTACCCCTGTTCTAATCTCCAACAGCTATGCTAAGGGCTGAGGATATCAGTATCTCATGTACATCTGTAAGCCATTCTTGACACCCCTAGTGGGAAGCTCTTTTCTATAAGATAAACTTTAGGAAGAAATAAAATCATCTCATAAGGAATGTCTCAAATGAAAGAGAGGAAGTTTCTCTCTATACGTAAATTGAAGCCTTGGGCAGAGTTTCACAATGGCTATTTTTTTTAAAGCTTGTTGAACAGAAAGATACTAATCTAACTACTGACTTCCATCATTGAGCCAAACCTCAGTCTCCCTTATCACTTTCACCTTCCAGCCATTCTTTCCTGATTCTGCACCTGGATTCCAGCAAGTTATGAGGATGAATCTGTGAGTACAGCTCCATTCTCTGCTTTGAGTTTCTCTTCTGTCTTTGGAAACTACAAAAAATTTTTATTTAATATCTGATTCTAGTTTTGTTTCTGGTTTTCTCTTTTAATATTTTGCTTATGATTAGCATGTCTTTTGAACACCGGTAATATATATTGAGGGTGTGGATAGATGGTGACATCTTAATTAGATATCCAACATAGTTGTTATTCAAACAGTATTCAAGCTACTCTTTGCCCAAAATATTGTATTATGACCTACTGCATTAGGATTCATGTGTATCAGTTACTTTGTGGTGCATAGAAACACACAAATTTCAATTGCACACTTGAAAATTTGACATTACTGAAACTATTTAGTGACTATTTAGAAGACATTATTTTTACCTTGGAACAATAGGCACTAAAGTTTATTTTTTTCTGGTAAAATTCTGTTCCCCAAAATTTTAGTGCTGAGTTTAAACTTACTTAGTTTAAACCAGTGGCTATCAATTTTAGGGATAATTTTACTCTCTAGCCCAGAGACATTGGGCAATATCTTAAGACATACCTTTTGATTGTCATGCCTTGAAGTTGTTGGGTGGAGGACAGGGACACTGCTGTACATTACAATGTACAGGACAAACCCATACAATGAATATGATCCAATATTTGAACAAGAAATATGGTCCAAAATTTCAATAGTGTCAAATTTTTTAAAAGTCTTGTTAACACCTGTGAAACAATATTCAAAATTGTCTAATCAAAAGTTGTGTCTTGTTGCAATTTGTAATGTAATGTAATTTAATAATGTTTCAGCCTTAATTTTTTTCCACATATCTAGGTTGAATTTATCCACATACCTCTTGTTAGAATGGATAGTAGGTAGATATAAGAGAGAGGATTTCACCTGAAGTAAGGAGTTCGAGACCAGCCTGCCCAACATGGCAAAACCCTGTCTCTACTAAAAATGCAAAAAAGTAGCCGGGCATGGTGGCGGGCACCTGTAATCCCAGCTACTTGGGAGGCTGAGGCAGGAGAATTGCTTGAACCCAGGAGGGGGAGGTTGCAGTGAACCAAGATTGCATCACTGCACTCCAGCCTGGGCTTTTGTCGGAAAAAAAAAAGAAAAAAAAAGGGATTTACTTCCCAGTGCAGCACTAAATAAAGTCAACTGATAAACCTGTAATTTTGCCTTGTGTTAGTCCACTGGTATAAATGGCCCCAGGAGACAGAACTCTATTTGAAGATTTTTTTTTTTTTTTTTGAGACAAGAGTTTCACTCTTGTTACCCAGCCTGGAGTGCAATGGAGCGATCTCAGCTCACTGTAACCTCCACCTCTTGGGTAGAAGTGATTCTCCTGGCTCAGCCTCCCAAGTAGCTGAGATTACAGGCATGCACCACCTGCCCTGCTAATTTATTTTTGTGTTTTTAGTAGAGATGGGGTTTCACCATGTTGGCCAGGCTGGTCTCAAACTCCTGACTTTAGGTGATTCACCAGTGCATTAAAAGAACCCCCTACCTTTTTATAATTCTCTTCTACTAGAGTAAATTCAAGTTCATTTAGGACAGAGTGCACTAAATATTATCATATAACGTATGTGTTCTGAATATCTGCTATCTTATTGTTCTTTTTCTGCCTTTCTTCCTCTATAAATCCATATTCCAAATTTAGAACCAGTGTATGTATATATGTGTGAGTGAATATACACACACACACACACACACACACACGTGTCCCCAGCCAAATCACATGTTGAATAGTCATCCCCAGTATTGGAGATAGGGCCTAGTGGGAGCAAATTTCTCATGATTGTTTTAGTACCATCTTGTTGGTACTGTCCTTGCAATAGTGAATGAGTTCTCAGGAGATCTGGTCATTTAAAAGTGTGTAGCTCCTCTCCTCTCTCTCTCGTTCCTGCTTTCACCATAAGATGTGCCTGCTCCCCCCTTCACCTTCTGTCATGATTGGAAGCTTCATGAGGTCTCACCGTAAGCAGCTGCTACTATGCTTCCTGTATAGCCTGCAGAACTGTGAGCCAATTAAACATATTTTCTTTATAAATTACCCAGTCTTAGGTATTTCTTTACAGCAATGTAAGAACAGCCTGACATAGTGTGTGTATCAACCTAAAAATAGTATGATACCTTTTATTTCCCCTAAATTTCTTTTTTCTCCTACTTGCCCAAGACATTTTGGCCTGTTAGCTCCTTTTTCTTACACAATGCCCAGCAGCCTGGCCTTTCTACGCTTCTTCCCAAAATGCCTCTCTGACATTGTTCTCTATTACGTGGCTCTAACCCAGTTTCTGCCTTCCAAATTGCACAACCATAAGTTCATTTCTCTTTCTTTCTTGGAAGAAATACATTGATTCAGGTCTTTTTTTGCACATACTTTATTACATGCACTTTAATTGAAAAAATATTCATGTCCATTTTAAGAAAATGCCTGCCTGAAAAAAGAAAACCCTGAACAAAATACTTTGTTCTGTTTTTTTTTTCATAGAAATGAAATAAATGGAAGGAAAAAGAGTCCCAGATGTTTGTAGAGAGCATGTATAATTACACTGAGTATAAATGAGAAAATTCTAGCAGATACGTACATTGACTTCTGAAAAGATAAAGAGGCTTCTGTTTTCTTTATAAGTAAGTATTGAAAGACATTCATTTCCGGATAGCAATATCATATTATCACAAAGAATAGCCTCAAACACACATACTTAAACATTAAGATTAATATGATATTACTAAAAGACAGCATACCCACATATCCCCAATATGTTTTTTACATTAGGAAAGATAATTCACAGAAAACACATCTAACACACACCTGACAGACTCACACAAACCAAGCACACATACCCACAGATATAAACATGAATATGCACACACATTCTCTATATCTATACAAATATTTTCTTTAAATGGCACTACATGTTCTATACTCACTAACTTTTTTTTTCTATCATTCCCACTTATTTTTAGATAACATCTATACTTCTCTGCAATATTTTCCTCTTACAGAGTGACTCACAGGATTGACTGTGGTGTTCTGTCCCTGGCTTCAGTTCCTGAGTCTGGCAGGTTATTTAAGGCAGCACTATTTATCTACCAACCAAAGTCTTCTCACAGTGTAGCTGCATCTTTCATGCCAAAGGCATGGGCTCTCCTCAGGCGAAGTTCATGAGGGTGGCCTGAGCTATTATTTGTAGGTGGTATTTGTTCATTTTATTTTTGTTACATCAAAAAGTAGATTGAAACCAAGGTTTTGTTTTTTGTTTAAACATTTATGTGCTTTTATCCAAGTATACAAGTATATTCCCTACTTTTTCCAAGGAAGCAATGTTGTAGCCAGCAACAAATGTATACATAAAATTTTAACCATCTGTTATTCCTTTAACTAAACAATATCAAGATTAAAGAGACTACCAGTATTTTACAGGAATACAAGAATAAGCCTACTGTTAACAGAATAAAAAGCGTGTGCACATTTACACAAGGATAGCACTCATTTTTCTTCAACTTTTAGCAAACTGGTGAGGAAGAAAACAAACACTTTCTAAATGTTAAAAATTAAATTAAATTAAATCAGATTCACTAGAAATATGAGGTGTTTACATTGGACTTTGTGTTGCTTTTCACCATTTCAGACATGAGACATGTTCCTGTATGTGGCTTTATTCAAGCCGTTCTTTCCATTTGCTATATGTAATTATATATTGGTCATATTCATTTTGTAGAATTTCTTATAAATGTATTGCTAAGAATCAATCTTTCCAAAAGCAAGCATCCATTATTCATCTTCCAACCTGTCTTTAAGCACAGAGCTATGGCAGATAATTACCCTCTATCAATATATTATACAAAGAGAAGGCTACTGTTTACATGCATCAGCTGTGCTGTGCTCTCTTGAACTTATGCTTTTTTTAGGGGGTGCTACAGTTAGGCAGTGGAACAATGCAAGCTTCCAGTTTGACCAAAACATTTTAAAGAGAAAAAGTGTGATTTATGAAGTAGCTACTAAGAATGTGCCATCCAGTTATAGCCAAAATATAAAGTAGTATTTGTATTCCACAAAGGAATCTGTGATTAGGCAATTCCTGTAACTGATGTTTATTTTGCCACTTAATTCTGAGACAAACTGTTACCTCTCAAATGAATGCTGATGGAAATAAACCAAATGTGCTTTTTATTATATCTATTAATAGTTGAGTTCTACACAAGGTGATTTAAAAATTTGTTTCCTTTCTAAATTGTAAGTGTAGATGAAATTTATAGAATCAGTATTGTGGGACATATGTAAAGTTGCTTTGTCACTAAATATTTAGTGGACATGGATACTGGCATACTGGACTTCTTACCATAGGCAATTTCTGATGTCCTAAGGAATGCTAATCAATTTATGAACCAGATGTTACTTCCACATATGGCTTAGAAAGGCTGTAATCTCTATGATTGAAGACCATGAGGCTCTTCTGATTTTCAAGATAGGGTTTTTTAATGAATTTATCTTTATGGACACATTAAATTATGTATGCATGAGGCTCCTTCAACACATTTTTTCACAGAGAGCATGTTAAAGATTTTAGTGTAGCTTCAGCTTCCTAAAAAACTGCCAATAATACAATTATGGTAAAATTACCCTACAATCGTAATTGCTTCTTTAAAACATCACGTGTAAAATGAAAATTGTTTTAATGGGTAATACATACCATTAAGATCTCATTTTTGGAATCTATACTCAGTAAAGCCCATTTGCCAATATTGTTTGGTTCATATAAATTTTATTTTGAAGAAATGTTTTTAACTTAAATAAATTTTTCTTTCATTATAATTATATGAGAAATCCTATCAATATGAATAAACTCTAAAGATAAAAATTTAAATAAAAATAAAGACCAAACACTGACTTCTGATATCACCTTTATTATATCTCTTATTGACTTGGTATTCTGAGTTGTGTTGTGGTAATAGTAGTGGTGCTAAGAGAAGCTCTTACTTCAGTTAAAATATGACCTGTGATCCATTCAAAATACACATATTTATACTTTATCTGAGCAGATTTTATCTAAAAAGTAGCATATGAAAAACAGGTCCATTACTCATATCTACAAGACTTGTGACAAAAGTACAAATGGAGGCCCACATTTCAAATGTCTAAATACTTAAAATTTACAAGACTAGCCAACAAACTACTACATAAAATATGTTTTATCTTTCTCCCTCAACGAAAATACTTTTGTATTGACAGAATAAAAAATATGTGTAAAAGCTCTGGTTTTTATATGACTAAAAGTCAGCAAAATGCCAAAGGTGACTGTATTTAAGTATTATTTTACATGTTGATGCTCCAATAATTTTAATACCAAAATATAATCCTGTAAAATTTATAGATTATCATATAAACATATATTTCATAAAATTTATTTTTCTTGGCTTGATTGGAGTCCACCATTAAGTATGAAGCGATCATTCAATCTACTTTCCATAATTGTCTCCACTTTCTCTATCAACCTTTCTGGTATCCCCAAGGTCAAAACACTTTTCATCAACTTCTCCAGAAATAATCAACTTTCTTCCAGAATCCTTTTGGAGTCCAAGAAGAGTTAGAATGTTCCAGGTTTAAGACTTTAAAAGTCCTCACTTTTGAACTCTGCTGTAGTTACTTGCCTCCAGAGGTATCTGTTGTCTCCAATTACTGAGTAAGTCCAAGGTTCTTAATAAACATAGACCAACGTGGTCTTACCTCTTGATATGAAATAGTTTTATTTTTGTTAATTTCAAGTAATCTGTAATTTGTTTTGATTTCCTCTTTGATGGATGAATTATTTTGAAAAGTCTCAATTTCCAATTGGATATATATATATATATTTTTTGAGACAGATTTTAACACTGTCTCCCAGGCTGGAGTGCAGTGGTACAATATTGGCTCATTGCAACCTCCACCTCCCAGGTTAAAGAGATTCTCCTGCCTCAGCCTACTGAGTAGCTGGGATTACAGGTGTGCACCACCACATCTGGCTCATTTTTTGATTTTTAGTAGAGACAGGATTTCACCATGTTGGCCAGGCTGGTCTCAAACTCCTGACCTCAGGTGATCTGCCCACCTTGGCCTCCCAAAGTGCTGGAATGCAGGTGTGAGTCACCACGTCTGGCCTAATTGTATAATTTTTAAATAGTTATACATGGAAGCAAACATTAGGAATAAGGTGAGTGTGAAAGTAGTGGAAAGACACGGAGACCTCTGTTTTTGAGGTCTCTTTGGATGAGAGCAGAGGAGAGGCCATTCTCTCCCAACCACATGACCTGGGAGAAATTTTGCTCATCAGAGCTGCTGATGCCCAGTTGGATCCAGTGGCCTTCCAAAAGTCTCCAAAAAGTCTTCCAAAAGTCTTCCAAAATGGCTAAATTCAGGAGAGAGGCAAGTACTTTAATTCTCTATAGACATTAGGTGTTCTCTGGTCTGCACAGGCTGGGAATTTGCAATATTTTGCCTCAAAATCTAATTCATATTTCTTATTTCTCTAAGATAAAATATGGCAGCTGTACCCTGGAGAGATTTTGTCTTCAGAACAACAGATATCGTCTCTAGAATTTATCAAAAAGATCATTTTAGTTGTGTGGTACTGCAGTAAAGGATGGGAGAAAAAAGATCAATGATAATGTATGATCATACTGCTATAGAAAGTGTCAAATGAAATGCACAGGTGTGTTCAAAATTTAAAAATATACTATAGTTTAATTTTTTTATGAAGTCCAGTAGACAAAATAAATAAAAAATGATATGTTAGCAAACTTGCCATTGAAAATTCCTTGGGAAAGCACTATGTTGGTGACATACAGTCTTTTAATAACTCCAGCAAAACTAGTTGATGTTTCCCCATTGGGAGAACACATTAACGTTCTTTGGTTTTGTTTTGGTTAAAAACATGTTGAAGTCATTTGGCTACTATTTGGGGTCACGTTGTAAAATATACACCTTTAACCAACAGGATTATGCTAAACACAGGAAGATGCTCATGCTGAAATGCACAAGGGGATGAAGACTCATTTGGAAGATAGCAAATTTGTGTCTCCCATCTCATGCCTAAGCTTATGCAAAAAGGGAGTGATTTTTCCAACTATTTAAATTGATATTTTAGTCCCATTCACATCTTTTTGAAATGCAGTGTTGAGTTAGTACAAGTGAAATGTGTGTTCAGCTTGATGCCAGTTTGCTTCCTATGTTTTAAGTTAGATTTTGAAAAATTCTACCAACTTGCATGTAATTGAAGAATCCCACACTTACGGTGTGTCATAATGAAACACACTGGAAATTCATGTTTGATAAGAATAAAATTTCATTATTCTTGATATTTTGGGAAGACTTGAATCAATTTGTTTTCTTTTTTTTAAAAGTCAGTACATATAAAATGTGTCACTTCTTATTTTTATTATAATTAACTGAATACAATGAGATTTGCTTTAATCTTAATAATTTATTTATACATTAGTTAATTAGTTTAGACAAATTAGTTAAAAATTTGTCTAAATGAATTTGATATTTGCTTTTGGAACAAATCCATAGAGATTATGCTTAACATTTAAAGAAAACAGTTACTGCCAAACTCAAGCAAGTGCAAGTTGTGATTCAGATTACTAACAGATGTTGAGTAGCAAAAATATATTTTCTATATGTGTGTGTACATGCATATCTGCGATTTTAAAATTTAAAAAATAATTTAATCTCGTTTCCCAACTTCCCCATGCACAATGCTCATAGTTATAACTTTCTGGAAGGGACTGAACCTTAATTGTAAAGTGCCAGTGCAATTCATGCTAAATATGTCCTTTCTAAATGTATCTATGCATTAAGCGGGTTTAACATTATAATATCACTAGCATCAATGATAACTCATAATTGAATATTAATGCTGAGAGTAAAGATGCAAAGCTCTTCTACATAATGAAATGTAGAGTAAAATAAAACATGTGGACTGAGCAGAGCAAAATAATGTTCTTCAAAAACAGTATTTATCATCATCTACAAAGCTGAGTAATTAAAAGTTGAGGTTGCAAGCAGCCAGGATCCTTAACTCTCTGACTATAGAGAAAAAGAAGAGATCATTATTGCTGTGAATATCAACACAAGAGTAAGTGCCCATTATAAATTCTTTCAGTGCTGCAAACTTAATAACATGCTATATGGTATATCATTTAGTCATATAATTGTCTTGCTTAAAGGAATCATGGTACCCCAATCTTCTCGTTTTATATATGGGGAAATTGTAAGCCAATAAGATTAATTCACCTACCCAAAGTCACACAACCAGTTATTAACAGACCAAAGTTTTCAAAACAGATATCTTAACTCACTCTTGTGATGTGATTTTTCAACTGTACCAAGCAGAGTGTGCTATAAAAGATTATTTTAGGCTGGGCGTGATGGCTCACAGCTGTAATCCCAGTACTTTGGGAGGCCAAGGCAGGCGGATCACCTGAGGTCAGGAGTTTGAGACCAAACTGACCAATATGGTGAAACCCCACCTTTACTAAGAATACAAAAATTAGCTGGGCGTGGTGGCATGTGCCTTTAGTCCCAGCTACTTGGGAGGCTGAGGCAGGAGAATTGCTTTGGAGGTGGAGCTGGCAGTGGGCCGAGATCACACCACTGCACTCCAGCCTGGGCGACAGAGGGAGACTCCATCTCAAAAAAAAAAAAAAATTATTTTAGGACTGTACATATAGTAAGGACAGAGTTTTGTCAACAGGGAGTAATGGTTATGTTGCTTATGTCTTATAATATGGTGATAAATAAAGATTTTGTGAGGAGCAAATGGAAAAATTTATTTTAATGCTTAGCGTGGTGATTGGCACATGCTAAGTGCTGCATAAATATTTTTTGTCATTGTTTATGATTGTTGTTTTCTCTTTAGAACATGCTAAAAAATAAGCTGCGAGCCTTTGAAAATAGCTTATCTCAATAGAAGGCCTGAAATTAAGATTTTAGATACTCTCTGATTTCCTACCCCTTGAGATTTCCTATTAATCTATGTAATTTAAACTATCAGTAAACAGACAATTATGTGAACAACTCAGTCTTATCAGTCAAATGTGTTGAACTAGTCATTAGAATTAAAACAATCTAGACTGATATTATGAATTAGTATTATTACAACACAAATGAAGGACAATATGCATGTTTAATATACTGGAATCCCTCTGTTTCCTTTCACCTGCTGTATATATTTTGTCATGAAGTTTCAATGGTTCTGTTTTCTCCATTCTTGTTAATACTGTTGTAGACCACATGCTGGGCTAACTCAGCAAATGTTGTAGCTGGCTCATCTGTTTCAAACTCCTTCCATCTCTTTTTAGTCTATTTAATATTTTGCTGCAAGTCTTGTCCAAAGAAATGAGTCAATGGTGAGTCCCTAATGCTTGTTCTGGCATTCAAATTTTGCCATCCCCTGCACTTTATTAGCTTTCATTATACTTTACTACTTATTTCTCAAACTGATAACTTCTACTCCCTCAGGCTTTCACCTTTCTGTCTCCCAAATACAGCAGGTACCTTTTTAATGTTTTGATCTTTAGTTATACTCTTTATCCTGCCTGGAATGTTCCTTAACCATGCTTTCCTTAGTGTTGATTGTCTGGCATTTGGTTCTATATTGATTACACTGATACTGCTTTTTCTGTTTCATAACTCCCACAAATTTATGAGCCCCTTACTGACCCAGCAACGTGAAAGCAGCAGAGACTAAGCTCTTAACCAATGTTGTTTAATTTGCTTATTGGAAATAAGATGGAAATTTTAGGTATGAAATGTAAACACTATTGCAGAGTATATGTGTAGACTGAGAGAGCACATACTTTCCTGAGCAAAACAGAAGTTCTTTTCCAAATTAATCCTCAAAGCTTCATAAATACATAATTCCAGATTTCAGTTTACTTCAGGAATAATTTGGCAAGAGTTTTAAATCAATTTCTAATAGATTTCAAGTTTCAGAGTAGCACATTTCCTCATCTACAAACCCGCATGCTTTTCTCACCCTATAAAGAGATGCATTATATAATTTTGGGGATTTATAGCAGATGTAGCAGCACTTTAAGACTCACCAAGGGCCAGAAGCTGACCTTGAAGTTTAGAAAGGGTATTGTTTAGAGATGGTACACATACCTTTTCTATTTATCAACAGTGGAACAAGTGACTTAATGTTTCCCTGGGATAATTTGAATTTAATATCTCTTGTGAAAGACGTTGCACTGGAAATGCAGCATTACCTCTGACCTCTCAGAAGAACCCCTTCAGGCTGCCATCAAATAATCATTCTGGTGTTAGTCCTGAACTTAAATTCACACCAGCCCCTGAAGTTTGAGACAAAATCTGGTTAAGCAGTTCATGAAGAGTGCTCTAGAATATTTCTCCTGACATGTGAGCTCTAAACCACACATTTTTATTTGTATTTGCTCTTCCCAAATGTTATTAACAGGGGAAATCATGATAGATTTGTTCCAGTAAAGTGTATTTTAAATACAAAAAATAAACCTTTTACATTTTTTATACATCTCCAAAAGTGATTATATGACTCAAGAACAACTAACAAAACTTGCTGACTGCTTTGGACATAATTTCCTAGACTAAACAAAAGTTACCATCCTTGGAGGAGATGCTTGCTATGGTAGTAAGCTAGACTAGAACAGAAAATTAACCAGGAAGCAAATTTTTCTCTCATTCACACTTCACATAAACTAGAGTGCTACTATGCTATTTATATATTTATATTCTTCAAAGTACATAAAGTTACACATAGATTAGACAGTGAGTACTGGCTAAAGGATTAGATAAAGAGAAAGTTACTTACACATCTGTTTTGCTGGGTTGAGACTATACTAAAAAATAGGCCTAATCTATTTTTTATTATTTTGATGACAAGCAAGAAATAATATTTTCAGAATAATAAAGTTTGCATATTGGCTAAATATTTTCATAATTCATTTTATTTAACTTACAAAATACCACATATTAAAATTTGCCTTATATGGAGAGCTCTCATTACCTATTTACATTAAATTATTTTATTTATTCACTTGTAACATCATTCAGAAAAGTACATCAATTGTAAGTGTATGGCTTAATAGATTTTCAAAAAATGACCAATATCAAGAATAAAAAAGAAAGACCGTTACCAACATACTGTAAACCCACGGCACTTTTTCATTTAGTACCTCTTCATCTTTCCAAGGATTAACATTATCCTGATTTTAAAACAATCTATTAGTTTTCACTCTTTTTGAATTAAGTATATTCATGGATTATATACTCTTTTATGTCTTGCTTTTTACACTTAGCATTTTGTTTATGTAATTCATTTAAGTGATTCCTTTAGTAGTAATTAAATTTTCTCTACTGTATAGTAATTTATTGAAAATATACAATTTATCTATTTTAGTAGATTGGTAGTTGATAGATATTTGGATTGTTTTCAGTTTTCAGCTATTACTAAATAATGCTGCTATAAGATTCTTGTAATTGTCTTGACACAGGTACATATGCATTCTGTGGGCTATAGGACTGGGAGTGCAATTACTAGTTCATCGGCCATGCCTATGTCTAGCTTCAGTAATACCTAACAAATAATTGGAAATCTTTTGGCTTTTTATGAATAAAATACTGCTATATTAGAATTTAAGTCTATTACCTTCAAATTCCCCCTTCAAATTCCCCTTCAATTTCTCTGTGTTCTGCTTCTCTTTCCTTTCTTACTTTTGGATCAATCTGGGACTTTTGTTGTTGTTGTCATCAATCATTCCATTTTTCCCTTTAATGACTTTTTGAAAAATATTATTTTATTAATCATTAATGGTTACCCAGGAAGTTACAACGTGGATTCTTTAATACAATCTAATATCATTTAATACTTTTACCACTTCCTATACAATTTGTCTTCTTTTAAGATCTAGCCTCTTGTGCTATTGTTGAAATGAATATTACAGTTCTATATTTTAAACCCCAAAATGCAACATCATCATTATTGCCATCATGGTTGTCATCATCATCACCATCACCATCATCATCATCATCATCATTATCATTGCGAGGCAGGTTCTATTGATTGATTACCAACTTGTCTGAATCTGGTAAGACAGAACATGCCCCACCACCCCCACACACATACCAAGTTACATGAAGTAAATTTATTACTTACAGCTAGGTAGCAAGGAACAACAGAAGCCAAGAATTCATCACAAGCTGGTTCCCTAAGGCTCAGGAAAGCTTTCTAAGGTGGCTGGAATCTCATCTGCACATGACCCACTTGCATTGCAGCTGAGGGACCAGGAAAGCAGCCTGCTCTGGGGTTTATGCCCAAGGGCATTGTGACTTGCTGGGGTAAACTGTTGAAAGACATCCTGTTTTGGAGGAATGGAGCGGAACAAAGCCTGGCCTCTTTCAGCCAGCTCCTTCCTATCTCAGATGTTGCATTCCCAGTACATTCTGTGGGTACTCTGGAGTACTATAAGCAAGAAAAGGGGAGGAGCTTTGTCGATCCAAGGTCACCTGGGAAATTGGCCTGCAACAATTATCTTTATTTTAGACAAGCATGTGCTTTCTAATTATGTCTATTATTTTCTGAAATTTTTTGCTTTCATTTGTAATTATTTTTTCTCCAACTAATAGTCTCCTTTAAGTGTTTTCCAGTGTCAACCTGTTAGTGACAAATTCTAACTTTTAAAAAAAGTTATCATTTCACCATCTGATTTCACAAAATACAGAGTTCTAGGTTGACAGTTATTTTATTTTAGCACTTTTAAATTGTCACTTAATAGTCTTCTGGATTTTATTGTTTCTGTTGAAAAGAAAACTATCAGTCTGATTGTTGCTTCTTTGACAGTAGGATATGTTTTTTTTCTTGTTGTTATTGAAGATCTTCTCTTGAAATTTGGTTTTCAAAAGTCTTACTATGTTGTCTCTAGGTGTGATTCTCTTTGCATTTGCCATTTTTGGTTCTTAAAGAGTCCTACATCTGTAGCTTTATATTTTTTATCGCTTTTGAAAATTTTTCACTGGTATCTCCAAATAATTATCACTTCTCTATCTCCCTCTTCTACTTAGTCTCCAATTATACAAGTTTATTATTAAATTTCTCTTAGCTATGCTATATATTTTCCATCCTTTATTGCTTCCCATGAATCAATCTGAATATTTTTATTGATCTGCATTCTCTGTTTACCTTCTCTCTTCTTCTATATCCAATCTCCTATTAAACCAATCTTTTGGTATCTTAATTTTAGACATAATATTTTTAGTTTTTCAAATTTCCATGTAATTATCTTTTAAAATATATTCAGTTCTCAGGTTATATTTCAATCTTTTCATCTTTTAAAAATATGTCAATCACAGTTATTTTAAAATCCATATGTAAGATCTAACATCTAGATAATCTTTGGGTCTGTCTCTCTTGTTTTTTCTTCCCCCTGGGTTTTCAGTCATATGGTCTTTTTTATTTGATATAATAGTTATCCTTGATCGACTATCAGACATTGTTTATAAAGCCTTGTCGAGATTATTAGCCACAGTGAACAATGAATTAAAATTGCTTTCTGCCATGCAGCTAGAGTAGGGATAAATTACCATAATTCAATTTGGGATTAAATTCATGCAGAATTGGACTCAAATATTTTATTAGGGTAAATTCATGTTCAGATTTACTTATTCCTAACTTACATCAATAGTAGAATCCCATGTGGAAGGCTGGTGTGTTTGCCAGGGTCATTCTCCGTTGACAGACTGAATTCTAACTCTATTACCTCTAATCTATGAAACTTCCAAAAGTTTTGAGCTTTCCCAGCATTTTACTTAGTTTATTAGCCTTTGGCCATGAAGCTACTTAGATATTTGTAAAGAGCATATTGGGGAAAGCAACACAATATGTGTGTTCACCTTAATGCACTTTCTCTTTGGGATTGTTGCCCCAGAGGCCTTGTATGCTCAGTACACCTGAATTCTTGAGTTTAGGTTGCCAACCACATGTGACTGCTGAACCCTCATCTCATATTCTGATTTTTCTAGCTGATGCCTCAGGCCACCTCTCTTCCATGTGTAGCTTATGATTTGGTATATAACTTATAGGAAAAGTATAGCGTACTTTAATGCTGAGCTCACTTCAGTGAGCTTTCATTCTCTTCAGAATTCTGACCTGTCAAATCCTAGTTGCCTTGGTAGATGTTTCCTAGCTATTTTTTGGGGAAAGCGTCTTTTCTACAAGCTATCTTACAGCTATCAAAAGAAGTTCAATTCAATTAATTTATAGTCTGAACTATCAAATGAGTAAATGACATATTTTTTAAAAACGTCAATCAATCAATGCATCACAAACAGATACACATTTACACCTATAAATGTTCTGCTTTCACAGTAGCCTATCAAAAATTATTATTATGTGACATTCAGCCAGGTTGCTGGTTTTTAAGAAGGACTTCTAGAAGACAATGGCAAAATTTCTTTGCTCCAAAGAATCACACAAAAATGATAATTTTGGTTTGGAAACATCCAATCTTAATGTAGGTAGTTAAAATGTAAATATATGATTTTTCCTTTTAAATTCAATCACACATACAAAAATAAATGTCTATAGTGGAAATTTAGTATCTTTTTAATAAAATAAATTACTTTTGAAATAGTTATTTATGTGACATTTGTTTATTCTTTCAAGTCACTGGCATTGTCTAAGAAACTGGCCATAAATAAACTTGTAATTTTATTCACTTTATATTTATATAAAATATTACATGCACACATATACATATATACTTATATTTATAATATAATGTACAGTTAATATATTAAGCATTATATATCTTATATATTATAATAGACTTTATATATATTATAATATACATATTTATAATATATATATTTCTCCTCATGCCAGATGTTATTGGAGTAAAGGCCTATGCCCTTAAATTGCTTCCTGAAAAATATACATGATGTTATAAAACATACCCACAACACATAATAATAAAAAGAGATGAGATGAAGAGAAGGAAGGACTAAAAGTCTTATTTGAGAAACATTAGAAAGTATGTGCGTAATGAACAGAGTAGAAATAATAGACCAGATCTCCTTCACACATTTATTTACTAAATTAACTTTACAATTTAACCAAAAGAGAAAAAGAATCCACCATTTATTTCAATGAATCTTACAGTTGGGGGTAGCTTGACATGGGAAATACAAATCTGCTATTTTTCTAGAGAAGCACCGTCCAAAAGAAGTATTATATTGGCCACATAAGTAATTTTAAATATTTTACTGAATATGTTTAAAAAGTAAAATAAATAGGTAATTTTTGATAAAAATGTTTTAAAATATTGCAATACCATCCATGTAGATTTGAAAATATGGGTCAGTTATCTGAGAATGTAAATAATTAAAACATCAAAAAAGACCTTTCTGATTTTCTTTGTGAACATGAATATTTAAAAATTAATAAACTTTATTTTTTAAAAACAGTTTTAGGTTCATGGCCAAAGTGAGCAGAACTCACAGAGTTCCCATATACCTCTTTTCTACACATATCCACAATCTCTTTTAGTACTGACATCCTGCACCATAATGATACATGTATTAAAATCTCTAAACATTGATATATAATCACCCAAATTCCATAGTTTACATTAGGGTTCACTTTGAGTATTGTACATTCATTTCATAGATTTGGACAAACATACACTAACATGTATCCATTAAAGTGTACGTACAGAATATTTTTACTGTCCCCTAAATCTTCTGTGATGCATCTATTCATTCTTTCCCCCACTCCAACCTATACAGCTGCTGACTTACTCCCTCTATAGTTTTATTTTTTTCTAAATGACATATCATTGGAATCACACAGTATGTTGCTTTTTCAGACTGGGTTCTTTCACTTAGTAATATGCATTCAAGTTTCCTCCATGTGTTTTCCTGACTTGATCATTTCTTTTTAGCAAAGAACAACATTTCATTTTCTGAATGTACCACAGTTTATTTACCCATTCACCTACAAAATAACATTTTGGTTGCTTCCAAGTTTTGGCGCTTATAAATAAAGCAGCTATAGACATCTATGTGAAGATTTTCATGTGGACTTAAGTTTTCAAAGTTTTCAACTCTTCTAGATAAATACCAATGAGAGCAATGGTGGAACCTATGTTAAAAGTATGTTTCATTTTACAAGAAACTGCTAACTGTCTTCCAGATTGGCTGTACCATTTCGTCACAGGATCCTTTGGGTGTTGCTTCGCCAACCGGAAACTTTTGTGGTTGGCAGCACCTCTGCTTGACTTTTGCTCCTGCCTGCTGAACTCATTTTGCACACTCGGCCAGGCAGTCTGTGCTTGGCTCATGCTACCAGCCCAGATCCCACACCTGCAAAGAGCGAGCCAGGTGCAGAGTGGTGAGGGGTGTGTGAGCAAGTGAGTGCAGGGTCTGGCCACTACACACAGTCAGGTACACCAGCTGCTGCTGTGGGGTGGGCAGCTCCTGGCACTGGCATAGGTTCTAGCTCTGTGCAAGGCTACAGCTGGACCAGATGTGCCACAACAGGCTTCCACCGTGGGCACCAGCATCTGGATGAAGGGAACGTGGTGGTGCCCAAAAGCTTGGAGACACCAGGAACTGCAGAGCCCCAAAGAGGCTGTTACAGTGTGTCACAGCCCTGGCTCAGGGAGCCCTGATATCTGGGCTCCCAGAAGGGCTGCAGCTCTTCTCTCCTTTTCATTGCCCACAGTGTGGCAAAATGGGGGAGCGTATTTCGGGGGGGTATGTTTCAGCCCATTTGTGTCACCGCTTTTTCAGTCCTGCTGCCCCACTCTGGCCCACAGCTCCTGGGCTAGCGCAGCCCCACTGCTGCTTCCCATTGTGTGGGGTGGCCACTCAGCACCAGCAGAGGGTAGAAGGACTATAGTGTTACTGCTCTGGCTCAGGGAATCCTGAGGCCTGAGCCCCCAGAATGGTCACCACTCTTCACTCCCACAGGTCGGGAGCATGTCACCACCTGCAGTTCAGTGAGCCAGCCAGGAACATATTACAGCCCCTTTAGTTCCGGCCCACAGCTCCGTGAGCCATCCAGGAAAGTGTTACAGTTCCTTTTGCTCCTGCCTTTTGGAGGGTCCTGAGTTCTTGTCCTGTATCCAGAAAGAATGAGGTTATGCTGACAACTGGAGGGTGAGCAAGGTGGAGAAGAATTTTACTGGGTGATTGAACAGCTCTCTGAGGAGAGGAGACATGAAATGTGTAGCTCCTATCTGCAGGTAGGTAGTCGTGATGAGAATCGGAGGCTGGCTGAAACCAGGGTTTTTATGAGCTCAGAATGAAGTGTGTGATGATTGATCCATGAGCAGGAGGAAGTATGTGCTAATTGGTCCATGGGTGGGCCCAGAAAAAGTACTGCTTGAATGACATCAAGGAATTTCTCACTCCAGTTCATAGACTTCACCTGGAACTGGCAGTCCAGTCCCCAGGCTTCAGGCCCTCCCTGGCTTGAAGGTAGGGTTTCACCAAGGACCTGCCCCTTCCTGCCTAGGAACCTATCTTTTCCCACTACCATCAGTTTTGCATTCTTTTCAGCAATGAATGAAAGTTCGTGTTGCTTCACACTCATCAGTTTCAGATTTCAGCCATTCCAATAGATGTATAGTGGTATCTCATTATTATTTTAATTTCTGGTTCTCTTATGACACATGATGCTGAACATTTTCCATATGTTTACTTATCATTCATACATTTTCTTTAGTGAGCTGTATGTTCAAGTCTTTTGCCCATTTTTTAATTGGATTGATTGTTTTCTTATTAAGTTTTAGAAGTTCTTTGTATGTTTTGGATAACATCCTTCATAAGATGGGTCTTAAGCAGTTATTTTATCCTAATATATGGCTTGTGTTCTCCTTGTCATTGCCTTTCTTAGACAAGAAGTTTTTAATTTTTATGTAATCCAGCTTGTCAATTATTTCTTTTATGTAACAAGCCTTTCATGTTTTACATAGTCATGGCCATACCCAAAGTTATCTATGTTATCAATAAGATTTGGATGTCTTGTCTCCTTCAAATATCATGTTGAACTGTGATCCCCAATTTTGGATGTGAAGCATTGTGGGAAGTGCTGGAAAGTGGAGGCAGATTCTTCACGAATGGCTTGGTGCTACCCCTTGCTTTTTTTTTTTCTTTCTTTGTGTGTGTCTGTGTGTGTGTGTGTGTGTGTGTGTGTGTGTGTGTGTTTTGAGATGGAGTTTCACTCTTGTTCCCCAGGTTGGAGTACAATGGCGTGATCTTGGCTCACTGCAACCTCTGCCTCCTGAGTTCAAGTCATTCTCCTGCCCCAGCCTCCCAAGTAGCTGGGATTACAGGCATGCACCACCATGCCCAGCTAATTTTGTATTTTTAGTAGAGACAGGGTTTCTCCATGTCGGTCAGGCTGGTCTTGAACTCCCGACCTCAGGTGATCCGCCTGTCTCGGCTTCCCAAAGTGCTGGGATTACAGGCATGAGCCACTGTTCCCGGCCTCCACCCCCTGTTAATGAGTAAGTTTGGTTGTTCTATTAGTTCACAAGAGAACTTATTGTTAAAAATAACCTGGAACCTTATTATCTCTCTCTTGTTCCCTCTCTCACCATGTGAGATGCCTGCTTCCACTTTGCCTTCTGCCCTGAGTGAAGCTTCCTGTCTCTTATCAGAAGACAAGCAGATACTGATGCCATGCTTGTACAGCCTTCAGAACCCTGAGCCTAATAAACCTCTCTTCTTTATACATTGCCCAGTCTCAAGTATTCCCTTACAGCAATGCAAAATAGACTAACACAATTATCTCTTAGGAGTTTTATTTTTGTGTTTTATGTTTAAGTCTGTGGTAATTTTGACTTAATTTTTGCTAAGTGAGTAAGATCTGTGTCTAGATTTATTTTATGGAATCTCAATGTCTAGTTATTCCAGCACCATCTGTTGAAAAGACTATCTTTGCTTCATTGTATTGCCTTTGTGCCTTTGTCAAAAATTAATTGACTTTATTTATGTGGGTCTGTTTCTGGGCTCCCTATTTGTTCCATTGATCTATTTGTCCATTCTTGTGCTTTTGCAAATAGCACAATATCTTAACTACCGCAGCTTTATAGTAAGTTTTGAAGTAGGATAGATTCAGTCCTCTGACTTTGTTCTTTTCTTTCTGCACTGAGTTGGCTATTCTAAGTCTTTTATCTTTCCATATAAATTTTAGAATAAGTTTGTCAATATTCACAAAATAACTTGCAGGGATTTTTCTTGAGATTGCATTGAATCTATAGATCAATTTGTGAGAGTGAGCATCCTTGTCTTGTGGAATGCTGTCAACTTTTCCTCATTCAGTATGATGTTGGCTGAGGGTTTGTCATATGTGGCCTTTATTATTTTGATGTATGTTCCTTTGATGCCTAATTTGTTGAGGGTTTTTATCATGAGGCAATGCTAGATTTTATCGAATGCTTTCTCTACATCTATTGAGATAATCAAATGGTTTTTGCTTTTAATACTGTTTACGTGATAAATCACATTTTTTATTTGTATATGTTGAACCATCCTTGAATCCCCAGAACAAAACCTACTTGGTCGTGGTGTATTATCTTTGTGATGTGCTCCTGGATTCTGTTTGCTATTATATTGCTGAGAATTTTGGCATCTATGTTTATCAGGGATATTGACCTACGGTTTTCTTTTTGGTGTTGTGTCCTTTCCTGGGTTGTTATTAGGGTGATACTGCTTCAAAAAATGAGTTAGGAAGGGTTCCTTAGTTTCAGTGGGATTGGAATGTAGATGTACCAGTTCTATATACATCTGGTAAATTTTGGCTGTAATTTAAAAGCCTGTCCAAAAAGTCCCGGGCTTTTTTTTTTGAACTGTGAGATTATTTTATTACTGATTCAATTTCATTGCCCATTATTGCTGTACTCAGGATGTCTACTTCTCCTAGTTCAATCTGGGAAGCTTGCATATTTATAGGAATTTATTTCACCTAGATTTTTTAGTTTGGGAGCACACAGATGCTCAAAGTAGTCTATAGTAATCTTTATATTTCTCTGGTATCCGTTGTATTGTCACCTTTATCTTTTAAGTGTTTATTTGAATCTTCTTTCCTTAATTCTTTTTTAATCTGACTAATGGTTTATCAGTTTTACTGCTTCAAAGAAAAAAATGTTAATCCTTTGTATTTTTGCTTTTGTTGTTGTTGGTCTCAATCTCATTTAGTTCTGCTCTGGTCTTTGTTATTTTTCTCTTCTACTAGCTTTGAGTTTGGTTTAGTTTTATTTTTCTAGTTCCTAGGGGTGCAGCATAAAGTTGTTAATTTGAGATCTTTCTTTTTCATGTAGGCATTTAATGCTTTAAACTTTCTCTTAACATTGTTTTTGCTGTATCCAAGAAGTTAGGGTATGTTGCATCTCTATTGTCATTCATTTCAATAAACTTTTAAATTCTGCCTTAATTTTTTCATTTACCTAAAGATCATTCTGGAGCAGGTTGTTTAATTTCCATGTGTTTGTATGTTTTAAGAGTTCCTCTTGATATTAATTTCTAGTTTTGTTCCACCATGATCTGAAAAGTTACTTGATATGATCTTTTTAAAAAATTTATTGAGATTTGCGTTATGGCCAAGCATATGGTCAATTTTGGAAACTTTTTTTTTTTTTTTTTTTCTCTGAGATGAAGTTTTGCTCTTGTTGCCCAGGCTGGAGTGCAATGACGAATCTCCGAATCTCGGCTCACTGCAACCTCCACCCGCAAGGTTCAAGAGATTCTCCTGCCTCAGACTCCTGGGTAGCTGGGATTACAAGTGTGTGCCACTACTCCCGGCTAATTTCTGCATTTTTAGTAAAGACAGGGATTCACCATGTTGGCCAGGATGGTCTCCATCTCTTGACCTCGTGATGTGCTCGTCTCGGCCTCCCAAAGTTCTGGGATTACTGTTGTGAGCTACCACGCCTGGCCCAGATTTTTTATTTGGTTGTATAGTTTAACCTCCAATCCAGTAGGTGGTGCTTATGGGTAAGAGCTGCTGGCTGTGGCAGAATCTGATGGGTATGTGCTTGATCTTTTTTTCTGGGAGGGAACCTCTGTTGTCATAGATGATGAGCTTGTCTGCAGAATGCTCAATGTCCTGAGTTCTCTGCTCAGTACCTGGTGGGGGACAAAGCTGGGTGGAGATGGATCACTAAGCTCTTTCTTGGATATCCCAATGATGAGCCAAAGCACCTGCCCTTATAGGGGTGGCCAGGAGAGCTCATGGTGAAGTGTACCCAGGTCCCTGCTGAGGGTACTGTACCAGCTACACATCCTGCTCAGACAAATATAGTATATCTCCCTATCACACTCTTTCCCAAGAGCTTGTAATTTTTTGGTTCAGATAGACACTGTCATTTATCTCCAGATCGCAATATAACTGATGGCTGTGAAAAATGCCTATCCTGTGGCTACTGCCAAAATGGCTTCAGGGTGGAACCTTTTCCATCAGCCCAAAACAGCAACTTTGTGGCTCACCTGTGTTCCACTGCAGGAATGCTGCTGCTCCATGTAGGGAGGCAGAAGGGGCTCTCGCCTTTGTGCAGGCCTGGGCCAGTGAACACACCATCAGTGCGAGTGCAGCCATGCATAATAGCCCTAGAATGTCCAGCCTTTGGTGTACCTGCACTAACCCCCTTGGAAACAGCTGTGGCTGCATCCATACCATTGGGGGTGACAAGAGACATCCCCCTCTCCTTGTTCATTCCCAGGTAATTGTGCTGCTTGGCCACTGGGATGGAATCATATTCTTCCTTTACCGAGCCTAGTGCCACACCTGTGTCTCTGCTGGGAGGAGCACAATCACTTTCAGTTCACAAGTGGGGCGCTCTCAAGCAGAGGAGAGCACATGCTCTGGCTTCCTTTGTCCTAAGGGTCACTTTGGTATGCTGCACTCTCTCTTCCCCTAGGAGCAGCCCACCCTACAGATTAGATCTCTGGGAATCCCACGGATCTCCTGGGTCCTGCTAGTCCTTTGTGATTGCTGCAGGCTGAGCAGATTCTGGGGAAAGTTTGCAGGAAGACTAGTGGTGTGGTGATACAAGGGTTGACAATGCCTGGACAGGATAGGGGGGATGCACAGTGAGTGTACATCCAGCATGGCACTCATGGTCTCAGCTCAATTCTGGGGGGAGGGTGAATGAAACTGTGTAAACCACCAGACCAGGACTCCGCCCTGAAGGAGCTCCCAAATTTCTCAAGGCTTGGGCTCATGACAGTAGAGGTCTCTCTGACAGTTTGAAAGTCAGCAGTCTGCCACAGGGATGGGTGAAGCAGTAAAATGCCTCCACCTACCCTTTCTCTGGGACTACAAGATGTTCAGGGATAGATTTCTGCCAAACTCTACCCTCCTTTGTATGTTCCCCAACTTCTCCAACTTCTTCCTTTAGGTTCTCCGATATATTCTAGCACTCTTCACTCAGTATGCCACTTGGGTCATGATTTTTCACCTGTAACTTTGGTTCTACTTTCTGAGGAGAACTGGTGGCTGATGTCTCCAGTCAGCCATCTTGCAGGAAAAAACCCCAAACACTTAGCAAATTATTTAATTTAATTAACTAATTTATTTATTGAGACAAAGCCTTGCTTTGTGGCCCAAGCTGGAGTACAGTAGTGTGATCTCAGCTCACTGCAACCTCTGCCTCCAGGGTTCAGGTGATTCTTGTGCCTCCGCCATCAGAATAGCTGGGATTACAGGTACGAGCCACCATGCCCAGTTAATTTTTGTATTTTTAATAGAGATGGGGTTTCACCATGTTGGCCAGGGTGGTCTCGAACTCCTGACTTCAAGTGATCCACCTGCCTCAGCCTCCCAAAGTGCTAGGATTACAGACATGAGCCACCGCACATGGCCCAGCAAGTTATTTTAAATTCCTGGTTTGATAATTCCAACATTCTTGCGAGATCTTCTTACTTTGCTTCTGATGCTTGTTCAGTCTCTCCAAACTGTGTTATTTTTGCCCTTTATTATGGCTTGTAATTTTTTGTTAAAAGTTGGCATAATTTACAGGGTGAAAATAACTGTAGTAATTAAGTCTTTAATAATGTCGTGGTAGTATGGGGAAAGCAGGTATTCTATAGTCCTATCATTAGGCCTCAGTCTGTCGGTGAGCCTGTGCCCCAGACTAAAACTTCATCAGCACTACTCAGTTCTACCCTTGCCTCAAACACACCTTAGGTGCGAGAGGATGGCTTGAGGGTCCTGGAGTTAAATATTTCCTTCGCCTTTCTTCTAGGCTCTGATAAAACTCTAACAGGTTAGGCTCTGGTAGAATAGTTTCTCCTGAGGCTCCTGAGGGCAGACCTTTTTTTTTTTTTCATGAAACAGAATTCTCTGGATTATTCCAGAATGATTGATTTTCCCTTCTCCCTGCCGGAAGCACAGGGGAGACTTTCCTGATATTTTCTGTGAGAACCTAACAGTAGAGTTCCTGGAGGTGAACCTCACAAAACTGTGAGGACCTCTCTATGGCGAGATCTGCTTGTTGTTTTTCACACACAGATCTGCCCGCACGGAACCTCCAGTAATTCATCAATTACAGGTCAGTTTTTTCTAATCTGGCACTGATTCTTACAGAGATTTATGGTCAAGAGTTTCTGCTCTAGTGAGTTGTGATTCTCTGTGTTCAACTATTGGTCTCTCCAATTTTGGAGGTGGTGATTTGACTTGTGGCTTCATTTCTCTGATGGATTTGAGAATTGTTGATTTTTCAGTTTGTTCAACTTTTTACTTGTTGTTAGAGTGGCAACTTCTAAGCTCCTTACATGCCAGACTGGAAGCTGAAAGTGGTTAAATCATTTTAATAATATATCTTATTATTAACCAAGTTATTCACATGTCATCATTTTAACTTGTAGTACTAGCCTCACTGCGTGTGCTCAATACCCACATATGACTGGTGGCTCCTGTATTGAACAGCACAGTCCTAGAAATCCCTTCACTGGTGCTCAGATGTTGATTAGTGGTCTCTCCTAATGATGAAAGACATACTGAGAGATAGTCTATTATCCTCTAAAGTGGCACCCTTCTGAGAAATTTTAAGAGTATTTTTGACTATGACTACTTTGAAAATATTTGTTAAATTTAGACAAAAATCCTGTGAAAGTTGTGAAATATTTTAACTCCAACCAAGAGTTTGTGGGAGGCATATCCCATTAAGGTGACATTTAAGATGGCAGTTTTATTTTGAGGAATCTCTCTGTTTTGTCCAGATCAATGTTTTTAACTTGCACAGAATTTGGGAATAAGGCAACGCCTAGTTGGGGGAGACATATAGAGAAGAAGAGAAAAGTGAGAGGAGCGTCAAAGGCCTATTGTAGGGTCATTAAGGCAGTCGGTTTAGGAAAACAGAATGTAGTTTTCCTAAAGTATCTGGAGATACTCCCAAAGGCCATTGCTGAATAGAAACAGATCAATTTTTTTTGTCTATGGGTAGGGAAAAAAGCTGCAAAAGTGTGGGTGGAAAGGTGTCCTTTCTGAGGTTTAAGATAGAACCTAGTTTTTTTTTTTTGAAGAAAATACAAATGATTTTTGATTTAATGCAGTGTGAAGACTGAGAAATAATAGGAGATGAAGTTGAAAAGTTGGCAAAGGCTAAAACTGTGAAGGACTGTATACATCATGCTAAATAACTGAGATTATAACTGGCATATTGGAAGTATATTTGCTTTTTGGAAAACCACTGGCTTTACTGTGCAAGGTGGTTTGAAGAAGGGTAAGACTGGAAGCAGTTGGATCCACTGGGGTCTACATCTATAGCTCTAGTGAAAGATAATACAACTAAAATTCTGGTGGGAGGGCTCCAAAGGATGTGGGTGGATGACATACATGTTATGAGGCAGAAAAAAGCAGAGCTTAGAGAATAACAGGTTGGAAATTTGTGTGCTGCTAAGCATGTTTGTTGCTAGGGATGTAGTCTCTTTTTGTTGTACAATCAGTGCAAAAGACATCAGGCTTATTAAGAACTTGGATTTTAAATAGAATTAATTTATTTTATTCTAAAAGACCAAGGATAAATCACATAAATCCTCTAATAAATTCCCAAATCAGAGAGCATCCACACCTTTTTTAGCATTAAGCTTTTCAAATTTTAGCTTTTAGTGAGGAAAGCTTAATGCTAGATTTCCACAATCTAGTCCTGCCTTTATTTTGATAGACTCAATTTAATAAATTTATTGATATTTATTTCTACAGTCACGTCATAGGCATTTTGGATGGATGCTGCTTTTGTAAGGCAGGGTTGTGAGTTGCATTGAAAGTAAGTAAAAGCGATCTGCTCTCTTTCTGTAAATAACACTGTTTTTGCCATGCAGTATTCACCTTCCTTATGTTTAGGTAAAACAAATACCACTTTTTCTACTGAACATTATGATGACAAATAAGACGTGACTTAGATGCTTCATGTCCAAAACCATAGTGGTGGAGTACTGAGTGGACCTTTAGGGAACCACGTATGATGCCTTGTGGGAAGGACAGAATTTTCTACAGTGGACCTCTCTTAGAATTATAGCTGTGTGGAATGCAGTTACAGAGTTCCAGCAGGGATGAGGAAATTAAAAATAATCCCAAGAGGCTCTAGAATAGTAGGAGTAAGTATGGCAATGCCATTTAAGTGGTACTTATTTCTCAAGTGGATGGCAGTTTTGCTTATTGAGACGCCTAGTGCAAGCTGGGTTTGAAAGGAAATGACCCAGTTTTCCAGATCAACAAATAGCTGGAACTTGAACTCTCTCTGATAAATGTATGCATGAGCCTGTTTGTGCTGAGCATAGGGAAAAAGAGTAGTGCTAGCATGGCATTTCAAAAAACAATAGGATTTAACATCAGACAGATATGGATTTAAATCTCAAATCATTATTTGCTTGCTGTATGCCACTGAAGGATTTACTTTATGGGGAAAATGGTATGAAGCTATTGAGACTACCAGAAGGATCCTGTGAAATATATACTATAGCTTCGGGTACAATGTCTGGCAGAAAGTGTGTGGTCAACATGTTGTGTTTCTGTTTTTCTGAACCTGGGAAGATATAAATCTATGCCTCTGTTGCCTCTCATTTTTATCATTAACTCTAATTATCCCAAAATACATACTCATTGTAGTTATAAAATATAGGCAAGTCAAAAAAAAATAAAGGGGGATTGTTATCCATATTTGCTTCTTTAGGAAATAACCTAGTTAATGTATTATATACCTTTCCACATAGTATTGACACACACCCACACCCACACTTGTTTGTTTAAAAAAAAGCAAGAATAGGTTTATATTGTACATAGAACTTTATAATCTATTTTCAACAAATATACATGTATATAATATTTAGTATGCAAATTCACAAGTATACATAAAAATAAAGAGACAGTATAATGGATCCCTGTAATATATTCACTAATATATAGGTATAGCTACATTTTGGTTCTCTTACCCTGCCTCACTTTTATTTTTTGTTTGTAGCTGAGGTATTTTAAAGACAGTCCAAAAATTATATAATCCCCTGTATACTTCAGTATGTATCTCTAAAATACCAGGACATTTTCTCACATCATCATAAACGAAGCATTACACCTAACAAAATTACCTTTTAAAGTTTGAATTAGTATTGAAAATAACCAATGTAACAATTTTTTGTGTCTCTTATGTATATTTAAACCTAGCACAATGATCTTTACCTTTAACTTTTCAATGTCATTGATTTACTAAAGAAAATTGGTCAGTTGTTGAGGTTGGCAGATTAATGGCCCTGAAAGATGTTCTATCCTAATTCTCAGAACCTGTGAATATGTTACATTACATAAGAAATGGATTTTTTAGATGTGATAAAATTAAAAACCTTCAGGTGGAGATTATCCTGGATTATCCAGATGGGCCCAATATAATTAATCACAAGAGTCCTAAAGTGAAAGAGAAAGACACAAGAGGAAAGTTAGAGAGAAATGAGATTGCAGTAGAATGGTCAGAGGGATGCAACTTTTCTGGCTTTGAAGATAAAGGAAGTGGATCATGAATCAAGGAATGTGAGTGGTCTCTATTACATGGATAAAACAAAGAAACAGATTTTTTCAATAGAGACTCCAAAAAGAGTTATAGCCCTGACAATACCTTGATTTTTGCCCAGTGAGACTCATTTCAAACTTCTAACCTACAGAACTGTAAGACAACAAAGTTTGTGTTGGTCACTAAATCTTTTGTAATATGCTGCCCATAGAAAATCAGTACAGTTGACTGACAAAGTATTCCACTGTGAGTTAGTTTGTTTCTTTGTGATGTTGATGAACTTTTCCTCTTTATTTGTATTTATTGTAATATATTTTAGCTCTAGAAGCTTGAGTGCATTTAGATTAGACATTTCTTTTCCTGGAAAACACATCACAGGTGGTGTTTTCAGTTTTATAGTGCATACAGTCATACAATGTTAAATGTCTACATTTCGTACGCTTAGGAGGGCTGAGACTGATCATTCGGTTCAAGTGGTGGCAACTTTATTCTTTCATTATAAGGTTCCCAATTAACATTTTATTAATAAACACTGCCTGAATCAATGATTTTAACAGCAATTGTAAATATTGATTTTTAAAATTTCATCATTCCATATTTATTTGTTAGAATTTAACTTAAAGAATTTTCTTCTATCAACTCAGATGATTTGGTAAAACTAAAATAATTTGTGCAGAAGATCACAATCAATATCTTTTTTTTTCTTTTAAATGTCAAGTTTTAGAATAAGGAGTTGGTGCTATGGTTATCCTGATGGTGTAAAATTAGTCAGATTTCTTCCTTCCTTCCTTTTTTTCCTTCCTTTCCTTTTTTACTCCTTCCTTCCTTCCTTCATTCCTTCCTTCCTTCCTTGTTAAAAATAGCACTATGAACTCCTAGGTCTTTAAAATATTAATGTGTTTGATCAGTTGTATTCATTAATTTATTATTTATTTGTACACTGAATTGTTCACGGCCCTTTCATGTTGGCTCTATGCCATTTTCACCAGAGCCAAATTACTTGATAGCTTCTTTTCTCAGTAATAACAGAACATCACAGTCTGATCTTGTCTATTTCTTATCCCAGGTCTGTAATCAGCCATTCCTCCAATCACATATTGTGATATACATTTTGCCCATTATTCCATTTCATACATAATTATTATTATTTATTGAACTAATTCTCTACAATTGGACATTTAGATTATTTTCACTTGTTTTATATTTGTGTTCTCTGAAATGTAAGTAGGTACACTGAAATTAAAATATAACTTGTGATTATGTCTTAACTGTTTTGAGATATTAATTTTTGAAACAAATGACTATATTCATGTAACATGATATTTTTGTGGTTCTCTTTATGTGGTAGATATTGTGTTAGGCATTACAGAAATTAAAAGAACATAAGGCAGAGCCCTTGCTCTTTAGAATCAAACCTTGCAATTTGATTAATAAAGATACAATATATCTCTTAAGGATAAACTGTAAACATGCTAATAAAGATAATTTATTCATTTCAAAGTTTCTTGACTTCCTGTAGAAAACAGTAACCCTCTACCAACTGCCAAATTTTGAAATACATATGGTTACTTTAGAATCCATTATATGAGTCCTAGTAATTAGGTCAATGAATTAGAGAAAACATTGTCAAAGAAAAATTGCAGTGGGCAAAGTTAAATGGGCAAGAAAGACTTTATTCAAGATATTCCAACTGGGAAAGAGATTGAACATCATACCATTGCATCAAAGGTCTAAAGTTCTATGAATTGTGGTGGAGTGAGGGGAAAATCTTAGGCCACCTGTATTCACTAACAGGGTCTTGCCCAAAAGAAAACTTTCTAATATCTTAATGAAGACTGAAGCAAGGTGCCTACCAAAGTTAGGCACCCACCCTTTCTAAGATACTGAGATGTAAAAGACTTATCTTCATGAAAAATTACATTTCAAATAGGTGGTTCCTAGATACTTGAATATGACATTCCCTCTGTCTTAAAGATGCCAAGAAGCTTAACTATGGCAAATCTGTTAAAGAAATTTATATGCACAAGAAGGCAGGTAAAAAATTTGCAATTAAGTAATCTAGAGTAAATGCTGTAAGAAAAGGAAAGTCAGGGGCCTATATTTAGAAAGAAATTTAACTGAAATTTAGTAAAGCTGAGGAAGCATTAAGGTTATCTTGGTATTTCATAACACAAACTTGTATAAATGACATTATTTGCCAATGAATTGTATACTACAAAGGGAATCTGATTTCAACCCTCTTTTCTATCATAATATATTTTCTGTCAATATCCTTGTTGATCTGTCTTTCCTGATAATCTGATGTGCTAAATATCTGAGGACACAATGAAAAGACAATGCAAACTAATTGCAAATTAAATAATTTTACTTAATGAAGGTGGTATTAAGCTCAAGCTAAAAAGGCACTGACAAAATTATAGTAGAGGCTAGGCTCAGTGGCTCAGGCCTGTAGTCCCAGCACTTTGGGAGGCCACGGCGAGTGGATCGCTTGAGGTCAGGAGTTCAAGACCAGCCTGGCCAACATGATGAAACCCTGTCTTTACCAAAAATATAAAAATTAGCTGGACATTGTGGTGGGCATCTGTAATCTCAGCTACTCAAAAGGCTGAGGAAGGAGAATCGCTTGAAGCTGGGAGGTGGAGGTTGCAGTGAGCCTGGGCAATAAGAGCGAAACTCCATCTCAAAAAAAAAAAAATTATAACAGAGATAGGCCAACTAACCATTGAAAAAGAAAATTGGCAAGAGTGTTGACATAATTGGGCTTCAGTAGAGAATAATTAAAATATCAATAGATTAAGGAAGACTTGAAAATTTAATAAAAATGATTAACAAAAACATAGTGAAAATAAAGTCAAATGCAAAATCATTAATGTAGATTTATGCTATCACATAAATTGCCAGAAAAAGATACCATAAATATAAGTAATTGAACCATTATTTTAAAAAATAACATAAAGATTTAATATAATCAATGCAAGATAAGCATATTTTCCTAATGTTAGTTTCATTTGTAAATGTAAAGATCTTATTAATCATTTTGCTTACCATTAATATTCACAGGGATTTTTGTCCATTTGATGTGGACTAACTTGTATCTATATCAGTTATTCACAGGATTTTTGTCCATCTTATGCGGACTAACTTGTATCTATATCGGTTTTTCACAGGTAAGAAAAGATTCTTATTTTCCAAATGAGAAAATTTTAACAAATATTGAAATTTTGGTAATAGATGCAGAATAAAGGATAAGACAGAAGCTAGACTACTTTCTTTAGAAAATTAAGTGGAGCTATGCTTTTCATGGAATATTTTAAATCTGCACAAAACAATACTGTATATTGCTATAGGTGCATTTACACAATGATAAGCACAACTTCAAGGTGGTGATTTGGGGAAGGGTTTGAGTCGGAGGAAGTAAAGGATAGTGGTGGTGGAGCAATAACATATCTAATATCTTATTTTTAAAAAACAAATACATATGACACAAGGTTAACCTCTGAAAGAAAAAGAAACAGTTCTTTAAATTTAAATGTTTCTGTCTTTACTTTTGCTAAAATTGTGATTAATTTCTTAAATTTCTGTTTTTTTCACTAGAATGTAGTCTTTTAGAGGGAAGAAATGATGTCATATTCATTTTTGCATTGTTACCCTTGTTTAACCCAGCAATTTGCAAATAATAGCTATTTCTAATTCCATACTGCATTGAATTGGAAAGTTTTTAAGTTGTGAATTTAAGACTTATAATAATTTAAGTGAATTTGACATTTAAGATACCTTTTAAAATTTTCCTAATTTGTATAAAACAAATAATTAGTAAATTCAATTATGTTGATTAAACATAGAACAATAGTGATGGTTTTATTTTATAGAATATTTAATTTTGCTTTTTTCAATAAGAAAAATGCTTTCTTTCTTTCTCTCTCTCTCTCTCTCAGCTTCCAGTGGTACAAAGTAAGTAAAATTGCCCTGGTACCAAATGGTACTTATCAAAACAAGAGAAAGAATAATTTTAATTTTCAAAAACAGTAAACAAATTGTATCTGTAATTCAAACAGCTTTGAACTGACACTCCCTGCCAGAACTTCCTCTAGAGCATAGGTTTTACACTGTGGTGAGAAGGTGACATCATAGAGATCCCAATGGCCACGCTCAATGCCTCAACAATGCCTCAGGGTTTAATGACAGCTCTTTCACAATAAAATAGTTAAAGCTTTTTCAATTCTCCAGTATTCTGTAAGAGGTTAGCAAATAGATCAAGACTTCTTTTAATACAAACCTTTTGGAATCATACCTATCTGTCTATCTGCTTGTATTTATATATCAAATACTTACTCTGCAACAATGATACAATGTTTTGATTAAAGAAAAATTTATTGATCGTTTTTGTCTTTAGGAAATTCATTCTTTATAAATGCATTACACTTGGTTATGAACTATTTTAAGCAATCAGACATTTAGAGAAAATATTATTTCAAACGTCTGTATGTCTCTCACCCAGATTTTTAAAATGAGACTTTTTAATTCTTGGAATCCAGTAGTTAATAGCACTTACGAGGCTTCAACTTCTCAACTCATCTAGACTTCCAGCTTCTTTGAGAAAGCTGATGACAGCTATGAATTCTCTCTCAGAAAAATTTGCACATGTATGAAATGTTATATCCCATATCAGAGTGTTTATGAATTGTCCAAAGTCCAAGGTAAGAACTTGTGCTATAAAAAGAACCTTTTCTGGATTAACTATTGTGAATAAACTTCAGAGCTTCCATAGACACAATTATTTTATAAAACATAAGTGAGTCCGTAATAATACAAGGCAGCCGGTTGTTTAGAAAATCAAGATTCAAAATTATAGAATTTTAAAATAACTGAGATAATTTAAAAATATTGTTTGAATAACTAGTTATATCATTTCAAGTAACTTCTTGGTACTAAAATAAAATCCAGAAACTTGTTGCAAGTAGTGTGCAACACTGTCATGTGTGTGCGTGTGTGCGTGTGCGTGTGTGCACAAGTTATTTGAGGGTATCCTCTTATAGACTACGAAAACTAGGGAGAGTAGAGGTGAAAATACATCTCTTCTATCATGTTCAGCTCAGTTAAGCCACCATAGTTTCTACATTAAGCCACTGTGGGAAACACAAAGGAAATAAAGGTGAATAGGTATTTTTAAATAAAGTTGTATTTTTTTCAATATTATATAATACAATTTTGCTACCTCAAAAAATGTTTACTTTTCAGTAAACATTTCAGATTAGTTGAATTTGACTTCCCAAATATGAGTCACTTATTCTATAATGAAAGCCAATTAATTAGCTAATTAGTTATTACTGTGTTAGATCCAGAGGGTACATGTCCAGGTTTGTTACATTGATGTATTACATAATGGTAAGGTTTGAGCTTATAGTGTACTCATCATGCAAATTGTGAATATTGTACCCAACATAATTTTTCAGCTCTCATCCCCCTCCCACCCTCTTCCCTTTTGGAGTGCCCAGTGCCTATTATTTTCACTTTTATTTCCATGTTTACCCAATGTTTAGTTCTTAAACATAAGTGAGAACATGTGGTATTTGATTTTCTGTTTCTGAGTATTTTCACTTATGATAATGGCTTCTAGCTTCATCCATGTTGCTGCAAAGGATGTTATTTTATTTATTTTACGGCGGCATATTATTCCATAGTGTATATATACACCACATTTTCTTTATCTAATCATCAACTGATGGACACTTAGGTTGATTCCATGATGTCACTATTGTGAATAGTTCTGTGGTAAACATATGAGTGCAAGTGTCTTTATATATAATATATATATAATTGTTTCTTTACCTTTGGGTAGATACTCAGTAGTGAGATGGCTAGGTTGAATAGTGGTTCTAATTTAGTCCTGGGTTCAAGTGATTCTCCTGCCTCAGCCTCCCGAGGAACTAGGAGTACAGACACCCACCATCACACTCAGCTAATTTTTCTATTTTTAGTAGAGACAGGGTTCACCATACTGGCGAGGCTGGTCTAGAACTCTTTACCTTAAGTGATCCACCTGCCTTGGTCTCCCAAAATGCTGGGATTACAGGTGCCCACCACCATCCCTGGCTAATTTTTGTATTTTTAGTAGAGACGGGGTTTCACCATGTTGGCCAGTCTGGTCTTGAACTCCTGACCTCAAGTGAGCCACCAGCCTTGGCCTCCCGAAGTGCTGGGATGACAGATGTGAGCCACCGTGCCCAACCCCAGAACGATTTAATGAATTTGGTGTGCTTTCCTTATTGTTCATTTTTGTCAACCTGGTCAAAGATCAGTTTGTTGTAGGTGCGTGGCTTTGTTTCTGCATCACATATTCTGTTCCATTGATCTATGTGTTTATTTTTGTACCAACGCCATGTTGTTTTGGTTGCCTTATTATATTGTTTGAAGTTAGGTAATGTGATGCCTCTAGCTTAGTGCTTTTTGCTTAGGATTGTTTTGGATATTTAGGCATTTTTTTGGCTCCAAGGGAATTTTAGAATTGTTTTTCCAATTCTGTGAAAAACGGTGTTGGTAATTTGATAGGAATTGCATTGAATCTATAGATTGCTTTGGGCAGTATGGTCATCTTAATGATAATAATTCATCCAATACTTGAGTGTGGGAGGTTTTTCCATTTGCTTGTGTCATCTAAAATTTTTTCATCCATGTTTTATGGTAGTTCTTGCAGAGATTTTTCACCTTCTTGGTAAAATATATTCTTAGATATATATTTTTTGTAGCTATTATAAATTGGGTTGAGTTCTTGATTTGGTTCTCAGCTTGAGAACCAAATTATTAGATTATAGGATTTCTATACCCCAAAAACCAATTATTGGATAGGATTTCTATACACCAATAACAAATTATTCTATATACCAATAACCAATTATTCTATATACCAATAACCAATTATTCTATATACCAATAACCAACGTATAAAAATCAGTAGGATTTCCATACACCAATAAGCAATGTTGTATGGAAATGGTTATTGGCGTATAGAAATTCTATTAATTTTTGTACATTGACTTTTATATGCTGAAACTTTACTGAAGTAATTTATCAGGTTTAGGAGTCTTTTAGAGGAGTCTTCAGGGTTTTCTAGGTGTAAGATCATGTCATCAGTGAACAGAGATAATTGTATTTTCTTTTTTCCATTTGGATGCCTTGTTGCCTGATTGATCTGGTAGAACTTCTAAAACTACGTTAAATAGGAGTATTGAGTGTGGACATCTTTGCCTTGTCCCAGTTCCTAGGCAGAATGCTTTCAACATTTCTTCATTCAGTGTAATGTTGACTATGGGTTTGTCATATATAGCTCTTATTATTATAGGGTATGTTCCTTTAATGTCTAATATGTTGAAATTTTTTTTATCATGAAGGGAATGTTGAATTTTAATGAATTATTTCTGCATCTATTGAGATGGTCACATAGTTTTTCTTTTTAATTCTGCTTATGTGGTGAATCCCATTTATGGATTTGTGCATGTTGAACTATCCTTGCATCTCTTGATTAAAGCCCACTTGATCATGATGTATTATCTTGTTGATGTTCTATTGGATTCTGTTTACTAGTATATAGTTGAGGATTCTTGCATCTATGTTCATCAGGAATGTTGGCCTGTAGTTTTCTTTTTTGTGTGTCCTTGTGGATTTTGGTATCAGGATAATACTGATTTCCTAGAATAATTTAACGAGGAGTCCTTTCACCTCATTTTTTTTTTAATAGTTGCAGATTGGTAAAAGCTTTTCTTTGTACATCTGGTAAAATTCATCTATGAATCTTTCTGGTCCTGGGCTTTGGTTTTGGGGAAATTTATTATTATTGATTCAATATCACTACTCATTACTGGTCTGTTCAGGGTGTCTATTTCTTCCTGGTTCAATCTTGGGAGCCTGTATGTTTCAAGAAATGTACTCATTTTCTCTAGGTTTTGTAGTTTGTGATTGTACAGATGCTCACAGTAGTCTCTGACGGTCTTTGTATTTCTGTGGTATCAGTTGTAATGTCACCTTTATTATTTTAGATTGTGCTTATTTGAATTTTTTCTCTTATTTTATTGGTTAATCCAGACAGTGGTCTATCAATTTTGTTTATCTTTCTAAAGAGCTAACTTCTCATTTAATTGATACTTTGTATCATTTTTTGGTGTCAATCTCATTTAGTTCTGTTCCGATCTTTGTTATTCGTTTCCTTTTGCTTGCCTTTGGTTTGGTTTGTTCTTATTTTTCTAGTTCCTTGACACACAATTTTAGCCTGTTAATTTGAGATCTTGCCATCTTTTTGATGTAGGCATTTAATACTATAAACCTTCCTCTTAGCACTGCTTTTGGTGTATCCCAGAAATTTTACTATTGTGTGTCTCTATTTTCATTCATTTCAAACACTATTTTGAGTTCTGTTTAATTTCATTGTTTACCCAAAAGTCATTCAAAAGAAAGTTGTTTAATGTCCATGTACTTGTATATTTTTGAGAGTTCCTGTTGACATTGATTTCTAGTTTTATTGCACTGTAGTCTGAGAAGATACTTGATATGATTTTGATTTTTATAAATTTATTAAGACTTGCTATATGGCCAAGTATATTGCCAATTTTGGAGACTGTTCTATGTGCAGATGACAAAATGTATATTCTGCTGCTGTTGGGTAGAATTTTTTGTAAATGTCTATTAGGTCCATTAGGTATAGGGTCCACTTTAAGTCCAGAGTCTCTTTGTTGATTTTCTACCTCAATGATCTGTTTAGTGCTGTCAGTGGGGTTTCAAAGTCCTCCACTATTATTGTATTGCTATCTATTTTCACAGGTCTAGTAGTATTTGTTTTATAAATCTGTTCGCTTTGGTGTTTGTGTATGTATATATGTATATATATATATATATTTAGGACAGTTAAATCTTCTTGTTGAATATTTTATCACTATATTATGACCTTCTTTGTCTTTTTATACTGTTGTTAACTTAAAGTCTGTTTTATCTGATATAAAAATAGTTATTCCTTCTTGCTTTTGTTTTCTATGTGCTTCATATCTATTTTTGCACCACTTTACTTTGAGCCTGTGTATTTCTTCAGATGGTTAGGTCTTGTTTTTATCCAGTTTTACAGCTTAGATCATTTAAGTGGAGTATCTAGGCTATTTATGTTCGAGGTTGATATGAATATGTGAAGTTTTGTTTCTGTCATAGTGTTGTTGTCAGCTATTTCTTTTGTAATCTCAGTTGTATAACTGCTTTATAGAATCTATGAACTTTATTTTGGCATGTGCTTTTATAATGGCAAGTATCATCCTTTTATTTCCATGTTTAAAATTCCTTTGAGAATGGTGACAAATTCCCTTAGCATTTTCTTGTCTAGGAAAGTCTTTATTTCTCCATCATTTATGAAGTTTACTTTGGCATGGTATAAAATTGTTGAATGACTTTTTGGAAATAAGTTGAATGAAAACTAAAGATAGGCTCATAATCTCTTCCAGTTTGTAAGGTTTCTACTGAACAGTTTATTGTAGACTTATATGATTTTCCTTATTGGTGATTTGATCCTTTTCTCTAGTTGCCGTTAAGATTTTTTCTTTCACAATGACCTTGGATAGTCTGATGACTATATGCCTTGCTGATGTTCATCTCATAGAGTTTCTTCCAGGTATTCTCCAAATTTCTTATATATGAATCTCTACATCTCTAGCAAGCTTGAGGAAATTTTCTTGAATTATTTCCTCAAATAGGTTGTCAATTTTTTTAAACTTTTTCTTCTTTTCACTCAAGAACGCCTATAAGGCATAGGTTTGTTCACTTCACGTAGTCCCAAATTTCCTAAGATTTTTTCATTTGTTAACATTATTTTTTCTTTATTTTATTCCGAGTTCATTTGAGAGACCAGTTTTCAAGACCTGAAATTCTTTCTTCTGCTTCATCTAACCTATCTTTAATGCTTTCAACAATATTTCAAAATAGCTTCAGAGATGTTTTTATTTCTAGAATTTCTGTTGTTGTTGTTTTTAAAATATATCCATCTTGACTTTCATATCCCTACTTGTTTTTCTGATTTCTTTGTGTTGGTTTTAAATTTTCTCCCTCTTTTTTTTTTTAATCACTGAACTTACTTGAATCCCATGTTTTGAATCTTTACCTGTCATTTCAGAATTTTCATTTTGGTTACAGTCTATTGCTAAAGAGCTAGTATGATGCTTTAGGGGTGTCAAAGCACTCTATTTTTGTATTGACAGAGATCTTGCACTGATTCTTTCTCATCTGAAAAGCTGTCACTTCTTGTTTTTGATTTTTCTTTCATTTGGATGGAACTTTTTAATTTCTTGTTGAACATATGAATGTATGTTGTGTATGACCATTTGCTTCATTTCTGGGTGTTGAGAACTGATTTAAAAGCAGGAGTGAATATACTCAAATTCTCTTTATAGGCAAGTTGTTGAACAAAATGTGTCCTTTTATATAACAAGTTGCTAGTAACTTGTATGCATTTTCTACATCTGTGTAGGTCTGATTTCTCTCTAAGGCTGAACAAAACTATCCTGATAGCTAAACATAGACTACATTGCTTTCAGTAAATAAAATGAGTTCAGGTACATCAGGGATTCATTGTGTAGCTGCATATCTGGAAATTCTCCAAATTTACTTTCATATATAAGATAATGTTTATAATGGATAAATAATAAATATGTGCGAATTTGAAGCTTACATGTATATTATTAAACGATGTCTTCAACAATTGTTTAGGATATTCACTAATAACATTTTTTTCAGAGAGAAACATTTTATCACTGAAATTCTTTGTAATTACTGGTGCATGGGATAATTAAAAACAGACCAAATGAGTCTGTTTTATTATTGTTTTTAATTTCTCTACAGACAATGAATTATCTTATTGCCTGCTTTGGCTGCTCAATCATTGGCATGCCACTAGTTTCAGCACAAGGGAGTCTGTTAGCTAACAGAGCTGTAAGTCAGTAACTCAGTTGTAGCTCTGTGTCTGTAAGGAGAATGATGTGTGATGTTATGCTCCATCCACTAAATATCTGTGTTTCAATTCCCTCACCTGCAAAATAAAGACAATCAGATTACACAATTCCTGAAATTCAAGCTCTAAAATGCAACTACTTAGCATTTAGCAATAAGGAATGTTGGAATGTGTTTGTGTTTATGAAGCCCATGTTTGGAGATAGACATTAACACTGCTGTAGGAAGCATAAACCCTGGGCTCTAACGACTCCTCTGCACGGCCATCATAAGGAAGTCTTTAACCTATTATCTTACATAAACCTCACTTATATTATTTGTAAAATGAGAGAACTACACCAAATGATTCCAATGTTTCTTGTCAGAGTGTTCTATAAGTCTGTATCTTATTTGTATAATTCTCCAATTTTTAAGCATAATTGTTTATTGTCCACTAGACATATTCTTTTACCTATTGTCATGGAGATAATAGAGTCATATAAAAATGAGAGTGTAATAAAACCTTTGTGATAACTAGTAGAGTTAAAAAATCAAAATTGTAAAATATTAAATTTTTTCATATTTCATAATGAGAAAATCTACATTTATTACATAGGGTTACAATTCACTGCAATTCATTGTTTTATCCATTTGAGCACAGTTCAGGCAGAACTATATTATCAAAAAAAAGTCTACTTTTTAGAAATAGTCGTTGTTAACTCAGGCTGCTATAATTAAAATACCATAGACTGGGTGGTTTAAACAACAATCCATTATTCAAGGAAACTGAAGTTTAAGATCAAGGCACTGGCAGATGTAGTGTCTGGTTAGTGCCTAATTCCTGTCTTGTAGACATCCTCCTTCTAGTTATATCCTCACATGGCATAGAGCACTAGCTCTAATCTCTTCCTTTTCATATAAGGACACTAAACCCATTGTGGGACTCCACCCTCATGATTTCATCTAAACCCAGTTACCTCTCAGCGGCCCACCTCCTAATACCATCCCATTAGGGGTCAGGGTTTCAACATATGAATTACGCGGGGACACAAACATGCAGTCTTTAACAAGTTGCAAGTAACTTGTATGCATTTTCTATACCTGTGTAGGTCTGATTTCTCTCTAGGGCTTCAGCTCAAACTTAGAGATCATCTTCATGGTCATATAACTACTAATCTCTCCACAGTTAAGACAAGCCAATCCCTTTTTTTTTTTCTTTTTTTTGAGATGGAGTCTCCATCTGTCGCCCAGGCTGGAGTGCAGTGGTAAGATCTCCGCTCACTGCAAGCTCCACCTCCCGGGTTCACGCCATTCTCCTGCCTCAGCCTCCCGAGTAGCTGGGACTACAGGCGCCCGCCACCATGCCCGCTAATTTTTTTGTAGTTTTAGTAGAGACCGGGTTTCACCGTGTTAGCCAGGATGTTCTCGATCTCCTGACCTCGTTATCCGCCCGTCTCGGCCTTCCAAAGTGCTGGGATTACAGGCATGAGCCACCGCGCCCGGCCGCCAATCCCTATTTTTTAACCCTTTCCCACATCCTAACCTCTAGTCTTATTTACTGAAGTCCTGCCTTTCTTCAATCTCTTTGTATTAGTCAGTTTGTGTTGCACATGATAGTCTGCTGCAGACTGGTATTTTGGGGGTTAAAAAACAGAAATTTATTTTGTCACAGTTATAGAGGCTAGAAGTCTGAAATCAAGGCACTAGCAAGTTGATTTTCTCCTAAGGCCCCTTTCCTTGGTTTGCAAAGAATCACCTTCTCATTGTGTCCTCACAGGGTTCTTTCCATGTATGAGCACAAGACCCTGGTATCTCTTCATTTTCTTATTGTGTCACCAGTCTTATTAGATTAGGGTCCCATCCTTATGGTCTCATATTGCTAATTGTTAATTACCTCTTTAAAGACCCTTTCTCCAAATACAGTCACATTGTGGGAAAGATAGGGATTCAATCTATTAATTTGGGGAAGGGGGTGGGTGGCATAATTCAGTCTGTAACACTTTTAAGCTGTCTGATGACTCACGGAACTTGCTCTGTCTTTAACCTATCTTTATTATTGTTATTCAGAATTATTCATTTCCTGAACAAAATAAATAATTTTTAAATACTTAATTAATATGGTTTGTTTCCTGTAAGTTGCCCTGCATGTCTTTATCCTAGATGTTAACAACTTACATTGCACTTTCTTAAGATCCCTTCTGCTTTGAAGAACATGAAGGGGTTAAAGTACAAAATGTACTTCAGAAGGCTTGTGAGATTAATGTGAGTAAAGCCTCTGAAACAGCAGTTTAGAAACATTACATCAAAGGGAACTTCAATAAGTGAAGTGAATTAGGCTATGGCAGAGGTAGGTGGATAATGTGTCTGTGAAGTAGCCTGATCACAGAATGTTCAGGATGGCAGGTGCATTCAAGCCAGGAGGACCGGATGGACTGCAGCCACCAGGGTGATGAGTGAAGTGAGAGCCAGGAGTTGACAATAATGGAGGATTTCTCAAGAAAAAAAAGAGGGATGGAATGATTCCACTTGTTTTATTTCCCAAGAAATTTCTTGATATCCCAGGGACATTTTTTCTAAATGATTTGCTTCCCTCAGCATTTTCATTTTTGGATCTATTTCTTGTCCCCAAGAATTGTAAATCCAGTCTTCTGGCTCATTTCATAACTTTCCAGTTAATGACATAAACAATCTGATTCCCCAGCTTTCTAAAAAGAAGAAATTGAGGTTACAAATTATTTTCTTTCTTTCTGTGATTTCATGTCACAGTGATTTTAAAAATTCTTAATTGAGACATGTTACTCATCTGTTTAACAACCTAGTGACCCTTCTTTTCATTCAAACTAAAAGCCAGAGTCATTATGAATTATGCGAAGTCCATGGTGAGCCTGGCCCAGTTGCCTCTCTCACCACAGGTCCTGTTGCTTTTCCCCTTTCTTTCCCTTGCTCTCCCCAGCCACACCAACTTGCTTTCTTTCTATCCAAGGCACTTATTACTTTCCAGTAAATTATCTAATGTATTCATTTACTTTGTGTGTTGTCTAATCTTTTCCGTTGCAGCATAAATTCTGTCATGACAGATTTTTGTCTGTTTTGTTAAATGCTATATCCTGAGTGCCTAGAAAAGTATCTGGCATGAGTAAATTTAATACCAATTAAATGATGGCGATTTGTTTTGGAAGCAAAATGAGATCCTAAATTTATCAAAGACTTTAAACATTGGAAAGTAAAATCAGTGGATTTTTGATTAGCTATTGTCCTTTTATTTATGTATAATTAGATACCTGACTTTGTTTTGTTTTACTTGAGATACTCTTCATTTTAATAGATAGTCCTTGATGATGTAAATAACCATGATCATATGTATTCGCTGAATTTGCATTGGTAATAGTCCGTCCCTTCACATTCATAACTTCATTCTTCTAAAATCAAATCCTAAGGGATGTGAAATAGATAGAAGTGTTAAGAAGCAGAAAATAGAAAGAGAATGGGTATAGATCAGACTCATACTATACTCCTTTCTGCCTTTTCAGTTACGTCAATACTTTCTTTTCTGTCTTTCAATGGGGTGCTGAGGAATATGGGCTGAATTCTACTCTACTTAATGTCAGTGGACTTCTGTATGAGAGGCAAAGTGAAGAAAATGAAAGGAATAGACTTGTGGAGGACAGAGAATCTTTCTTTTCTTTCCAAATTACAATGTATTATGTCTTTTTCTCTAGGAAAATAAAACATTTGTATTTGAAATTTATTTTCAAGGTATGCTTTTCACAGGTTACAGTAACAATTTTCTACATTTGACATATTTTTATATGAACATTTTTGAAAGCACAGCAGGAAAGAAAATATCTGATGCTCTCTCTCTGCAGGTTTGCTTCTTTTTACTGTGACTAGAAGTGGAAGGACCCGACAACACAGCAAGCGGCAGGGCATGCTTGGCAGAAAAATACAGCTCAAAGACAAAAGATATAAAACAAGATATAAAACATCAGTTATGTGTTAGAGAAGGGTGTTCAGTTAATGATCACAGCAGATGAAACTTGGTTTACACAAAACCTTTAGTCTTCGAATATTTTGTGCTCAACCTTGAAAAAACAGGCTCATTAGTCAGAAAGAATCTGCTGTAATTATTCTTCAAGTTAGAAATTCCTTTGGGAATGTGGTCCATTCCAGCTATCTGATAATAGATCACTCAAGAGAAATTTATTATCCCTGATTTTGGAGAAGCCTCATTGCAGATTCTATCCTACCTTGTTAAGCAGGATATTACTCTGAAATCCTTTCCCTTCTCACTGGGACATCATCCAGACACCAGCAATCTTACAAGACTACTTCTTTACGGAGCTGAAGAGGGTATCTATCTATCTTGAGGAAAAGAAACTGAGCAATTTGGCAACTGCTTTAATCTATAAATGCATAGTAAAGGTAGGAACTAGCATCTTTATTGAATTTACAATGCCCTTCCCATATACATTATTTCGGGCCATCTTCTAAACAGCAAGTATGAGTTAGGTGGAAGCAACGTGTATTTGTTCTTGGTACTTGTTGCTAGCAATTTTACATTACTTGTAGCTTAAATGAGATTCTGCTATATTGGCTTGTGTGAACCCAGCTGAAAGGATCAATAGTTTCTCCCACATGGCACATATTACTTGTTATGGCTCATACCAAAACTCAGGATTAAATTTTACCTGAAAAATTGGTGTAATGCATCTCCTGAGAAGGCATCAGAACGTAAGGTAGTGGCCATTGATTGCTCCTACTCAAATGACAGAATTTTAGACTTCAGAGAGGCTATTAATATGCAAAACAACAACAAAACATAAGATCAAAAGTTAAAAGAAATGTATAGTACATAAGTGTAACAATCGCTGGCCAACTTAACAAAACAAAGAAGTCCTGGTAACCTAATTTCTGGCATCAGAAATACATAATTGATGCCAAATGTTACTATTTTAAGATAATCTTTAACACCACATGTGGTGGTCCCTAAGACTGTCCTCAGTTTCAGTTATTCACTAAGTGGACTCACAGGATTCAAAAGGTCTTATACTCAGGATTACAGTTTATGACAGTGAAAAGAGTGAAAAGATACAGATTAAAATCAGCCAAAAAAAAAAAAGGTACATGGGCCAAGTACAGTGCAGTCTCATAGGAGAAACCTAATTTTCCCAGCAATGATGTGGGCCAACATGTGTGAAGAGTAGCAACTCTTCTGGCCAGCAGGCCAGAAAAGCTCACTTGAGCCTTGGCTCCCAGGGTTTCTACTGGGGGGTCAGTCAGTAAAGCACTGCATATTACTTAATGCTCAGCCATTCTGCTACTCAGACCCCAGACTACCAGAGAAAAGAACAATTGTTCAGCATAAACCACATTGTTAGCATAAGCTATTTGGTCAAATCGTTAGCATGGTCCAAGCCTGCCTGCATACAGAAACATTTTGTTAGACAAAACCTTCCAAGGGCTCAGAGCTCAGCTGTCAGGAGCCAGTCAAGGCCTAGTCCTGAAAAAAAGGTCTCTCTTGGGAACCTGTGGGGTTTCAACAACCCCGTCCTACTAATTTAATCCTTTCTTGTACACTGTAGAATTTCAATGTGGAACCAATAAAATCATTAAGTGAAGAAACATTTTTGATGCCATTGTAAAGTCATTCAAATATTCTATATATATTGATCATGTTGATTATTTTTATGTTTAATTTACTGCATGTTTATAAACAATCTTCAGTTTTTCCTAATTGTACATTGGTTTACTCTTTACCTATTTACCTTTTTAAAAAAGTGTCTGTATTTTAATTAAATAACATGTACATGGTTTTAAAACCAAAAATTTCAAACAGGTAAAAATATTCCTTATCTACAATTCAAGTTTTTAGAAAGCTTTGAAAAATAAAAGATAAAACATATTTGTTGTAAAACCGTACCTAAAGTTACATAAGGCTATTTAGAATCTTTGTTTTTTGTAATCTATGAACTATGAACTTTCAAATGTTTCACATCAGAAATATGAATAAATGTGATTGATTATAGGGTGCTGCCCAATACTCCTTTGGAAGTGTTACATAATACATATTATTTTTTGCACTCTATTGCCTCTCTAAATTGAAAATTACTGAATTCTGAACTCTTAATCACCAAGGATTTGGATCTTTACAGAGACCCAGCTTACACACTCACTGTAACACAATTTTGTGTTTCATTTTCCAGAGGCAGTACCTTCAACTGTTTGCTTAATGATATGCTTTCTAATATTTTTTGAATTTTCAATTTTGGTCAATGTATATTGACTTACTTATAGGAAAATGGAAAATGACAATTTATTTCTCTCGTATTAAGTGAAACTTAACTCTCCCGTATTTTCAAAACAGTTATATTTGGGGGATGTTTAAATTTGGAATTAACATTGTTAGTGAAAGCAGAGCTATTTTGTTAGAGGATCTTGTGAGACAAGGTATTTAATCATCACATGATATTTAAAAGGCCTGGTTACCAACACAGCACATGTATACATATGTAACAAACCTGCACGTTGTGCACATGTGCCCTAGAACTTAAAGTATAATAAAAAAAAGGTTAGCCACTTGAAAAAATAAAAAATAAAAATAAATAAATAAAAGGCCTGGTTATTTTACTGCATTCATACTGAGTAACTAATACTGTAGTAACTGCGAACATCTTGTTATGAATTAGCACATAGTGAATATCCAGTGGGTTATTGTATATTCATCCCATTGATACATGATAATATTTTTGCCTTTATTACATGGTCACAGAACAAGCTTCAATTACAATTTGAAAATGCAGTGCTACTTCAAACATGCCCAGGATCCAAATACTGCTCCTTGACTCTTACTTGAGGTGTAGGTGACCCATGTAAATAAATTATTTCCAGAGAAATTTCCCCTGTATGTTCTAGAATCCATGAAAAATGGGTGGAATAGGAGCGGAATCAGCATTTTCTTCTTTTCCTGAATGAATAAACTTAAACAATAGACATAATTGGGGATCAATATCACGGATGGGTGGTCTAGTTAAAATTTATACATATATAGTAATTTCTAAGTTCTTTCTAATTTTAAAACACGTTTCCCTGAACCATCCTATCATCTGTTTAAATATTTTGAGCAAACTAACCACCATTCTGTGTGTCATATTTTGAGTTGTTCTGTTATTAATGAATAAGAAATATTTTAATTTTACTGTTTCCAGGCATAACCTGCAAAGTACTCCTTTCACATCTCTTAACTTCTGAAGTTTCCACAATTTTCACTTATCCTTTAGTTAATAAAATTCTAAGTCATTTTGAAAGTTCCACCTCAAACTCAATTTAAATGTAACCTTCTTCTCTCCATCATAGGCTTGAGTTGTATTTCTGTTTGGAGTAAAGGGGGAAGACGTGGGCAACCATGCTAAACACATCTTTAACATTTTTGAGCTATTACAAGTGTTGTAGTCACACAGACATGAGAGATAATAATTTCTATTATAAGCAAGTTTGTATTGGTCACAGGGCAGTGTCAATTTGTCTGAGGTCATCTTCTGCTGGTGGAACACAGCTCCACCAATGTGATTGTCTTTTATGGGATTTGCACAAGTTTCCTTGGGAGGAGTGATCAGTTTCATCTAATTCTTTTTCATTACTGAAGAACCTTTAAGAAAAAGTCAGATGGTTCTCCTTTAATCTCATCAGTGGTTCATGTCCCCAAGTCTTTCTTGGTAAATTGTCCACGCAAGAGACTTGATGTCCCTGGGTGTTTCCTAGTGCCTGACATCTATTTGAATGTTTGTACCCCTTCATGAAAAATGCCAACTTCTTCTTCTACTGCTTTTAAGGGAAGGTGTCCAAGAACTAGGATTATACTTCTTCACCAAAATATTGTAACTGGTTTGTTGCTCTTTCTTTTGATACAAGATTTTCTAGCAAGTTTCAAGTTCTTAGAAACCCATAGACTAGAAATGGATACCAATCTTAATGTGTAAACACTGCCTCAAATTGCAGAGGTTATATGTCAAATGCACCTAATAACTACCTCCCTATGATTAATTTCATTCTAATTGTGGCACAAGGATGAAACTCAGGATCCTACAGCTCATGAGTTATCCACCCAAGGAATGAAGTGATCACCTTCCCTTCTCAAATCTTTGGTTGTGGTTGAGCTAAAACTTTCTGCCATGAAACTTGACTTGGGGGCAGAAGACATTCTTGTTCCTTTAGCAGAAGAACTTTTGTTCCCATTACTAACATTTATTTCTCATAAAATAGAAAGCTTGTATATTTATGTTGAAAAACCCTCTCTCCTGTCCCATTTTTTCTCCTCTCTTTAAGTTAGCCAGGAGTGGAATGTGGCAGTGGTAAGATTTTAAGGACGCTAAGCCCTCAGGAATTGTGTCTGGCTCAGTTTTTTTTTTTTTTTTTTTTTTTGCAATTTTTAAATGTGAGAATAATTGTACCTTTGACTTCAATCTTTGAGCTTTGCTCAAAAACATTCTATAATTTTAATTTTTACTGTTAAATAAATTATAGCATTCTTGTAAACAGTATATAAATCAGAGGTCAGCAAACTATGCCCCATAGACCAAATCTGCTTGCCAACTGCTTTTATTGAAACATAGTCACACTCATTTGTTTACTGTCTTTGGGTGCTTTTATGTTACAACAACAAAGTTGAGTTTTTGCAACAATGACTGTATCTTCCACAAGCCTAATATGTTTATTATCTGAACCTCTATAGAAATGTTTGCCAATTCCTGGTCTAAATAATTTCTGAATGTATATTCTTTAGTTTATCACTATCATCATCATTTTATAATAAAATCCATCATAAAATTAGAGTTTTGTATATAGCAAGGAGGGGTATATGTCTTAGGTTTTGGATTGTGTTGTTGCTAATTTTTGCAAAAATCACTTATCTTCTGTATTTTCCATACCTAATAATGACTAGTATATATCAGACACTCAATAACAAACGAGCAGAACTGACTCGGAGTCCAGTTATGGCTTATGAATGGCATAATCCTGGTTTCCTGGGGTTAGCCACTATAGAAATTTCTCTTTTGGCCATCATTAAATAATGTAAACCATTTTCTACGATGCAAATGAAGCTGCTGTGTTTTGAGAGGTTCACCTAGGAGCCTGCTCCTAAGGACCTACCAACTAGGATTGTCCTATCCAAGAGTGTGAGCTCAATCTAGTTTCAATTCCCTTCTTTACTGCTTTCCCATGTTTCCATGGGAACCATCATCCCCTGAGGCTTTTTTTCCCTGAAATACAAAGTATTATACCTGACATGGTCTTCAATATTTTATAAGCTGGATCTAAAACTGAGATCTGTGTTGCTAAGTGTAGTGAAAGAAAATAGCTGGAATCTTACAGACTTGTGTTTGAGTCCTGACTGTGTGACTGTCAGCAAGTTGTATAATTGTTGTGAGCCTTGCTTTCCTTTTCTGTAATGTAAAAGTAGAGAACTGATGTAGCTTTTGTAGTCAGGAAGGGAAAGTCAAAGGACATGATTACATAAAGCATTTATCTCAGTGCATTATCCATAGTACAAATTCGATAAAATTAGCTTTCTCTGCTCTCTTGAAAAAGGAATCTAAGTTCAGAAAAGGTAATTGCATTATACAGGCAGTTTGTATTTTTAGAGTTCAAAAAAGAAACAAATGAGGGGCTGATGTATTTAGAGAAAGTTTTTGAACATTAAGGACAGTTCTCCTAAGACTTGAAAAGCACAACTACCTCTGATGTACACTGAACTTTCGTTAAAGCTCCTCTCTTGAATTTAATGATATTATTAGGAGCAAAGCCACAGGTTAACAAAGACCATTGCAACCAGTATAGGTGGGAGAGTGGGAGCAGGCAGTTCTGCCTAACTTTGCCTAAAAGAAGTTCAGAGGATTTATTCAGATTTTCAGATATATTTAACAGTATCCACAGCCATTGAAGTAGAAAAGGCATCAACTAAAGGTTATTGAGAAAGTTACACAATTTCAGGAGGGTTCAAGTCAGGCTTAGAGGCTAATGGTGTTGGTTAATCAACAAAGAGATAGCTAACTCCATAGCTTAGAATTTCAAGAATTCTCTAAACAGAAAATGGATTATCTAAATACCCTGGACAATTAAAACATGACAACTATTCACTAGAGAAAGTTTACAGTGGGAGATTTTATGAAATTAGGATTATGATGTAAATAAGATGTATTTTACACAGCCTATAGACTTGGGAACCTGCAGAGTACTGCAAACCAGTCATCAGTTTACTGATGAGTTCATAGTGATTGGAAATTAGGTGTTTTTCATGACTCTACATTACATCTTGCTGGCATTTTGGAGAGAGCAATAACCAACTCTTGTTTTTACACTCTATCCTTGTGCCCACAGTTTTGAACACATCAATAAAGATGGGCAACCGCTTTCTACTCTTTATGTATAAGGTTAATTGAAATATTTCATAGGATTTTTAGCTGCATTCGGGGTATATTCAGTTTCCTCTTCCAAATTTGCCAGCCCTGGGCAGAAACAGGGGTTTGGAGAGGCAGGCAAAGAGAGGCCAATAGTGCATTTTAGAAGAAATCTCAAGAAAGCACAATCCCAAAGTAATGGTGATTACCCTGTAACATGACACCTATTCTATTTGGCGGCCATTGCTACAAAAGAAGCAATCCTAGAGCTAGAAGACAAATTGATACCATATTTTAGATATATTTGAATATCAGTGTTGGCATCTGAACATCAAAGCTATTACAGGTTTTCCTTTACTATCATGTGAGAGCCATGTATTAGCGATCTTTACAAATAGATTTTGTTCAGAGGCAGCGGTCTTGGGTTATTTAGTCTGCAATATTTCTGAAAATCAAAGGCTGAATAAATTTAGCTTCAAAAGGGAATAAATATATTGAGAAAAGCAGAGGACCAAACTTGGGCCAGTTCTCCCACATCAAAAAGTGAGTAATCTTATTAGAGGCAGACACTGGGAGGTAAATGTCTTTCTTGACTCTTCAACCTCTTGCGAAATCATCTGGTTTCCCAGAAAACACTTAGTGGCTGTCATGTGTGTACAGATTTTTATACTTGTGTTGAGTACATGTGAGCTGTATATCAATATGTACTACAGGTGATAAAGTTGAGAATGTCCCATTTACTAGAATTCTTCTGATAGTACATGTAATATTTGAGTGATTTCTTGATAGGTTCATTTAAGATGGAATTTGAATCATTGTGAGCCTGAGTGTCAGATAATACTGACATTTATAGAGAAGGGAGTTAATCTGCATTCCAAATGACAAGGTGTTTTGTTTTGAATATGTTTTGACTATTTGTATTTTTTTTGAAAACGGGAGAAGGGTATAAGAAAGAGAAATGAGGGGAATGTATGCAATTTAGAGGTCATGTGGCTGTAAGCCCACTCTCTATTTTTCATTTCTAGTGAAATTTACTAAAATTCATGATATACTTATTGAGAGCTTTGTGGACACCCATATTTGGGAAGAATAAAAGTAATGATGTGAAAGAGTAGCATGTGTGAAACCACAGAAATGGAGATAGGAGGTAATTCTCAGGAATTAGCAGAAATTTAACTTAGTGAGTTTTTTTTGTTGTTGTTGTTCTATGCAGCTTCATAGTAAACTTACTTTGCTCTTGAGGGCTGGAGAGGCCCCAGAAGACATTTAGGCTGCACTCATGTGCCCATGTGCCTGCTGCAGGAGAGGTTTCCCTCATTCTATGATATTCTCCGCAAGAAACAAGATGGATTTGACTTTTGTGGAGTTACTGAACCAGAGCCAGCAACTTACACACAGTTACTGGTTGTAATACTTGCCTCTGCAACTCTATAGGATGAACATAGATGTGACTCAGTAGTGATTTAACAACCATCAATCCACCCTTAGGATAATTTATATGAGCCAGTAATGTCACTTGCTGCCACACAGACATCAGCAATGGAGCTGTTGCATGGGGAATTGCCCTATGGGCCTACAGGGGAAGAAAAGAGAAAAGGATAGATTTTATAGAGCAGTCACATTTTTTCTTTATTTTTGTATTTTTAGTCCACTTTCAGATATTAAATAAAGTTTTTGTTTCTATAGTTTGATTTCAAAGTTATATTTTTCCAATATACAAGGCTGCTTGGATAGTAATAATATTATATTTCTGTCTCTCTCTCTCTGTCTCTCTCTCTCTTTCTCTCTCTCTCTCTCACACACACACACACTTTTAGCAATGAACTTATTTTGTTCATCAATCTTGCAGTCAGACATGCTCAATCAAATTGTATTTAACCCATTGCCTATGCTTTCAATTTTCTAATGTAGTTCTTTGTCCAGATTTTTTATTTCTATTGATGCTTAATGGGCGTACAAATTTCTAGTTTGTTAAATTAAGAAACATTCTATGATTCAAAATTGATTAGTATAATATATAAATATTGTAAAGTTAAGGTATGTTTTTTAAAATTATAAAATTTCTTTCTTTGTCCTCTCTCCCTTTTCCTACTCTTCTTCTCACTCAATTTGTTCTCACATCGAAAATACTTCTTTGGGACAGAAACATCTCACACTACTTAGCATGCAGTATTGAACTAGCAACAGATAACTATTTGTTGAAGTGGCTGACCAAGTAAAACTTTTTTTTTTAACCAATTTTTCTCCTGGTGTATTTTTACAGGTTTTCTTCATAAATTTCAGAGCCTACTCTATGACTTATAACAGAATCCATACCTACAGACACACATTCATGGAGTATTGTCTTATATATTAAACCTATGTGAATCTACACTTAAATACTCGTTTCACAAACAAAACATGCTTATAAATTAAATTCTACAGTTTACTGTCTTCCAAGTTCCCTTAATGGGTGAGTGAGGCATAGGCGTTAGGAATCTGCTGCCCCTTAGTCTCAGTTCTGAAAATCATCTGTCAGTGTAAACTCACAGTGCTACATGTAATTCTGTTGAAAGACACACAAATGTCAACCAATTTTATATGGTTCTCAATCAAAGAAATAATGACCTATTTCTAATGGAGGAAATGTTGTTGTTCCGTAATTAATAAAAGTGGCTGGGAGTGTGTTTTAAATCAGGCATTTTCCTAAAGTATTTCCAAGAGCCTTTGACTCTTCATTGTGGAACCAAACTCATTATAAAGCAAAACTTTATTGGGTATGTTTTCTCTCTTTACTGTGTATGTATATACCTACAACATGTGGGTATACATACACATGTGTAAAAATAAATCATGAAACACATATGTGTGGTAGTATATATGTGTATGATATATATATATAATCATATTGATATTAGGTGATGTTCAATAATTTCATTGCACAAACTGCATGTGATAAAAATTTCAAAAATTCTTCAATCACATTCATTCATTCTTGGTGTTGTGCACTACATGGGTTTGTACAAAGGTACAATGACATGTACCCACTATTATAGTGTCACACAAAATAGTTTCACTGCCTTAAAATCCTGTGTGCTTGCCTATTCATCTCTGCCTCTCCCCAACCCCTGGCAATCACTCATCATTCTATTGTCTCCATAGTTTTGCCTTTTCTAGAATGTCATACAGTTGAAATTGTACTGTATGTAATTTTTCCAGGTTGGCTTTTTTCACTGTGTAATATACATTTGTTTCCTTCATGTCTTTTCCTAATTATATTTTCACCTGTTATTTCTCTTTCCTTGTTAGAAGTTATTGTAAAACAGTAATAGTAAGGTAGAAAAATGATACTGTGGTTTTAAGGTGAGTTTAAATTATACCACAATTATTTGTTAATTGACTACTTAATCAAAAGGATACATGACTTATCTAAAATGTCTTTCATTGAGTTAAATATTAGGTTCTGACTGGAATCTATAAGGCTTGGAATTGAACTCAGGCTCTCCTATATTGTATGTGGGTTTTTTCACAACTAGCCAAACATTATTTCTGTGTACAAATTAGAGTAACTATTCATACGCTGCAAGGATGTTATGATTAAATGAAACATGGATATCAAATGTTTGAACTTCTCATGCTAAGCCTGTCACAGAATAGTTTTAACACAAATTTCTGCATGACTAAATGAAAGTAAATGAATACATGAATTAACTGAATAAATGAACAGAGACCATTATTAAAGCAAAGTAGATTTGTATTTTTAATTTTAAAAAATTGTATTTTAATTTTAAATTTTGAAACAATTTCAAATTACAGAAATGTTTTAAATATTGTAGAAGAATGTTTGTTTTTATAACCACTAGAAAGTAACTACTGATCTAATGCCCGATGTCTTAGAATATACGTATGCAGGCACAATATAACAACCCAAATCAGGGAAATTTACATTGATTCATTACTATAATCCAATCCATAGACCCCATTCAAGTTTCACCAATAGTTTTAATAAAAATCTCTTAATTCAAAATGATCCAGTTTAGAATCAAGCATTGCATTTAGTTGTAATGTGTCTTTAGTTTCCTCAGTCTGAAAGGGTTTCTTAGCATTTCTTTGACTTTCATATTTTTCACATTTTAAAATATTACAGGCTAGTTTGTTGTTCATTTGTTGTTTGTTCTTCCTTAGAATGTCTTCCAATTTTGTTCTTTCTGATATTTTCTCATGATTAGATTCATTTTATGCACCTTTGGCAGAAATACCACAAAAGTGACACTTTGTTTTCACCAGTCCAACCTATCAGGTGATGCATAATTTTGATTTGTCCTACTAATGAAAATAATAGTACTTGATTTTTAATTAAACGTGTATCTGCCTGACTCCTCCATTTAAAAGAGTCTCTTTTCTACTTTCAAAACAATATGAATTTTATGGAAGATACTTTAAAACTATATAGATACCTCTTCCGTTTTAAAGCTTTAAATTGATATACTTTCATGTATTTGTTAGCTTATATCTATATAGATTATGGTTTCTTATTTTGTTAGCCAATTTATAATCTAGTGCTAACACTTTGTTTTGTTTGCTTTTAATGCTACTCATATGGTTGCTGGCCTGAGAAGTGGGAGCCTCTTGAAGCTGGTTTCTGTATTCTTTTAGCACGTCTCCACCTTACTTTCAGCTTTTCTTAGTTTCCGGCCCAGCAGTAAGTTCCAGGTTTATTCTGTACTTTTCCTGCCCCAGCACTGGAATTCACTGAATCTCCAAGGAACCCTAGTTTCTGTTAGAGAAGACTGTGTTCAGAAGCCACAATTTATATACTACATATGCTTATTGCCATTGGGGTGTTGCTACTCCCAGGCCCTCTCAGTAGACAGAGCTACAGAAAATATTTTATATATATAGTATTATCTTATATATATTGATATACACTGTATTATATTTTTATCTATAAGTATTATGTAGTATAAATTCACAATAATATTTCTTTATTATTTATTTATTTATTTATTTATTTTTTGGTATAGTGTCTCACTCTTTGGCCCAGGCTGGAGTGCAGCAGCACAATCATAGCTCATGGCAGCCTTGAACTCCTGAGTTCAAGCAATCCTCCTGCCTCAGTCTCCAGAATAGCTGGGATTGTGGGCATGAGCCACCATACCTGGCTCACAATGACACTTCTAATTCCAATTCAACACCTCAGCATGCATTCCAGTTTTTCCTTTCCATTCCTTCTTTGATAGTGAGAATCCTAGCTCCCATTACACTTTATATATATTTAGTCAATTGATTCCTCTGGGAGATTGAGAGTAACAAATCTCCCATCTCCATGACCACTCCTCCACCAGGTAGATGCCCTCTGAACCCCACTCTAACTAGATCCTCTTCATGGCTTCGGCTTCTATGGCACTGGGGCATGTTGCCTCATGGATGCCTTCCCCACTCCACTCAAGCTCCAGTCTCTCATAGTAGAGTGCTTGCCCACATGGATGTTCTCCTTGCCATATATGAGCTCCAAACCTCTACACCTGTCTGCTCCCATGCATAGATTCCTTCCTCACCCTGCTGCAACTCTGATAACCCATGCTGGGCTGACTCTTTTACAGATGCCATCCTTACCTTGATTGAGCTTTTACTCCATACATAAGGTGCCTTCATGGACACCTTTCTCATCCTACTTGGACGCCAAACCCTGCAGCAGGATGATGCATTTCCTCCACATCCTGCTTGAGATCCAACCCCCTGCACAGGACCACCCCAATGTATGCATACCCACCTCAGCTTGCTCTAGCCCTGACTCCCCATACAAAACTGTCCAGCCACACCCATGTTTCTATGTAGATATCCTCATCACCCTGCTTGGGCTTCAACACCCTACTCTGGACCCAGAGATTTCCCATCCCCAATGCAGATATACACTGCTCTGCTTCACTTAATGGTTTGACAAATCAATTATTTAGGAAGGGAAAGGGAGAGGAAGAAAAGCAAGAGGCAGAGGCAGAGTCCTTGTGAAGTCTTAAAGCATCTCATTGATTTGCTTGGTTAAGATACAACAGAAAATAGAAAGAAAAAATATGAAATACTCTTAAATATGTTTACCAAAGAAAAGTAGTACCTGAAATATAAGCTCATAAATGTCAAGATTTATATATATTTTTAATCTCAGTATCTAGCAGATAGGCTGGCATGTGACAAATATTTATCTTTAATGAGTTTAAACTTGAACATAGGGAAGAGTTCATAGTTACATTTTAAATTCCATTTTAAATTTTTCTATGAGTTTAAACAAATTTCCCCCATTATTTTTATTATTTAAAATATGTTAAATAAAATATAATTGAGTTCGAAAGAACTTTGAATTTTTAGTTATGTCTTCTTGCTTTTGCGTAATTAATTTTTCTCTATCTATTGCATAATTCCCACAGATATGAAAATAGACTGTGGCCTCAACCTTCCCCTTGCCCCACATCTCCGTGTCCATTCATCCCTTTCCATCCTTGTGCCACTAACTTATTCTGAACCATTGTCATCTATCACCTGGAAAATATATAGATTCTTCACAGAGGGAAGGGGGCATATTCGTTCTTCACTGGTCTTTCTGCTTCTACTGTTTCCTCCTCCAGTCTTCTCTCCGAGTAGCAGTGTGAGTCTTAATCTCAGTTTCTTCCTCAGTTTTATTTCATGCCGCTTGTTCACTACCTCAGACAACTGACCTCATAATAATTCCTTTAACACACTAAACTGTTTTTGTGTGATGCTTTTTTACTGATCCTCTTCAGGCTTGGAATGCTTGTCCACATTTCTTTAAATTTTTTCTTTTTCTTCCATATTTAGTTCTAAGCTTTAATATTACTTCTTTCTAGAGGCTATGACATTTATCCAGATTGTTATGCTTACATCTTTCACTTTTCATAGACTATACCTTACTTTTTCTTTTTCTTTTTAAAAATCACCTCTCAATCTTATAGGAAATAGACTCTATCATGGTAAGGACCATGTCTATCTTGTTCCTCATTATATTCTAAGTAGACAAGTTAGCTGTTCAATAAACATCTGCTGAATACATGAATAATAATCCTAACACATTCCCCCTAATAAAATGAGGATAGATAAGGCAGTTTTAAATATTTGTGCTTTATGGAAATAAACGTTGAAAATATTGTCATTAGCCTTTCCAAACATGCCTTCAATGAAAATTTTAAAAATCATGTGTGTGGTTTGGTTTCTTAAAAAAAAAGGGGGTGTTATCGTACAATATCTATACTGACATTTATTTGGGTCATATTGAATTTCAACTTATCAGAAACTTATGTAAATTAAACATCTCCATTTAGCATAAAACATGCCTGCAAATACAACATAGTTGTATTTCCAAGCTTAGCTAAATATTTTTGCTTTCCATTAACTTACAAATATGTACAAACCAAGCCCAGAACTCAAGAAAACCACTGACACATCAGCATGTCAATCCTTACTCTTTGCCAGCTTAATAGATGCACAAGATTTTGAATATTAACATCATATGTATGTGGGTGAAATGAGAGAAGGAAGCAAACTGAATGCTCACATACCCAATTATTGTTTGATTGTGTTTGCCTTTGATATATTTATGATCAACAGCAATTGATGAGATCCCAATGATGTCAAAAAGCAATTTATTCTGAAACAGGGGTTGGTAAACTACGGCCTGTGGCATGTTTCTTTTCAGCCCTCTAGATAAGAGTTGTTTTCACATTTTTAAAACATTACATATGCACACACCTGAAAAAATATATATGTAAGAAAAACTATATGCTATCTGAAAGCCCAGAATATTTACTTTCTGGCTCTTTGTAGGAAAAAAAAAGCCATCCTATGTTTAAAGCATAAATGAAGAAAAATGTAGGAAAAAATAGAACATATTAATCTAATGTAAATAAGAAGACACATTTAGGAATGTGATACTCATAATTGAATGTTTAGATTTTCAGTTCCTTTTGAATGTGATATTTAGTCATTATTTTCCTGAGATCCCTCTATGGAAAAACTTATGTCACAATCTGCCAGCTGTAAGTTGCTGATCCTGTTTCTCTTGCTATAAACTTTTACATACCTACTTCTCTCTTCAGCTGCAGGCTAAGGTTTATTTGTAAGTTCTAGACATTAACAAGTAAGAGGAGCCAGGTATTATTCAAGAACTACTTTGGTGCATATATCTGCCATTCTTGTCTCCTTCCATTCCATAACTTCTTTTTTTCTGAGACGGAGTTTTGCTCTTGGTGCCCAGGCTGGATTCCAATGGCACAATCTTGGCTCACTGCAACCTCCACCTCCCGGGTTCAAGCGATTCTCCTGCCTCAGCCTCCCAGGTAGCTGGCATTACAGGCATGTGCCACCACGCCTGGCTAATTTTTTGTATTTAGTAGAGATGGGGTTTCACCATGTTGGTCAGGCTAATGTCGAACTCCTGACCTCAGGTGATCCAACCGCCTCGGCCTCCCAAACTGCTGGGGTTACAGGCGTGAGCCACTGTGCCCGGCCCCATTCCATATCTTCTATAAACTTTTTTTTCTGAATATATTGTTATGTTCCAGGAACTGCAGTTTATAACAATTTATTTAAAAATTGTTCAATGTAAGAATATCACAATTTTGTAGGGAGGAGTATTAGTCTATTTTCACACTGCTATAAAGAAATATCTGAGACTGAGTAATTTGTGAAGAAACTTACAATCATGGTGGAAGGCAAAGGGGAAGCAAGGACCTTCTTCATATGACGGCAGGAAAAAGAGAGAGTAAAGAAGGAAGTGCTACTTTTAAACCATCAGATCTCGTGAGAATTCACTAATTATCAGAAGAAGAGCATGGGGGAACTGCCCCATTATCCAACCATCTCCTACCAAGTCCCTCGCTCCACACGTGGGGATTACAATTCCAGATGAGACTTGGATGGAGACACAGAGCCAAACCATATCAGGAGGCCAATACAAAATAATAATTTCCATATATTCTTTAATACAGCTTTTCTTGTGTCAAACTAGTACTCACATATTTTAGTATCTTTCTGCTCTTCTCTGAATGTTTCTTGATAGTGTCCATTTCCTGTATTCCTTGCCATCCTTCTGCCTCATTGTCTTTTATTGACTTTTGATCTTAGATTAATTTCCGTACCTGACTGCTAAATTATATTCTTACTTTAAGCACCCCTATGGATATCTTGCTTGAATTTGGCTGACTTTCTCCAAGTCTTATAGTTATTCTCAGATTTAACCCCTTTTTTCTTGTTTGGATTTTAAAGTGATTATGATTCACTGCTCCCTATGATGTTAGAGACAAAGTTATTTTATTTTATTCTCTCTTTTTTTCACAAAACATCTGTCTAGAAATCGAGTGTTATAATTATCTATAGAGAGCATTCATTTTAACTCCTGGGGTTTCTTTTTCTCTCAGGAAACATTTTACATATTGTCTGTTTCATGAAAATAGTTTTTCTCTTTTAAAAACTGCTCAGCCTGACTGCTGAACACAGCTTAAAAGCCACCAGGAGGATTGTGGACTGAGTGGGTGATTGATTGTTAAGGTCTTATTGATTTTACAAGTTAAACAATGACTGAGTGTTTTTTTCCCCCCTTCTAAGGAAGTCTGTATTCTATTTTTCTGGACATAAACTGTACCATAGGAAAGTAATAAAATGGGAGTTTCTAGAGTAGTTCCCTCTACTAGGAGCTTTAAGCAGTCTTTGGGGGAATTATGCTCCAGGGAGGTTTTAGAGTGTAGTATTTAGACTGGCTGTCTAGACAGTAGGAAATGAAAATCTGGCAGCCAAATTCATGTCAAGATAAATTCTTACCAGATATAAAGGAATTTTTATAAAGCTATGCCTTTTATATCTTTTACTTATCTTTTAAGTTACTGTTTCTATGGAGGAATTGCTTTTACATTTTAAATGCAAGGGAATTAGACCTATATGTATTCTGAGAAACAAATTTTGAAAAATAAATTCTATCAGTGAATTATCATGATTTTGGCAGGTGAATTCTGAGGATATAAATATTTTTAATAGTGTGAAACATATATTTTTGGAGTAATAGAATTTTAGTTTTATTTACCAAACAACGTATTGACTTTCCTTTCTTTCCTTTTCTATTTTTGTTTTTTTGTATAACAAATAATTTATGCGCCATTTGTTCAAGAATCTCCTGGAGTTTATGTGTGGTCCAAGAGACTCCGGATGCTCCTGGAGTTTATTTTTCCTATCCTTTAAAAAAAAATTATAGTTAAAATTGTGAAATTACTGTATCATTGACACAATAATTTTCAAGTTGTTGACTACAACAAATTAAGCTTTTTACTCTCTAGGTAACAATGTTTTTATACAAATATAAATTTTTATATAAATAAAACTTTTCAGACTATAAAACCATTGAAGCCACATCACCCAATAGATCATCTTTCAGTTTTATATATTCATCATAGAAATCATGGATTAATGACCAACTCTTCAGATTTCTATGTAATTAACTTGATTTTCTTTAGAAGATTTAAAAGTAGAACTCATTTAGGCAGAGATCTTTTTAAGGTCTGAAATTTGATTTGAAATAACTACAGAAGATTTTTGGCATAAATCTAAGGGTTACAAGTGCAATTTTGTTACATGGATATATTGCATAGTGGTTAAGGCTGGGCTATTAACGTATCCATCACTCAAATAATGTACATTGTACCCAGTAAGTAATTTCTCATCCCTATCCTACCACCCACCCTTCCCAGTCTTCAATGTCTATTATCCCACATTCTAGGCCAGGTGTACACATTATTTAGCTCCAACTTACAAGTGAGAACATGCAACATCTGACTTTCTGTTTCTGAATTATTTCATTTACCATTGTGTATGAGGTGTGTGTGTATATATATATATATATATATATACACACACACACGTATGTATACGCACACACACCACATGTATCTATGTATCTATCTATCATCTATCTTATTACACATTTTTAATCCAATTATACTTTGATAGACACTTAGGTTAATTCCATATCTTTGCTATTGTGAATAGTGCTGCAGTAAACATGAGTGCGGCTATATTTTTAATATAGTGATTTCTTTTCCTTTGGGTAGGTACCCAATAGTGAGATTGCTGGATTGAACTAACATAGAGATTGCTCTATGTTTAGTTCTTTGACAAATCTTCATACTGTTTTCCATAGAGGCTGTATTAATTTACATTCCCACCAATGATGTATAAGCATTTCCTTTTCTCTGCACGCTTGCCAACATCTGTTTTTTTTTTTTGTCTTTTTCATAATGGTGTAAAATGATATCTAATTGTGGTTTTAATTCACATTTCTTTGATAACTAGTGATGTTGAGCATTGCTTTCCTACGCTTAGTGGCCATTTGTATGTCTTTTTTTAAAGAAAGTCTGTTAATATTATTTGTCCACTTTATAATGGGTTATCTGCTTTTGTTGCTGCTGTTGAATTGTTTGAGATCCTTGTAAACCCTAGATATCAGTCCCCTCTAGAACCATAGGGTACAAATATTTTTCCCTATCTTGTAGATTGTCTGTCACTCTGTTGGTAAAGTCTTTTGCTATGCAGAAGATTTTTAGTTTAATTAACTCTCATTCATCTATTTTCGTTTTTTGTTGCTTGTGCTTTTGAAGTCTTAGTCATAAATTCTTTGCCTAGATCAATGTACAGAAGACTGATTGAGTAATGATATTGTGATCCATTTAATTAAAAGTTGTCATTATTCTAGTCCAAAATCTCAAAACTGAATTAGGAATTATGATATAATTATATACATGTAATCTTATTACATAAAAATGCTCTGAAAATTATAGAAGGTTTAATAACATTTTCAGTGACCATTCGTTTTTGGAACATTCCTCTAAAATAGCTAATATGCTTCATTCCATTTTTTAGAGATGGAGAAAATAGTGTTTGATTGTGATTCCAACTTTTTTTTCCTCTGACAATTTTTTACTGTAATTCAGCTGAAAGATAGGACACCATCCAATTAGCAGCAATGTAGCCCTTCTGGCAAAGATTTTTGGAGGGCTATGAAAACTAGTGCCTGGAAGAATCTGAGTCTGTGGTGTATAATTATAATTGAAAAAACTCTCCAAATCATTGAGATTTCCATCCACATGTCTCAAATTGAATAGCAGTAAATTTACTACAGTTTTATGGACTATCATTCATTAATTATGGTGGGTTTTTTTTTCTTTCTTCTTCTTTTTTTTTTTTTTTTGAAAAAGTCTTGCTCTGTCACTCAGACTGGCGTGATCTTGGCTCACTACAACCCCCGTCTCCCAGGTTCAAGCAATTCTCCTACCTCATCCTCCAAGTAGCTGGGACTACAGGCATGTGCCACCACACCTGACTACTTTCTGTATTTTTAGTAGAGATGGGGTTTCGCCATGTTGGCAAGGCTGGTCTCAAACTCCTGGCCTCAAGCAATCTGCCCACCTCAGCCTCTCAAACTGCTGAGATGACAGCATCTTTCTTTATGGTGCTTTCTTTAAGCAGAAGCAGTTACTATTTACCTGTCCCTATTGTAAGCATAGTGGATCATTTAGTTAAAATTAAAGAGATGTTTCAAAGGGTATATTACATCATCTAATAAAGTCTTATGTAAAAGTTAAAGCAAGAAGAAAATCCTACATTGAAAACATCTAATGGATTTTATTTTTTGTCAGAAATATTTAATATTAAGTGTCAACTATGCCAGAAACAGATAAAATAAAAACTATATAGGTATAGTTTTTGCCTTTAGGAAGCTCAAATTATAGTAAAAAATTACATGTACACAAATAAACATATTTCAATGTGATCGGCTTGATACTTTTTATATAGTAAATATGGTAGGAAACACAGACAACAATTTTTCATTTCAAGCTGTCTATGGATTATGGTGTGGCAGAGAAACAAAAGAGACAAAAAAAGCTTCAAATAGGAAGGAAAATGGTGAATGATTTTAAGTTTTTAACTGTTGGAGTTGTATACTCAATTAACTTGATTGTTTGGAGTGAAAGTGTGAATCACTTTCATCATATGATTGAGACGGCTATTTCTGATTTTTATTAAACATTATGAATTCATGCATTAAAAATATTTGTGGCATTGTTGAAGATAAGAAGTAAACCAGAGACCATGCAAGAATACTGAAGAGAGGAAGATTTTTTCTGAACAATGAAAAATTTGAACATTGGTTGATGTGTGGTCTCTTAGGATATTTCAGATGAGTTAGTCCAGTGATGGTGGAATGGGCATATTAGGACTTAGAAGAGTCATCGGCATAAATGTGGTTGAGTTAAAACTCTGAGCTGGGTGTGGTTATGGAGCAAAGACCACAGGACGGGGACCTACTCTGGGCTCCCAGTGTGAACACAGCAAACACAAAGGACACTGGCACTGTCTATCCAGAAAAGGAGGAAAAATCTGGGATGCTCTGGACTTAAGAGAATTTTGATAATAGTCAAAGTATGTACAAAATATAAAATTCAGAAAATATTTGTCAGATTTGATAATATTGAGGTCTGTGACGACCATGGCTAGAAGAGCAACTCAGGAAAGGTGAAGGTGCCAGATTATAGTGGGTTTTCAACCAAATGAAGAGAGATTAAAGGAGATAAATGTGGAATGTGGATTATCATTTCAAGAAACCTAGAAGAAAATGCACAGAGTACAAGCAAAATAGAGTTAGGCAGACAAACATAGCCAGAAGACCCAGAGTGGGAGAGACACGAGCTCTGCGCATGCTGGGGAAAGAACCAGTAGCAAGGGAAAGATTAAAGAAGCAGAGAGAGGATTCTACTCCTTGTCAGATGAGTTATATGCTGGATGGTGTATCTTGGTTGCTTTATTTATTATATTTAGTAACTTAAAGAAAACATAACCTTTTCCAAATCTTTTCTCAATGTTTTATTTTTAGTACTGTAGAGGGTTGGTGTTAGGACTTATCCTTTCTTTCCCAGAATAGAATGCCCTCAGGTAGGATATGAAAAGAAGACAAAGACAAGTGATCTGTTGTCCCATACCTGGGGAGTGTTTGCTGTTGTGTTTGACACCTAGGAATGCAGATGAGGAGGAGAGACACTGTTCCTCTGCTTTGTGAGGATATGCCCTCACCTGGTGACTAGAGACAGGTACTCTCTCTTCCTCAGCTTCTGCTGAGAGAAGAGACTCTAACTCAGCAAGATGCTTAATGTATGTCTTGATGTTTTTAGGTGAACAGTTGAGTCAACATCCCAAAGCCACACAAAGAATTACAAGTTGGGACAAAAATAATTAGCTCATCTCCATGTGCTTCAGAAAGAGTCAGAGGTGGTGGAAGGAACACCAAGAGTTTATGCCTTTGGAAAGTGTGACCAATTATGTCCCTCACAACCACACACTATTTCTTCCAGTTTCCCTTATATCCTTCTTATGCTCATCTTTCAAGCATCAAAAATCTCTTTTCTTTGCAGCGACATGTATGAACTTGGAGGACATTGTGTGAAATAACCCCAGCACAGAAAGACAAATACCACATGATCTCACTTATGTGTGGAATCTAAAAATGTTGAACCCCTAGAAGCGGAGGGTAAAATGGTGTTATCTGAAACTGAGCCAGGGGCAGTCGGGGTTGGGGAGATGTTCGGGGTTGGGGAGATATTCAGGGTTGGGGAGATGTTGGCCAAAGGATATAAAATTTTAGTTAGATAGGACAAATAAATTTAGAGTTCTATTGTACAACATGAGGACTACAGTTAATAACAATATATTTATTATTGCAATTTGCTAAGAAAGTAGATGTTAAGTGTTCTCACCAGAGGAAATGACAAGTATGTGAGGTAATACGTAAGTTAATTAGCTCAATGTAGACATCCCACGATGTATACATATTTCAAAACAGTATGTTGTATATGATGAATACATACACTACTTAGTCAATTAAAACACAATTTTTAAAACAGAATAAAAATGCTAAAATAAAAACAAAAACTCCCTCCTCAGGAAACTCTACCCCTCCCTATTTCCTGAGGGAATCTGAGACCCTTTCCTTTCTTGTGACCTGCAGAATTAGGCTTTCTTTAGCACAGGCTTTACTAAGGCTGTTCATAAGGTTTTCTTGGTGACAATTAGGAAAAAAGTAACTCTCACAAACACACACACACAGGAAAGCTAGTATGCTATTGCAAAATGGGAACAGCAATATCTTACGGCTCTTTTGTGAGATCGACGAAGCTGGACTAAGGGGTTTACTTGGTAATATATGTTGGAGGCTCTATCTCCAGGACCTTCTTTCCATCAGTATAATTTGCAACCACTTTCCTCTTAAGATATTTCCTCATTGCAGTTCTTATGGTTCTTTGCCCTACTTTTTCAAGATACAATAGTATTACTTGAAAAACACAAATGCTTTCTATATTTATATCTTTGATTCTGCTTATTGAAAAAAACCTCATTATTGTGTTAAGAACAATTTTTATTCATTCCTATGATTGCTTTTATTATAAAGTGCCACCACATAAGCACTGAATGGCTCTGTTTGAGCCATCTGAGATAAATGTGGTATTTAAAACCAGATTCCTTTCTTTATAACAGGGAGAAGGGGTCATCAGTCCAACCCATTACAAGTAGATCTTTGTAATGTGCAGGTGTAAAACATAAAACAGAGCAAAATGACCAGCTTTATGGGCAAAGGCCCAATGCCAAGATTCACTGCATGATCTCTAGACCCAAGATCGTTTTTCTGTGCCATTGGGACTCTTGTGGCTATTGCTACCAGGGGAATAAAGCACAAAAAGTTTTAATAAGCTGGAAACATTGTTAATCTGATTTTAATTAAGTGGAACAAAATATATGCATTACCTTCACTGATACAAATGTTAATTTTAAATCAGACTGGGGATTTTTCTGTACTGCTTGGCTACCATGAAGAGGAAGACAGAACTCCTCACTGGTGAGGTTAATAATGGGGTGTAGCCATGGCGGAGGTGGTAAGGTCCTTCTGCTTAAGACCTATGTAACTGGATTTTGGAGAGTCTTCTAGATACCTACAATTGGCTATCAGGATCCACAAGTGAAAACAAGTCTTTCACTCTAAAGAGGTCATAGCAGTCAGAAACTGGGGTTAAAGACTTCTGTGCAGGTTCTTAAAGACAGTCGAAAGTTCCTCCTGGAGTTCAGCACTACTCCACCCGTTCTACTAGTTTACAGAAAGAACTTGAATTGCAGAGAAAAGGACTTGAGGAAAGCTTCTTGAGTCTTGTGGATTGACTCGAGGATTATTGCTAAAGTACTTTTTCCTCCAATCAAGAAGACGGGACTTGGTTTTCCCTTCTTTGAAGCCAAGTGAAAAAATAAAACGTTAGAAAAAATAGTTGTAAACATTTGGGGAGGGTCGATAAGAAGAGGAAATTAGGATGCAATTCCCCTTTAAAAATATGCTTAGGGCTGGGCGTGGTGGCTCACTCCTGTAATCCCAGCACTTTGAGAGGCCAAGGAGGGCGGATCAACTGAGATCAGGTGTTTGAGACCAGCCTGGCCAACATGGCAAATCCCTGTCTCTACTTCAAGTACAAAAATTAGCTAGGCGTGGTGGCAGGCACCTGTAATCCCAGCTACTCAGGAGGCTGAGGCAGGAGAATTGCTTGAACCTGAGAGGCAGAGATTGCAGTGAGCCGAGATTGTGCCACTGCACTCCAGCCTGGACAACAACAGCAAGACTCCATCTTAAAAAATAACAACATATATGTGTGACATATATGTTATATATGTGACGTATAGGTTGCATATGTGACGTATATGTTGTATATGTGAGATATATGTTATATATGTGAGGTATATGTTATATATGTGACATTATATGTGACATATCTCCTTTTAGTAGAGACAGACATATATGTGACATGTCATATATCATATGTTATATATATAATATATATATATGTTTAGATTTGACCCATCTTCAAGTGGCACCAAAAAAAGGTAATGAAGAGAGATGGAAGGGGATGTGGCTACAGATCAGACTTCGTTGCTGCTATTTGAGTCAAGGATATGAGCAGCATATTCTTTGAGCAGTCGATATCATAAAAAAAAAACTCAGATTGGTTATATTACCAGTATCCCACCCAAGAAGGCTGCTCACTGGGCAAACAACCTACAGCAGTGAGGGGCTGTCTATGGACAGCTACAAATGGAAGAGGAAGATCTGAGTCCAGATAACTCACGTCAGGAAATTGTATAGATCTGAGGCCTCCTGGGGCATTCCAGAAAAGCCAATAGTGCATCCTGCAAGAGAAAAAATGTTTGATTGCTGGCTGCAGAGAGGATATGGCTTAAGAGGAAGCAGCTTCCAAAGAGCAGTGATCAGCAACCAAGTAGAGACTTTTGCCCTTTTTAATTCTTCCTGTTCTCAACCACCAAGAAAAGCAAGTTTCTATAAAAGGGAGCATGAATGTTGCAGAGCTTTTGCTTGCATGTGAATTGAGAAGTTTTATACAGATTGCACTACATTCTATTGAGCAAAAATAACTAGAAAGAGTTGGTCACAAATAGGATTTCATGGGAGGTTGGGGGATGAATTTCAATATGTTCCAAAAGGCAAGGTTGAAAGAAGAGAAGGAAAACACAATCCATTTTATGTTTATGCAAAGGGTTGAGACTCCTCAGTAAACCAGTCCAGCAATGTTCTAAAGACAGCAGATTTGCAAACGTCTAATGACTATAATAGAAATGGTTCCATCAGTTTAAAGAATGAGGAAATCATAGTGCCCTCAACACTTTCCTGACCATGGCTCATTACCTTAATAGTAAAACTGACCAAAGAACCCACACTAGAGTTTCTCCTCCATCCTACTTATGTTTTAACACATGAAGTTCTCTACAGGATCATGTATCACTTGATTCAAATTCAGACCTTAGTACCTGTGAGTTTTTCAATCTGGCAGGCTCCAGAAAAGTAAAGACATTTCAAGAGACTACTGAATTATCAGAGTTCTGCAATGTTATGTGAATTTGGGCACATCTCTTTAAAGTTATTTATAGCTGGACCAAAAGTCTGTATATACCCTTAGAGAATTCCTATTGAGAGGTGACAACGTGCTAGCAGCCCTCGCTCGCTCTCAGCGCCTCCTAGGCCTAGGCGTCCACGCTGCCTGCGCTGGAGGAGCCCTTCAGCCCGCCGCTGCGCTGTAGGGGCCCCTCTCTGGGGCTGGCCGAGGCTGGAGCCGGCTCCCTCTGCTTGCGGGGAGGTGTGGAGGGAGAGGCGTGGGCGGGAGCTGGGGCTGCGGGGAGTGCTCGCTGGCAGGCGCGGTTTCCGGATGGGTGCGGGATGGGCAGGCCCGGGCTCGGCATGGGCGGCCCAGGCTCGGCTGGCCTGCACTCCGCGAGGCAGGCCTGTGCCTGCTGGGCTTGATCAGAGGTTGGGTCCCGTGCGTGGACCTCTGTTCCCTCTTCGTGGGGTCCTTGGCCACGATGGCAGGTCTCTGTCTCTTTCTGGCTTCGCCTCTTTTCCGCTTGGTTGTCTGGGAGGAGCTCCCTCTGGGCTGCTGGAGAGTGCCTGGGCTAGGTGCAGCAAAGTCCCCAGGCGAGTGCCAGTGAGAGGTGAAGACAGCTGGGCTTCTGAGACCTGTGGGGACTTAGAGAGCTTTTCTGTCAAGCTAAAGGTTTGTAAACGCACCAATCAGCACTCTGTGTCTAGCTAAAGGTTTGTAAATGCACCAATCAGCACTCTGTGTCTAGCTAAAGGTTTGTAAACATACCAATCAGTGCTCTGTCAAAACTGACCAATCAGCTCTCTGTAAAATTGACCAATCAGTAGGATGTGGGTGGGGCCAGATAAGGGAATAAAAGCAGGCCACCCGCATCGACAATCCGCTGGGGTTCCCTACCACGCGGTGGTGGTTTAGTTCGTTTGCTGTTTGCAATAAATCTGGCTGCTGCTCACTCTTTGCGTCCAGGAGGCCTTCCTTATGTGCTGTAACAGTCACTGCAAAGGTCTGCAACTTCACTCCTGAAGTCAGTGAAACCACGAACCCGCCAGAAGGAAAAAACTCCTGACACATTTGAACATCTGAAGGAACAAACTCCGGACACACCATCTTTAAGAACTGTAACACTCACTGCGAGGGTCCGCGTGGCTTCATTCTTGAAGTCAGCGAGACCAAGAACCCACCAATTCTGGCCACACTATGAACCAATTTTTCTAGTTAAACATCACTATCAGATATTGGAAAACATGGAAGGCTTTCAGGGATCTCATCTCAGCATACGCTGGAGTGAGATGGAGGATCACTAAGTGCTTAACTATTCTTGTGTGATTCTGGTTCTCTCAACTGTCCAGAATCCCGGTTTAAATAGGGTTTGGGCAGACATCTGTGGTATACTAGGTTTGCCTCAGTATTTTGTATCTCTACAAATATTCAAGAGAGTCAAGAATGTCTTAGGACTTACAGCACAGTTTACTGAGTGTCAATATGCAACTACTGTAGTGAATATTGCAGTGATATAGGTATGCTCTCCTTCATTATTGAACTGATATGCAGAACACCAGGCCCCTCACATGACCCAAAATTGATAAGATTGTCTAATAGTGGTAGGAGGTCTTGCCTCTCTTAAATAGAGCTGCTTGTCTTTTTTACTTTTACAGATAATGCTTTTCTACAAGTAGGTTAGATAGGCCAAGGTAATTTAATTTGTACGTTTATAAAGGACAGATACACAGTATGCATTCTAGAGCTGAGTTTACATGCTTTTCAGAATACAGGCCTCAAGGCTTATCAGTTTTACAAATATAGTTTAAAGGATGATCTAAGCCATTTTTTTTGTGTGTGTGAAGGTGCAGATGTACCTGGGCCTTAATAGCTATTAAAAAGCAAAGAAATTGTACCTTTTCCAAAACGCTTAGGGGTTGAAAAAAGTCATCGAGATGAGTTTACACAAGAAATAGTGAATGTGAATGTCTATGGCTAATGGATTTATTTACTGAGCAGGGGATTTAGAGGGAAAATTGATCATTAAATGTCAATCAGAAAAGGATCCCTTAGAACAACAAAAAAAGAAAAGGATCTGTTGTCTGAGAGAGGGAGTTCTATACATGGTGCTAATAGAGTTCAGTGGAGATTTTTAAAAGCCTCCTCCCTACTTCTTAGTTGATAAAACAACGCAAAACAACATATACAAGGAAGATCTGATGACTGAGATTGTTAGGGTTATAGAGGTCAGCACCTGCTTAATGTAGGCAACACTTCCTAAATAAATATCAAAGTGCAGACTGTGTAATTTGCTCAGAGAGCTCTAAGCAAAACCACAATCACATCATAATTTGAAAGCACAAGATGACATATTAATCCACTTTGCCCTTATGTTTTAATCATGGAACTGATCCAGTTACTCCTGGAATTGGAGGGGATCAGATTAGAAAATTTACAATTTATGTATTTTTTGTTTAATTTGTGTGTGTGTGTTTCTCTGTGTGCTTATGGAAGTGTGACTTTAGGATATTTCATTTTTTTATAATGCTGCTCTTAATTTTTAGCATTTAAAATATTGCTTGAAGTCTGAGGTGATGTTCAAAGCCCAATATAGACTATTGTACAAACTACCTAGGCTTGTAGGAGTTAATGATCTAAAAACCTGGAAGTCTGTCTTTGTATATTTTGTTATATGCATAATGCTTGGGGCACTTGCAATGTGTTTTCTTTACTTTGAACTAAATTTTTCTTTACATCTGGAAGATCCTTTATCATGTATTGATTTAAGAGGCCCATAGAATTTCTCTGTGTCAGATCCTTTGTATAATGTTTAATAAGAATGCATTTAACTGAATTCCCAAAGTGCCTTTTTGCCATATATTTCTTTGTATTAATAGCCTCACATAATAATTCAAACATTGAATTCATTCTACTGTTAAGTGTGTGTGTGTGTGTGTGTGTGTGTGTATTTTAAGAGTTTATTTTATGATTATCAAATGCCAAGGGAGTTTGCTGAACAAGTGGAAGCAAAACTTGAAGGGATAATAATGTCTGTCTCTTCAGAAGATATTTTCTATTTCTAATACTTTTGCTTTTTCTCCTTATTTTTTTCTAAACTGGGACTCAGTACAGACAATAACTCCCAATCTCAGACTTCTGCTTCTACTCTTATCTCTTCTCACAGGAGACTTGTTAACTGTAATGTGAATATACGGACGCGAGGCACTAAGATAGCAAGAGAGAGTAACTCTTTCTTGTTAGAAAGTGACAAACATAAATATTTTAAAATATAATGTTTTAAGCCTCACATCTCATAATTTTTTTAGTCTTATGTAATACTAAATTTTCATGAGGTTCTTGGAAAAAAAACTTCATTAGTACCTAGATAACATAATTAAACAATTTATTTGCCATATCTTTTGATATGATGATCTCCATTTTTGTAGGATTAATTTCCTTTTTTATGATTTTATAAAGTATACCTGATGTTTTTCCCATAAATTTTAGCTCAATAGATCTTTGTCATTAAATGTTTAAAACTTTATTTTCCAAATTAGACTTTGAAAGTTTTTTCCCGATTTGGACTTTTTCATTAACTTTGTCAGATTTGTGTATATATTGAGTATGAGCATGTGAGCCAAAATCTGCTTAGATTTGGGGGAATATAGAAATAATTAAGTGGGTATTTTCCTCCAAGATATCCACTCTAATGACAGGTGGCAATGGCAGATGCAACTGCTTCACAATGAGATCAGTATTATAACAAAGTGAAGTAGTAGTTCTATAAAATTTGGAAAGGGAAATACTGCTTTTAAATGGAGCAGTTGAGGAATTAGCCTAGATAAAATACAAGCGTTTTCTGAGTAAAGAAGTAATTTAGGATATTTTAGAGAGAAGGGGCAGCATTATCAATACCCAAAGACAATTATTGTACAGATATTAACTAGATAGGCTTGGACGGCCTCACCAATACCTTAATTTTAGGAACTGGAAAACCTGAAGTAATTCTCAACTTGAGTTGAATGGGCGATGACAGGACATAGAGCTGGAGAGAGGAATACATGTACATCTAAAGTTAATCTGGCACTCATTATGTCCTAGATGCTTCATGTATTTTATCTCTTTTATTTTCACGACATGATAATTCTTCGTTGAGTGTTTTTGAAGGTTAATTTCATGTGTCAACTTGACTGGGCTAAGAGAGGCCCAGATAACCTGTAAAACATTATTACATTGTTTCTGGGTCTTTCTGTTTGTAGCATACATATACATATATGTATATGGAGACTCCTAATACAGTTTTAATATACAGGGGATAAAGGGATGTATTTAAGAGAGATTACCCAAAATAAAATGTGTGGAAACTGGAAATAAACCCAGTTGAAAATTTTAGCAAATGCTTACTGATTGATTGTCATAGCTCAATAATTTGTTAACTATAGCCATATTGTTTCCACAAAGGGCAATGATTTATATAAATAAAATGTATAATGATTTACATAAATTATAATAAAGAATTTTTGGTTTTTCCTAAAGTAAGTGGAAAGTAGTAACATGATTAGATCTGAGATATAGAAACACAAGTCTAGCACCCAGCCCCAGGGATAATGGTGAAGGAAAGGGGATTAACAGTTTTAAAAGGTATTTTTAATAGACAAGACAAAGTAATTGTAAGTAGGGTAGTGCATGTAATTTTTTCACAAGACTGGAATGAAGACATATTAGGAGGTGAATTTTTGAAAAGTAGGTAAAGAAGGAAGATCTTTGATGCAGTGAACACTTTTATGTGCCAGATACTTTGTGTATATCTGTATATTATCTCACATGAATCCTCACAACACCTTCTTTTTTTTCTTGGTTAAGATTTCCAATTCCATTAATGGAAACCACCCTACTCCACAATTCTTAAAATTGGGGATAATCTTAATAATTGTGAAGCCATTACCTGTAAGGGGTTATCACCACTCCAAATACCACCAGCAGTGGGGCCCATTATTGACAATTTATAAGTATAAAAGTCTAAGCTTAGCTTAGCCATGTCCATTTTTTATCAAAGGCTTGTCTCAAGATCAGTTGTGTATAAAAGAGAGAAAATGGTAGATGTGTGTGTGATTTGGAAATTCTGTGTGATTAACATGTGCTTTTTCATTTTTTTACAGTGGTAGATTTGAAAGCATCAGGAGGCTTTGGAAAAACATAAAAACTCAATTCAGAGGGTCTAAGCCCTGTCATTCCTGTACTTCCATCCAGAACACTGCCTATTCTATGAGGAGAAACCAAATGCTTCATAGATAGCACACCAAATTTCTGGCACCCTTTCTTAGGCCTTTAAATCTTTTTTACTGTTCCTTAGCAACTCTGTTGGAATACTAATGGTTTCGTATTTTCACACCACCACACCACATCTATCCTCAATAGCCCATGGTGGAAACAAGAATACACAGTAGAGAACATATTGGACTCCATGTGCACCAAAACCAGTCTCAATATCTGGAAAGTTAAACTGTCTGGAAGGCAGTCATAATAACTCTAAGAGCTCTGCACATATCTCAGTTTTTTTCCAGGGAAATACAGGAAAGCTTGGGAACACATGCCAAAGAAGAGGCTGTTCAATCAGAACAGGGTCCTTTAGGCCAGCTAATATCACCTGGGAATCCTGACACTGTTTCCAGTTCAAGTTTAGGGAAATTGCTCAGAATCAATCTTAGCTAATTCTTGACTTATTTTACTCTAATTTGTTCTTCTTATATTTACACTCTTCACTCTGTAGTTTTTGCTTTATATTATTTAGTTCTTTTGAATTAGGTCCTGCCGAGTTGAAGCTCAGTCATTTGATCACAGATGTCACTCTCTGCTCATCACAGTGATCTTGACATATCGGTTCTTCTCAAGTGGTAACTGCTTATTCCAGACCCTCCACTGCCAAAACTCAAAGTCGCTCCTTTATGAGCCAACATCTGGCTCAGTCTCCCAGCCTTCAGAAGGGCAGAAGGAAGTTGGACAAGTAACATCGAATACTTCAAAGAAGTTGAAGTTGGAGGCTGAAAATCGCCCTCCTAATATTTCAGTTTACAAAAGGTGCAAATCACCTTTTTTTTTTTTTTTTACCTTCTTTTAACAAAGTCAAGAGAAAAACTCTTTAGACCTGCAACAGATGTGCATGAGAATTAGGCTCATTGTTTTGCTTGGCATTGGCGCATTCTTTACAAAGCACATGCCCCAGGCATGCTGGTTACGTAACTGTTATAGTAGGCTGCCTTCCTTCATAATGCATAGACTATTATTAGTACAGCTTAGAAACATTACTCTCCAAATGATGCCAAAAAGCATTTCATGAGACATAATATCTCTTCAGGCCTTTTACTGGACTCATGTTATATAAAGCTCAGAGGGACCGTCTTCAAAAGAGGCTCTTGCTTGAGGGCATTGCCTAAGAATTTGTTAATATTTTTAATTAATGGAGATCCATGACTTCGAAATAACAGTCTGAAAAGAGGAATGAAATAAAGATTGAAGAATCTTATCTATGAGATTTGACCGTTTTGCTCTTGGGAAGCAGTGCCTATTTGGTTGACCACACACTGCAAAACACAGGATTTCCCACAGATGTTATAATTCTCAGAAACACATGCACACACAACTCCGCTAAACAGAGTGTTTCAACATATAAATGTCATTTTATAATGAAACATCATTAAACTACAACCCTTAGAATGGAACGATTTTAGTGCCAGCAATTGCAATAGAATGTGGCTATGGAAATGAAGGGGAAACTTTGGATCTTAAAGGCGAAAAGTTCAATTAAATGTGTATCTTTAACATGAAGTTTGCTTGTAGGTGAGAATATGTTGTATTTACTACATTTGAGACTCATTTTTTCTCAGGCAAAAGATACCACGTTTAGATATTAGTTATATCTACAAGTTCTGTCTTCCACTAGTAATTGCTCTTTTCTTCCCACTGCATTGGACTGTAAACAATTCCTCTAGGCACATTTCTCCTGTGAACTCTACTGTGGAAGGGTAAGTAAAAGTGCAGCCTCACTCTGCCACTTTAATTCCTAGCAAAATTACTTAGACTTTCTGAGTTTAAGAGCTTCAACTGTAAAATGGGAATTAGTAGTTTCTTTCTTATAGTCTTTTAGAGTTGTTAAGAGAAAAACATAAATAGCATGTAAAAACCACCTGGTATAATACAGAGAACACAAGTCAGACTAAAGACATTTTGATTCCTATATTCTGGATATAAAAATCATAGTTTTATTAACTGAAGTAAGACTTAGTTTTCCTTCTTTGAAAGCTTCACCTCTAATTTCAGTATTTATTTTGCAGTAGGTTAATGTTTGGTCTTTTGTTGAATATACCAGCTTTGATCACTGAAACCTATTCAATGATTCAGTGATTCAATAGGATTCAATGATTCATTGAAACCTATTTCAGTATATTGAAAATAAACATATTTCTGTTTACTAGGCAAATTATTCATTCCAATTTAGATATTTTTAGTTAAATCATAATCCATTTCTTATTTTCTCAATTAAGTGCATACTCTGTTAAAAAATTTTCTAAATAAAAGATACAAATCAAGAAAACAGTCTGTCTTTCTTTTAAGCAGCTATTTTAAAATTGCCAATTCTACTTTTTTTGCCCACAACTTCCCTCTCCCCAGTTTGTGTATGTTGGATGAAGTAGAGCCTGGTGAGTGAACAGAGGGGCTGGGAGAAGAAGTATGTAGGGAGTCAATAGGAAAGCCCAGGTCCAAAATGCCTGGGAGCAATACTAATATTCATCCATCAATCGTCTGTTCATAGGATCTGGTTGTTTGCATCTGGTCTAAGTTCTGATTGGTAGTACTGAAGCCATGCAGATTGTTGCATATTTTTACAACCACCCTTCTCAGGAGGGAACTTGAAGATCACCCAGTCTGTATGGATTGAATATTCCAAAAAAGTCTGAAAACAGAACTAAGATTGAGGACTAGAGTACTAGAGTCATAGTTAATGAATTAGAATGAAATGAAATTTTGATGTAAACTACACATCTGATGTGTCTGATGTTAAAGCCCAAACATTTAATACACATACATCCTAGTGCCTCCTAGTCTTAGACAGAGATGAGTTTAAATGCTGCTTCGCTACTCATGTGCTGTGTTACCTTGAGTAACTTTCTTATAGATTATTTTTCATAAGCAATTTTAAGACTGTTGTTTTACTCATTACAAATAAATATTACAGACATATGTGAACTCTTAAAACACAGTACTTTTTAGATAGCTCTTTCTTCCCCTGGATACCCAGTATTATATTGTAGTGAGTCAATTGTGGTTTCCATTGCAAAGAACCATCTAGCAACATGACTTGCCTTCTGAAATTTGTCACCAATCCTCTTAAAATGTATAATTTTATTTTATATGGTAACCTTCAAAAAATATGACAGAAAACTTGCCATGAAGTCTAGTCTTAGAGCCAATTAATTTGATTTTCATAAATTAGCTATAGTTATATTTTGACTTTGTTTTGGTTTTCAGGATGGATAATTTTAAATTCACTTTGTAATTAGAATCCATTTCAAAGTATTTTTCGTGAGTTCCTTTTCCATTCAATTCTTTAGACTCATTTTTATCTTAAGATTTTCCCCGTAATTACCAATTATGTTAGTATTAACAATTATGTTAGCATTAAAGTGGCTATTTAAAAAGTGACAAACATATTCACATTATAGATAGTAATATTAATATTTAACAAGAGTTTAAATTATTACTGGTAAAATAATGTTGATTTTTTAAAGTTTTGGGCAAAAAATCAAGTTAAAATGAAATGCATATTTTATAAACAAAATTACAGCATTTTTCTTTTTTTCCTGTTTTGAATTTAATTAATTCACCCTTGCTCTGTAATTTTTTTTATGTAATGGAATACAACCTCTACAGGACTTCATGATTTTATCTGTTCTTCTAATCAGACACTGTAAAAGACTTGGAATGAGTAAAGACGACTTGAAGAAGCATTAAGTTTCCATTTCCATTCAAATTCATATTATATTGTTTCAATTTCAGCATATTCTAGTTTTCATTATATATTTTGTCTTAGATATAAGTGATTTATTATAATCACTTGATAAATTGATTATAATAAATCAATTTATAATAAAAAAATTGATAAACTGGATGTTTCAGCCTTACTAATAGCATTATTTATTGAGAATATTTAATGTAATAAGCATTTTACAAGCATTACCTCCCATTATTATTTCAATCCTCTGAAATAGGAACTCTCATTAGTTCTGTTTTGTAAACAGGAAGGCCTAGCCTCACAGAGTTAAGTAATTTTTCCACAGCGGTATTGCTCGTCAGAGGTGAACAGAACCTGAACTCCAGTTTTGGAACATTTAGAGAAAAATAAAAAGGAGAGTCAATATATTTCTTTTTTGTGGGTTTCTTTTTAAAAAGTGCAACTTACTTTTGATCTGGAATAATCATATTGCATTAAAGTATTTTCTCTTCAAGTCTCAATTAACTACACCCAGTCAATTATAATCATTGAAATATTTAGATGCTGAGTTTTAATAATACAATTCATGGGGTCATTTATGACAATTTATCATATTCACTTAGCAATGACACAATTTCACGGGTGAAATCATGATACCAGGATTGGACAAAATAAATAAATAAAAAGATCTGGCCATATTTTCACTGCTTTGTGTTTCCTCCTTTGAAATTGGTCCCCAGCAATAAAGTATTAAGGGCCGATAGACACTGGCAAGAATGCTCAAACTCACTAACATTAAAATAAATGTAATTAAACTTTGATTTAAAAAATTGATGATTCATATTAGTAAAAAATTGAAAAAGTTCTTAATGTTGGATATGTAAATGGGAATAATATGTTTGGAGGGAAATTTAGCAATAATTTTCAAAACTAAAAATGTGTAAACCTTGGACATAACCTTCCTATTTCTAGGAAAATTTTCTACTTGTCAACCCCCTGTATATTGGAGCTATGCATAGCATCAACTTTCTTGATTATTGTATAAAGTAATTAATTGCATCTAACAGTTAATAATAGCAATTAATGGTTGTATAAGCAGCTAATTTGCATCTAGCCATCTTAAATTTGTAATAACCTTAAAAAGCAACCATTTGATTTCATTTAATCTACCTTACTTCATGTTTTTTCTTTTTTTACAGAAAAAATATATTTATTTGGAAATCAGGTATTGCAACTGGAATATATGTATCATAGTAAACTGTGTGCATATTCAGGGAAATAAGGATTTTAAAGAAAAAAATTAGGAGGATTACATAATTGTTTTGAAATGATTATATTTAGCTACAAATAAGAATAAGTGTGATGCCAGTCTGAGGTTGGAGAGAAAGTTACTAGGAAGATGTTCTCACAGAAGTATATTTGTGAAATGCAGTGGCCTTTGAGCAAGGTTGTGATTTTTGTAGTCTTTTGTGATAGCATTGGTTGTTGGGCAGGGTTAACACTAGCGACCCAATTTTGATTTTGACCTGTCTTCTAGCTATAATAAAATATACAATACACTGTCGTTAACTATAGTTACCTTTTTCCTCTTTTGACCGAGGTTTTTCTCTGAATGCATGTCAGATTAATCATATTGGACTTAGGTGTTGATGTCCCACCGTGCTAGGATGGAGTTTTGTCAGTTGTTGGTCTTGTTCCACAGTGAGGGAAGAGAATGGTGGCTAGGAGTCATTGTCAAAACCCTTTTAGCCATATTTGAGCAAGAAGAGAGGTTCGCCAGGGCGTGACCTCAAGCTAAGTCTACCTGGAGTCCATTATTAAGCTCAATTTTGTCTGTTCTTAGCATCAGCCCAAAGTGTTAGGCTAACATTATTTTATTAGGAGTTGCACTTTTGAAAACATTCAGCAAGTAATATATACAAAGTTTATAAAGGGAAAATGCAGAATAAGTTAATAGTAATATGACATTTCCAGCTTGCATAATGATTTTGAACCCGGATCCTAAGCTTCAAAACAGCCAGTTGAATAAATCAAACGACCCTAGGGAATTAGATGATACCTATTGTAATCATGTGGCCTGTTTTCTTTTGTATATATTCCCAGAGGAATATCTCCAGTTACAGTCTGTAGTATTAGCAATTGCACAGACATATTCTCATTTAAACAATGGATATTAAAAGATTCCTTAGGTTAGGTTCTGTCAAATTATTAGAAGATACTCATAGTGAAATTTCTATTACACTATTATCCTGCCAAATAAAAATGGTAGGCATTAAGAGGGGTTCAACCGGGAGGCGGGGCTTGCAGTGAGCCGAGATCGTGCCACTGGACTCCAGCCTGGGCAACAGAGGGAGATTCCGTCAAAAAAAAAAAAAAAAAAAAGAGGGGTTCAAATTTCCTTATGCTATGAATTTTTGTTCTGACATCTTAGAAAAAGCTGTTAACAGAGTGAAACCATCAGCTACCTCAGTTGGCTTGGTAAACTATTTGTGTGGCCCACATATCAGATACGAGACTTGTTTCTTAAAACTTGTTTCAGCTTACAAGGTTTCAGGAATAGGACAGTTTTTGTTTTTAGTTAGAGAATTGTAGCCAAATAATGCAGGAAGTTAGTAGAATTCAGAATCTACTGTAGTCTACAGGTAGATAATAACTTCAAGAGAATGCACAGAGCTACAGTCTAATAACAGATATATTACAGTTTTCTTTAAAAATATATTTTTTTCTCTCCACTTTGACCACATAGAAATCTCAGATTTAAAAATTTATTGAGGCTAGAAAGCAAACCTAGGCAGACTTTAGATTTTACTTACAGTCTTAAGATTCCTGAGCCTGCCAGAAAGTGACAATATTTCTTTAAAATAAACACAGGCTAGGAACTCTTGGAACCATGCATTTAAGGCACATTCTCAACTATGATATTTCAGTGAAGGCCTTGGTAATATAACCAAAATTTCCAATTGTATCCTGCTATAAAGAGAATGCAGATTTTTTCAAAAAATTATTGATACATAATATTTGTGTATATTTTGTGGGTACATGTGATAATTTTTACATGCATATAATGTGTAATGAGTAAGCCAGGGTAATTAGGATATCCATTACCTCCATTTATCATTTCTGTGTGTTAGGAACTCTTCAAGACCTGCTGGTATGGTTTGGTGGTGTCCTCACCCAAATATCATCTTGAATTCCCATGTGTTGTGGGAGGAACCCAGTGGGAGGTATTTGAATCATGAGGGCAGGTCTTTCCGTGCTGTTCCCATGGTAATGGATAAGTCCCATGAGACCTGATAGTTTTATAAGAAAGAGTTTCCTTTTTCTCTGTACCAGCTCTCTCTTTACCTGCCAGCATCCCTGTAAGACGTGACTTACTCCTCCTTGCCTTCCCGCATGGTTGTGAGGCCTCTCCAGCATGTGGAACTGTAAGCTGTCTATTAAACCTCCTTATTTTGTAAATTCCCTAGTCTCAGCTATGCCATTATCAGCAGCATGAAAATGAAATAATACAGTAAATTGGTACCAGTAGGGTGGGGCACTGCTGAAAAGATACCTGAAAATGTGGAAGCGACTTTGAAACTGAGTAACAGGCAGAGAGGTTGGAACAGTTTGTGGGCTCAGTAGGAGACAGGAAAGTGTGAGAAAGTTTGGAACTCCTTAGAGACTTGTTGAATGGCTTTGACCAAAATGTTGATAATGATATGGATGATTAAATCCAGGCTGAGGTGGTCTCAGATAGAGATGAGTAACTTGTTGGGAACTGGAGCAAAGATGACTCTTGTTATGTTTCAGTGAAGAGACGAGCAGCATTTTGCCCCTGCCCTAAAGATGTATGGAACTTTGAACTTGAGAAAGATGATTTAGTATATCTGGTGGAAAAAATTTCTAAGTAGCAAAGCATTCAAGAAGTTACTTGGGTGCTATTAAAGGCATTGTTTTAAAAGGGAAACAGAGCATAAAATTTTGAAAATTTGCAGCACAATGCAATAGAAAAGAAAATTCCATTTTCTGGGGAGAAATTCAAGCCAGCTGAGGAAATTTGCATAAGTAACAAGCAACTGAATGTTAATCACCAAGACAATGGGGAAAATGTCTCCAGGGCATGTTAGAGGCCTTTGTGGTAGCCCCTCTCATCACTGGCCCAGAGGTTTAGGAAGAGAACATGGTTTCATGGGCCAGGCCCAGAGTCCCTCTGCTGTGTGAAGTCTAGGGACTTGATGCCCTGCGTCCCAGCCACTCCAGCCTTGACTAAAAAGGGGTCAAGGTACAGCCTGGGCTGTGACGTCAGAGGGTGGAAGTCCCAAGCCTTGGCAGCTTCCACGTGGTGTTGAGCCTGTGGGTGCACAGATGTCAAGAATTGAGGTTTGGGAACCTCTGCCTAGATTTCAGAAGATGTATGGAAATGCCTGGATGCTTAAGCAGATGTTTGCTGCATGGGCGGGACCCTCATGGAGAACCTCTGCTAGGGCAGTGCCTAAGGGAAATGTAGGGTCGGAGCCTACACACAGAGTCCCTCCTAGGGCACCATCTAGGGGAGCTGTGAGGAGAGGGCCACCATCCTCCAGACTCCAGAATTGTAGATCCACTGACAGCTTGCACAGTGCACTGGAAAAGGTGCAGACACTCAACACCATCCCATGAAAGCAGCCAGAAGGGAGGCTATACCCTGCAAAGCCACAGGAATGGAGCTGCCCAAGACCATGGGAGCCTACCTCTTGCATCAGTGTGACCTGGATGTAAGATATGGAGTCAAAGGAGATCACTTTGGAGCTTTAAAATTTGACTGCCCCACTGTATTTTGGACTTGCATGGGGCCTATAGTCCCTTTGTTTTGACCAATTCTTCCCATTTGGAATGGGTTTATTTACCCGATGCTTATACCCCCATTCTATCTAGAAAGTAACTAACTTGATTTTGATAGTACAGGCTCATTGGTGGAAGGCACTTGCCTCATCTCAGATGAAACTTTAGTCTGTGGCATTTTGAATGAATGTTGAAATGAGTTAAGACTTAGGGCAACTGTTGAGAAAGCATGATTTGTTTTGAAATGTGAGGATATGAGATTTAGGAGGGGCCAGGGGTGGAATATGGTTTGGTTGTGTCCTCACTCAAATCTTATCTTGAATTCCCACGTGTTGTGGGAAGTACCCTGTGGGAGGTAATTGAATCATGGGGGCAGGTCTTTCCCATGCTATTCTCATGATAGTGAATAAGTCTCATGAAACCTGGTGGATTTCGAAGCAGGAGTTTCCCTGCACAAGCTCTCCCTTTGCCTGCTGCTATCCATGTAACATGTGACTTGCTCCTCTTTGCCTCTGCCATGACTGTGAGACCTCTCCAGCCATGTGGAACTGTAAGTCTGTTAAATCTCTTTCTTTTGTAAATTGCCCAGTTTCAGGTATGTCGTTAACAGCAGCATGAAAATGAACTAATACACCTGCCTTTTAGCTACATTAAAATATACAATATGATGTTGTTAACTATAGTCTCCATACTTTGCTATCAAACATTAAAACTTATTCCTTCTAACTAAATAATTGTACGCAGTAACTAACATTCTCTTTATCCCTCCAACCCACACACATACTCTTCTCAGGCTCAAGTAACTATGATTCTACTGTCTACCTCCATGAGACTAACATTTTTAGCTCCAACAAATGAGTAAGAACATGCCATATTTGTCTTTCTGTGCCTAGATAAATTCACTAAACTTAAGGACTTTCAGTTCCATCCATGTTGCTACAAATGACATATTTTTATTCCTTTTCAGGAATGAGTAGTATCCCATTCTGTATATATACAAAATTTTATTTATACGTTCATTGGTTGTTGGACATGTAGGTTGATTCCATATCTTAGATATTGTGAATTATGCTGCAGTAAATATTGGGGTGCAGGCATCCCTTTGATATACCAAATTCATTTTCTTTAGATAAATATACACCAGTGAAATTGGCAAATCATATGGTAGTTTTTAGTTTTTTGAGAAAACTTCATATTGTTTTCCATAATGGTTGTACTAATTTACATTCTCAACAACAGTGTATGAAAGTTTACTTTTTTTTCCACTTTCTCACCAGCATCTGTTTAGTTTTTCTGGATAATAGCCATTCTAACAGGGATAAGATGGTAACACATTACAGTTTGGGTTTGCATTTCCTTAATGCTTCATGATGTTGAGCATTTTTTAAATAAACCTGATGTCCATTTACATGTCTTCTTTTGAGAAATGCTTATTCAGATCCTTTGGCCACCTTTTAATGGGTTATTATTATTATTACTATTTTTGCTGTTTGGTTGTGTGAGTTCTTTGTATAGCCTAGATGCTAGTACTTTGTTAGATGAATAGTTTACAAGGTTGTCTCTTCACTCTGTTGGTTGTTTTTTTTTACGATGAAGAAGATTTTTAGTTTAGAAGAGTCCCATTTGTCTATTGTTGGTGTTGTTGCCTGCAATTTTGAAGTCTTAACCATAAATTTTTTGCAAAAAACAATGTCTGGAGTGCATCCTATATTTCTTCTGAAATATAGTATTTTTTATGCTTCAAGTTTTATGTTCAAGTCGTTTCATTTTTAGTTTACTTTTCTAAATGGAGAGAGACAGGGGTTTACTGCATTCTTCTGCATACAAATATTCAATTTTCCTAGCCCCATTTATTAAAGAGGATGCCCTTTCCCCAGTGTATGTTCTTGGAATCTTTGTCAAAAATCAGTTGACTATTAATACATGAATTTGTTTCTGGGTTCTCTATTCTGTTCCATTGGTCGATATATCTGTTTTTATACCAATGCCATGCTGTTTTGGTTACTATAGATTTGTAACATGTTTTTAAGTCAGATAATGTGATGCCTCTAGCTTTGTTCTTTTTGTTCAGAATTACTTTGGCTAATAGGCTTTTTAAGAATTCCATACAAATTTTAGAATTTTTCTTCTATTTGTGTGGAAAAAATGTCATGGGTATTTTGATAGGGATTGCATTGAATCTGTAGATTGTGTGGGTAGTATGATAATTTTGACAATATTAATTCTTATGGCCCATGAGCATGGTATGTCTTTTGATTTGTTTGTGCCCTCTCATATGGTTTGGCCGTGTCCCCACCCAAATCTCAATTTGAATTGTATCTCTCAGAATCCCCATGTGTTGTGGGAGGGATCCAGGGGAAGGTAATTGAAGCATGGGGGTCGGTCTTTCCCATGCTATTCTCATGATAATGAATAAGTCTCATGAGAACTGATGGGTTTATCAGGGATTTCCACTTTTGCTTCTTTCTCATTTCTCTCTTGCTGCCACCACGTAAGAAGGGCATTTCACCTTCCACCATGATTCTGATGCCTCCCCAGTTATGTGGAACTGTAAGACTAATTAAACCTCTTTTTCTTCCCAGTCTCGGGTATGTCTTTATCAGCAGTGTGAAAATGGACTAATATAGTAAATTGGTACCAGTATAGTGGGGCATTGCTGAAAAGATACCTGAAAATGTGGAAGTGACTTTGGAACTGGGTAATAGGTAGAGGTTGGAACAGTTTTGAGGGCTCAGAAGATAGGAAAATGTGGGAAAGTTTGGAACTCCTTAGAGACTAGTTGAATGGCTTTGACCAAAATGCTGATAGTGATATGGACAATAAGGTCCAGGCTGACGTGGTGTCAGATGGAGATGAGGAACTTCTTGAGAACTGGAATAAAGGTGACTCTTGATAAGTTTTAGCAAAGAGACTGGTGGCATTTTGCCCCTGCCCTAGAGATATGTAGAACTTTGAACTTGAGAAGGATGATTTAGTGTATCTGATGGAAGAATTTTCTAAGCAGCAAAGCATTCAAGATGTGACTTTTGTACTGTTAAAGGCATTCAGATTTATAAGGGAAGCAGAACACAAAAGTTTGGAAAATTTGCAGCTTGACTATGCCATAGAAAAGAAAAACCCATTTTCTGTGGGTGAAATTCAAGCTGGCTGCAAAAATTTGCATAAGTAGCAAGGAGCCTAATGTTATCCCCAAGACCATGGGGAAAATGTCTCCAGGCCATGTCAGAGACTTTCATGGCAGCCCTTCCCATCACGTGAAAGCAACCAGGAGGGAGGCTTTACCCTGTAAAGCCACAGGACCAGAGGCCCAGGAGGAAAAAATGGTTTCTTGGGACAGGCTCATGGTCTGCATGCTGTATGCAACCTAGGGACTTGGGTGCCCTGTGTCCCAGCTGCTCCAGCCTTGGCTGAAAGGGGCCAACATGCAGCTTGGGCTGTGGCTTAAGAGGGTGAAAACCCCAAGCCTTGGCAGCTTCCACATGGTGTTGAGCCTGTGGGTGTACAGAAGTCAAGAAACGGGGTATGGAAACCTCCACCTAGATTTCAGAAGATGTATGGAAATGCCTGGATACACAGGCAAAAATTTGCTGCAGGGATGGGGCCCTCACGAAGATCCTTTGCTACAGCAGTGCAGAAGGGAAATGTGGAGTCAGAGCCCCCAAACAGAGTCCCTATTTGGGACTAGTGGAGCTGTGAGAAGAGGGCCACAATTGTCCAGACCCCAGAATGGTAGATCCACTGACAGCTTGCACTGTGCACCTGGAAAAGCCTCAGACACTCAACATCAACCCATGAAAGCAACCAGGAGGGAGGCTTTACCCTGTAAAGCCACAGGGGTGAAGCTGCCTAAGACAATGGGAACTCACCTCTTGCATCAGCATGACCTGGATGTGAGGCCTGGAGTCACAGGATATCATTTTGGAGCTTTAAAATTTGACTGCCCAACTGGATTTTGGACTTGCATGTGCCCTGTAACACCTTTGTTTTGGCCAATTTCTCCCATTTGTTATGGCTGTATTTACCTTATACCTGCACCCCCATTTTATTTAGGAAGTAACTAGCTTTTGATTTTTCAGGCTCATAGGTGGAAGGGACTTGCCTTGTCTCAGATGGGACTTTGGACTGTGGACTTTCAGGTTAATGTTGAAATGAGTTAAGACTTTGGGTGACTGTTGGGAAAGCATGATTGGTTTCAAAATATGAGGACATGAGATTTGGAGTGGCCAGGGGTGGAATACTATGATTTGGCTGTGTCCCCACCCAAAAATCAACTTGAATTTTATCTCTCAGAATTCCCACATATTGTGGGAGGGACCCAGAGGAAGGTAATTGAATCATGGAGGCTGGTCTTTCCCATGTTATTCATGATAGTGAATAAGTCTCACAAGATCTGATGGGCTTATCAGGGGTTTCTGCTTTTGCTTCTTCCTCATTTCTCTCTTGCTGCCACCATGTAAGAAGTGCATTTCATCTCCCTTCATGATACTGAGGCCTCCCCAACCATGTGGAACTGTAAATCTAATTAAACCTTTTTTTCTTCCCAGTCTCAGGTATGTCTTTATCATCAGCATGAAAATGGACTAATACACCATCTTCCATTTCTTTCGTCAGTGTTTTATGGTTTTCATTATCTAAATCTTTTATCTGCTTCATTAAATTTTTTATTAGGTATATCTTTTTCTGTTGCTTTTGTAAATAGGATTGCCTTCTTGATTTCAGCTAGCTTTTTCAGCTAGTTTGATATTGGTGTATATAGAAAGGCTACTGATTTTTGTATGTTGACTTTGTATCCTGCAACATTAAAAAATGTGTTTATCTGAACTATGAGGTTTTTTGGTGGAGTCTTCTGGCTTTTCTAAATATAAGATCATATCAGCAGGGAAGAGACACAATTTGACTTCATCTTTTCCAAGTTGGATGTCTTTTATTTCTTTCTCTTGCCTGATTGCTCTGGCTATGACTTCCAGTGTTACATTGAATAGGATTGGTGAAAGTGGGCGTCTGTGTACTGTTTCAGTTCTTAGTGCACAGACTTTCAGCTTTTTCCCATTCAGTATGATGTTAGCTGTTGTTTTGTCATATCTAATCTTTATCATTTTGCAGTATCTTCATTCTATGCCTAATGTGTTCAGAGTTTTTATCATAAAAATGGTGTTGAATTTTATCAAATTATTTTCCTACATCTATTAAGACAATTGTTTGTTACCCTTCATTCTATTGATGTGACACATACTGTTTATTGATTTGCATATACAGAGCCATCCTTGCATCTATTGACAACAATTTAAAAAGTCAAACTCTGTAAAATATTTTTCAGAGATTTATTCTGAGCCAAATATGAGTAATTAAGGTCTAAGGCACAATATCTAGAGGCCCTGAAAGCATGTGCCCAAGATTGTTGAGTTACAGCTTGATTTTATACATTTTAGCAGAAGTTACAGACAGACATCAATCAATACATGTAAGGTATACATCAGGAAGAGGGGACAACTTGAAGTGAGGGTTTCCAGGTCATAGGTGGATTCAAAGATTTCTTGGTAATTGGTTAAAAGAGCTAAGCTCTGTCCAGAGAATTGAAGTCAGCAGAAATAAATGTTTGTAGTTAAGATAAGGGGGGTTGTGGAAGCCATGGATCTTGTCATGCAGTTGAAGTTTCCAGGTGGCTGGCTTCAGAGAGAATAGATAGTAAATATCTCTCATTAGATGCTAAAATGTGCCAGACTCATAGGTAATCTCTTCTGGATCAGAGAAAGACCTGGAAATGGAATAGGATTCTCTACAGAATGTAGATTTTATTTTGACAAGAGATAGCTTTGCAGGGCCTTTTCAAAATATGTCAAAGAAATACATTTAGGGGTAAAATACTGTGATTTCTTTCAGAGCCTGCTATCTGTTATGTGATGCTATACTACAGTCAGGTTGGAATTTTGTATCTTATTGCTGCAAAGAGTCTGTTTTGTCTCTTTTAAGATCTCTGCTTTAATGTTAATGCTGATTGGTTGTGCTTGAGTTCTAAAGGGCGGAGGGTATAGTGAGGCATGTCTGGCCCTCCCTTTCCATCATGGCTGGAACTATTTCTTCAGGTTTACTTTGGAACACCTTTAGATAGGAAGAAGGGTCCATTAAGTCAGTTGTGGGGCTTAAAACTTTATTTTTGATTTACTTATCTCTGGCATATATTCCACTTGATCATGGTGTATTATCTTTCTAATGTACCAGTGTTTTGTTGGGGATTTTTGTGTCTATGTTCATCATGGATATCAGCTTATAGTTTTCATTTTTATTGTGTCTTTGTCTGGTTCTAGATCAGGGCAAGGCTGGCCTCAAAGAATGAGTTGGGGATATTTTTCCTCCTCTTTAATGAAATACTTTGAGGAGGATTGGTTTAATTCTTCTTTATAAGCTTGGTATAATTCAGCAGTGAACCCATCTACTCCTGGGCTTTTCTTTTTTGGGTGACTTTTTTATTACTGATTCAATCTTATTACTTGTTTTTAGCATGTTCAGGCTTTCTATTTCTTCCTGATTCTATATTGGTAGGTTGCTTATTTCCAGGAATTTATCACTTTCTCTATGTTTTACAGTTTGTTAGCATATAATTGTTCAGAATAGTATTTGTTATGAATAGTCTCTTCTTTTGTATTTCTGTGGTATCATTTGTAATGTCCCGTTTCAGCTTATGATTTTGTTTATTTCAATCTTCTCCATTCTTTTCTTGGTTAGCCCAGCTAGTGGTTTATTGATTTTGATTATCTTTTCTAAGACCACCTTTTTGTTTAGTTAATACTTTGTTTTATTTTTTAAATGTTTATTTTGTTTAGTTATTCTCTGAGCTTTATTATTTTCCCTTTCTACTAACTCTGGGTTTGGTTTGCTCTTGCATTTTTAGTTCCTTGAGACACAGTGTTAGATTTTTCTTCAAATCTATTTTTTGATGTGTTTATTGCTATAAAATTTCTGCTTAGCACTGACTTTGCTGTATCCACAGGTTTTGATTTGTTGTGTTTTTATTTTCATTTGTTTCAAAATATGTTTTATTTTCTTCTTTATTTCTTCATTAACCCAATGGTCATTTTGGAGCATGTTATTTAATTTCCTTGTATTTGTTCAATTTCCAAGGTTCTTCTGGTTATTGATTTCTAATTTTACTCACTTATGGCCTGAGAAGATAATTCATATGATCTCAATATTTTTAAAAATTTTTGAGGATTTTTTTTGGTATGTGTGTCCTAACATGTGGTCTCTCTTGGAGAATGTTCTATTTGACTATGAGAAAAATCTGTATTCTGCAGCTGTCGGATAAAATACTCTATAAATGTGTATTAAGTCTATTTGGTCTAAAATGCCATTTAAAGCCAATATTTCTTTGTTGATTTTCTGTGTAAATCATCCATCTAATGCTGAGAGTAGGGTGTTGAAATCACCACCTATTATTGTAACAGAGGCTATAACTCACTTTAAGTCTAATAATATTTACTTTATATATCTGGATGTTCCAGTGTTGGGTGCACATATTAGAATTGTTAAACAATCTTGCTGACTTGGTTTATTATTACATTATGATCTTCTTTGCATCTTATTACAGTTTTTGACTTAAAGTCTTTTTTTATCTGTTACAAGTACAGCTTCTCCAGCTCACTTTTGATTTCATTTGCATGGAATATGTTTTCCATCCCTTTACTTTCAGTCTCTATTTCTAAAAGACAAAGCACATTTTATCTTTACAGCAAAGTGTGCTTCTTGTAGATAGCATATAATTGGGATATTTAAAAAAATCTATTCACCCAGTATATATATTTTTAAGAGGATCATTTAATCTGTTTATACTCAAGCTTATGATTGATATGTTAGGACTTATTTTTATCATTCTGTTAATTGTTTCCTAGTTGTTCTTTATGTATATATTATATAAAGATATATATTATTTACATAACATATATTGTGTATGTATATATATATTTTTCTTTTCTTTTCTTTTCTTTTTTCTTATGTTTTTGAGACAGGGTCTTACTCTGTTGCTCAGGTTGGAGTGCAGTGGCATGATCACAGCTTATTGTAGCCTTGACCTCCTGGGCTCAAGCAGTTCTCCTGTCTCAGTTTCCTGAGCAGCTGAGACAACAGGCATATGCCACGATGCCTGGACAATTTTTAACTTTTTTTGTAGAGATTGGATCTCCTTATTTTGCTCAGGCTGGTCTTGAACTCCTGGGCTCTAACAGTCCTCCTGCCTTGGCCTCCTAAAGTGCTGGGATTATAGGCATGAGCTACCGTGCCCAGCCTTTCCTTAGTTTTTTATGATTTTATTTCTGTGATTATTCTTTGGTAGCTTTCTGTAGTGGTAACATTGGAGTTCTTTCTCTTTCATGTTTTTGTACTTGCTTTACCAGTATGTTTTTATGACGGTAGATATTGTCCTATTGCTTTCAGGTTTACAACTCTGTGATGGTTAATATTAGCTATCAACTTGATTGGATTGAAGAACGCCTAGATAGCTGATAAGGTATTGTTTCTGGTTGTGTCTGTGAGGGTGTTACCAGAGGAGATTAAAATTTGAGTAAGTGGACTGCGAGAGGAAGACCCACTCTCAGTGTGTGTGGGCACCATTCAATCTGCTGCCAGCGTGGCTAGAACAAAGCAGGCAGAAGGTGGGATAAGCTAGTTTGTTGATTCTTCTCATTTCCGTCTTTCTCCCGTGCCAGAAGTTTCCTTCCATTCCTCTTGTGCTTGGACATCAAACTCCAGGTTCTTCGGCCTTTGGACTCTTGAGCTTACACCAGTGGTTGCCAGAGGCTCTCAGGCCGTTGGCTACAGATTGAGGGCTGCACTGTCAGCTGCCCTACTTTTGAGGCTTTTGGACTCAGACTGAGACACTACAGCCTTTTCTCTTCCTCAGCTTGCAGACAGCTTATCATGAGACTTCACCTTGTGATTGTGTGAGTCAATTCTCCTTAATAAACTCCCTTTCATATATACATATATCCTATCAGTCCTGTCTCTCTGGAGAACTCTAATACAGACTCCCTTAAGCATTTCTTGTAGAGCTTTTTTCTTGCCATTCTTACAATTCTCTCTTTGACTTTTGCCGGTTTGACTACCATGTGCCATGAAAATTACTTTTTCAGTTTTATTTCCTTGGGGCTTTCTGAACTTCCTGTATTTGCATGTTTAAATCTCTTGTTGGGCTTGGGAGTTTATCAGGCATTATTTTCTTAAATATGTCTTCTATGTCATTGTGCTTCTCTTCACATTTTGGAATGTTTAAAATTCATATAATTCATGTATTTAGTCATTTTATGGCATCTCATATGTCACATAAGCTTTCTTACTTATTTTTTTATTATTTTCTCTTTTCTTGGTATGAATTGGCAATTTCAAAATGTCTTCAAGTCCTGAAATTCTTCTGCTTGATATAATCTATGGTTAAGCTCTTGATTGTATTTTATTTTATTCCTTGAATTCTTTAGTTTCAGGACTTGTATTTGGTTCTTTTTAAAGATAGCAATCTTTTTTGAATGTCTCATTCATTCCTTGAATTGCTTTTCTAATTTCTTTGTATTTTTAATATGTTTTATTTTGTATCTCACTGAACTACTTTAATATCATTATTTTGAATTCTTTTTGTGGTATTTCATATTTTTTTCCCCATTTGGCTCTGTTGCTGGAGAATTATCACGTTCCTTTCAAGGTGTCATATTTTCTTGCTTTTTTATGTTTCTTATGTACTTATGCTTATGCACATCTAGTAACAGTCATTTCTTCCAATTTTTGGATTGACTTTCATAGGGGATGATTTTTTCCTGAAAGTGTATCTATGGTGTTCGTTGGTTAGAACAGTTTTGATTCTGAGTGAGTGCAGTAGCATAGTCTCTGTATAATTTCTTTGGCTATAAACAATATCAGTAATATCTGTGATTTCCTTAGTGGCTTAGGCTTGAGCTGTTAGTGAGGCTATGATGAAGCTTTGCTGAGGATGCAGACTCCAGGCGTGCCAGCCCTCAGGCCCCAGTGGTGGAAACAGTAGCCTGAGCTTGCTTGTCCTTGGGCCCTTGGGCAGTGTGCACTGTCATCAGTGTTAATGGGTCCAGGTGGGCTGATTCTTGATCCTCCAGGTGGCTTGCTTGGGTATCAGCAGTGGAAGAAATGCACTGAGTAGGTGGGCATGCATGTCTTCAGGCCCCTGGGCAGCATGTGTGGCATGGGCAATGGCACTAGCAGTGATGGGAAAAAACCCTGGGCTTGCAGGCAGCACAGGATGATATTTTCTGTGGCTGCAACAAGCTGAGTGGTCCAGTCTTCAGGACTCCAGGCGGTACAGTCAAGTGGGTGCTAGAAGTAGTGGTGGTGGCAGGCTGGGTGAGTTCATGCTCAGGTCTCCAGGAGGAGTGCACAAATGCCAGTGATGGTATATGGGGTGTGATAATCCCTAGGCCCCTGGGGCACTGGAGGAGCAGTGCCACACCAGGTGGACCTATCCTCAGGCTCTTCAGTGGTGCTTTTGGTCAGGAAAGGGTAATACTCAGCCCTCCAGGCAGTGTGCTTTTGTGGTGGCAGCTATGATAGCCACTGAGAGGGTTGGGGGAAGCCTGATCTCAGGTATATGCAAGTGCACAGTTGTCCTGCTGCTGTTGAGGGCTGAATTGCTGTCAGTGATAGCAGCTCCAGGCAGGCAGCTTTGGGGCTTTGTGAAGTGCATGTTTTTGTTCCCTTTGTCCTGGAGGCAGCCTCCTCTCTGTGCTTCACTTCCCATTTCTGGGTATATAGTACACTGTGTGGGTTAGAGTGCTGGGGACCCTGCTGCACTCCCGGGGGTCCAGTTGGTATTGCATAGCAGCAGCCCTCTGAGTGGACATGGGGAGATGTCAGTGTTTCCAGGGATGTAGAGATGCAGGAGCTGTTGGGCCCTCAGGCAGAATGCAGGCTGGGAGGCTGGGCACTCAAATGGCGCCATGCTCTAACTGCTTGGGTCTCAGGGGTGTGTGGGATCCAGCATGAGATCTCTCTCCCTGGAACAATGCCATTGCTCCCAATACTAGTCTCAGGGCTCACAGAAATGAGGGGCTCTTCTGTGGCTAGGGTTCCAGGAATCCATAGTGGGACTGTAGATTGCTGAATATCTCTCACTTGTCTTTTTCCTCTGCACTGGGAAGCTTCTCCAGGCTCCCAGATGATCCCAACTGAACCAGCTACCTCACTGTCCACTTCTTCCATTTCTCAGGTTTTTTTTTTTATTTCTCTACTGAATTCCAATGTTATCTCTTAGATGCTCCATTTGTTGTTTGATTACATACTCACTATTTCTGTTCTTTGTGGAGGAGGTGATGCCTTTAGTCAGATATCTTCTACTTTACTTCATCTTTAAATTGCAAAAGTACTATGTATTTATTATAATATTTCAAACAGTATAGAGATGTACACATTTCCTACTCTAACCCCAGGAAAGCAACATTCTAATTTTGATAACTGAGCACACGATATAAATTAGATTGGAGCCCTTGTGTGAATTGGAAATGATTTCCTGGGGTCCTCAGTTCATTCTCAGCAGCTACTAGACATGTTGAGAAAAATCTGTTCATTCTAATAATTGTGTCAGACTTGGATCATGGTTTGCTAATTGAGATAACCTTAAACAACATGAGAATAATAATCAGTCAGTCAGACCAACCCCTCTAAATTACCAACATGGATACATAGCCACTAATGTTACTCAGGCACCAATTGTCATAGGTAGTAAATCTCTTATGATTTTCTGCCAAATGCATATCTTTCTCAGATATTTGTTAACAAAATATTGGAAAAGTATTATCAGATATTCTCCACCCCAAGTAATTAAGAAACACCAAAAATATTGGGGAAAATTTGATGAAATGTTTTGAAATTAGATTGAAGAAAGAATTGAAATGAGATAGAATAGCTAGAAAACCTTTAAGACTTTAACCATCCACTTTAACAGTCTCCCTGTTAATATGCAGCAGCATAGGCCACTTGTATGAGAACAAAAGCCATGACTTAAAATTATAAAACTTTAAGGGACATTAAAATGTTAGGCTTATTTATCTTATTTTAAAGATAAGAGATGCTGAGAGAGTTTACATATCTTGAGGTCAGATTTTAAGATCAGACTGCTAGTTGGAGATACGTCTGTTTAAGAATGGACTCCTCCCAGTCTCACCACAGCTCTTTCCAGAAGCCGTGCATGGCATTTCTCTCCACTATTCTAGGGCTTGCTGAACAGTCTTGCTCTTTTCTAACCCTTAATACCCTTGCCTTTTGTGGGAAGTGATTGAAATAGAGAAAGAGAAAAAAGATCACAGGTGTGTATGTAAATATCCATGTATTCATTATTAAATTATTTATGAAGCACCAAATACGCCATTCTAGTTTCTGTGCATAAAACAGTGAACAAAGTGATTCTTTGAAGCAAATCAATAAATTTTTTATTATTTTAAAGCCTCCTCTTATATTAACTTGGACTTTTTAATCTTATCCATACTTCAACATTTCCATGCTTTTTTTCTGATTATAGAAATTTAATAATTTTAAAGAAGCGACTGTATATATCATAATTGCCCAATATAAAACTTAGATTTTTTATTTATTATAGGCATCAGTAATCCAGAATTCCAAGTATCTCTAGCATTTCCCAAAGGAATTCTTCATCCCTGGGATGCAACACTGGTTCAACATACACGAATCAATAAACGTAATCCATCACATAAACAGAATCAATGACAAACACCACACTATTATCTCAATAGATGCAGAAAAGGCTTTCTATAAAGTTCAACACCCCTTCAAGCTAAAAACTCTCAATAAACTAGGTATTGATGGAATTTATCTCAAAATAATAAGAGCTATTTATGATAAACCCACATCCAATATCATACTGAGTGGACAAAATCTGGAAGCATTCCCTTTGAAAACCAGCACAAGACAAGGATGCTCTCTCTCACCATTCCTATTCAACATAATATTGGAAGTTCTGGCCAGGGCAATAAGGCAAAAGAAAGAAATAGAGTGTATTCAAATAGGAAGAGATGAAGTCAAATTATCTCTGTTTGCAGATGACATGATTGTATATTTAGAAAACCCCATTGTCTCAGCCCAAAAACTCCTTAAGCCGATAAGCAACTTCAGCAAAGTCTTAGTACACAAAATCAATATGCAAAGATCACAAGCAGCATTTGTATACACCAAGAGTAGACAAACAGAGAGCCAAATCACAAGGAAACTCCCATTCACAATTGCTACAGAGAGAATAAAATACCTAGAAATACAATTCACAAGGAATGTGAAGGACCTCTTCGAGGAGAACTACAAACTACTGCTCAAGGAAATAAAAGAGGACACAAACAAATGGAAAAACATTCCATGCTCATGGACAAGAAGAATCAATATCGTGAAAATGGCCATACTGCCCAAAGTGATTTATAGATTCAGTGCTACACCCATCAAGCTCCTATTGACTTTTTTCACAGAATTAGAAAAACTGCTTTAAATTACTTATGTGAAGGAGAAATAAAATCCTTTACAGACAAGCAAATGCTGAGGGATTTTGCCACCACCAGGCCTGCCTTACAAGAGCTCCTGAAGTAAGCAGTAAATTTGGAAAGGAAAAAGCAGTACCAGCCACTGCAAAAAACATGCAAAAATTTAAAGACCATAGCCACTATGAAGAAACTGCATTAACTAATGGGCAAAATAACCAGCTAGCATCATAATGACAGGATCAAATTCACACATAATACTACTAACTTTAAATGTAAATGGGCTAAATGCCCCAATTTAAAGACACAGACTGGCAAATTGGATAGAGTCAAGACTCATTGGTGTGCTGTATTCAGGAGAACCATCTCACATGCAAAGACACACATAGGCTCAAAACAAAGGGATGGAGAAATAGGAACACTTTTACACCGTTAGTGGGAGTGTAAATTAGTTCAACCACTGTGGAAGACAGTGTGGTGATTCCTCAAGGATTCAGAACTAGAAATACCACTTGACCCAGCAATTCCATTACTGGGTATATACCCAAAGGATTATACATTATTCTACTACAAAGACACATGCACACGTATGTTTATTGCAGTACTATTCACAATAGAAAAGACTTGGAACCAACCCAAATGCCCATCAATGTTAGACTGGATGTAGAAAATGTGGCACATATACACCATGGAATACTATACAGCCATAAAAAACGATGAGTTCATGTCCTTTGCAGGGACATGGATCAAGCTGGAAACCATCATTCTCAGCAAACTAACACAGAGACAGAAAACCAAACACTGCATGTTCTCACTCATAAGTGGGAGTTGAACAATGATAACACATGGATACAGGGAGGGGAACATCACACACTGGGGCCTGTTGGGGACTTGGGAGCTAGGGGAGGGATAGCATTAGGAGAAATACTATCTGGTTGATGATAGGTTGGTTGATGATAGGTTGATGATGATGGGTTGATGGGTGCAGCAAATCACCATGGCGCATGTATACCTATGTAACAAACCTGCACATTCTGCACATGTATTCCAGGACTTAAAGTATAATAAAAAATTTATTCCAATCATAAAAAACACTCTCCATCAAAGCCAAAAATTACTCCACACCTGTATCATTGACTCCTCTACTGAAAATTGATCATGGCAAGTCTTCCTGCTGAGCTCTAAGATGACCTTTCAATTAGCTCAGTGTTCCAAACAGCAATCAATGGGAGATTTGCCATCCTGAGCCTATTCTGTAAAGAATGTTCCAAAGTTTCATCTGTTTTTCCAGAAAAAAAAGGAAATAATTTTGAACTAGGTAGGATAATCACATATTTCAGGATAGGATTTTGTAGCTAGGATAATCATATATTTCAGTTTGTTCATGACAGCTTCGGTTTTCATCCCAGCACAATTATTATCAGAACCATCTTCACTCTCAAAATTATCACAGTTTGGACAACAAATGATATCACTACTTTAGTTGTAGTGTATTATAAAGACCACGATGCAGGTTGTTTTGTTGTAGAAAAAAACGGGTTCTTGCCACACAACCAGGAAAAGTTAGTCACGTAGACAATTAGAAGGGTAAGGGGGAAGGGAATTAACTGGCAAAGGGGAAAAAGAAAAATAACTCTCAGCAAAGTCAGATACATAGAATTCTGCTCACAGGTTTTCTGCCTCACAGACTGAACCACCCAGGAACAGGAGAGGCCAGGCTCCTTCCTCCTGCAAACAGCGGGAACTTCCCAAGGCTCCACTCCATCCTTCCCGTGTGCAGACCAGTGGGAAATTCTCCTGGGACCTTCCCCCTTATCTTCCTCTTGCATCTATCAGTTTTAACTACGATGACCTTTGTGTTTGAATAACTATCTTGGAAACAAACAACAACAAACCTGATCGTCATGATGCATGTTTAAGTCCAGCTGTAGAGACATACCTATATTTACATAAAGAAATAGCTTCCTGGTCTGAGTGCCATGGCTCACATCTGTAATCCCAGCATTTGGGAGGATTGCTTGAGGCCAGGAGTTTGAGACCAGCCTGGCCAACAAAGCGAAACCCAGTCTCTGTTAAAAAAAAAAAAAAAAGTATAATTAAAGAAAAATAGTTCCTAGGCTTTTCAAAGAATAAAGCACATCTTCTGCACTTTTAGTTACCAATAGTTGTGCTATAACAATTAATTGCTTCCTCAAGTATCTAATTCTTGTGTATATAATAATTAGTTGAAATTTCAAGGAGTAAAATCCTAAAAGGTTTACTGAATATCCCATGTGGGTCAAGTTCTTTCTAAGTGATTGAAGCAATTCACTATCTTCAAGAGTTTTATTATATTCTTATCTTCAGATGAAAGTTTTAAAAATGATCTCATTCACATTAGACCGTCTTTTATGAACTAGTGCATATGCTTATGTTTATTTTTAATAAATTAATTTTTATGCCTTAAATTGAATTATGTATATTTGCATATAGTAAGTCAAGTTTATGTAATGCATGTTTATTTGTATAGTTGTAATAGAGTTTCTATTTTCTGAATAAAGTTTTGGTAAAAAACATTTTGTTTAGCCATTGACATTGGCTGCTAAGAAACAGCTTTCCTGATCTTTGTCTTCCTGCAAACACTCATGAATTAACTTACAAACAATAAAGTCCTGAAAATGTCAATGACTAAGTGATTTTTAATTACTTTTTGACTTATCTTCTTTGAAACTTTAAAGATAACCTTTTAACAGAAATCGGCAGTCTAATATGCCATTCATCAGAGCAAACCTTAAATCTGTAAAAACTGTAAAAAAATCTGTAAAACTGTAAAAAAATACCCTGTTACACACATTCACATACACACAGAGCATTTGCAAATAACTTCATAGTTTTTATAAACCTCAAAAACAATCATTGGAATCAAATTATTAGTTAAGACTTTCCCAGTTGAAAAAATATAAAACCAAGTCAAGCTGATTTTAATAAGAAACTGAGAAGCTCAGGGTAAAGCTCATTTCCAACAAAGTTGAAACCAGATGTTCAAATAGTGTCATCAGGAATCTGTGCCTCTGCTCTCCTGTGATAAGAGTGGCAAGAGGACCATCTGTAGTTTAGACATTCAATTTTAACACTTTTAATATCCTTGTGGGAAAGAGAGCTTCTTTTTGCAGTAAAATCCCAGGTTAGAGACTCATTGACCTGGCTCAACCCATATGCTAATCCTTGAACCAGTCACTATAACTAGTGTGCACTAGATGTTCTGCTGTTTGGGTATGAGTCACAGATCCATTGTTGGAGTAAATGAGGGGTGAGTGGGGCGGGGGGGAAGTTTATGAATGAATAATTGAGGTACTATCGGCAAAAGAAGTGAGGGATGAGATGCTGAGAATGGCAACAGAAACAATAGATGCCACTGGAAAACTCTAAGATTTCATAGAGTCCTGATTAAGAACTCTATTAAGGACAAAAAAAAAATGGTAAACAGTATAAATAAATTTTTATCATTATTCACATTTTAGATGGCAATGATAATATGATTTTTATCATTGAAAAAACATGTTAGAAAATATCAAGTATTTTTCTTACCAATGAATGTAAATTCTGTTTCCATCCACAATGCATATCTTCCAAATGCAGTTATTAGTTATATTTTTTAAGCATGGTTTTATAATAAGGTTTGGAGAGCTTTAGAATGGAAATATTTTTAAAATGTGCTAGCCAATGACAGAAGTGTTGGCTGCATTATATGTGCTAAAAATGTGGTAAACAATTCTGCTAAAATCTACTAAAAATAACTTGTAGGATTATGCAAAATTATTTCCTTATTCTGAATTGAATTAACTGTAAAGACTTAAGCCATAAATATCTAGGCTGTGTTGGAAAAAAGTCTGCTCCATGTTCCTCCTTCCAGTCTGTTAGGAAGGGTTCTATGGATGTCACTATTAATGCTCTGAAGAAAAAAGAAACAGAAGTGTAAGAATTGAAACATAAACAAAAGATTTTAGTTAGATTAAGTGGCCATTTACCTAAAGTCAATCAAAAACGGTCACAGTCAATAAACTATTTGGATTAATGATATAATTTAATGAAATCATAAAGTTGGTTAAAATAATGAATAGTATAAAATCAATATTATTCCCTTCTATACCAATTATAACCAAATATAAATGACAATAAAACACTTAAAATACCCATGTAGCTACAATGTATTTGGGACTTAGCTTAACCAAGAATACAATAAATTAATTTTCAACCAAGTATTTTGTGGAAAAATTTCACACTTAATAATAAACATAGAAGATGATCTGAATAAGTTGAGGGACATCACTGGCTTTGATTGACCACGTAAAATAATTATTTTTAATTAGTATATTTCTCTTCAGAGTTCACAGGAAAAAAGCTTATGAAGAGATTATCATATTTATTGGTAGCTAGAGAAATAACAACTATATAACTATATGTCATTTTAGATATATTAAGAACCCGGATAATGCCAAGTGTATCTCAGGATGTGGACTATAGGAGCTCTCATTGCTGCAGGCTTTTTAGAAAGCAGCCAAGCAGTACTTAGTAAAACCAAATATTCATATGCCTTATGAACTAGCAATTTATATCCTGGACGTATAGCTCAAAGACATTCTTATAGAAGTTCACATGAGAAAATGCACAGGTTATTTTTTGCAGCATTGCTTAAGATATTGGCAAGTTGGATTATCTCCAAACATCTGTAATTTCAGGATGGGTAGGTAGATGTGGTGGATGTACACTGTGATGTACTACTCGGAAACACTAGAGAATAGGTCAGATGAACACGCATGTTGAAAACAACATGCTTAGCGAAAAAAGTAAAAATCACTAACTCTACAGTTCAATATCATTTTAGTAAGCTAAAAATATAAGAACAAACACAATTCACTTTTATAAGACTACATAGAAATAAATTTATACATATCAAACATATTAGAATAATTCACCCTTTTGGAAGAGAAAGGAATGCATGAGGAATAGTTAAAATATACTAAATAATTGAATTGAAAGACTAATGGTGGTCATTTGCCATGAATTGAGGTGCATAATTAACTTTCTAAAACAGAGTGGAAGAGAGGGAGAGAGAGAAAATTTATTTTATAAAATATAAAAGTCAGTGGTCCCTACATTCAAGAGTTTTGCAGTCTAACTTCATCTACTATACTATAATGTTTAGAAGTGATTTTTTCCAGAATATTTTAATATATTTTTTCAACATATCAATATTTTGCACTCTAAACACAAGAACATTTTTAGAGTCATTGCTATGTTAAAATAATCTCTGTAACATTTTGGGCTTTCTTAAAGGTGGGTGCTGTTCAAGTGCATCCTTCCCAAACACTTACATAGTAGTGGGGCCTTCAAGCTGTTAAGAATTGTTGGGCAGGATAATCCTTAAGGCCTGTAGCAAAGATAAGTTTAATTCTTAAGATGCAAGTTATGATAGTTGTAAAGGCAGAGAAGCGGGAGTCTGGGGCCCATGCAATGGGGAAAGAATCCCTAGTTAATATGGTGTTGGGAAACTGCCTGGACATATGCAGAAAGCTGAAACTGGATCCCTTCCTTACACCTTCTAGAAAAATTCACTCAAGATGGATGAAAGACTTAAACGTAAGACCTAAAACCATAAAAACCCTAGAAGAAAACCTAGGCAATACCATTCAAGACATAGCCATGGGCAAAAACTTCATGACTAAAACAGCAAAAACAATGGCAACAAAAGCCAAAATAGACAAATGGGATCTATTTAAATGAAAGAGCTTCTTCATAGCAAAAGAAACTATCATCACAATGAACAGGCAACCTACAGAATGAGAGAAAATGTTTGCAATCTATCCATCTGACAAAGGGCTAATATCCAGGATCTACAAAGAACTTAAACAAATTTACAAGAAAAAAACAAACAACTCCATCAAAAAGTGGGCGAAGGATACGAACAGGCGCTTCTCAAAAGAAGACGTTTATGCAGCCAACAAACGTGAAAAAAAGCTCATCATCGCTGGTCATTAGATAAATGGAAATCAAAACCACAATGAGATACCATCTCACACCAGTTAGAATGGTGATCATTAAAAAGTCAGGAAACAGGACAGGCACGGTGGCTCACACCTGTAATCCCAGCAGTTTGGGAGGCCCAGGAGGGTGGATCATGAGATCAGGAGATCGAGATCATCCTGGCTAACATGGTGAAACCCCGTCTCTGCTAAAAATACAAAAAAATAGCTGGGCGTGGTGGCAGATGCCTATAGTCCCAGCTACTCAGGAGGTTGAGGCAGGAGAATGGCATAAACCTGGGAGGCAGAGTCTGCAGTAAGCCAAGATCATGCCACTGCACTCCAGCCTGGATGACAGAGCAAGATTCCGCCTCAAAAAAAAAAAAAAAAGAAAAAGAAAAAGAAAAAGGGAAACAGATGCTGGAGAGGATGGAGAGAAATAGGAACACTTTTACACTGTTGGTGGGAGTGTAAATTAGTTCAACCATTGTGGAAGACAGTGTGGCAATTCTTCAAGGATCTAGAACTAGAAATACCATTTGACCCAGCAATCCCATTACTGGGTATATACCCAAAGGATTATAAATCCTTCTATGATAAAGACACATGCACACGTATAGTTATTGTGGCACTGTTCACAGCAGCAAAGACTTGGAACCAACCCAAATGTCCATCAATGATAGACTGGATAAAGAAAATGTGGCACATATACACCATGGAATACTATGCAGCCATAAAAAAGGGCGAGTTCATGTTCTTTGGAGGGACATGAATGAAGCTGAAAACCATCATTCTCAGCAAACTAACACAAGAACAGAAAATCAAACATGGCATGTTCTTACTCATAAGTGGGAGCTGAACAATGAGAACACATGGACACAGGGAGGGGAACATCACACACCAGGGCCTGTTGGGGTCTGGGGAGCTAGGGGAGGAATAGCATTAGGAGAAATAACTAATGTAGATGATGGGTTGATGGGTGCAGCAAACCACTATGGTACATGTATACCTATGTAACAAACCTGCACGTTCTGCACATGTACCCCAGAACTTAAAGTATAATAAATAATAATAATAATTTTGGCAAATTGGGATAGAAGCCCAAATGAGGAAATTATTTGTAGGAATATAGAGGGGCACAAAAATATTTTTTTGCAAAGTGGTATCTGTCTGGAAGGGGGAACCTAGAAGTCAAAGCAAGTTTTAGATGGGAAGAATGTGGTCAGACTGAGTAGTACAGAAAAAGAGATATTTAAAGACTTGATAGCTACATTGCAAGTAATTCATTTTTCTTCAAGCTAAGGGAAAGTAGAATGCTTTGACAATGGAAATAAGAGGTAAGTTAATTCTAGTGGTTACCAACATGTAATTGAGGATCACATGACCTCAATATCTGCATCTATCATAGAGGAATTATAACAATGTTAAGCTCATAAATATATTTTGAGGATTAAATGAGTTAATTCATGTATAGGACATGGGGCATAGCAAACATTTGATAAGTGCCACGCATCATCATCAGTACATAGCAAGCATTCAATAATACTAGTTGTCAATGTCACTGTTAACATGAAATGGAATTTCTGTGACACTAACTCTATACTACTCTTAAAACTTTGCTTCTTTATTTCTAAAACAAATCATTCATTTCAGCTCATTCATTTCTCAGGTGCTTAAATGCATAGGAAAATATTATTTCTTCCTTCAAAGAGAAATAGAAAAGGAAATTTATGATTAAGAGACAAGATCCAGAAGCACTAATATGTAGTTCCCTTGAGGAAACTTACAGAGATGCAAAGAAGAGGATCTATAATTTACCTTCAAGGGAAGTGGGATGGAAGCGATATTTGTCAGGTAGAAGTAGAGAACCAGAGCAGAGCAATGTCAGAATGATTGCACAGAATAGAGAATCAAGGGACCTGAATGTTGTGGTTCTGCTATCTAGCTATTGAATGCATTTGGAGAATTACTTTCTAGTTTTAGTTTTCAGATGATCAAAATGCAGATGATACTTTGTTTCTTAAGAAAAAATCGAAGTTTACTGGATCTGTCAATTAGGCTCTGTGGCTGCATGTAGTGACCTAAAAACAATTTCCTAACCAAATAACTATGTATTTTCCTCACTTACAAGAAGTCTGAAGAAAGTAAGTCCAATATAGGTGTAGCATCTCCACAATGTCATTCATGTCCTGGATTCCTTCTTTATGCACCAAAATAAACTTTAAATCTCCAGTAGACTTCCAAACACATCTTTTTTTGTCTGCACTCTGCCACATGGTAACCTCAGCTGCCACTGGGTGTATAAACTACCCTCAGAATAATTTCAGAGTAATTTGGATAAAATAGCAGAAAAACTTCAAATTAAATATTAAAATAAAATTTATATGCTACTAAGAGTGAATACAGAGTATTTAATATGTGCCAGATCCTGGTGTAAGGGCTTTTTGTATATTAATTCATTTCACACTTTCAGAAGACTTATAGTATGTATCACTGTTATCCTATTTTACAGATGGGAAAACTGAAAGACGTTTGCTCATGATCTCTCAGCCATCCTGGCTACAGGCTCTGGGTTTCTAAGTCAACACTGGTTTCTACATATAAAATTAAAGCAAAAAATAATTGAAATGTTTAATTCCTAAATTTGGAATATTAAAAATGCATTTCTTCCAGCTTTAATAATTCTAGAAAAAGTTCAGAAATGTAAACATCATGTAAAAACTTTTTTTGTCTTCCTTATACTATCTTCTACTACTCCTTTATTGCTAGTATAGTGTCCTTTATTTTTTAAGACAACTTCAAAAATATAGTTGAAAATGTAAATGCTTGCTGGGCTACTGCTATTTTTTAAATCTTGATAAAATAAGCATTTAAACTTGTTTTATTGTGTTCTACATTATCTTATCTGGTTATTTGACTTATTAGATATAATATTTTAACATATAAAGAGAGAAATATTACCTTAAGAAAGAAACAGTTATAAAGTGATTGTAAAGATTTATATTTCAGAATATTTTGACAGTTCTATAATGCACCTTTGGAAATACGTTCTTGTCATATGCTTTGTCTTACTCAACAGCAATTTAATGCCAGCTGTGTAGCTTTAGTTGCAGTAAAATCAATTTTAATTTTAGTTCTATGTCTAAAAGTATATTTGTTAAATAAAATTGATGTCAATTCACCTCTACCCGAGTTTAGGTTTCGACAGATGTGTCAAAACAGAGAATCTTAAAATGATAGTGTTTGTCTTTAATTTGCCTTCATCAGATTGCAAAACTCATGTATCCCAATTATATATAGAAAATACATATATATTTTTCTGCTTTTTGATGCTCTTAATTCCTATTATAATAATCCCTGAACTTAAAGATAATGCACATGGATAGAATGTTGAAGTCACTACATCTACCATTTAGGTTCATCCCTATTTTATTTCTCTCAAAATATAGTCCATGCCTCAAAATCATTTGAGGAACTAATTAAAATTGCATATAACTCCAAACATATAATCATATTCTCTGAGGGCAGGCTCCAGAAATTGCATAGTAAAATGCGTACTAAAATTTGAAGTTCACTGCAACATTATGCTCTGCATTTTAGTGACTGTTAGAAATCCGGAGAGAACAGGCTCTTCTGTGTGATTTCTTTTATTCTTCTGGCAGAAATCCTTCAACAGAGTAGAAAACTAGAACAAGAAAAATGCCTTCTGATTATTTAAGCATTAAAGCAATGCTTATTTTAGTGGGCTTTGTGAAATAGGGACATTTAAATTAAGCCGTCTTTCCCTGGGAACCATTCGGTTTTCATTGCCCCACTTCTAATAGGCAGCATGTCTAAGATGATTCAACCTTGGTCTCTTAAGTGTGGCACAACTCTGCCAGAATGTCCTGACTAAGAGGACATCCAACCCATTTAGGAGGTTTGGGTAATTTTTGGTTGTAAAACTTGAAGAGTTTCTTGTTTTCTTTATTCATCTTGTATGATGACTATTTTACCTTTTTTCTTGTCTCTCAAACCTGAAAAAATAATGAAACCTTTAGAAGAGACTTTCTTCACTTTCCCGACACCAAAACTGCACACTTTTCTTTCTCTGCACCAATTTGCTACTTGTTGTCTTCTCAAAAACACAAGATGTCACCTCATCTATAAAAAGCCAATCTAGAAACCAAACTCCTACTGCATTTTTAAGGACTTCTCTCCCTCTATCTCTGCTACTGACCCTTCCTATATTATTAAATTCTTCCCTCTACTGGATCTAATTAATTTCATTTAAAATTTACATCATTCATATTCTATATTTATGTGTAATTTGGATTTATATCATCCATATTTATATCATGAGATTTATATATACAAGTTTTAAAGACTTGTGTCTCCAATTGCCCACTACGTACCTAAAACGTGGATGTTTTACAAGCATTGTAATCTTCATGAGTTCAAAACTAAACTACTGGTTTTCCTCTGCATATCCCTTGCTCTTTTATTTTTACCTTTTCCAGTAAATGGCACACATGTAGTTAGTCAAGACAGAAACTCGACATCTTAAATTTTATCCTGCAATATTAATATCGACTTCCCAAATAATGCCTCTAAATCTTCCATTTCTATCCATGCCAACCATCATCATCCACCATCATTATCCTAATGAAATTATCCTAAATTTTGTTACCTATCTCCTGAGCAATTTAATGGATTTCTGATGGTTTTCCCAATTTTTCCATTACCTCTTCTAATCTATTATTCACCAAGCAGCTGAAATAATTATTATTAGCATTCTTGCATCTTGCCTTTTTACCTTTCAATTTTTACTTTTTCTAGCTTGGTTGAGGTATAATTGACAAATAAAAATTGCATAATTTTGAGGTATACAGCATGGATGTTTTAATATAGGTTTACTTTATGAAATGATCACCACCAGCAAGCTAATGAACATATCCATTGCCTCTCATAGTTACCATGCTTTTTGTGATGAGAACATTTAAGATCTACTGTCCACAAATTTCAAATGTACAATACAGTACTATTAACCATAGCCTCCAGATCTTACTCATCCTGCATAGCCGTGCATATCTACAACCATTAGCATACTTTGTATTACACATAGAATGAAAGCAAAACTTCTTACTGCCTATAGTACCTTGTACAATCTGGGCTTGAATTTCTTCTCCAAACTCATCTCAGCTCCTTCTCTGCTACATTTGAAACACACTAATCTCCCTCGTCTTCTGTACATTTTTAGGCTCAACCAAGCACTTTCTCAACTCAGGGACTTTTCAAACACTTTTCTGCCTAGAATTCTCTGTCTTGCTGCTTTTATAAGGATTGTTCCATCAGACCTGGAATTGATCTTCTGTTCCTTGGGAAGTCTTTTCTTGTTTATCCCTATGTAAGTTCCCCATATATTTCCTCAGTTCATCTTGGGTGTTTTCTTCTTGTCATTTATCAAAATTTGCAATTATGCATGGCTTTAAAAATTGTTTATTGTCTCTCTCTCATTAGGCAAAAACCATCATAGTGGTAGGGATGGTGTCTGTTTTCCTGATCAAAAAATATTTGAAGTTTGGCAAAGTGCTAAAACAAATGGAGTTGTGTTTTAAATAATCCTTTAGGAAATATACTGGCTGTCCAGTTAGAAATCTCATATTGGCAGAAGTCTCTTTGGACATAAAATATAACATTGTAAAGAAAACGTAGCTGATGGGAGGGTAAGACCATGTCTTCTATGTCTTCAGCAAGTATCTGTTCCTAGTGTCAAGAATCAGAGGTATGCATGGCTTGTTGTGTCTTGGTTTAAGCCAATTATATGTGTTCTGTGAGTTTTTTTTTAAACTGGGAGTTTACTGACATGTCAGAGCACAGAAGTTTACAAAAAAATCTTCTAGTCTTTATCATCTTAAATCTGTATTCGTTCAGTTCTTCTTATGGGTGTTCCGATCTTAGATTTGCTATTCTATTTATTTATTATTATTATTTATCCATATTTACAATAAGTATTAAAGTGATTTTTCTAGGTGTCTGTTTTTATACATACTTTTCTGGCCATTTATTCAATAATAGTGAATACCTCCCAGATACTTAACATGATACCAGGCAATAGAAATGTCTATGATAGTAAGGCCTATTCAGTGCTCCCAAGAGCTTGAAGGCTGTGGGAGAAAAAGGTAAACAACAAAGTTCAGAAGGCTATATAGTGTGTAAAGTGTGGAATGATTGTTTCTACATGTAGAAATGAGAGGGAATTTTTTTATAGATTCATAGAGGAAGTGGCCAAAGCAAAGCATTTCTTCTGTCCCCCGTTAACCCTGGGCCTGGCTCCCTCACCTGCTTTCTTTATTACTCAATTTTATTCCTTTTTTTCACTTGATTAAAATGATTTTTGAGTGCACTGAGCATTACTATAATCTAATGAACAACATCATTCTTGTTAAAAAAAATTCCTAGAGAAAAACAGAAAACACATTACTGTTTCACTACTTCACTTAAATAAAAATGATAATTACTTTTAAAAATGCAAGATTTCTATGTAGTTTTCATCATTGAGATTTCTTATTTCTAAATCATCAACCATTTTTTCTTTTGTATGTATAAATGTATTTTAATGTACATCAAACATATATATATACACATTTCAATCTAAGCATGAGATTTTATGAATATAATTGTGTCAAGCCAGATTAACATGCATGACTAAGTAAACAATTAGGAAATAAATTCTAAGCAAATAACTGCAAAGGTGGTATATGGAAGTGGCAAAATTGTGATAGTGGAATTTAGGTGAGTAAAGTTTAAAAAGTCCTGGACTAGATGCTTTTCATGGTCATTCTGAGCTGTAACATTAAATGCTTTTATGAAATCTCGTTATTTTGGGAGACACTGAAACTTCTGAGGCTGAAGTGTATATGGAAATAGTATCAAAAAACTCCATCTAGAGATCGCCTAAGAAAGCTCAGAACTTTATCTGAGATGTGCATTAAATCCCTTAGAATATGAGCATGGCCTTTAGGGCAAACATTTGCTCCTGCAGGACAGGTGGGGTCAGTAGGGTGAGGGAAAGTAAACTGTAATGGCTGCAAATAAAGATTCCCTGAAGGGATACTGAGGTTCCTAGGGCATGAAAATAACTCTTATCACAAAAGTAAACTTTTTGGTGCAGATTATACTAGTGAAAATATTGAATCATCTTTCTATTCTTCCTGTGTAAAATGGTTCAGAAATCATAATTATATGAAGAAAATTTCAAAGAATAAAGAGCAAAAGAAATAGGAAAAGCATAGAGGTATATCAGAAAGTCAATTAATAAAAACCATGTATGTGCAGATTCTTGGGATTTTTTTACATATGTCAGTTTTTTTGAGTTGCAATTTGCTGTGATGCACTTCCTTATTGAAAATAAATATTCACCCCTGCATTTAAATTTTTTGTGGAGACTCTAAAATTTAATACATTGTTCAGACTGTAAGTGTAACCATGACTTTGTGGTTTCAAGATATGCGATTCAATTAATTTCCCTGTAAAGAAGAGCAAGGAGGCCGGGCGCGGTGGCTCACGCCTGTAATCCCAGCACTTTGGGAGGCCGAGGCGGGCGGATCACGAGGTCAGGAGATCGAGACCATCCCGGCTATAACGGTGAAACCCCGTCTCTACTAAAAATACAAAAAATTAGCCGGGCGTAGTGGCGGGCGCCTGTGGTCCCAGCTACTTGGGAGGCTGAGGCAGGAGAATGGCGTGAACCCGGGAGGCGGAGCTTGCAGTGAGCCGAGATCGCGCCCCTGCACTCCAGCCTGGGTGACAGAGCAAGACTCCGTCTCAAAAAAAAAAAAAAAAAAAAAAGAAGAGCAAGGAATGAACTTCTTTCTTTTTTTTCTGTTTTTGGTCCCAGCAGAATTTCTTTTATTTGTGCATGGTTTTAATACAAAACTTAAATATTCATTAATTATATGAGTCAAATTTTATTTTGGTAAAAATATCTCTGTAACATGAAATATATATGGCATAAAATTTTATTTTGGTAAAATAGTCGCCACTTATTTTGTAGTGTACAAATTGGTGACATTAATCACATTCACAATATTGTGCAACCAGCATCACTATCTATCTCAAAATGTTTTCATCTCAAACAGATATTTAGTAACCATTAAGCAATAACTCCTTAATGACCCCTCACCTTTGCCCCAGTAATCCCTAGTTTACTTACACATTTTTCCATTCAATATTTCATAAAATTGCAATAATAATAATAGTCCCCTTTTATCTTGCTTATTTCACTAACATAATGTTTTCAAGGTTCATCCTTGTTGTAACATGCATCAGAGGTATTTCTTTTTATTGCTGAATAATATTCCACTGTGAACATATACCACATTTGGATTCATCATTCAACTATTGATAGATACTAGAGTCATTTCCACCTTTTAACTAATGTGTGTAATGCTGAAATAAATATTGATATACAAGCATCACTTTCTGGACCTGTTTCCAGTTTTGGGGGGTACATATCTGAAGGTGGAATTGCTGGCATATATGGTTTAACTTTTCAAGAAATGGCCAAACTTTTCCATAGAGTTGGTCTATTTTACATTCATATAAGCAATGAATGAGAATTTCAGTTTCTCCAATCATTTTTAAAATTATGTCTATCCTAACAGGTATAAAATGATATCTTATTACGGTTTGGATTTGCATTTTCCCCATGATTGATGATGTTGAGCAACCTTTCATGCGCTTACTGGCCATTTGCATATCTTCTTTGGAGAAATGTCTATTCAAGTCATTTGACCATTTGTTTTCACTGGGTTGTCTTTGTGTTTTTGAGTTTTAGGAGTTTTTGTTATATACTCTGGATATTAAACCCTTATCAGATGCATGATTTGCAAATATGTTTTTCAATTATGAAGGTTTTCTCATTCTACAGGTTGTCTTCTCAATTTTATAATAATGTCTTTAAGTTACAAAAGTTTTTAAGATTGATGAAGTTCAGTTTATTTTGTCTTTTGTTACTCGTGCTTTCAGAGTCATATCTAAGAACCTATTGCCAAATCTAAATTCATGAAGATTAATACATTTTATTTTTAGAGTTTTATAGTTTTAGTTTTTATACTTAGATCATTGATCCATTTTGAGTTAATGTTTCTATGTGATATGAGGTAGACCTCCAATTTCATCATTTTTTATGTGGAAACCCAGTTGTCCCAGCACCATCATTTGAAGGGACTGTTATTTACCCACTCGGTGGACTTGGCATTCTTGTCAGAAATAAATTGCGCAGAGATATTTGAGTTCATTTATGGATTTCCAATTCTATTCCATTGATATATATGTGTATCCTATGCCAGTCTTTTGCTCAATTTTGCTTTCTTTTTTTCTTAACCCATTTCCCATTTAGAAAAAAAAAAAAAGTGCAGCTTGCTGCCAGCACAGTATTCTTGGGGCAAATGGAAAATGATTTCAAGAGGCCTTTCTCTAAGTTACATAAGTGAATAGTCCTCATGACCTGGATCTCTCAGTAATATTATCTGAGGAACTGTAAGGATTATTATTTTTTTATGTTTGACTTATGTTTAAGTTTCTGTCTCTTTTAAAGACATAAGTAATGCCATGTACTTTTCATGATTTTTGTGCATCCATGTTTTCTATGTTTATAAAAATATTCAAACAAATCATTGTCGATATGGGGCCTTATTCTTTACAGGGCATGTGTCTTGAAGTTAGAAGTGATATTCAGTCTCAGCTTTCCTCCACTAGACTCGTTAGTTCTCCAAAAATAATTATAGAGATGAACCGGAAAAGGAAAGAACTGAAAGCTGAGAGAGGTCGGCCTTTATGGAAAGGAGAGAGAGGATCCTGCCAGAGTTGATGGGGAGGCTGTATGAAGCAGGGAAGTGCAATGAAGTTGTACTAGCTCTCTCTCATGAAGAGCATAAAGGTCATACATTTATTTGAAAGGAAGTGAAAAGGCCAGGAGCGGTGGCTCACGCCTGTAATCCCAGCGCTTTGGGAGGCAGAGGCAGGTGGATCACCTGAGGTCGGGATTTCGAGACCAGGCTGACTAACATCGTGAAACACTGTCTTTACTAAAAATACCAGATTAGCTGGGCCTGGTGGCGCATGCCTGTAATTCGAGAGGCTGAGGCAGGAGAATCGCTTGAACCCGGGAGGTGGAGGTTGCGGTGAGCAGAGGTCACCGCCATTGCCATTGCAGTCCAGCTTGGGCAACAAGAGCGAAACTCCGTTTAACCAAAAAAAAAAAAAAAAAAAAAAAAAAAGGAATGCTAATAGTCTGAGGGCCTAGGCTATCTAACTTGCAAGATCTATCTGAGGAGACTTACTGAACACTGTTAAAATTAAAATAACAGAGAGATATCAAGTATAAAAATGACAGTGTGATATCTTTCAAAATAAATTCACCTAGGCTAAAATGAAAATATGCCATAATTACTACTCAATTCCATTATTTATTCAAAAATATATTATCAATTACCCTACTATGTGCTACATGTTCTAGAAACTGGGGGGTCATAATAATGAATGTACTGTGGACAGTCCACATACAGAGACTGTCATAAAATGTTATCATGTAAGTAATTATTTAATTATAATTTCAATAAGTATTACAAAGGAAGATTGTGCAATGAAAGCATAAAACAGGTGCAAAAATTAATTTTAGACGTTTAAGAAAACTGGAAAAAGTGATGCTTATGCTAAACTTGAAGGAGAAGTAGGAGAATCCAGGGGAGAAGGAAGAAGAGGCCTGATTATTCTGAGGTAAAAAGATATTTTTGACATTAAAGGAATGGAAAGATGCTTAAAGGGGCCTTAAAAAAAATCTAAAGAGAGCTCCATAGCTAGACCTAAATACAGTGTAAAATAGAAATAGAGTATTCTTAATGTAAAAATAAAACATTTTTGGAGCATACAAAAGCCTCACATCTGCAGTGTGTGCGTGTGTGCGTGTGTGTGTGTGTGTGTGCATGTCTACAATGTTACATCCATAACTAAGAAAGATTCTAGCATGAAAGCCACTTAACTTTAATATGCTGTGTCCTCTTGGTGAAGAACTGCCACTTCACATCAGTCTTTTAACTAATTTTGTGTTTAAAAGGAACAGTTTTAAGGGAGTTATTTATTTGGGTCAGAGTTTCTCTACTTTAGATGTAGTTTTAATTTTTAAAGTACTCTATTATATAGCTTATTTGTTAAAAATTTATATTAAGGTTAAGAGATTCCAATAACATTGACTGATTAGTTTTTATTGCAGTTCATTATTTATACAATTTATTCTATTTTTATATAGAATATCTTCAGATGAGTAACAAAAATGACTGTTAAATTGTCAGACATCAGTAACAAATTAAAAGTTCTTCCTCAACTTTTATGTGTTGGTAGAAGAATCTCTCTGGTATTGCCATTTTGAGTCACTGTAGTCTATGCTTGTTGGATATGAGTGGATTTAAAATACAGCTTTACGTTTTGAATTAGGAGTGCTGAATACTACCTTATTGTTAACAATATGCCTTTTAAATACTTTGCATATAAGAGGGCAATTTTCAAGAACAGATTAGAATCTAGGATAGTATTTTCTGTCATTATGTCTTTCCTAACATTTTATGTGCTATGTAAAAAATGTCTTGTAATTAAATACATTTGAAAAAACTTACATTAAACGGCTTTGTTTCTCTTTAATTGTAGATGTTCTCAGAATCTTTAATACGGGAATGTGTATGGTCAGTATAGAATGCAGCCTACCTCGGATTTCAGAAACTGATCTGCACAGAACAGCCATGCAATGCCATTTTGGATAATGCTCATCTGTAAAAATATATATAGACTTTTCCAGAAGATTGAGGGAGAGGTGATATATTAAGAAAAAGAGATGAATGAAATTATGAAAACCCAGAAAGAATGACTTCAGGTTTTTTATAAAAGCAGAGCACTGAAGGAGTTAAAATGATGCCACCGCAAAATATGCTACCATTCTGGCATATTGACTATTTTGAGTTAAGAGTACTTGAAAAACAGCAGGTGCAACAAGATCACTTTGAGATTCCTTCTCTTTCTTAACAACAGGTGATGACAGTCCCACATGAAAGATGTCCTCCCTGTACCAGAAGGAAGGCAATATTATTATGACCAAGGACAGGAACTTGAAACCCAGAGAATTCTGTACAGACCTTGTTAGAACAATATGTATCTTCTTTTAGCCTTCCCAGATAATTTAGTTACTTTTTCACAACTTCCTACTATTTGTCAAATTCAATATGTAAGTATTCAACTCTAATTGCATCTTTGGGCCTTTATTTCCTTATGAAGGCTCCTGTGCCATATGAAACTTGTATTAACTAAATTTTCATGCTTTTCTCCTGTTGATCTGTCTTATGTCAATTTAATTTCAGGTCTAGGAAAAAAATAACAAACTTAAAAGAGTAAAAGTAAAATTTTACCTCCCCTACAGCACCCAATAATCATGAAATATGGATAATGCAATGAAAAGCCAAAAAATATATAAATAAAAAGGAAAATGTAGTGTTGGACCTAAACTAACTGATGATCTTTCTAAAATTTGGGCTGGCATATATTTCTTTATATAGAGAAGTCTGTCCCTCACCATGTGAATATCACCTCTCCTACTCTTCCAATCTACTGTGATTAGAAAGGAAAGCAATGCAACATAATTTTAATGGCTTTCACATTGCCTGAGTTTGGTTTGACTTCAGGCATGTATATTTAATGCCCATATGTTTTGTTGCTAAATCTCTATGCAGCCCTAGTATTAAAATGCATTATGCATGAAAAGTTCAAATGAAAGAAAAATAAGACAGAGGGATCTGGATAGAGAGTATCCAAGGTTCTTTTGAGAGTAAACTCAAAATACATTATAAGAAAAAGCATAACCTCTGTGATTTTAATATAAAACTAGCAATGTCTTCAAGAAGGGCAATGCCTTTGTTCCTGAAGTCCTGCTTTTGTATTGCATAACTGTAAGATAAAATTTGATCTCACAACTGCAAATAAAGTTTTGATTTGAAAGTTTACTTATTTTAACATAAAGACTTCAAAATAACCAGTGAATTGTTCAGAATTTCAAGTAAGCTGCATGCTTTTCTGGGTGAATAGTATTTTAAAATTCTCAGTGTTATATCTTCTGTGAAAGTCATTCAAAATTACAAATTTCAAGTAGACTATAAACTAGATTGCAATTCTTTTAGAATACAAAATAATAGTTTTAAAGTTTTTACTAGCTAGCTATAGTGGTAATATAATAAATATAAATTATATAAAACTTCTTTGTTTAATAAACAAGTCTCTTCTACTGAGAAGTGAATTTAAGGTTGCTGTGTATGTGGCCAACAAACATGTGAGAAAGAGCTCACCATTACTGGTCATTAGAGAAATGCAAATCAAAACTACAGTGAGATACCATCTCACACCAATTAGAATGATGATTATTAAAAAGTCAGGAAACAACAGATTCTGGAGAGGATATAGAGAAATAGGAACGCTTTTACACTGTTGGTGGGAGTGTAAATTAGTTCAACCATTGTAGAAGACAGTGTGGTGCTTCCTCAAGGATCTAGAACCAGACATACCATTTGACCCAGCAATCCCATTACTGGGTATATACCCAAAGAATTATAAATGATTCTACTATAAAGACACATGCAGCACTATTTACAATCGCAAAGACTTGGAACCAACCCAAATGCCTATCAATGATAGACTGGATAAAGAAAATATGGCACAAATACACCATGGAATACTATGCAGCCATAGAAAGGATGAGTTCATGTCCTTTGCAGAGACATAGATGAAGCTGGAAACCATCATTCTCAGCAAACTAACTCAGGAACAGGAAACCAAACACTGCATGTTCTCACTTATAATGGGAGTTGAACAATGAGAATACATGGACACGAGGAGGGGAACATCACACACTGGGGCCTGTAGGCAGTAGGGGGAAAGGGGAGGGATAATATTAGGACAAATACCTAATGCATGTGGGGATTAGGGGTTGATGGGTGCAGCAAACCACCATGGCACATGTATACTTATGTAACAAACCTGCACGTTCTGCACATGTCGTCCAGAACTTAAAGTATAATAAAAAAGAAGATTGTTGTGTAAATCCATTCAGTGCTCACTGTCTTTAATTGCTTTTATATAATTCAGTATAAAAATAGAATTTATATCTTATATTTAACTATTTTATAGTTTTGAGAAATTGTCCCTAGAATACAAGAAGAAAAAAGAACTTACTGTAAAACAGCATCTTTTCACTTACCATCCTACATATAACAGTTCAAAGTATCAGCTATTTTTAAACATTTGCATCAGTTACTTTTAAAAGTTGAACCATTCAATTCTTGCATAATAAAACAATATTGAAGTATAATAATGATTCCCATTTAAGTCTTCCTCTTAATCAACTTAGGAAGAATAACTCTGAAGGCTCATTGTTCTTTTCTCATCTTATTGTAATTCCTCTCTCAATCTCTTTTAGGCATTCAGTGTCCTCCTCTTCCCCTCCTGCTTGGACCCTACTATCATGAATGTATCCATAACTTGTTATTCATGCAAAAGTATAAATAAAGTTTAACAACCCATAATTTTACAGAGAATTAAATCATTAGAGTAGATTTATTTTGGAGACATTGTAGGCATCAGCCAGGAAAGTTTATGCATATATTGGTAACTTATCTCTAAAATGTTATATATATATATATATATTATATTTTTATAGAATTCTAGCAATCTTTAGAGCCAGGATTCCTGATTTTCCTGAGGGTAAGAAACACGTTAGTTCTTTTATAGCCATTCCTATGGCTCTAAAGATTTGACATCCACTTCTAACTGATTATAATGATTTCTGAAACTTGGAAAGTCATTTCCAGTATCTAATAAGGTCTTTCTCTCTTAAGGCCCTACAGACTTAAGACTCTCCAGTTCCTATGGCCCTTCCACAAGTGTAGGCTGAATTCTCCAGTATGGTTTCATTATAATAGAAAATTATAATAATAAAGTTTACCAGTGAGAATATTCTATGCTATGAAAACCTATTGTATTTGTTTTTATTCATATATAAACCATGTATGTATTTTTTTTCTGTAGATATAAGAAAAGCAAATTAGCCTTTGGTCAATGTACTTGGAGGTGTTCTTTCCCTGGGTTCACAGTTCCCTGGCTAGAGCACAGTGGAGAAAACTCAATAGTGGGAAGGATTAGAACTGGAAATATATGAAGCCTGGAAGGAAAGCTAGTTCCTTACACATTTCTCATCCTGTCACTCATTAGCTAACTCAAATCATTTTAGCAAGTTTTTCCTTTCCTCCCTGACAGCTCAACCTACTTTCCTGCCTTGAGAAACCTTACCTTAGAATTATAAGCATGAAGCATAGAAAATGAGAACAAGAGGAAGGTGGGAAGTGGCCTCATTTGAAGAGAGGATGAACGGAGAAAAAAGAAAAGAGCTAAATGCTACTTTTCCTAAATACTTTTATTCTTCCTTGTTTTTTTTCTTCCCAGGGCTCCTATTCACCAAGGAACTCTTCATTCTTGATCAATGATGATATGGGCAGTTTAATGCTGACAACATTGATCATTAGGAATAATTTGAGTCTTCCTGCTGTCTGCAGTTTGATGTTTATTTTTACCTAAGGACTAGATATATTCTTAATCATTTCCTCTTTTGAAATACTGTGAAGAAAGCAAAAGAAACTAAAATATTGATTCAAACAGAATTTAATCTTCTGAGTTCTTCCAAGGCAGTACCTGGCTCATTAGAATCTATTTTATACAGACTCTGAGATGGCAGACTAAACATGTTAGAAGAGGTAGGTAGGCATTTAAAAGCTAAATGATCCAATTGTAATTGGTTTGTCCCAGATAGCTGGAGGCCTTGGGAGCAAAAGTATACTATTCTAGTGGCACTTGTTTGTTTTAGGAGATCAAACACCAGGAACAAAATTGGCAGGGAAACATCAAATAAAAGTTCTAGAAACAGCATTTCAAGTCAATTGGGTAAAAAGAGCAAATGAAGAAATGATATCATAATGACTTAATCACCAGTGGCTTGTGGGCTCAGCATATTAATTAAAACATAATTTGAACCTTAGGAAAATCAAACATTTATAGAAAGAGTGAAAAATCATAAGTCTCATTTATTCCCTTTGTTCTGCATGAGAATATAGGTTAGCAGGGTCAAGCCCAGGTTATACCTGTCAGCTGAAAAAATACCTATTTTTCTGTTAGAAAGATGAAGGTGGAAAATTTTAATAAATTTCAGTAAAACAATATTCACTTGAACGCGGGACGTGAAGGTTGCAGTGAGCCGAGATTGCGCCACTGCACTCCAGCCTGGGGACAGAGTGAGCCTCTGTCTCAAAAAAAAAAAAAAAAAAAAAGAGAGAGAGAGCGAGAAAGACATTTAAACATAGTTTAGATTATAAGGTAAACAGAAGAGAAGACCAAAGATAAAACACAGCTGTCTTATTTTTTAATCAGGTTATATTTTTTCCTGCTATTGAGTTGCTTGAGTTATTTATATACTTTGGTATTAACCCCTTATGAGATGTAAAATAGTTCCTCATATTCTGTAGGTTATCTCTTTGCTTTGCTGATTTACTTTTGCTGTGCAGTTAGTTTGTTGTAATCCCATTTGTCTATTTTTGCTTTTGTTGCCCGGGCTTTTGGAATCATATCCAAAAAATCATTGCCCAGACCATTGTCATGGAGGATTTTCTCTGTTTTCTTCTAATTGGTTCGTAGTTTCCAGTCTTAATCAATTAAAATCTTTAATCAGTTTTGACACCTCTCAAAAGAAGACATATAAAAGACCGATAGGTATATTAAAAATGCTAATCATCAGGGAAATGCAAATTAAAACCACAATGAGATATCCCTTCATGCCTGTTAGAATGGTTATGAAAAAGAGGAAAGATGACAAATAGTGGCGAGAATGTGAAGAAAAGGGAACAAACCCTTGCGTACTGTTGTGGGAAAGTAAATTAGTATAGTCATTAGAAAAACTATGTGGAGGTTCCTCAAAACATAAAAATAAGACTACAACATAATTCAGCAATCCCATTACTGGGTATATATCCAAGGGAAATAAAATGAATATGTCAAAAGATACCTGTATTCCTGTATTTATTTCGGCATTATTCATAATAGCCAAGATATGGAATCAACTTAAGTACCCATTAACAAATGAATAGATAAGCAAAATGTATATATATATATATAAAAATATATAGACACATACACACACATATATATCACATTGTATACACTTTGTATACAAAAATATTATTTTGCCATAAAATGAGGAAATCCTGTCATTTGCATTAACACAGATAAATCTGGAGAATATTAATGTGAACTGAAGTAAGCCAAGCACAGAAAGACAAATAACTCATGATCTCACTCATATGTGGAGTCTTAAAAAGTTGATCTCCTAGAAGTAGAGAGTAGATTGGTGGTTACCACAGGCTAGGATAATTGAGAGGGGTGTTGGGGAGTTGTTGGTCAAAAGATACAGAATTTTTGTTAGATAGAAAGAATAAGTTCAGAAAACTATTGTACAGCATGGTGACTATAGTTAATAATATACAGTATTCTTGAAAAATGCTGAGGGTGTATGTTAAGTGTTATTTTTTAAAAACTATAACTATATGAGTTAATACATATGTTAATTAGTTAGATTTAGTCACTCCACAAGCTGTCTATATTTCAAAACATTATGTTGTATGCAATAAATATAGTTTTATCTGTGGATTACAAAATAGTCAGTTAAAAAATACAAAGTTCTTCTCTCTTATTTTCTAGTATTAATTTCTCTTGCTATCTTAGGTTTAAGGTTGGAGAATCTAAGTGCCACTTCCTTGGGGGGAAGTAAACTAAACTTGATGTTCTAACTCTAAGTTAATCACTAAATTTTTGTTACTTGGTGGAAAATAAAACACTTATCCCAAACCTATTTTCATTTATTTGTACAGTGAGTACAATCAAGGTATACTGAGTTCAATATATTATTGACTTTTATTAGTTGTATGACTTCAGGCAAGAGATGACATCTCTTTGAGACTTTTTCCTTACATACAAAACAAGAATGATAATACCTTCCTCTTAAGTTCCATGAGAAGGATATAAAAATGATTTAAGACAGCATATGAAAAGAATTTGGATCTAGATCCTCAGTAAACTTCACTCCTGAGAAAGCTTATTTAATTTTAAGGTGATAAACTAATTTTAAATACATTAAAAAAGAATAATTATCTGAAAAAAACACAATATTCCACTAGCAACAATGGAGCAAAGAAACTAATTGAAATGACTGCTATTATTCATAATACATCTAAGAAAAACTTATTTGAAAAACTCAATGCATAACTGAAAAAGTATTGAATTTTTGAATCTTCTAATAAGTTCATGGCCATTTGCAAATAATTTTAAATATTACAAATGCTTTTCAAGGGAACTGGTGAGTAAAAACCCATTCATTTTATCAGACTAGGACACTTCTATACAGAGCTTGGTAATTTCCATCAGAAATTACCAGAAAACCTATAAGTAAATAAAAGCCTGTGACTTTTTGGATCATGAAATATCAGGTGGTAAAAGGTTAAAGTCATAAGAATAATACTTTTCACGTAATTCTGACTGTTCTGAAGAGGTAGTGGCCTGTTTCATGCTACTGGACATTAATGGTAGTAAAAATTAATTAAAAAACCATGCAGAATGTGCTACTAATTCATAAACAGATATGCCTTCGGCTTATAAATATAAATACAAACCTTTGTATGACACACTTTCTGTGTTAAGCTACTTGAGACCAAAGCTGCCTTATAAACCACCCAGAAAGATAAGTCTGTTGTGAAATTGTTGGATAGCAGATGTTTCACATTGTTTACCAGGGGAGTGGGAGGACAATTTACAAGAACCCCATTTAGTCTCAGCAGCTCTCTTCCTTATACTGTTCTCAGACAACCATATATTGATTTGCAAAATGTAGAGCTGTTTCAGAGGTAAACAACTGTGCAGTCAAATGGTAGTTAATTTGGTTTAGGATTTTTGGAATATAAATGATCTTTGTAAACCCTTCAGTTCTTTGTTTGCTAATCTATTTTCATTGTATATGCTTATTCACATTAAAGACATTATTTTGAAGTATCAGTTTGTAAGTAATTTCTTCTTGCCACATTGGATGTGAAGAGAGGGAGAAATAAGCTTGACACCCCTACTTGTAATACTGGTAGCAGAAACATCTGACACATACAGTAAGACTGTGTACTTCTCAGGCTACAGCAACAGTATCAGCTGGGGATTTGTTAGAGATGGGAATTCTCAGTCTCCAGTCAGAGTTAATGAGGAACTCTGAAGGTGGGGACTGACAAATTGTTCCCTATCTAGCCCTCCAGGTGATTTTAATGCATGATAGCTACAGTTTGCCAGCAATTGTTCTAAGGATAGGAATTCCATTACAATAAAAACTGTGAAAATAGGATTAAATGAAAAATGTTTGAAATACTGTGAAAGAAATAAAAGAGGATATTGACTGAATCACAGAAAATTATAATTAATATGAAGTTCAGCTCTTATTTATGTGTGTTGCAGAGGCTAAAAGCCAATTAAAATCTCAATGTTATTTCTTTTCTATATTCATTCACTGGCTGTTCATGAAATGCACATAATTTTATACAATCCCAACACACTCATACACACACACATGCACAACCTACGTGTGTGTTTGTGTGTATGAGTGTGAGAATGCATAGAGAATTCAAATATATAGGAGTTACTTTTGACTCTGCATTGTTCTGGACTAGCTGTGAAATTCTTGTCTTGATTATTTAAAAAAATACATGTCAAATATTCTTTCATAGACATCTGAAATATGTTAATGAACAGGAGAAAGAGGCAGTTGTCAAAGATATGACAAGTATGATTTGAGTTTTCTTTTTTTATCTTTTATACAAAGAGATATTTTAGTTAGCCTTGGAAATATTTTAGCCAGTAAATTAGAAAAAAATTAAAATATTGAGATAGGTCTTTTTTTTAAAAAAAAAAAACTTAAGAAAACAGCACACACTTAATTTTACAGTCAGGTTACACAATTCTAACTTGATGGGAGGTTAGGTGGTATTGGGAAATCATATTGCACATAATTTAATTTTTCATAAATGTATGTTTGCAGATAATTGGCTTCTATAACAATGTCTTGCATAAAATAAGGTTTATGTAAACAAGCTTGATTTCAATTCAAAATACCCTTTGAAACAGAATATTAGTTTTACATCATTTATTATTAGGTTTTCTTACTTTTAACGGAAATGAGAGAGGATTGAGTAAAGTTGAAATCAGGTTTTGTTAAATTCTTTATTTTGAAATAATTTTAAAATTTAGACACTAGTTGCAAAGATAGTACAGAGAGTTTCAATATAACCCTTCACTGTGTTTCCCTTAATATTAGTAGCTTACATAATTATGCTATATTCATCAAAATTAAGAAATTAACATTGGTATAATGCTACTAATTAAACCACAGACTTAATTTAAATTTCGTTTTCCTGCTAATGTCCTTTTTGTGTTGTAAGATTCAATTCAGGACACCATGTTTCATTTAGTTGTCATAAAGTGCTTATTGTCCTCAGATCCATGGCAGTTTCTCAGTTTTTCCTTGTTTGTCATGATGTTGACACTTTTGAGGAGTAATGAGTGGATTATTTTCTAGTAATCTCTCACTTCAGGTTTTTGTGATGTTTTCACATGGGTACATGATAAACATGAGTTTATTCTGATTTTTCTAATTCTGCGCCTCAGAGTCATTCCTCCCTCCATTCCACTCCCTTGCTTATTTGTAGCATCTTTCTCAGATAAGGAGAAACCAGACTCCAAATATCCAAAATTTGCTTTTTCAACCCTAGTATACAAGTAAATTAATTATAGAAACGCTATCCTTTATCCCTGTAAAAGAAAATTTACCTTCTAGACTATAGTGCTTATGAAAGTTCTTTTTGTTTCTAGCCTTACAGCACCAGTTAAACCATTGTTTGCTAAAGTTACTAGTCAGTGTCTCTTTGCCCACACCTTTTATATGTTATATATTATGTAGTTGTAAAATAATTAGCTGTTTTTAAGGAGTAAAATAGTGATTCAATTCTGTTATTTCCAGTTTTCCTTGCATTTCTGATTTGCAACGCTAGTTTTCATGTGCAAAGCTTCCAAGTATCAATGGATCTCTTTCTAGGCTGTCTACTTTGCATGTTGGTATATTTTGTTTATCATTTAAATGAAGATTCTTACAACTTTATAAACAGTTTGATACCCGGTAGGACATATTTTCCTTTCTTCTCCTTATTTTAGTTACATGAGTTTGATAATTAGCTTTAAAATTTTTATGGCAAACCCAATTTAGAATTTGATAGAATTTATTTTATGAATATTTTAATTTTTATTGGATAGTTTTCCCATCCATTAAGATAGTATATCCCTATATTTTAAATCTTCCTTGATGTCCTTCCATAAAATTTTATACATTTTTCAATAAATACTTTCATAACTTTTGTTAATCTTATTCCATTACTCTCCAGTTTTTATTTCTATTATAATAAACTTAAAAACTTCTATTTCCTAAATGTTTCTAACTGGGTTATTAAAATGATTAATTTTTATACTACAAACTTTCATACACTTATGCAACAAAAGTCACTTACTAATTGTAATAAGTAGTCAGTAGATTCACTTGGATTTTATATGAATACATCACACATTTAGCGAACAATGACATGTTTGTTTCTGACATTCTAATCCTTAAATCAATATCCCTCTCAATATTCCTCTCTCTGTCTCTTTTTCTCTCTTTCTCTGAATTGTTGTATTACCTGTGTTTCCTAGTCCAACATAAATGACAGTTATAATGCAGGCATCCACATCTTGCTCCTGTTAAAAGATGTCGTCTAACTATTCACCATTGCATGTGATGTTATCTTTTTTGACAGATGTTCTTTATTGAGTTAAATGAATTAAGCTGCTTCCTTTTACACTAAGACTTCATTTTTTAAAAATCATGAATTATTACATTTTTACCAAAATTGTTGTGTGCATTTATTAAGATGATCATTTGTCTTTTTATTGTTTTTGGCTCAATTTGATGAATTACACCAAAGGATTGCCTAAAGTTTAAAAATTCATTATATTGCTATGCTGTACTTTGTTCTTATTCCCTATAATCATTTTTCTACATTCTTGGATTTAGTTTGCTAAGAATTTATTTAGAACTTTGCATAAAAATTCATAGTAACATTTAAAATGTTCCTTTTGCTGTATATATCCTATTTTTACATCAATATAATACAGTTCTTATAAAATTACTTGAAGAACTATAGATTTCAAAGAGTAAAATGAGAAATTTTTAGTTTCGTATTGTACTCTGAAATAGGGAAGACAGGCACAAAGAGAGAATGTAAAAGTTGTCAGAATTTAGATGCTGCCCCTGGAATTGGGGAGCATAGTAACAAAAAATACTTGTAAGTAAGAATGTTTTCACACACTTGAGTTTGTGATGAAGATCTTAACCTGATACACAGATAACTGGAGAAGTGTGTATGCAGGTCTGTATATGAGAGAGTGTGTGTGTATGTGTGTGTGTGTGTGTGTGTGTGTGTGTGAGGGAGAGAGAGAGAGAGAGAGAGGCTGATTTGGGAAGGCATGAAATAAAGATGAGAAATTGTAGACATGTGGAAATGTAGGATGGAAAGATCAGGAGAGAAATAAAAATGAAAACTGAATTAATTATTATAGAAAGAGCTTATCAAGGGTTCATACTGGTGGAATTTTTAAAAATTATTCTTCCACCATTGAGTAAGACTCTCTCATAGAATAAATAAACATTATTTTTGTAAAGTATTTATTTTAAAATTGCAGTAGTTGCCCTTTTAACAATATGGCAAAATTTATCATTAATCCTTTGAATTTGTACCTGGTCAAATCCCAGTGACTTCTTGCAACTACAGTCATGCATAGTTTAACTATAGATACACATTCTAAGAAATGTGTTATTAGGTGATTTCATGATAGTGTGGCCTTATAGTGTACTTATACAAACCTAGATGATATAGCCTACTACACACCTATGCTATATGGCATATAGCCTTTTGCTCCTAAACTACAAACCTGTACAGCATGTTACTGCACTGAGCACCACAAGCAATTGTAACACTATGGTAAGTATTTATGTATCTAAACGTATCTAAACCTAGAAAAGATACACTAAAAATACAGGATAGAAGATAAAAAATGGAATACATCTATAACGCACTGATATGTTTTGGCTGTGTCCCCACCCAAATCTCATCTTGAATTTCCACATGTTGTGGGAGAGACCCGGTAGGAGGTAATTGAATCATGGGGCAGGTCTTTCCCGTGCTGTTCTTGTGATAGTTAGTAAGTCTCACTAGATCTGATAGTTTTATAAGGTGGAGTTTTCCTGCACAAGCTCTCTCTTTGCCTGCTGCCATCCACATAATACGTGACTTGCTCCTCCTTGCCTTCTGCTATGATTGTGACGCTTCCCCAGCCATGTGCAACTGTAAGTCCAATTAAACCTTTTTCTTTTTTAAATTGCCTACTCTCAGGTATGTCTTTATCTGTAGTGTGAAAACAGACTAACACAGGCACTTACAATCAATGGAGCTTACAGGACATAAAGTTGACCTAGGTGAGTCAGTGAGTGAGTGGGGAGCGAATGTGAAGGCCTAGGATATTACTGTGTACTACTGTAGACTTTATACATACTGTACACTTAGGCTACATTAAATTTACAAAAAAATTTCTCTTTCTTCAAAGATAAAATAACCTTAGCTTATTGTAACTTTTTTACTTTACAACTTTTAAATTTTTATTATTGTAAATTTTTACTTTACAACGTTTAAATTTTTAAAAAGTTCTTGACTGTTTTGTAATAACACAACTTAAAACACAAACACATTGTACAGCTGTACAAAAATATTGTATTTCTCTATATTCTTATCATTTAAACGTTTTATATTTTTAAAGTTTAAAATTTTATTTTTATTTTATTTAAATTTTTTTTGCTGTTAAAAAGTTAGACACAAAAACACACGTTAGCCTAGGTCTACACAGAGTCAGGATCATCAGCTTATTTTCTTCCACATCCACATCTTCTCCCACTGGAAGGTCTTCAGGAGCAATAATAAACATGGTGCAGTCATCTCCCATAACAATGCCTTCTTTTGGAATACTTCCTAAATGATCTGCCTAAGGTGATTTTACAGTTAACTCTTTTGTAAGTAGAAGGAGTACAGTCTAGAATAATGATAAAAAGTATAGTATTGTAAACATATAAACCAGTAACATAGTCATTTATTATTATTATCAAGTATTAGGCAGTGTACATAATTGTATGTGCTATACATACGACATACATATATATGACTGGCAGTGTAATAGGTTTGTTTTTACATCTGTATTACCACAAACATGTGAGTAATGCATTATGCTACAATATTATGGCAGCTAAGACATCACTAGGCTATGGAAAATTTTTAGCTGCATTATAGTCTAATGGGACCACCATTGGATCCATCATCTGTCACTGACTGAAATGTTATGTACCACATGACTGTATCTCCTTTGGATGGTTTGCTAAAAAATAAATAGTCATGAAATAAAATGAGAAGAATCAAAGAAAGTCATTGCTATGAAATCTATCATATGAATTATTTCAAAAAAACAGAAAAAAGAAAGAAATGAAGGAAGGTCCGATAAAAGGGAAATAAGCCACATCCCTTTGACATGCAAATAACATAATTTAAAGTTAACAATAGAAATATATACTAATCATTACCAATAATACAGTTATTATAACCTTAAAAACTCTATGAATTACTAAAATCATGACTGTCAAACTAACTTATTTATCATATTGTATACCGTCCTTGATGTGTAATGCATGTGCACAAAATATTTTTGATTTTTCACCATTAAGTAAAGTCACTGGAAAAACATTTGTATTTGGCCATCAGAAAGAAACATTTGATATTTGTCTGGTATGAAGTAGGGGGCCAAAATGAAATAGGAGATCCACACTCTGTGCTACAGTTCACAATCAGGCTAGACGTTCATAAGCTATAGTCTTATTTGGAATTTTTATATTATATAGCTATTAATTATATATATTATATAATTAATATATATATTATAATTAATATATATATTAATTATAAATTTTTAAAACTACAATAGAAATACAACACACACAAAAAATCTTTGAATGTAAGAGAATAAGCTTCCTTTCTTTTGAGGTTCTTTGATGCTACTCCTATTATCACATACACATTTGTCAAGTTTGTGATATGCAATATGTGTCTTTCACAGTGCAGTTATGCTAATCTTTTTATTCACATTCCTTGGAAAATATAACTGCCTCTATGCACCAATAAGTGGTATCCCTTGTTTATTAGGGTTCCTTAGAGGGACAGAACTAATAGGATACACACACACACACACACACACACACACACACACACACATATGAAGGGATTTTATTAAATATTAACTTACATTATCACAAGGTCCCACAATAGGCTGTCTGCAAGTTTGAGGAGCAAGGAGAGTTATTCTGAGCCTCAAAAGTGAAGAATGGAGTCCGATGTTTGAGGGCAGGAAGCACCCACCACAGGAGAAAGATGTAGGCTGGGAGGCTAGGCCAGTCTTGCCTTTCCATGTTTTTCTGCCTACATTTTTTTTTTGAGACGGAGGAGTCTCGCTCTGTCCCCCGTATATGTAATGCTTATGATATAAATATGTATGCTTATATATAATGCTTATGATATATATATAATGCTTATGATATAAATATATATATATATGTAATGCTTATAATAACAATTGCTTCAATTTGACCATCAAAGCTCTATGATCTGGGTTCATTTCACTTCTATATTCAGCTACACAAAACCCAGTGTCAAACTCTTCCTTTCTTAAATTTATGCCCCTTTCTTATAATGCTGTCATAACTCCTTTCTGCCTGTCAAAATTCTAACATTCCTTGAGGCCTACTTTTATTCTCACCATCTTTATTTCCTTCCCCTGATGTGTCTACCATTTATTGTCTTCTCCCATGAATACTATTACCTATATTTCTTATATTATTCATTTGGCATGTAACATCCATTAATTTGCATTTTATTTTATTTTGTTTGGCTAGTTTTTTTCATCTAAAGCAGATTTACATTTACAATTGCAATCTAAGCTATGTAGATGTATAATTTCATTTGTTTTCTTTACACCAGAACTAGCATTGCTCTGAACTGAGCCAAGTTTTGGAGTTCACATCTCTCGGATGAATGATCTATTGAGTCTCAATACAGCCATCTTTTGTAGTAGGAAAGCCCCAGGAAATTATTTTACATTTCTCCATGACTCTCTGGAAGTGTTTGAGAGTAAGGATGGGGATAGTGATGCCATTGTGTCTGCTTTACTGTGGCCAGCTCATACTGACATGTATATAAATGTATGGCCACAGGTGTAGTGCCTCATGCCTGTAATCCCAGCACAGGAGTCTGAGGTGGGTGGATCACCTGAGGTCAGGAGTTCAAGACCAACCTGGCTAACATGGTGAAACTCTATCTCTACTACAAATACAAAAATTAGCCAGGTATGGTGGCGGGCACCTGTAATCCTAGCTACTCGGGAGGCTGAGACGGGAGAATTGCTTGAACCTGGGAGGCGGAGGTTGCGGTGAGCCGAGATGGTGCCATTGCACTCCAGCCTGGGTGAAAGAGCGAAACTCCATCTCAAAAAACAAAACAAAACAAACAAAGAAAAAAACAAATGCATGGACACTTCCTCTCAGCTTTCCAAGGAGAAAGTGACAGAATCATCCCAGTGGAGCAGATACATCTTATGTGCCTCCTCAGATTCTCTTGGCCTTCCCTGCCTCTCAGCATTCAGCAGCCTTCTTCATATCAGCTATAGCCAAGGCCTAACAGTTCTGTTTGTGTTTGCCCTGTTTGCTACCTGTGGCTTACCATTGCCTATGAACTGAAATCTCTCATAATTGCTGCCACTTCTGGACTCAGAGCAAACACTACACTATTGGACTTTTCAAGAAACTACCAAAGTGGTGAGATGACACAATTTGGAAGTGTGGGTTAGCATCTTCCTATAGAGAAAACACAACACTAGAGGAAGCTGTGCAAATAAACGTGATTCCACTTCTTCCTCCCTGTGAAGAACTTCTGCAAGGCATGATTTCTCAGTGGGGTTTGTCCAGAAATGTCCCTCACAGCTGAGTGGACACATTAGCTGAAGAAACAGCTTACTGAAGCATGAAGCAGTAGTCTTCATGGTGTCATGAAGTAACAGGATGAGCTGCCTAAGTCATGTATTTTTCCTCTCCTCCAGAGCTCTGAGGTTATACCTTCCCAAGAAAGCATCATATTTATTCCCTCCTTCAGGATGGTTTATTAGAAAATTTTGGCTAAGTCACCTCATATCCTAGTGTCCTGAACTTAATTGGAGGGTTTTGTTATTTCACTGCAGGGTTTAAAACTTGAAGAAAGGTCAGGATAGGCTCCACATAGAAGTACAAACTCTCTAGTCCTCTCTAAGGCCTTAAAGTCCAGTAGAGGGTTTTCTCTTCTTTCTGTTTAATTCTCTAATTTTTGCTTTGTGTTTAGAACCAACAAACGTGTTCTTATTTTGATAAAATCTGGGTCTTTCAAATGAATGCACTCCTCTCCAGACTATTATTTCTGACAAAAAGCTTTTAAAATTCTATTGTGAAAGTCAGGTCTGAGCTATATAATGTTTTTGCTCTGGCAGCACCTTCTTTCTTCCTGAATCATGGATACTACTGGCTCTATGTGCTCAGAAATCACATTGCAGCAAGAACATTTAAAACCTTATTTGTCCCTTCAGAAACACAATTTCACTAAACATTATGTGGACTTGGTATGTCTGCTCCTGGTACCCCAACACTGTCTGACTCTAGCTCAGTCAAATCATATGTATGTCTCTTCATGCATCAGTCACGCTGGAAAATAATGCTAAAGTGAAGCTGTAACCCAAATTTTAGAGAATTCTAGTAAAGAGAGTTTAATTTTGCCCCTACAAATCAAGACATTCTTTTTCTTGATCTTTAGGAGAAAACAGAGCTTTATTTGCCCTAAATAATAGGTATGATGTTAACATAGTAGGAACAGAGAGCATGCCTTTCTCTTCACCTCATTGCCATCAAACAGGAAAAGGGTTATTAGATTATTGAAGCAGAACAGGAGAACAGATGATCCATTTTCTTCATGATCATCAACAAGCCCAATACTCTGCTACACATTAAAATTAATTTTGCTAAAGCTCAGTCAAGAATGACAATATGAAAGCGATGTCTGCTTCACTCTGATCATGTGTTGGGCAACAAGGAATAAAAGAATGACAATATGAAAGTGATGTCTGCTTCACTCTGATCATGTAGGCAACAAGGAATAAAAATCATGAGGTACCAATGCTTACTGCAACGAGCTCAAATTGGCTTGTAGGGTGACTACTTCTATCTGACTTCTTATTTTTCTAAAACTTTGAATGACTCCTTATGGGTGCATATGTGTGTATATTTGGGTAGACACAACCATGAGTGGTAGAGCCTTGGGAAAGGGGTCAGTGGTGATTATTTTTGCAGAATTGTTCAGGCCTGGCCCTACACCACAAACAACTTGCTGTCCTCTTACTTATCTCCATATTGTTCAATGCAGCGGAGAAAGAAGTCTGCTTACAAGGTAAATTGTCCTATTTTAAGCTTTCTTTCTCTTGACATGTAGAAATAAGCCACATTCTAGGACCTGACTCAATAGTTCCATCATTTCTACCAGAAAGTCCTTAAAAAAACAGCTAGTCAACTAGGGAGACTTATAACATTCTTTTAAAAGTATTAATCATCATATGCTAATATTGAATGAATTTTCCAATTCTACGTAGGACTTTTTATTGCTAATGCTTCAGGCAAGAATGTGGCATCTTGTTTAAAGAGATTAAAAAGACTATTGAAGAATAAGGATCCAGACAGTCTAACCTATTTTTCTACTGTATCAATTGGAGCAGATGTCACAAAACTCAATATTCATAGTGATTTGGCTTTATTTTATGAAAACCTGTAAAGAAATGCAATGTAAGAACTGAAAAGGAAACGGTTTTATTTTAAATAACTTTGCAATGAAACACAATAAAACGTAAGTATAATTTATACCATTCTTTGACTGACAAATTATTATACTTTGTTATATAAATTGCAGCGTGTACTAAGAATTTCTTAAGATATACTCATGATTACTCCTGTATACAAAAGAAAAAATTATTTCTCATGAAAAGGCTAATTTAATTTCAGCCTGGGGCAGTAGGGCTTGCTAATCCCTCACTGTTAGGTAACTTAGATAAAATTTCAGGAAATGATGATAATATTATGAAAGCTACATGGCAAAAAGAAACAATTCCTGCCTTTGTTATAATAAACAGTTCAATACCTGACAATGCAGGCTCTTTGAACTCTAACTTTTATTTTAGGAGATCTTGTCAAAGCAAAAAATAGGCATAGTCCTGGTCTTCAATCACTTTAGGTAAGTGCGTTCTCAGAGAGAGATTGTGTAGCTTTATTTGAGGAAAAAAGCAAGAACATGTTCTCTTTCTTATTTGAAATTCTAGGAACAGCTGGAGACTATTTTTCCCCTTTTACAAAGTCATCTGCCCATGACCAGGTGAGACTATAGAAGTATTTCTTCATTTAGACACTAGAGTGGGAATTGTCAAACTTTTTATCTGAAGAGCTAGATAATAAATATTTCAGTCTTTGCAGGCCACTTGGTCTCTCTCACAACTACCCAACTCTGACCTTGTAGTTCAAAAGAAACTATTGGCAATATGTAAATGAATAGGCATGGCTGTGTTCCAATAAAACTTTATTGACAAAAGTAGAATGTGGGCTGGCCATAGTTTGCTGACCTTTCCTGTAGAGCATTAGTCTCTTTTTCAGTTTATATCTTGTTAGTTCCATAAAAAACTTGCTAAGGAAACTGAAAAAAAACCCACTACACACATTTTCACTCCTTTTTCTAGATTTTATTTCTAATCAACATAATAATACCAAAGTGAGAAGTATTTGTCACTCTGGCAAGAAGTAATCTCTTTCTCCTCCTGGATATAAACATGAGTTATGTTTGAATAACATCTGAAAAATAAAGGACTTTAAGTAAAATGTACCTAAAGAGATGTATTGTAAGAATCAGCCATGTTTAGGGCAGACTGGAAAATAGATACAGAACCAGTTGAATTGTTGGTACAAGATCCTAGCTGACACTCATTGGTCCAGTATGAAGTGCTAGCCATATGACTCCTTTATTAAGTTATATTTGATGGTGATAGGCTATGTAATAACTTGCATATACTTAGCTGAAAGGTTGTCTGCCTCTTAGCAAGGGTCACCATGGGAAGGAAATAGCAGCTTTAGAAGGAAGTAGGACTAATAATAAACTATTGTAATAGTTACTATTTATTGAACATCTATACTAGGTTTTGTAGGAACATAATCTCATTTAATTTTCAGAGTAACTCTTTAAAGTAATTATCGGGAGCCTTCATTAAGTGGAGGAGAAAAAAAGTCCTAATGAAGTCAGTGGCTTTGTCCCAGTGAGCCAAAAGAATGATGAATTTAGGTTCAACCTGAATTACAACTTCAAAATGGAAAATAGCACATGGTTGCTATGCAATATCTGGTAGTGACAGAAGCCATAGCAATAGGATATCTTACAGACTCTAGCATCCTAGACAATAGCTGAAGGCAGAGGGACAAAGATCCTGTGGGGAAAGGAATTGTCAAGGGCTGTATGTTCAGAGAAACATTCCTAATCTATCATTAAGTAAGCAGTTACATAGATATTTTGGAGAGTCTACGAATTAGTGTAACTAAATATCCTGGCTTGCCTAAGACTGAAGAATTTCCTGGAACATAAAACTCAGTGCTAACACCAGCAATGTCCCTGGAAACCCAGGAGGAGTGTATTAAGGTGGTTGGGGCTTACCAGAGGTCATAAGCAGTGCTGTGCTGAAGCTCATTCATGCATACTCATGAGAGCTGTTTGTTAAATTTTCAGAAATTTGGCAAGCCATTGTGAAGCAATTATTAAATTTTAAATTATTTAAGTGTATAATTAAATAAATTATGTTAAAATACTTATAAATATTCAAAACTCACTGCCTATTAATTTTAGGCTTTTTTCTTCTCTTGTCTATGATCTTGAGCTTACTTATACTTATTGTAACAATCTGTAGGGTGGGAAGACCACATAATGGTGAGCTACTTCACATTTCTTTTCAACTCTGCATTTAGCGACATCATGCTTTTAGCTTGAAATAGGGAGGTGTTTTCGTGTTTCTCTAGAAGTTGATAGGGGAAAATGTTAATAATGCAGACTGAGCTTCAAAATGTATGGTGTCTCTAGCTGTTACAGTGTGAATAGTACAAAAAAAGAGAAAATATTCTTTAATATTTGAAAGTCATTATTCTTCTCATTAAAATATTAATTCACACCATTGACAAATGAGTATAGCTCCAAATGTCTTAATTTTATTGTTTCACTTTCTCCTACTCATTAAAGCAAACAAAAATATAACTAACATTGATGTTGCAACTACACTGTCATCAATTTCAACTATATATTGGCAATAAATACAAGAGGTTGGTGAAAGTTAACTAAAACTTTATGTGAGAATCAATTAGCTATATGAAATTGACGATAATGAGTATTGTATATTTTATTATTATTGGTAAATTGTGTGCCATGTATTCTTTAAATCAGCAAAATTTATGATAAACTTGTACCTGAGTATGTATCCATTTCAGTAGATTTATATAACTACAGAGGGCTCATTGTTAGCCATTTTCCCATATATCACTGCTTATAAACTATGGGATGAGGAATAGCAGCAAGAAAAACCTAGACCCAGTAGCTAGTGGGTTTGAGTTTATAATCTACTGGTTGCTTTATTCAGACATGTTCAGGCTCTAGTGGTAGCTAAGTTAGTTTGTGCATTCCATGTTTCCAAGCAGAAATGGATCTTGAATACAAAGTTCTGATATTAAATAAAAAGATAGCCATCTTTGTGGGTTCATGTCCTTTATGTACTCTGCTTCAGAAATAAAGTTTCTTTGAGCTTTTGTATTTCTACTTAAAAATTTACATTAATTTTTATATTTTTTTCCAAAGAGCAATAGATTTTTATTTACCTTAAAAAATCTCTCAAGAGCTGTTTAAAACAAACATTAACCAACTTTTCCTCTGTAAATCTTTGAATAAAATTGGTGTTCCAATTGAATGTATTTTGTTCTATAACAGCTTATTCACATACACTTGGCATGTACTTCTTAAATGTAACCTCATTTGAGAAGTTTTACAGTTACTCATAAAATCCTCTCCAAATAACTTACGCAGATAATAGAACATTATTCTATGAGGTTTAACATTTTATATAAAAACCAATGAACAAACATTCTCTCTAGCATCACTGTTAAAGAAAAAACAAAAGCACTAATAAAAATACAAAATTCCTTAATGAAAAATATATTTCTCTTTGAGGATGTTTAACGGTCATACTAATGGTTAATTTTATATTATATGGTTTTAAAAATTATATTATAATATTTTGGTAAGTTACCTATAAATATAAGATCATATTATAAATTCTTGAATGATTTATATGATATTTTTTACTTACACATACAGTCAAAAATTAAAATTAAATTTTAAAAAAACCTATGTTAAATTATTCTGATAATATATTCCAGAGCCAGTTACTGATATTATTGATGATAAAATAAAGCAGCATTTCTGAAATACTCTAATATTCTTGTCTCTTTGGCTATCATAGTTTACCCAATTTTGGAAGCCAGTTGTGCCAACAGTAGCAAGTGCTCACCAACAAAAGTGACTTAGATTATTTCTTGACACAAAATTGCTTTTTCTCCTTTGACTTGCTGGCGTTAAGTCTTAGGTATAGGCAATTATATCATTCAGAGCATTTCCAATCTATCCAGCACAATTCCTTCTGAAAACACATTTTGGTTAGATTCTTAAATTTTGTTCTTTGAGGCACAAGATTTTATACCACCTGAACATCACAAGTCCTATTGAGGCTCAAAAGCATAAAACTGTCTCCTGCTTTCTGATAACACTCTATACATGACTTTAAAAATTAACAGAGTTTATATTTTAGAGTAGTTTTGGATTTACAGAAAATCGATCAGTCTAGAGAGGTTAATGTTGGATATTTATGCTTTGGTAATGTTTTATGGAAAACCAAGACATTAATAGTTAGAAACATAACACACTAAGAACTATTGAAATTAATTTCTGAAACTTCTGCATTTGCTGTTCATTTCTCTGAATTTATCTGAAATTTCTATGACTGTTATATCAGTTTATCATCATCACCATCCAACTACTATCTTCAGGAAGTGAACTCTGAAAATCTCACATCTCAGAAAAGCTGGTAATTTTCAAGAAATTTCAGAAGAAAAAAACATGACACTATTGAAGTTGAACTAATCTATTTAAATAAAAATCATACTTTCTGATTCTAAAATCTTTTTGATAGGGCCATCACCAAACCTATAACACAGTATAATTTGCATAAATGTAATGTGATGTTTATCACACTGATAAACGCAAGGAAAATAAAATGATAATTATTACTTAGGATTTTATTTGCAGTGGTTTCAGAAAGCAGTTTACAAATAATTTTTATGTTATTTACATGTGTAAGCTTAAAACTAGAAAACTAATTATTCAGGGACACTAATATCTTTACTTGTTTTCATATATTTTTGTTGAATTCTTATATTTTCTAGTCAAATATTAAGGCAATTTTTAAAAGGATTTCTTTTTTAAATTTAATTTTGATAGGCTTTTCAGGCATTTGGTTAGTAGCAAATAAATAAGGCATTTTTTTTAAAGATAAGATTTAGCAACCTCTGGGGGCCAACACTATGTGTAATTTTGAATCCAAAGATTATGGCACAGATACTGTCTTTAGTGGCAAGGAAGCTTGGGGTAGAGTTCGCTAATATATCAAATGGTTCGGAAAGGAAAATTTTATAATCTTCTGGCTTTGCTATAAATTTAACAATTTATCATGGTATTAGGACTAAATCCTAAAGGTGAATTTATTTAATCTTTATAAATGGAAAAAGCAATGCAATAAGAGAAATGATTTATGCTAGTATATCAAGCAGAGTGTTGTACACTTTGCCCTTAGGGCAAAGGGAAATCTGCACTACAAAGTACAAATCTGTACCACAAATCTGTACTTTATGATGGTGGTAGCACCTGTAAAGATAACTGTGGGTGTATGAGTTGATCTCAAATGAAGAAAAGAAAAAGAGTAAAGGCATATGGATTCATGAGATTCATAAGAGTTGAAACTGTTAAATCAGTGAGATGTAGAAAGAAATATTATGAGACTGAACACAGTATTATAAAGACTTAGAGTTACAGACCCCAGATTTTGGGAAAGTTATTTAATACCTGTTTCTGAGTTTCAGTTGTTTCTTCCATAAATAATAGATTTGTTATGATGACTTCATAAAGTCATATATGTAAATATATAAACGATCTGTATGATTACGTGATAATAGTTATGAATAATAATTATTCATATGATCTCTATTACTTTATTATTGGGTTTATAGAGGGCACAACTGAAAAGAGTGGTCCAAAATCATTTACTACTTATAGATAGGAACAACTGAAGGATAGAACATTTGTAGTATTTGTGTTGTAAATATTTATATATGTACATTTCTGGATATTTCACAGTTTTTCATAAATTGTCATTAAATTTAAATATTTTTTCACAGATATTCATGAGTCAACTTTAACTCATTGCTTCTTTTCCTTTGAATCCAAATGTCCTTTTTTACATTTCCTTTGAGTGGAATCTCATCGAATCATAGGAAATGAGGAATTATTGAGAAATGCAAAAAGTTTCCCTTTATCTTTTCTTTAAAGTTTTATAAAAACACTGTTTTAGCCAGATGGAAAATCGATGGGAAAATAAACAAACAAGCAAAGCAAATGTGAGTCGGCAATTAATTTAGTATAAGATAATTTGTACTGTTTCTGTGGAAATCAGAAAAACACAATATGCAAAGACATGGAGAGAAAGATGGAATACGTTTGTGATGCTAATGTCAACAGAAAGTAATATTTTTAGGAAGCAGAGTTTTTATTTTTGTTGAGCTCTTGTGAATTTCTTTTTAGGTTTAGATTTTAACTATGTGTCATTCCCTTTCATTTGTATTCTTAAGCTCTTTAATGAAAAAAATAGTGGAAAAGATCTGAATTCTAAATTTATTCATCTTATTTTATTAAAAATTGCCTATATAAGCATGTACATTTTATTACTGATAATAAAGAAGTTTCCTTTAAAATAAAATATCAGTTGGGGAAGTATAGATATGTCATTTTTATCATAAGAGAAAAGAATATACTGCTAAAAGGGCAGTAATAGAGAATATTGATTATTATTTTTGATATTTGTCATTACTAGAATATTATCTGATGGTGTAATATTGATACATACTTTTAAATGCCTGTTCCTGATGAAATCATTATAGAAGTTATCATAATTTACATAAATATTTAACATTAGATGCTTTTGAGAAGATAATATTTGTATCTCACTGATAGGATTAACCTCCTACCAAAGTTACTCACTAGTCTTGGAATTCTTTTATTCACTTTTTCTATAATATTGAAAAAGGAAGTGAAGTTTTTGAAAAAAGAATGGATTGTATCTTAATGGCTGAGAATAGAGGGACCAGCTTACTTTTTCTCTTCTTCAACTCTCCACTGAGACTCTCTCTCACCTGTATATCATCATTCAGACTTTACACCTATATTTAATTTTATCAACTTTCCAGTAGAAATGTCAAAAATCAATCAGGTTGGTATCGTTGCATGTCATCTTTGATACTATAGTTTGAAATATGTAAATTGGATTTTAGTGTAGAAGACTTCTTTCAAAACTCATCTTAGGATAAAGCATATCTAAAGACTGCATTAGATTAAATCAGATTAAAAGTTGCAACAAATATGATTTTATAGAGCTTTGGGTGTTTCTGGTCTGGCTCAAATAATACAGCTGACTTGCCTTGGTGCTATTGGATTGATAATGTGGACATGTATAAATAATGAATTAACTATATATTCAAACTGATATTTTATTTTTAGATATACTCTTTAGAAAATTACTAAGTAGGCAGAAGGCAAACATTTTTGAGCAATTCTTTGGAACTATTCTTTTAAGAGGAATGGTTAAATGATTATAGCAGACACTTTTGATGTCCACCATATATAACCTGGGCTCGCCTCTGAATAACCACTGTGGACAGTTAATGTACATGATGACAGCTTGTCCCATCAAGCTCAGGAATCTTTCTGCTTCTGAGCCTCAGAGCTTTTTGCCATACTATGAAGGTTAGTAATGAAAATGTGCCTAGAAAGAACCTTGGAACAAGATTCTGGAATTGAATGACTCATCATTCAGATGGTGTATTAGTCCATTCTCACATGGCCAGAGCAGGAGAAAGAGAGCAGGGAGGTGCCACACATTTTTAAACAACCAGAACTCAGGAGAACTCTATCGCAATGATAGCACCCAGGGGCATGGTGCTAAACCATGAGAAACAACCCCCATGATCCAATCACCTCCCACCAGTTGCCACCTCCAATATTTGGGGACTACAATTCAACACCAGATTTGGGTGGGGAAACAGATCCAAACCATATCAGATGGCAACAAAAGATTCCCTGGTTGATAGTAAGTAGGGTGAATGACAATAACCCACTGCAGTATGATAGAATCTTTCTTGCCAAGAGACTCACATATGATAGATTGGGATGTGATTTGGGTGGAAGAGGAAGCAACTATAGGTCTTAGTCTGTTTGGGCTGCTATAACAAAATAACACAAGCTGTTTTTTTTTTTTTTAATTTTTTAATAAACAGTAGATTTTTTTCCCCTCACAGTTCTGGAGACTGGGAAGTTAAAGATCAAGACACCATCAGATTCTGGTGAGGACCTATTTTGTGATTCATACATAGCACTTTCTTGCTGTGTCTTCACAAGTTGGAAGGGACAAACAAGTTCTCTGAGGCTTCTTTTATAAGGCCACTAATCCCATTCACAAGGGCTCTGTCTTCATAACCTAATTACTTCCCAGGGCTCTACCCCCTAATACCATCACCTTGGGCTTAGGATGTTAACATTAGTTTGGCGGCATGATGGGGACACAACTATTCAGACCATAGCATTTTGCAATAGCTCTATCAAATGTAGGGGTAATGGGGATTACAAAGACTATGCTTTTGGTTGGCTATTGCCAACTGCCCTACAACTTTGACAAAGAGATAATAATAGCCTCAGCAAAGCCAAATCTCTACTCAGGGTTTGCTATGAAAGCCAGAAGACATCCGTCATAGCAGTTAAGTAATTTCCTATTTTCTGAAGCAGGACAAAAGATCATGTTAAAAATCAGGTTCAACATTTTATTATAAAGATGGTGGAACAACAAGGAAGATGGAGTTCACAACATCAAATGCCTGCTGTGATAAAGTGTGGATGCTAACAGGGAAACAATTGTTCAGAAAAGAGACATTTAATATAAATAAACTTTCTAGAGTAGCAGAAACCGCCTGTGGAAATACTCATATCCACCTAATTGATGCTCTGGAAAGTTATTTTATTTCCCTAGAAAAAAATGAAAGTAATTGTCCATTACAAGTAAAGTGTGAAAGCCAGAAGACCTTTTTGATAGCATTCAAGGGTGCTAATATCCACTGCAGCAAGACAGCTGAGCAAGCTGAGTATCAAATCCACATCTTAACTCTCAGAATAGTCAATCTCCAAAGAAGCATAAACTCTCAATAGAAGAAGAGTATGCTTTCTAATGTCATGAGGCTGTTCAGAAAGGAATGGGACCCAGGCACATAGAATGGTAACACTTGGTAAATATCACCTCAAAACCTGCATTCTCAGATACCTCTGAGCTCTCTGAGCCTGCAGAAATGGTACACCTTTTTCCATTAAGAGCTACCATTCTCCCACTGCCTTAAGGTGGTGCAGATGCTTCTCTCCTGCAAGTCATGTTTTAATTTCAGGATGGTCTCCACCTTATTTTCTTGCCACTAATCCATAAACTATGGTTAAATTGTAGCCTAACCCACCAAGAAATGTGCTGGCTCTGATAAGGGAGAAAAGTAACTATACTAATAGAAACTGCAAAATATAACCATCACGAAGTGTCAAGATGTATGACAGTGTAAGTAAGATTGCCTTCTGAGTTTATTTAGGATAATTCTCCTGAGGCATAGGAATAAGTACTTTGTCATGAGCCTTAGGAGATGGTGAGAACTACAATGGCTTCTAGGAATATGGAAAATCTGACAGCTCATACTAAGTAGTACATAAATGGCAGAATACTGGTGGCTGGTTATTGGTGGGGGAAATAACTAAATGGCTCAGAGAAATAAGCAAGCTGGTATAAATATACTATTCAAGCCTGAAAAACTGATGAAGGTATTTATGGAAAGGCCAGGAGAATAGACAATGGACTCACTAACACTAATAGGGCTGACCTAACCCTGAAATAACAGAAGCCAGGTGACAGGGCTTGACCTCCAGATGTCAGAGTAGTCGAGTAGAAGTGGTAGCTAGAGGAATTTGGTCGCAGAGCAATAAGGAGATGGTTAATAGAATATGTCATCCCTAGAGGCAAAAATAAATGAGCAACCAACAAAGGCCACTCATTTACATGTTCAGTATGTACCACTGACAGAAGTGTGGACATCCTGGAGGCTGAGGGCTAGCTTTCCACCAAAATGTCACAATCCCTGAGCCAGTTTTCTGAGCTAGAGCTCACTGATGTAGCCATGGCAGCACTTATGCATAGGCCCAACATTAGAAGTTTCCGTTTACCCAGGCTCATTTAGTTACTGCTGTCAACATATGTTCAACCTATTAGCAATAGACAACAATACTGAGATCCATACATGGCTGTATTCCTCAGGAATTCCAGTTGTCTACTTGATGACAAGCTGACCCACTGGGACCCTTCCATTCTGGAAAGTTCATAGATCTGTTCAATAGGCAAATACACATTATGGGCCTGGGTTTGCTTTTCTACCTCACAGGTCTTTAGCCAGCATTATTATCAGAACACTATGTTTGGTCCACCAGCATGGACAATTATATATCACAACAGCCCAGAAGACCCAAAGTCCCTCAAAGGAAGTGTAACAGGGCACTCATGATTGTGTCATACATTTTTCCTATCACATACTGAACCATTCAGCTACAAGAGTGTTGAAATAACTAATCAAAGATACAGAAAAAACATATCTTTGAAAGGTGTTTCAACACTCTAGTAGATAAAATGTATCTTTGATAGGCTATTTCAAGCTACTAGAGTGTTGAAATAACCTCTACTAGAGTTTCCTAGCTACTAGAGTGTTGAAATAACCTATCAAAGATACAGATAAAATGTCAAGTTACTGGCAATATAAGTTTGGGGAGTCATTTTCCAGGATTCACTATGTACACAGTAGAAAATACTTTAATACTATACTTTGTTCCTAACAGGAAAAATACAGGGGGTGGAAGTGGCATTCTACCACAAATGTGATCCACTATAACATTACTTGGACCCAAAGATCAATTTTATAAGAAAAGAGGTGTACATATGTGACAATTGGTATGTGTACAAACAATCCTCTGGTCCTACTATATCATCTGGAAGCTGCTGTCTGATTGAACATTGGGATTGTCTCTTAAAACTTAGCCAATAAACTAACATATGGATTATAGTTGTGGGCAGATGCCCAAATGTATTTTTGATATGAGATACAGTGTGTTGAATCAATGGCCATCAAATAGTGCTGTGCACTCAATAGCACAAAAATATATGTCTGCTTATTTTAGTAGAGTAGCACAGAAAGAAAAAAGTTATTGCATTGTTGGATTTTATCAATACTGATAATCATGAAGACTTGAGGATCCAGGGTTGTTAATAGGTGTTATAGAAAGGGCAGAATATGTCTGGAAGCTGGAAAGCACTGTGGGTCATCTTGGTATTTCCATAATCAGTGAAAACAGTAAATATGCAACTGCAGCAATCCAACATAACTAGGGGCTTATATTTCTCAGAGATTAAATCTGGGTCATTCCCCTGGATAAACAACTTAGATCAGTAGAAGTATGCATAAAAAGTTTTTAAAAATCAGTATAAGTGATAGAAGATATTCAATCAATATCAATTAATGCCTTGGAACATCTTGGGGCAGTAAGATTTTAGCTTGTTTCATTAACTCTCTAGTTTTTTTTTTTTTTTTTTTTTTGACTTTAGGCTGAACAGTAGCTTGAAATACTAATAGCCAAGTATACCCAATGTGGGACATGAAAATATTTGGGTAATTTGAGGTGTGAACTGTGGCAAACACTAATGATTTCTCATTTTATATCTATTCAGTTTACTTCTGAATTCCTTTGAAACTACAGTTGACAATTACTCTACATGCTGATTTCACATCAAGCAGCAAGTGTCTGTACCTAATCTGCTTTTGCCACTGTTGCAGGAGCCTGCTTAGCCTGTGACAACAGCAGCCCAGAAGTACCTGAGATTTAGACTAAGGAAATCCTTAACAACCTCAGCCAATCAAGATCACCATTCTTTGTCCCTCCATGGTCAATTCTGAGGCAATTCTGTGTCTAGTTGTTCTCAATAGTAACCTACTATTAATCAAACTTCCTGACTTTCCAGGCTTCCCTATCTTTCTCCACTTCCTTATCTGTGCTGCTTTCTTACCACCTCTCAAATAAATTACTTGTGCCCAAGACCATGTCTTTGTGTCTGATTTGTGGTAATTTGAAATAAGAATATGATAATTTTCATATATTACCATTTATTATTAGGTTTTACAAGGCAAAGTATGTTTCTGAAGCAAAATTTTGCTTGCGAAGCTAAAATTAAATTGCCAACGATATTAATATTTCTCCCAAAAAACGAAGGCTAATGAGGTTAAACACACTCAGAGAGTATCACATGTTGCATTGACAATTGTTTTTAGTTAATTTCTTAATAAGCCATTTAATGTACCCAAGACTTTTTCATGTATATTACACATTTTGGTTTCAAGAAAACTTTTACTTTTGTTCAAAGAAGTGCTTTTTCATTGAGAACTTCAATGCAATTCAGCCAAGATGGAAGGTAAAAATTGGTTGTTACATGTCTTTAAATAAATGAACGTAATGACTGCTTTAAATATTATCTTATATCACTCCGATTTTCCTAGACGAAGGTATTGGTCCCTCTATATAGATCTGGCCTCACCCTGCACACTTGTATCAACCCTCTTCATAGTCAGAGGAGTGGAAAGAATTGTGGGTAACTGTCTTCTCCTAAGGCAGTTGGGCACTATTTTGACTTTATACAAGTTTCCATTAAAGTTGCTAGTTTGTCTTTCTGCCAAGCACCCTTCCCAGTTTCTTTTGTTAACAAACTTTCCACCTACCTCCTAACAATACACTTGCGTGCCATTGTGAAACATGGCCAAAGCTAGGTCAATCAGGCAATCTTGTACAAAACTCTAGCCTTGTTTATAATCCAGCTGAGACCCATAAGAACTGTTTCACCATCTTCTTTGTTAGCCTGAAGGGCCGTATCTAAGATCTTGCTATAAACTGTGCCCACTGGTCTTTGCTTCGGGCCTTTCATTAAAGTTCCACACAACAGCAGTCTCATTCCATGTTTTGTTAGAGAAGAAGGATCATGGAGTAGAATCCTAATGGTTTTGCACCACTAGTTGTAAACTCTACTTTTAATCATGCCTTTCTGCATTACATGGTTTAATTACACCCCTTTTTCTGTTAATTAAAATAGAAATTATACTTCATGAAACAAATTAAAATTATAAGTTTTTTACTCCCCGCTTAATTTGTATTTATTAAGCATACAGATGCTTCACTACAGGTAATGTGGTTCTATCATGTGACCTATAATATCCCTATACGAGCCTTTAAACAAAAATAGATTGGTAGTTAATATTGTTTTTATAGTTTCTAACACATTAAGGAGAGATAAATTCTAAAATTTTATGACTATGAAATAAATGTAGAGTTTTTAAAAATGCATACATTTTAGGGAAGAAAATGGATTTAGCAGTTAGTTGAAATCTACTAGATATAAAAATAATAAGCCCTCTTCTTAGACAGTATTTTTTCTTTAATGTAATGTCCCCATAATGAAAAATATAATAGGATCTCTTTCTTTATCTCTCACACTGAATTCATGAATATATTTAAAAGTTTGATTATATATTTTTAAAAAGATAATACAAATGCATAATTTTTTATTCATTAAAAATGAATACAATTATAATAAATATTCTGAAAATTTAACTATTTTCTGGAAAATAAGAAATGTCAAACTCGGTTTTACAGAAATTCCCATAAATATAGTTGATATCATCCAGCCCACTCCTTTGTGGCTCTTGGATTTGACAAAAGACTCCCTTGGTTTTTGGGGGACAGTCTTCCCTACCACAGTCTGAGACTATTAAGCTGCAGCCTGCTGGTGTTAAAGGGTTACTCTGGGTTAAAGTACATATGGCCACAGTAATGACATCATTTGGTCCACTTGAAAAACAGTTTGAAGGCTATAAAGTCAAATTGACCAGAAAGTAAAATGTCTCAGGTAGAATGCTCAATATACTATCCTTGAAAAGAAAACATTCTGAATTTGGTTTTTGAATATCAGGTGTCATTATTTTGTTTTGTTTTGTTTTGTTTTAAAATGGTTCAATTGTATAGCAGCTTTCACAAGGGAGAAAATGAAGGCAACATTTAAACTAAAAGTTTGAATATTATTTTGTATCCCGTTGAGTGAATCTCAGAAACTGCATTTATTTGCCTACCTACTGTTTTTAACTTTGTCATCATTACAAAATTATATATGAGAGAGTGACCAAAGAATGGTGTAATAATTCTTTTATGTGTACATGTAGAGCTATGTTGGAAAGTGCACTTTTTCCATTACGATATATGGAGAATGATTACATTTTGAAAAACACTGTGGTAGACAGAAGAGGCCAATCACTGTTGGTTGAATACAACCCTCTTAGGGGTCTGGCTGCTGCAAGCCTCCCTGAATACACAGGCCAGGTAGAATTGATATCTTAGCATATTAGCGCAGTAGTAGTGTGCTCTGACACATTGGGTGTGAGACTGTGCTCTATTTGTTCCTTCAGACTTGCTAATTAACCAGTATTGCCATTTTTTACTCATTCAGTTTATGATCCTGGATGATTTATGTTTGGGTAGCTGTCTTAAATATTTCATTTTCACTTTCAATGGAAATGTTGTTTCTTTAAACCAGATTTAACAGGATCTATTATTTCTCTACAATGAGAAATGTTAAAATAAGCAAGTATCTTCTTCCACTCTTCTGCTCGCCTGTTCTTTACCTTCTAATCTACATAGTAATATATTTCATAATATTTTCCTTGGTATCGTTCAGTATGTTAATACATCTTTATTTTATTTTTGGTAATAAATGATGTACTTTGACTCTTGAATACTATAGTTGCTTATCTTACATTAACAAGAGTTAATCAACAAACTTACCTTTTTTTTTTTTTTTTGACAGGGTCTCTCTCTATCACCCAGGTTGGAGTGCAGTAGCACAATCATGGTTCACAGCAGCCTCGACCTCCTGGGCTCAAGTGATCCTCCCACCTCAGCCTCTTAAGTAGGTGGGACTACAGACATGGGCCAGCACACCAAGCTAACTTTTTAAATTTTTTGTAGAGATAGGTCTTACTATGTTTGCCCAAGCTAGTCTTGAACTCCTGGTCTGAAGTGATCTTCCTGCCTCGGCCTCCCAGAGTGCTGAAATTGTAGGTGTGAGCCACTGGGCCTAGCCAACAAACACTTCAAATCAAATAATTTTTTATTATTTTCTTCTAAAATAGTTACTTCTAACCATGTATGTTGTTGATGCACATAGTATTTGTATTCCGCTCTGTAATTCTAGTGTCTGCATTTGTTTTAGACTTAGTTCTATTTGTAAATAAACTTTAGCCAATATTTTTGCAGTGGTTTTCCAGGCAACTCTTGATTGACAGAGGCTTATTCTTTACTAGCTTTTGTGATAAGGACCCATGAAAATGATTGCTTTAATCAAAACTCTTTCTAATTGAAGGACAGACAGCTGAAAATAAACTATTTGACTTTTTTTCCTTGAGTATTTTGTTGGTTTTGAATGTTACTGTACAGAAATCTGAGGCAGTATACTGTTTCCACATTTTTTTTTTTTTTTTGAGACGAAGTCTTGCTTTTTCCCCAGGCTGGAGTGCAATGGTGTGATCTAGGCTCACTGCAACCTCTGCCTCCTGGGTTCAAGTGATTCTCCTGCCTCAGCCTCCCAAGGAGCTGGGATTACAGGCGCCTGCCACCACACCCGACTAATTTTTATATTTTTAGTAGTGATGGGGTTTCACCATTTTGGCTGGGCTGGTCTCGAACTCCTGACCTCAGGTGATCCACCCACCTCAGCCTCCCAAAGTGATGGGATTACAGGCGTGAGCTACTGCACCCGGCCTACTGTTTCCACTTTTAAGACAATCGAGTTTTTGCCAGGTTACCCAAAAACTTCTTTATTGCTAGATTTCATAACTTTTTAAAAGAATAGGTTTGGTGTGAAACATTCTGAATCAATTTTATCTCACACATAGTATACCTTTCATATATATGATTAAGTCTTCTTTTTTTTATCTTTTTTATTTCTTGAAAGTTACTTTTTCCTAGAAAGGTATATAGCTAGACAAGACATTGTTTTGATTTTCTTTTAAGGAAGGGGCTGTAAATTTGTATATGCCGGATCTCCTATACCCCCTTCCTCTAACATTCTCTGTAATGCTTTTACTATTTAGTTCTGTTTTATTTTTACTGCTATTCTAATTATATTTTGCACAATGTTTATTTCCTCAGTGTGTCTTTCAATATTGTCTACAGTTATGTGAGATATGTTTTTCTTCATTCCTAACTTCTGACAGTCTCAGATCACCTCTCTGCTTAAGGTCCACCTTGCCTTGACTTATAACATCTTATGCAGTCTTGCTTTCCTAACTTCCCTGACTCTGGGTGTCTTTTGGTTTCTTTTCTTTTTCTTTCTTTCTTTCTTTTTTTTTTTTTTTTTTTTTTGAGATGGAGCCTTGCTCTGTTGTCCAGGCTGGAGTGCAGTGGCATGATCTCGGCTTACTGCAATATCCACCTCCCGGGTTCAAGCAATTCTCCTGCCTCAGCCTCCTGAGTAGCTAGGATTACAGGCGTGCACCACCGCATCCAGATAATTTTTGTATTTTTAGTAGAGACAGGCTTCACCATGTTGGCCAGGCTGGTCTCTAACTCCTGACCTCATGATCCACCTGCCTTAGCCTCCCAAAGTGCTGGGATTACAGGTGTGGGCCACCGCGCCTGGCCATCTTTTGGTTTCTTTCTGGGGCCTCTTCCAGAAAGGATTTATCCACTATAGTGATAAGTCCTGAGACTTCCAACTGTGACTTGCAATGTGCTCAAACCAAGAGGAAGAAGAATGCTGCATCTTATGGCTTAATAGAAAGAATTTGCTTTATTTCCCCTTTTTAAAGGGGAGAATGGTTTCCATATTCTCAGCAGGGGCCATGTGTTTCTCAATACTGCATCCATCTAGTTCATTCTTTGTAGAGCGGAAAATTCTGGTTTACTCCTGATTGGAGAAAAGTTGTTTTATTGGCTATATAAAATTGGGAAAAGAGTCAGTATCCCAACTTCAGAGAGCTCTACTCCCTCCAACTTCTTAATTTTTATTCGATTCTTTGGTACTATTTTTCTTCTAGAATTCTTCAATGAGCAATTTAGTATTTGACTTTCTACACCTAAGTCATCTAATACTCACAAATTTTTTCTTTAGATTCTAAAATTTCATTTCTGTAATTATCTTTCCTATTCTTTTGTGTCTTTGTTGGTTTATTCTTTCTTAAAATTAATATTTTCATTGTAACTTCAGATGGAGCATAGAAAAAATACATGCTCCAATTACTTTATTATAAATCATAGAATTACTTAAAGAGTTCTAGTTTTGTATATTTAACAAGCAATTTATTGTATACCTTATGCATAATACTTTTGAGTTAAGACATTGAGAGCACAGAATCGGGGTCATTTAATTTCCCACATTCCTTATTTACAAGAAATTAAATTTCTCACAAGAGAGTAGGGGAAAAAGCAGCATGATTTTAGGAATCAAAAGGTCATAATATAATGTGGGACTGTGTCATTAGCTCTGTGCATCTTGAGACAGTCCTTTGCCTCCCCTGGACATGTTTACTTCTCATTAAATTAAATAAATGGTCTCAAAGAAATTTCTAGAATAAATATGTTATATTTCATTAATATAAATAGAATTCCATTAGTTTGTGTGTTTTAGTACAGATTCCATTGATCACACCCTAACTACATAAACTGGTTATATTATGCTGCCACTTCATCAAAATTATTTCTGGTTCCATATTTTATTATATATGTTATGGCTGAGCTCTGACAATTTGTTCTCTCCAGCAATACTGGAAAGCATTTAATCAGACTCAATTAACAAAATTTTGCTCTGCTCTCAGGGCTTATTAAAATTATTATTTGTTAGAGGAATACGAAGTTTGTTAGAGCTGAACAATAACTTAGAGACCATTGACCCAATCACTTTTCACAGGTAACGAAACTTAAACTGATATAATGATATGGATTGTCCAAAATCAAAGTGAGATTTAATTAAACGGTGCTCCCACGACCAGAACTTCATTGTTTCAGACCATTACACCTCCAGGATATTGTCACTGTTGTTGTAGTAATTTTCTTTTCATTGCTGTGCTTTTGTCCCATTTTATTTTGTTTACTACCTGATATACTGCCTTTAAGTAGAGATCAACATCATCCACCTTGAACCAACTCTTAAATTGGCAATTAGGCTTAGATTCTCACAAGTAACCCCATAGTTTTCTCCTACTTGCAGCACTTTTACCTTTCCATTATTAAGTTCTAATTTGATGCATTAATCCTTGGCCTCACTCTTTATATTGTTATATTGTTTATATTGTTAAAATATATTATCAAAATGTAATTAAAAGAAGCTTACGAAAAGGACAAAACATTATCATCACTTACTCTATATGGTAGATAGCAAAAGGAAATGAAAGTCCTAGCTAAAGCAATTAAATACTGTTTTCTTTATATCTGTTCAACAATTATAATTGCAGTAGAATTTTTATTTTATTAGAATTTTATCATTTTCCAATTGAATATAGTATAACTTCATTGTTATATTGTTATAACATGATTTCTTCACTTCAGTGCTTCTTTCATTCAGAGGATAAAAGCAACCTTCTTTAAGAAGATGTTATTTCCAATGGTATGATAAAATACAGTGGGTTGGGGGGAGAGGGACTCAATTTTATTGAAATACATGTGTTTTATGACATACTTTAAGAGTATTTTCTTCTCTGTAGATAGTAATGTTCAATTGGCAGATTTCTTTTTGCATATTTTGCATATCTTTTTGCATATCTAACATATAATTAATTTCATAAATTCTATCATGAGTGACCCTAAAAATATTGGATTGGGAATTAATGTGCAGAATTAACCTATTCATATTTATTAAATGTCTATAATGTGCCTAATTCGAATCTGTACATTGAATAAGAAGCTTAGGCATTTACATTTTTACATCAAAATTCTTAAATTTACATACTTTACATTTTCATTTTGATCATGACATCAGTTTTCTTCATGATGCATTTTACTCTTCAAAGTTAGAAAAAACTTCAAATTCTACAATAGAGATAAAAATGAGGATTCTAGTTTCCTGCTATTTCTTTCTAGGTTCACAAGCTGAGGATCCAACTTTACAACTCAAATCATCAAAAAAGGTTTTTTTAAATTCCCATTTAAATGGAAAAAAGAAAAGATGACTAACTTCATTAGACCATTCTTGCATTGTTATAAAGAAATACCTGAGGTTGGGTAATTTATTTTAAAAAAGAGAGATTTAATTGGCTCATGGTTCTGCTGAGCTTCTGATGAGGCCTTGGGAATCTTACAATCATGGCAGAAGGCAAAGCGGGACCTGGCACTTCACATGGCGAAAGCAGGAGCAAGAGATAGAGGGAGAGAGAAAGAGAGAGAGAGAAAGCAAGTGTGGGGGTGGGGGGAGGTGCCACACACTTTTAAACGACCAAATTTCATGAGAACTCACTATCATGAAGACAGCATCAAGCCACAAGAGAGCCGCCCCCATGATCCAAACACCTCCTAACAGGCCCCACCTCCACGATAGTGGATTACAATTTGACATGAGATTTGGATGGGGACAAATATCCAAACTATATCAGTAATTCTAAATTTTTTTGTTATTTTGGAATTTGAAATTGATCCCAAAGGTGTTCAGGCTTCACACCTTATTATTAACACAGAATTCATAGGACATTCCTGAGTGTTTGCTTCTATGATGTGATTTAAGGGATATGATTTGAGTAAGTCCTATCTATTTTTGTTTCTGTTTGTTTTTGTAATTTTGCAACTTTCAGCTTTATAGCAATCTTGTTTTTTTTAGCTATCATCATTGCAAAGCAGCAAGATGATTTTCCACTAACATTACAAATCTATTCAAATAGCTTAACAGAAATAGAAGATTAAAGGGAGGTAGGGAAGAAGGTAAAAGATGATATCTACTATTACTTGTCCATGCTCAATATAATACATTTCAAACATGTTGTTCAATAAATTTTATTTACTTAACTTTTCGAGTATTTAAATCTTTTTTTCATATGCAGATTTAGTTCACATACTAAAATAAAGAAGCTTCTAGAGTGGTGAGAATAAAAGGATTGTTACTAAATAAAAATACAAGTTACTTTTCTGGGCTAACAGGAGACTTTTCACTCTGTGTATCATCAATTTTCGTCAATCAATGAAGGCAACGTCTTCCCTCTGGTAAGGCAGGTATATAGTTGGACTGATGGTGGGGACCAGATCGTAGAAAATGTTTTACTACTTTAGACTAGTTTTCCACATATCCCTCCAATAAAGTAAAAGGCAGGAAAATTATGTCTCTAAAAATATTAAAGGTAGCCTAGAAAGAAAGAAAGTTTATAAGGAGGTAAGAACTCAGTGGTGTGTACAAATACAGACTTTGTAGTATGAATTTCATTGGATTTCATGCTCTATGTAGATGTAGATAACATTCATTGTTTTTGACCTTCCATGCCCAGCATAAGGCTGGACTCCTAATTAGTATTCAGGAGTGTTTTTTTCTTGGTATAATTTACATATACTATTTAGCACCATCTAGCTGTTACCACACAGGGAGGACTGAGTCATCCCCCACCACCTCATTCTTTCAGAGTTAATTTCTTATTCTAAAGTCAGAAGCCTGTGAGACTCCATGAAAGGCTATAAGTGAAAAAAAAATAGACTCATGATTTGCAGAGATCTATAGTGAAAGGGCAGGTGATATATTTTCCTTTGTGCTTTTCATATCTAAGAGCCTTTTCTTCATAGGATTTGTTTTACTTTTCCCAATTAGGAGAAAAGTATTATTATACATTATTTATAAAGTCATCCAGACCTACCAAGAACAGTTTAATTAAATAAGATAGTTTTATTGAAAGTCAACAAGAATACTTGAGCGTCATTGAATTAGAATTTCCAGGAACTGGGTTAGAACATCTACCTGTTCAGCAGTTGTATTAGTTCATTTAAACACTGCTAATAAAGACGTACCCAAGACTGGGTAATTTATACAAGAAAAAGGTTTAATGTACTCACAGGTCCACCTGGCTGGGGGGACCTCACCATCATGGTGGAAGGCAAGGAGGAGCAAGTCATGCTTACGTGGATGACAGCAGGCAAAAAGAGAGCTTGTGCAGGGAAAGTCCAACTTATAAAACCATCAGATCTTGTGAGATCATGCTAACAGCACAGGTAACACCCACCCCCAGATTCAATTATCTTCCACTGGGTCCCTCCCACAACACGTGGGAATTGTGGAAGCTGCAATTCAAGATGAGATTTGGGTGGAGATACAGCCAAACCATATCATCAGTCTTCTAAGAATTTCTTATATACACAGAATAGGATTACTAGGAAACTAGATCAAAAGACAAGATAGATGAAAGCTAGGTTCTTTGAGTGTGTTAAGACATGAAGAAAAGAAAACACCTCTGTATACTTAATTCTTGACAAATTTATTGCTTTTATAAATTTCTCTGATGAAAGAAAGCATATAAAAATGAGATTTATTCTTAGTGGGTTATTGATAATTTGAAAAAAACATAATTTAGAAAAATAGATGTATTCTAAAACTAAACTCCATATCGAATAGTATGAATAAGCAATACCTTTTCCATAAAGAGTAATATACACCTAAATAAATGGTATTAACCAATTTTTAACTCATACATCTAAAATATTTTTCTCAACAGACAGAATAAATATCATTATAAAAGAGAAAACTATATGATTATAAATAAAAATGTACTGTTATAGTTATTTCATACTATATACAGAAGAAAATAACTCATACATTGAAAACACACTTTAACTGCAACACCAGTTGAGGAATTCTGAATTTCACTATATCTGTGTCTGTGTCCTTGGGTCTGTCAAGTTGAAGGTGTAAGAACATCGGGCCAGCTGAACGCTGCCGTGGACAGGGAATTTTTATTATCATGATAGCTGGAGAGCTGGGCTCAGGGAGTAACTCCTCTCTCAAAATCTGTTTCTAAGTATGGTAATTTTCCTGAAATGTCATTATTACGCATTTGGAAGTTAATAAAAATGTTAGGGGTATTTACAGAAGCAATAACTCAAACACTTTTCACATTTGCAAGTTTCTCAGCAATTGGTTCCGCTATTAAACTTGTCTTTCATTTTTCTTTTGTACAGAATGAATATACTGAGCCGCTTTTTCTTTGAGGCATTTATCTTTTTTCTAAAATACATTGGTATCACTCACATAATACTGGTGCATCTTTGCATTCAATGGGGAATAGATAAACTTGAAAATATATTTGAATGTAGCATGCTTATACATGCATAAAAACAGACACACTTGCTTTGTAAATGTACTTAATTGTAAATAAATATGTTAAGAATTAGTTTCTTTCATGTGGTAGTAGCCATAGGAACATGATTTTCTTTATTTTCCTTTATTCTTCTTTTTCTTTTCTTTTTCCCCCTCACTCCTGTACTATCTTTATCTTTTGCAGTTCTATCAGCCCTATAGAGAACACATTGACCATCAGCAGATGGCTGTGTTCTTATGACCTGATGGATAGCTAGGTCTTAGAGAAAACCAAAGGAAGAACAGAAATCTATTAAAGTTGAAACTAAGAGCTTCCTGGGACACTGGGCTTTCTAAAACAAGGTTCATTGAGGACAGTCTGAAACTTTGATTATCCTAGTGTAAATCTATTTGGGGATAAAATGACTTACTTAACACATATTTTTCTAGAAAACAGAAAGCATTCTGTTTTACTGAATTAAGTGATTATGCTTATCTACAATTGTCATGTAGCACAAAACAAGCAGAATATTAAAAAGGCATGAGAGAAACTCAATAAAATGGTCAAAAATCAGTGCTGGGCTTAAGAAAAAAATATCTTTACAAAATACTGCAAGGAATTACAGGCAAAATATGTTGTATTGGCTCAATATTTATTAACAATATTTCACATGTATTTACACAGTCATGCTTTTGTTTAAAAATGCATATGGCAAAGTGATTGCAGAGAATAAACAGATTACTTATTATTAACTAAACTCGTCAAGGAAAAATTGCACTGGACTGAGTTAAGCTGGCAAGGAAGATCATATTCAAGAATATTGCCATGAGAAAGAGACAGATTGAGTTCAACTTGGCTCACACTAAAGGCAGTAGAATTTTTAAGTGCAAGGGTGAGCTAATGGAAAAGTAGTGAAGGAGATTAGAATGGAAGTTGGTCAATATGATTAGGCTATCTCTGCTAATCGTCATTTATCAAAGTTAGGCTTCTATGTTTCCACAGACGCTAAGAGAGAGCACTGTTTCACTCTGCATGGGCTGCCGTAACAAAATACGGCTGGGTGGCTTAAACAACAGAAGTTTATTTCTCACAGTTTTGGATACCGGGAAGTACAAGATGAAGGTGCCAATAGGATCAGTTTCTGGTGAGGGCTCTCTTCCTGGATTGCAAATAGCTACCTTCTTGCTGTGTCCTCACATGGTAGACAGAGACAGGCATCTGTGGTTTCTCTTCCTTTTTTATAAGGACACTAGTTCTATTAGATTATGACTTCAACCTTCTGACCTCATTTAGCCTTTATCACCTCCTAAGGTGTACTGTGTTACCTCTAATACAATCACATAGGAGTTAGGGCTTCAATAAATAAATTTTTGGTGGGACATGATTCAGTCCATGTCTTCCTTATAGACTGCTTATGGAAGGAGACACTATCTTCCTTATGATTACATGTCAAAGGGAAGGCTCCCAGGTCCTGAAGAATAACATTTCTGGGTTATAAATGTGCTAAGACACTGGGAGAAGATGTACATCTCAAAGGAGCAGAAAAATAATTTACAATAGAAAGTTTTCTAAAGTAAATATACCCCTGCCCCATAAAGGTTGGGGGAATCAGGGGCTATAGTTAGGAACAAATCTGCCCAACGTTAAGCTGAGGGAAACTTTAAGACTTTCTTGGTCGATCTGTGGGTCAGCATTGCTTTACGCATGCTCCAAAAGAGAAATTGCCACAAATCCTCTTTGTCTTTTCATTCATTAATGGTAAAACTGGCCACACAGTACTCTACAAATTAGCTATGCCATGGCCTAGAAGACTTGTGAAGTGAGGCATAATGCAGTAAGTGGTGACATTTAAATTAATACTCCCCAGTTCTTCTGCTGCTTGTTGATTAAAGGGGGAAATGAATGGGGCCTATGTTTGATAATAAGTTACTTGCGTCCCTTGGGCTTTGCCAGTCCTTAGGCCAATTACTCATTTTTAGTTTTTTTGGTTGCCTGATAGCATATGGCCCACCATCCAGGTCTAAGGGCTGAGATCAGCCCCTCATTTATCCTTGAATATAAGGGTCAAGACACAGTTTGTGTATATGTGTGTTGATGAAAGTAATGCCAAAGGATACAAAGAAAGAAGAGGAAAATGGGAGAGAAAGGAAAAACAGGAGGAGGGAATGTGTTTTCTTGTATTGGGATTATCAATATCAGCTGTAGAGCTATTGGTTAGCAAAATTGCCAAAAGTTCTCAACTACTCACAAAGCAGCCTATCAACTTACTTACCATTTGATAAACATTTAGATAATTGGATGAAGAACAGGGGTGAGTCTAGAATGAGGGGAGAGACACACTTACCTCTAGATGCAAAATTTAAGCGGACACCAAAAATCAAAATTAATTCAAAACAGGACAAATAGTACTGATTTTTTTTTTCTTGTGGCTCATGGTCTAATACAGCTTTATAGGGCACTATTAGTGATCCATCTTTATTTAAAATTTGGTATTTTGTTTCCCATGGATTTTTGCACCAGTGTTGATTTCTAAACATATTATCCTAAAATATAATTTATCTTAATTAACAAAGTTTTTGGCATTCCCTTAAATTTTACAGCCAAGGTGCGTGCCTACTTATGTTGCCCTAGTTCCTGCTCTGCAGCAGAAAAGATTTTTGGCACTTCCCTCTTGATTCTGAATATATTTTTAATTTTTCTAGTTGAGTGGGGTAGGTCTGGAAATTATTATTTAAGCAATGCTTTCCTTAGTATCCACTTAATGCAGATGAACACTGGTCTAGTTAAGGACAATATTGTTGTTCACTTCCTATATAAGTTACTAAAAACACTCAAGAAGGCAGGATTTTTTCCAATAAGGAAGTTTGATAAAGAGAAATATTTGTAATGGTGTACAGATAACTTACTGCAGATCTTTTCTTGTCACTTATAGAGAAAGTTAGATTAATAAAGTTGACCAAAGACAAAATATGTAATAACTAATGCCACAAATTGGTTATGTTTGTAAATCTTTTAAACATATCTAAGCATCATCTTTAGTCTTCTAAAGAGGATATTTAATTGGTCTATCTCTTGGCATTGTGAAGAGAAAATGAATGTACATGAATATGGTCTATAACTGTAAGACAAAGTTTGTGAAGGTTTAGGTGGCTATCTCTCTCACTGTTTACTTAGGTACCTGGGAACAAATAAATGCTATATCTGCTCTTTATTTAAACATATCTTTTTCTTTTTATTAAGTTCATAATCATGCTATGTGTAGTTAAAATACATTAAAATCCTAATTTTAAAAGCAAACTAATTTATGAAACAGAGAAGATAAAGGGGATATTTCTATTGACTTAGGAAGGACCCTTTACAAAACTGAGTTCAAAAGTTCAAAAAAGTATTTCAATGTACATAGACCACAATTATAGTAGCCTGAATTAATGTGTTATATCAGCTTTGGCAAACTTTCTGTAAAGGGCTAGATAGTTAATATTTTCATATTTTCAGGCCATATGCTCTCTATTGCAATGACTTAACCTTGCCACTATAGTAGGAAGCCACAGGCAATAGTAAAAAAATGGGCATGGCTGTGTTCCAATAAAACTATATTTATAAAAACAAGCAGTGGGCTGGGTTTGGCTTACAGGCCATAGTTTGTCTGCTCTTGCGTTAGATAATTCTGGATGCTTCATTGAAAACTCTGAACTAGGTTGTCCACATAGTGGGCCATAAAGGATTCATGCTATTTATTGAGCTGAATGTTCAAGCCATTGTCTAGACATAAATGAACCTTCATGACTGATGACTATGGAAGAGCTGTTATGCCAGTAACCTGATCTTATCTCTTATGATTCTATATCCAGCAACATTATTTAATTTTAAATGTTACTGTAATGAAGGCAAGGTATCTCTGTTTTGCCATTATTTTTCCCTTTTATAAATGCTTACAAAATGCTTGTAATTTAATACTTTATTAAAGACCATAAAGGTTAAGGATATTTTTAAATGAGGGCAAATTGTTTTATTGACAGTAATGAACGCTTCTTAATGAGTCAGTGACTCGACTAAAACCACCAAAGTGAGGTGGCTTAACGTACAGAGTTGGTTAACTGAATGTGTGGTTTTCAGTTGTAGTAGGAAATCTTCCTAATTTAAGGAGAATTTACTGTAGCTATAAGAGCAGAGGTTAAGTGGTGCTGAAACTACAATATTTAAAAACTAGCGCTCTATGTTTGGAAAAGCTGTTCTGAAAGAACACTTCTCTCTATGCATTTAGCAATATCTTTGCTATTTATTCCAGTTAATGGACACTTGGATATTATAAATGACAAGAAGGAAAACAATATATAATGATTTTAAAATCAATGCAAACTATGCTCTAGTAATTCTATCACGTGAGGAAAGAATAAAGCAAGAACAAAATACTAGAATGTTCATGGTTTGGCATTCTAAAGACTGTTGTAAAAAATATCATATATTTGAACTAAATTGCTGGGTCTATAAGATACTAGCATAGCCATGCCTTCTGGAGGTCCTCAGCTAATCCCACAGGTACATCTTTGGTAAGGTCAACACAATATTTCCCTCAACTAAGAGTCTAAGGAAAAGTGGTTTTATTAATCACAAACCGACAGGAATAGCCAAGAGATCAAAGAGTTTTCAAGTCAGAATAAATCTTAGAGACTATTTGTTCAGATCTTTAACTAAAAATGAAGAAGCTGATGCCCAGATAATTTATGAGATTTTGTAAAAGGTTACACAAAGTGTATTCACAGATTCGCCATTAGTGCTTTGGTCTGTTCTGCCCCTGCACTTGCCTGTTAGAAATGAAGTTTTATCCACACTTAAGGACAGCTTCAGAGTCTTATGTGGTGGAAACCATGTGAGCAGGTAAAATCTATGATCCCAGGGCCAGCGTTCAGGTGCTTCCTGTTAGGGTTCTTGCAATTTTTTTTTTTTATAGCTAGTTTACTATAATTTGAAAGTTTGCATTTCCATTTATATCTTGTCTTACTTTGTGCTAATTTATTTAAGACACTAGGCTAGAAAGCTTAAAATTTCTAGGGCCAAAATCTCAAGTCAATCATATTTCCTAGAAACCATCATCCTTTACATCTGAATGGGCATATAGGTATTTGGCTAATAGCATATAAATGTAAATAGGCAGAATTAAAGTGGATGATTTTATTTTGTATTCTTTTGGTTACTTTCTGGCTTCACCTCATATAGAATAAGCTTTTATCTCCAAACCTCACTTTCATGGCCAGGACTAGGGTGAGGCACTTCAGACACAAAAGTCAAAGAGACTTTCACTTGCAGGACCCTAAGAACAAGGGCCTCATTGACTTTTATGGCCTAGTAGCCTCTCTCACCTACCCTCGTCCCAGTACTCACTTTTTTAAAAAGTTAATTTCTTCCCTGACAGGATGTTGAGAGAATGACTGTGATAATTTATGTCTGTAAGGCAATTTTAGCTCCTGAGAAAAAATGTGTTATGGTCATCTCATATAGAATCAATTATATTTTAGTCAGACTATTTTGGACTTAAACATTCAATTTATTTGATAATTAACTAGATATAAATATAATATATAGTTCAGATAAAATTCTCCTGGTTATGTGGCATAGATTACCATATAAACCAGACCTCTTCAGAAATATTTCATCATATGAGAAATCTGATCTTTCATAGTTAATCAGAGAGATTTAGTCAGACTATCGATGTTCCATATTTCCCATTTGTATTCAAATGCCTCCTCAAAAATTTTATATCTTATTTTCTTTTCTGAGTTTTATTCTTTTTACTATTAACATACTGTATACATTGGAGAGAAATGTGGAAGGAAAGAAATAGGTATTGAGCCTTCAGTTTGCTGAGCTCTATGCTAGATATTGTCATCAAGTAACAGATCTAATAATATATCTCATCATCATATTTCTAAGATGTCACATTTTATATTTTTCTCATGAAAATAAGCCTTAAGAGGCATAGAGGTCATGACTCACAGTAATAAAAACTTTATTTCTAACTCTTGCACAAATTTTAATAACAAAGGTATTTGTATAGTTACATATACTATATATATGTATAATTGTGTGTATATATGTATAAAACCTAAATATTTCTGAGCAAATCTAGCATTGGTTTAATCTAGTTTTAATTCAAGAGTAGTGTGACTTTTCTTGCTATCAGAACTTAATCACATGTTTCTTACTTGATTCCTTTGTTTATTGCCCATTGTTAGAATAAGTAAAGAGCAGACCACTGAAATACAGCAGCTGTGTTGCAATCACAGTTAATTTTTGGCTTGAAATGATTGATCCAGTTTGAATCAGAGCAAGAGTAATCTGCCTAAAGCAAATGTTATCTCCCAATCACCGAATAGATCACAGTATAATCAATTCATGTTATGAAATTTACCTAGCAAGAGAAATGGCTTAATTTTTTCTCATTTATATGTCAGAATAATTATAGTAAACATATATGTATTCCCTTTCTCGTTAGCCCCTGAGAGTCCAAGAACATAGAATCAGTTTAGTGGCAAAACAAATTCAATCCCAGCTTTCTGTGATGCCAAAGATCAATATTAAATCCAATGATACTATTTAGGGGGCTTACCATATTTATTTTCATATTTATTTTGGCTCTCCTCAATTTAAAAAAAATCTGATAAAATATACATAACATAAAATTTCACGTCTTGACAATTTTTAAAGGTGCAGCTCAGTGGCATTAAATACATTTATATTGCTTTGCTACCATAACAATCATCTGTCCACTGTATCATTTTCATTTTGTAAAACTGAAACTCTACACCTATTAAACAATAACTCCCCATTGGATTCTCCCCTCAGCCCCAGGAAACCACAATTTTTCTTTCTCTATCTATGAATTTGACTACTCTACGTACCTGGTATAAATGAAATCATATATTATTTTTCTTCTTGTGACTGGCTTATTTCACTTCCATAATGTCCTCAATGTTTCTTCATGTTGTAGCGTGTGTAAGAATCTGATTTTTAGTGTTGGATAATATTCCACTGTATGTATATAGCACATTTTATTCATCCATTCATCTGTTTATGGACGATTGGGTTGCTTCTACCTTTTTGCCAAATTTATTTATGCACCTTCCGTAAGGTTGCTGCTGCTTTCTGTCACAGCTTCAGCTGATTCCTGCTGCACATATTTTTTTATGATTAAAAATTATAGGTTAAATAACAAATATTTAATTCCCACAAACAGAGAATGAAGTGATGGATTTCACTCATCACACATGGGATTATTTTGTGTGTTCCAGATAACTGATTTTGGAGGAGTCAGTTGAAATGTCCTAGAGAAAGGAAATTAGGGCCTTGGATTTCACTGCTTTGTGTACAGGAAAGCTGCACATGCTTCCTTTGAACCACAGAAACAAGAATCGTATGCCTCCCAAGAGCAGTGTTTCAGAGTCTTGGAGCTTTTGGTCATAAAACATAAAATTCTTACGTTTTTGCCTCCTGACAAACCAGCATGGGTGAACACATTATGATATGGGTAGCCTAAAGAAAAACTCAGTAGGGAAGATAAAGTAAAATGCTTGAATAATATTTTGAATCCAAACGAATGCAGCAAATATTTTCTAAAAATCACTTTCTATTGTTATAATGAAGCACTCTCTCTGGAATATGTTATTGAATACTTTGTTCATAAATAAAACTGTTCTTCCTTAAAGTGGTTTGCATAATATATCATTTGAATGTATTTATGTGTCTACTAATTTGGCATGTATGCCAGAATCTTTGACCCATCTCAATCTAAGGCAGTAGCACTGCCTTAGATTCAGAATATTTTTATTTTTAATTTTTTTAAGATGGGGGGGGGTCTCACTATATTGCCCAGACTAGACTTGAACTCCTGGATCAAAGCATACTCCCACCTCAGCCTCTCAAGTACATGGGACTACAGGAGCAAGCCAATGAGCTAGGTTTGAATTTTTTTCTTTTAACTGCAAATGGCTGTGGTCCTTTATTTGTTACTCTAATGTGCTTTGCATAGCTCTGCTATCCTTTGCTCTCAATACTCCATATCTACCCTATAGAAATATCAGGGAAGTTAGACTGAATACTGCCATGAAATTTCAGTAAAATTAGTAAAAGCAAGAAGGAATTCATTGGGATAACTTTATATAGGCAAACTTGAATTATAAATGAATCGTATTTTTTTGATAAAAAAAGAACAAGTAATAAATTGTAAGGCTTTTTCTTATATGTGAGCCAGGTGAAGGAAGCGAACTGGATTTGATGAGTTATGCCTCAGAATTTAGTTGAGGATGAAGGTACAAAGGAGATGAGAGATGACACAGGGAACCAAATGATATATTTCATTTGATAATTGATAGTTAATATATGCTTGCTTCTGGGGGTAATAAGAAGAGAAAGCCCTTTGAATGAATTAAAGGGAAAGGCATACATTTACAAAAGTAAGAGAAGTCAATTGGAAATGTTAATATTATTTTTATATTCATGGTAGAAGTAGAAGTGATTCAAAAAATTATAAATCATATTGGAGGAAAGCACTAGAATTTACTTGTAATTTCTTTGCCCGAAACTGCTATGTTTTATTTCTTAGAAGTTAGAACTCAGGCCACTAAATTTGTTTTCCTGCTAAAACTAGGAATGAAATTGGATTATATCCTGGTTTTGACTTTTACCCCATTGAATAATATTTTACCACAAAATCAATTTGTGGCTTGGTAAAAGCATTTTAATTGGGCAGTTTTTTGGTTCATATTAAATTCCCATCCCAAGATCTGCCTGATTTTTACAAGAAACATTTTCCTATGGGACTGTGTTTGAATAGACATTTAAAACACATGTCTACCACTTTAGAAGAAAAAGTAACCTCTGATATTTGGACAACATATGCTTGGTACAGAGGTTGAAGAATAGCAATCTCTAGCCTTTTTGGCATTAGGGATCGGTTTCGTGAAAGACAATTTTTCCACAGACTGTGGTGGGCGGATGGTTTCAGGATGACTCAAGTGCATTACATTTCTTGTGCACTTTATTTCTATTATTATTACATTGTAAGACATAATGAAATAATTATACAACTCAACATAATGTAGAATCAGTGGGAATCTTGAGCTATTTTTCCTGCAACTAGGTGGTTCTATCTGGGGGTGATGAGAGACAGTGACAGATCATCAGGCATTAGAGTTTCAAAAGGAGCATGCAACCTTGATCCCTCACATGCACAGTTCACAATAGGGTTCATGCTCCTATGAGAATCTAATGCCACCACTGGTCTGACAGGAGGTGGAGCTCAGGCAGTAGTGCAAGCGATGGGGAGTAAGTATAAATATAGATGAAGCTTCACTTGCTTGCCTGCTGCTCACCTCCTCCTGTGCGGCCTGGTTCCTAACAGGCCACAGACTGGTACTGGCCTGTGGCCTGGGGGTTGGGAACCCCTGCTGAAGAAGATGTTTCCATTTACCTCGCACAATATCATGCTGTTCTGTGTTTCTAATTTCTATTTCCTCTATCCTACTACTTTTCACCCTTTTTGTATCATTAAGAAAACCTTCAAACTAGGTAAAAAAATGTTATTATAGCTCTAATAAGTTTATTCCAAGTTCACAAGGATTATATTTACTTAAAATAATGCTTCATTCAGAATTGACAAAATAGTTCTGCCTTACAATATATCCCACAAAACCCAATTGTACTAAGTGTTTGATAATAGGTTTATAGCAATGCATTCAAAATTATTAGGACCAAAATAACTGTACATGGCTTGCCCAGTGGTGCTGGTCATAGCAGCAGACATTTCAGTTGGTGTGACAAAACATGCAGATATTAAAGCATCTGTGTGCATTTTTATATCATTATTCTAACATATAAAATGAGTTGCCTATCAACAGAACAGAATACAGTAGGTACATATTTTAAATTATAGATCAATAATTTGTAGAAAAAATTTGGAAGAGTATAGACAACTTAACCAGAGTTCAAATTTTATCTTCTGGCGGTATGCATTTTTAACAGTCACCCCTCAACTAACACAACTTTTTCCTTCAACCCCCACTCCACTGGCTCTATCAATTTAATTTCTTTTTCCAGTCACTTTATTCAACACGCACACCGCTGCTAATCCCACACCCTAAATTAACCTAACCCCAAAGACATGCTCTCACACAGTTTATGTAGCTTATTCCCTTAAAGCAATGCACTGAAAATGTCTGGATGGGCCCACACTGCCCCATAAACAAATAGGTTTCATCCTAGCCTTTCTATTGGTTCTTAGTAAGATTACACACTCAAGCATCCCCACCCCGGATAGCACTGATGTCATTAGGGAAAACACTTAAGCATTTGGACTCCAACTTCGAAGAATTGAAAGAACATGGTTAAAAAGAGAGGAACAAAGCACTTTTTTGTCTCTTTTTAACTAGGGATTTTAACTAGGGATTGTCCTAGACCAACTAGACCCATATCAACCTGTTAGGTTCACTATTATACATCGCACATTAGTGAACTTTATTTTCCTTTTCAGTTTGTTCTTGTTGAATTGCTGTCAGCTAAATTCTCAGAGGAGATTTCACATCTGCTTCTCATATAAACTTCAGCTCTGGTCTAGTGAGGATTAAAGTCTTCCTGAGAGCCTGACTGAGCAGCATTTCTCCCACTTTATTTGACACAGCACAATTTCACAGTGATGTTGGCACCTTCCCCACTCACTGTGTGCTGTAAATCCACTGCATGCCACAAGGTCAGCTGAGTATTAGATACAGAGGTCTGCCAGGGGTGCTGACAGCTCCATCTTTTCTAAGGGAAAGAGAGTGCCGCGTTCAGAAATTTGGTTGCAATACTGGCCCAAGAGTCAAAAATGATTTCATCTCAAAGGACATGATGATTATTAGGGACTGTGTTTCTATGATTCTTAAATCTCTTTCCAGAGGTGAACCTTATGGTGTCCTTTCTTAAAGCTTTTGGAAAAGCTGATAGAGAGAAGGAACTGTAACTGAAATGGGAATAAGTGACTGTAAGAAAGTAAGTCCAGAGAGTCATGCAGAATTAAGAATCTGGTAGTTACATTAGACTTCATTTTTCTTTAGCCCAAGATGGGAGACTTGTTTTAAGAATACCAATTTCTTGTACAATGGGGGCTTTAGGATCTTTTCTAATTCTCTTTGTTTTGGTTAATTTTAATTTTAAAATTATTTCATTACTTAAATACAACAAATTATATTAAAATACAGAAAATCAAAATTGTAAACTGTATTACCGGTAAAAATGTAGTAAAGCCAGATTTAAGAATCTCTTTTCCCCAACACCTATTAAAATAAAGTTTAAACACACTTTTCAAAATCAATCATAAGTATTTTTCAGCAACAATAAAGTAAGAAAAAGAGGACAATGACACTTCCATAAAAGGTAGCCAGGGAAAGAGAAGATTCTACTATAACTCAGGTTACTCTTAACACCACCTTTACCTATCAAAGCAGAAGTGGGGAGTGAGAACAATATAATACAATCTTAAGAATTGATGAGGCCTGACACAGTGGGTGACGCTTGTAATCCCAGCACTTTGGGAGGCCGAGATGGGCGGATCACGAGGTCAGGAGATCCAGACCATTCTGGCCAACATGGTGAAACCTCATCTCTACTTAAAAAAAAAAAAAAAGGCCGGGCGCAGTGGCTCATGCCTGTAATCCCAGCACTTTGGGAGGCCGAGGAGGGCGGATCACGAGGTCAGGAGATCAAGACCATCCTGGCTAACACGGTGAAACCCTGTCTCTACTAAAAATACAAAAAAATTATCTGGGCGTGGTGGCCGGTGCCTGTAGTCCCAGCTACTTGGGAGGCTGAGGCAGGAGAATGGCATGAACCCGGGAGGAGGAGCTTGCAGTGAGCCCAGATCGTGCCACTGCACTCCAGCCTGGGCGACAGAGCAAGACTCCACCTCAAAAAAAAAAAAAAAAGAAAAAGAAAAAAATACCAACATTAGCTGGATGTGGTGGCGCATACCTATAATCCAAGCTACTCAGGAGGCTGAGGCAGGAGAATCACTTGAACCCAGGAGGCAGAGACTGAAGTGAGCAGAGATCGCAGTTAGCCGAGATTGTGCTACTGCACTCCAGCTTGGTGACAAAGTAAGACTACATCTCAAGAAAAAAAAAAAAAAAAAAAAAAAAAAAGAATTGAGATTTGGTGAGTGGGCTAAAGAGACTGAGTGGAAAGACAGAAAATTATGACAGAAAAGAATAATCCACAAGAGGACAAACCCTTAACTCACCTGTGGATCTCAGGCAGAGCTAGCTTATTGGGCATGCCACCTGTGCATAGGGCTTCACATTTAGAAGGGTTCCATTCTTGGTTTAATATTTTGCTGTTACAGTCTTGAAAATCTTAATTCTTGAACAAGTTAATCTGTATATTTATTTTGTACTGTGTGCCATAAATTATGATCTCTGGGAAGGAACTGACATCTGGTCTCACCAGGTTGAAAGAAAAATTCTAAATGAGGCATTTAGTCACCCTATGATATATATTAGACTCATCTGGGAGCTTTTTAAAATCACAATGCTCAGGCTGCATTCCAAATCAATTCAATATGTCTTGACAGATGTGGGGGCAGGGGTAGTGAGGTGGGATAGGACAAGGCACAATATTTTTAAAAGCTTTAAGGTAAATACAATGTGCAACCAAGAATAACAATCACAGAAGAGAAAGCTGAATGGGAACATACACATTTAAATCAGGAGGGGCAGGCATATTGAGGTCTAAATGAAGTACCCAAACTCATCTGTGAATTACGTATGATAGGTTTTTACTCTTTGCCTTTCCCTGTTTGACCTGTAAATTGTTACTGGTGGAGAAGAATGAAAGCAGGACTTGAATAACTGGGATGATTCTCTTCAACAGAAGCTTTATTTTTATCATAAGAGCTCTACCCTGAATTTAAGGAAGATCATATTGTCTGATAACCCCCACCAGTGTGTAAGAAGAACTCTGGTACAGAAGATTTAAAATCTCAGTGGAAAGAGTAGAACCTGTGTCATCCAGCAAAAGGCCCCAGCTGACAGCGATTGGTAACACCAGCTATCGGTAACACCAGCTATCAAGCTCCAGCTCATAGGAAAACACAAATTCCCAATAAACTTTCACTAGTCTGATTATAAACTAACTTTCTAAATGTAGAGATGGAACTAGAAATGTATTTTTCTTCTTAAATAAGTGGAGCTATATTATATAGATTTGTAAATTAAGGATAAAGTTTTAATGCTCTCTCGTGAGGGTGGGGAAGCAAGCAGGTAGTTCCTAGTCAAGCAGGCGCTTTTAGGACTACAGGTTCTCAACATATCAGGGAAGACAGAACAACTATAAAAGGAGAGAAAGTGAGAGTTGGTGTTCTAAAAGCCTATGACTCACCAAGGAAACAGGACCCTTCCTCTTTGGTTTGGGGAGGAAAAGCACTTTCAGAGCTTTTAGCAGATCCAACAGTAGCAGTATGAACTCATTTCATGTACTTTTCCTCTGGGTCTCTAGGAAAGATGGTTATTGGGCCATCTCTTTAGGGGCCCCTTGAGTTTACTTACGGTTCTTATTGTATGTGGGCAGACCTCCTATGATGGAATAGTTTTAGCCTTGGTATCTTATCTAACCTCATTAAGCATATTAAATCTTATTAAACTAAAATTAAAGTCTTTTACTTCAAACATTGCATTGGTGCTTAAACTTAACCACTAAGGATATTACCAATTTGCCTCAGTCAGTTTTCAGCCTTTAAATACATTGGACCTGTGGTATAACCAAAGAAAGAAATTGTTAACAGAAAATCGCATTGAAACTTCTGTTTCCTCCAAATATGATAAATTAGTGTGGATCTACATTTTTTCCCCTTGTACAACTTCCATCATGGACATAATGCATAAGGCCTAAGGAGGCTCATGGCTTTGTTAAACTATTACAGAAACTGAGAAAATACCAGAGGTGAGAAACATAACGTGGTTGGGTAATAGTGCATTCAATAAAAACAGCGTCTAGGAGTGTAACAGAGCAAAGCCTTATATTTGTAAATATGAGGTTTTAAGATATGCCTTGGTCTCTCATCATTGACTTTTGTAGATTAGTTCCACAATATTTACTTCTCAAATGCAGAAAATATACCATATATTTCAGGGGTGTCCAGGAGTCATGGAGTAGCATCAGGATTATTCCAGGATATCTCAGGTGAGGTTGGGAGTGAACAACAATACAACACAACAGGAGATAGTGATTACCCCATAAAAAAATGAAGTGCCAGGGCTCTCTGTCTTGAGAAACCATCTGATCTCCATCTTCCAAACTTTGAAAACTAGGATTTGGACATTGATTTCTCTACATAGATTTACATTACTAGGCTAATGGGGCCAATGCCTCAGGAAAATGTTAGCTCAGAGAGAAACATGAAAAGGTGTTTTAGCACAACTACTTGAAGAGAAAGACAGTACAATAACATAAAGTGAACAATATTTATGAGTTCATGTAGATTTTTGGGACAAGACAGAAGAAATATAGTGGATGGTATTGTAAACACTAGTTAATAAATGTAAGATATTAAATGTACTGTCTGCAAATATTGGTCATGGAAAATAATGTAGTTGATAAAAAAAGATGAAGTGCAGAATTAATGCAGCTGAAAAACAGATCTGTAAACTAAGATAGGTCAAGGAAATCTACCATTTCAAAGAGAATACAGCATGACTAAGCTGGATTAATTTCAGAAACACAAGCATTATTCAATATTAAGAAGTTAATATGAAAGTATAATTCACCATATTAAATGGTAGTATAATTCACCTTATTAAACCCAAAGATCAACCTCATATGATTATCTCAATAAATACTGAAGAAGAATATGATAAAATTTAACATTGATTCTTGATTTCAAAATCATTACATAAAATTCAGACTGATGAATATTTCCTTAACATGTTGAAATGTGTATCTTTACTTAAAAGCTAACAACTTATTACTGGAGAAGAACTAGGGACATTCCCTCTATAACCACTATCACCATTACTACTATTATTTCACTTGTGGTATTAGCCAACAAATTTAGACATGATAAACATATTCAAGGAATGAGAAGTGTGGGTTAAGATAACTATAAACTTATATAAACCAACAATCTTCATATATAAAAGCATCTAGCTGAAAAAATACATTGAAAGAGATCGCATTTAAAACAAAAAAGTAAAATAAAATACCTAAAATTAAACTTAACAAGAAACATGTAAAATCTATATAAGAAAAATTAAAATGCTTCTAGAGAAGCCAAAAAGAGACTTGAAAAATGAAACTGCTTTCAGTGTTTCTGGATATATAGATTAAATATAAAAAGATATAAATTATCTGTAAGTCAATTTATAAATATTATGTAAACCTGATAAAATATTATTCTTCCATTTTTATCTTGTGGATCTATTCAAGCTGATTTTAAAGTTTTTATTAAAAAAAACCACTAGCAAGAAAAACCCTAAAAATTAAGAGCAATGAGGGGGCATCAGGTACTCTACATATCAAAACAGACAAACAAGCCTTAATTATTAAAATGTTGTGACTTTGGCACATGTGAAAACATAAAAACAAACAGACAAAATAGAAAATCCTGAAATAAACATATGATAATTTAGTGTAAATGTGACGTTTCAGTCAGTAGCATGATGATGGACTTTTTAAAAGACTATATTGTCTCCTAATGCTATCCCTCCCCCCTCTCCCACCCCACAACAGGCCCTGGTGTGTGACATCCCCCTTCCTGTGTCCAAGTGTTCTCATTGTTCAATTCCCACCTATGAGTGAGAACATGCAATGTTTGGTTTTTTGTCCTTGCGATAGTTTGCTGAGAATGATGGTTTCCAGCTTCATCCATGTCCCGAGATACACCTAATGTAAATGACAAGTTAACGGGTGCAGCACACCAACATGGCACATGTATACATATGTAACAAACCTGCACATTGTGCACATGTACCCTAGAACTTAAAGTATAATAATAAAAAAATTAAAAAAAATAAAAGACTATATTGTCATAACTGAGTAGCAATTTATTTTATCCAGTAGCACCTACGGTTTACATGTGAAGTGTCAATATATTAAAATACTAGAAAAAAATTGAATTGTCTGTGAAATCTTACAGTGTAGAAGTTGATTCTTACTAATATTCAAAACTTAACAGTCATAAAATAAAATATTGTTAAATTTGAGCATATGTATACAAAAACATCTGCATAGTAAAATGAGAAAGATATATAAGCAATTTCAAAATACATATGACAAACCAAAAAAAATAGCTATATCAGAGAAAAAGGACAACTCCTGTTTTATGTTAGAAGCTCCTAGGAATTTACATGAAAATGATAAATAATTCTATATAAAAAAGGCAAAAGGCACACGGTTTGACATTTCAAAGAAAAATAAATAAGACACATATTTGAAGATGTTTAACTTCATTTAGAAGATGTGCAAATGAAAGCCACATTAAAATGTCATTTTCATATCCAGAAAAAATACAAAAATTTAACAATATGTTGTAGAGAAAGCTGAGAGGAAAAGCAACGCTATGTAACTTGCTGTTAGGAGCGCAGTAGGATATAACCCTACGAAGGGAATATGGCATTGTCTACAAAATTAGAGATATATTTACCCCTTTAACTGCAATCTCATTAGGGGAATCCATTTTACAGATAAAACTGAATAGGTAAGAAATAGCATAGATCTAAGTTTATTCAATTAGGTATTGTATGTAATACAAAAGATAGGAAAACAATAATCCAGCAATAGGGAATTGGTTAAGTAAACTATAATGTATTACCAACAATTTTTTTAGAAGGAGAAAGGTTTCTGTGTATTGTTCTGGAGAGATGGTCAGGCAACATTGCTAAGTTAAAAATGCAAGTTGAAAATATTGTCGACAGTATGTTAATTCCTATAAAGGAAAAAGAAGACAACAAGAATAGTATTTTCTCTTACTGCTTTTGTATAAGAAACATTAATATCAAACAATTATTAAAATGGTTTTTTCAAAGGAGGTTGGAAGAATGTAATAGCTTTGACATAGATGGGAACAAGACTTTTCAGGGAACACTTATAAATATTATTTTGATTTTTATACTATGTAAACAGGATACCTATTCAAAAATTCATTAATTATAAGCACATTCTAGAAAAAAAAAGATTTGGTGAACAATTGTATAAATGTGGTAGAGGATGAATCATTTATCTATCTGAGATACTCTCTGTTTAAGGTGGTATCCAGGTAGACAATGAAGATCCCATGGATGATAGTAGGAGATGGATACTTTAGGGGTAAACATTCAAGAATGTGATCATTGGTAATAATGAAAAGGAGGAGGGTCTTCATAACAAATTGGTGTGATAATAGTCTGGATATATCTGCACAGCAAACAGAGGATAGACTTAACCTTTCAATGTGGAGAAATGCTGAGTAGGAGAGAAAAAGCAAACTCCACTTAAGAGACCACAGGGAAAGCAGCATCCCTTTTTGCATCAAAGTGATGAAAAAGGAACACTGAAAAACAGTTGAAGACACAGAGGGCGTTGATGCTAATGGAACATTCCAGAAGGCAGAGTGGGGCCAGATAAAAGAAAGTAGAGTGCAGTATGAGAATGCTGAATGATGCATGGTAAAGTGAGATAAAGACTGTAGAAAGATAGTTTAGAATTGTCTTCTGGAGAGTTTGCAATAGTCCTCCCAAGTCGAGGGTCATTTCAGATGTTTCAATGATTGGCAAGAAAAGATGTAGACGAAGAGAGGAAGGCCAACCGTTTACCTCAAATGTGTATGGCACTTTCCCCACATCCATTTAGAGCAGGTTATCCCTTCAAAGATCCTTTCGGTGGATGCTGGTCACAGAGCTACCACATTCTTAGGAATATTATTGATGAAAAGAAAAAAGAAAGATGTAATATTTTCCTGAGGTAAAATAATGTTTCATAAGGTAAAATAGAAGTCAGTATTTATTTTGGGGATGGCAAACTTTACCTGGTTCCTGTGCTCCTGGAAAACAGTGATGATTAAGAAATCCCCTACATGTTTGTGTACTAGCAAACAGTTTACTGTAAAGAACCACCCTTTTCCATAGGACTTCAAAAACTCGAATAGATGGCTTTTTACCTGTGACCAGACCAGACACAGACATACTAAATCTCCATTCTTTGACCAAGAAATGATAGCCTACACTGTTTTGTTCTTTCTGCTCAATCTGAATAAACTACCCAAAAATGTTACTAAACAAAATTTAGTTAGGCTTCTCTCCTTCCCTCTGAATTTGACTTGCCCTTAGATTGCAAAAGCACGGGAAAGTGGAACAATTCTTCCTTTTGGACCCTCCAGAGAATCGGAACCATGGAGAAAAACATTTCCTGCTTAACTGTCTGACCATATCATCTACTCATCCCACTCCCAAACACCAGTTCCTTCTAGTCTTGCTTACTCCTTCTTAGAAAAGGAAAGACCTTTCTGTCTGACCTTTAAGACACTTGCAAATCTTCTGGTCAGAGATTCTGGTCGTACATGTTGCAAGAGTCCCCTGAACAGTCTTTCCTTACTAAGTACAAGACTCTCACGTTTTCTTTGTTTATATATTTTGTTTTGTTTTTCATATTGCCATGGTGGTGGTGCTTGCTCACTTAAACTGAAGTTTAAAGAGGAACTAGCGCTATGAGAATGCTAGAGATGTAAATTTGAGATCATCTACACAGAGATGAGCAAATGGCGGCTGGGTGTGGTGGATCACTCCTGTAATCCCAGCGCTTTGGGAGGCCGAGGCAGGTATGTCACTTCAGTTCAGGAGTTAGAGACCAGCTTTGGCAACATGGTGAACTCTCCATGTCTACTAAAAATACAAGAAATAGCCAGGTGTGGTGGCACACATCTGTAGTCCCAATTACTCAGGAGGCTGAGGTGGGAGGATCTCCTGAACCCCTGAGGCAGAGGCTGCATGAGCCGAGGTCACACCACTGCACTCTAGCCTGGGTGACAGAGTGAGACCCCATCTCAATAAATAAATAAATAAATAAAATAAAAAACAGATGAGCAAAAGGTGAAAAAAGTCAAAATATTGGCAAGGAAACCCATATAACATTCCAAAGAAAAAATTGACAAGATGAAACATGGACCCAAAGCAGAGGATTTTCCAGATTCTCCATCAAAGCCTTCAGAAAAGGATTATGTAGTTCATCCTGAGTCTCAGAAGATACCTGCTGGCCCGAAAATAAAACCATTATGTCACATTGCAAAAAGTAAAAGGTCTAATAACTCAGTTGGTGTTAACAGTGATGGGGAGGAATTGCGTGAAGAGAAAGTCTTTTGAAGATAGAACAGATGAAAAGTTTTATAGTCTTCAATGTTTGAGGATAGAGATAGTGGTGATGACTTCATTTAAAAAGTCAGATGGACCTGAAAGAAGGAAAGTAGTTGTCATTCTTCAGTTTAAGCACAAAAACAATAACAACAACGGCAAACCACTCTCAAAAATGTTACCTGGCGAAGATGTTCTTGAATCTCATTGGTATATAAGAAATGACATCAGGTATATCTCCTAATGCTATCCACCCCACAAACCTGCATGTTGTGCCCAGGTACCCTAGAACTTAAAGTATAATAAAAAAAATTAAAAAAAAAGAATGACAACAAACAAAGTACAGAAGCCAGGAAGTTTGAATCAGTATTTTTCCATTCTTTTTTTAAATTTTTTAATTTTTATTATTACACGTTAAGTTTTAGGGTACATGTGCACAACACGCAGGTTTGTTACATATGTATACATGTGCCATGTTGCTGCGCTGCACCCATTAACTTGTCATTTACATTAGGTATATCTCCTAATGCTATCCCTTCCCCCTCCCCCCACCCCACAACAGGCCCTGGTGTGTGATGTTCCCCTTCCTGTGTCCAAGTGTTCTCATTGTTCAATTCCCACCTATGAGTGAGAACATGTGGCGTTTCGTTTTTTGTCCTTGTGATAGTTTGCTGAGAATGATGGTTTCCACCTTCATCCATATTCCTACAAAGGACATGAACTCATCCTTTTTTATGGCTGCATAGTATTCCATGGTGTATATGTGCCACATTTTCTTAATCCAGTCTATCATTGTTGGACATTTGGGTTGATTCCAAGTCTTTGCTATTGTGAATAGTGCCGCAATAAACATATGTGTGCATGCGTCTTTATAGCAGCATGATTTATAGTCCTTTGGGTATATACCCAGTAATGGGATGGCTGGGTCAAAGGGTATTTCTAGTTCTAGATCCCTGAGGAATCGCCACACTGACTTCCACAATGGTTGAACTAGATTACAGTCCCACCAACAGTGTAAAAGTGTTCCTATTTCTCCCCATCCTCTCCAGCACCTGTTGTTTCCTGACTTTTAAATGATTGCCATTCTAACTGGTGTGAGATGGTATCTCATTGTGGTTTTGATTTGCATTTCTCTGATGGCCAGTGATGATGAGCATTTTTTTCATGCGTCTTTTGGCTGCATAAATGTCTTCTTTTGAGAAGTGTCTGTTCATATCCTTCGCCCACTTGTTGATGGGGTTGTTTGTTTTTTTCTTGTAAATTTGTTTGAGTTCATTGTAGATTCTGGATATTAGCCCTTTGTCAGATGGGTATATTGCAAAAATTTTCTCCCATTCTGTAGGTTGCCTGTTCACTCTGATGGTAGTTTCTTTTGCTGTGCAGAAGCTCTTTCGTTTAATTAGATCCCATTTGTCAATTTTGTCTTTTGTTGCCATTGCTTTTGGTGCTTTAGACATGAAGTCCTTGCCCATGTCTATGTCCTGAATGGTAATGCCTAGGATTTCTTCTAGGGTTTTTATGGTTTTAGGTCTAACGTTTAAGTCTTTAATCCATCTTGAATTAATTTTTGTATAAGGTGTAAGGAAGGAATCCAGTTTCAGCTTTCTACATATGGCTAGCCAGTTTTCCCAGCACCATTTATTAAATAGGAAATCCTTTCCCCATTGCTTGTTTTTCTCAGGTTTGTCAAAGATCAGACAGTTGTAGATATGTGGCATTATTTCTGAGGGCTCTGTGCTGTTCCATTGGTCTATATCTCTGTTTTGGTACCAGTACCATGCTATTTTGGTTACTGTAGCCTTGTAGTATAGTTTGAAGTCAGGTAGCATGATCCCTCCAGCTTTGTTCTTTTGGCTTAGGATTGTCTTGACAGTGCAGGCTCTTTCTTGGTTCCATATGAACTTTAAAGTAGTTTTCTTCAATTCTGTGAAGAAAGTCATTGGTAGCTTGATGGGGATGGCATTGAATCTATAAATTACCTTGGGCAGTATGGCCCATTTTCATGATATTGATTCTTCCTATCCATGAGCATGGAATGTTCTTCCATTTGTTTGTATACTCTTTTATTTCATTAAGCAGTGCTTTGTAGTTCTCCTTGAAGAGGTCCTTCATGTCCCTGTACGTTGGATTCCTAGGTATTTTATTCTCTTTGAAGCAATTGTGAATGGGAGTTCACTCATGATTTGGCTCTCTGTTTGTCTGTTATTGGTGTATAAGAATGCTTGTGGTTTTTGTACATTGATTTTATGTCCTGAGACTTTGCTGAAGTTGCTTATCATCTTAAGGAGATTTTGGGCTGAGACGATGGGGTTTTCTAGATATACAATCATGTCATCTGCAAACAGGGACAATTTGACTTCCTCTTTTCCTAATTGAATACCCTTTATTTCTTTCTCCTGCCTGATTGCCCTGGCCAGCACTTCCAACACTATGCTGAATAGGAGTGGTGAGAGAGGGCATCCCTGTCTTGTGCCAGTTTTCAAAGGGAATGCTTCCAGTTTTTGCCCATTCAGTATGATATTGGCTGTGGGTTTGTCATAGATAGCTCTTATTATTTTGAGGTACGTCCCTTCAATACCTAATTTATTGAGAGTTTTTAGCATGAAGGGTTGTTGAATTTTGTCAAAGGTCTTTTCTGCATCTATTGAGGTAATCATGTGGTTTTTGTCTTTGGTTCTCTTTATATGCTGGATTACGTTTATTGATTTGCATGTGTTGAACCAGCCTTGCATCCCAGGGATGAAGCCCACTTGATCATGGTGCATAACTTTTTGATGTGTTGCTGGATTCGGTTTGCCAGTATTTTATTGAGGATTTTTGCCTCAATGTTCATCAAGGATATTGGTCTAAAATTTTCTTTTCTTGTTGTGTCTCTGCCAGGCTTTGGTATTAGGATTATGCTAGCCTCATAAAATGAGTTAGGGAGGATTCACTCTTTTTCTTTTGATTGGAATAGTTTCAGAAGGAATGGTACCAGCTCCTCCTTATACCTCTGGTAGAAATCCGCTGTGAATCTATCTGGTCCTGTACTTTATTTGGTTGGTAAGCTATTAATTATTGCCTCAATTTCAGAGCCTGTTATTGGTCTATTCAGAGATTCAACTTCTTCCTGGTTTAGTCTTGGAAGAGTGTATGTGTCGAGGAATTTATCCATTTCTTCTAGATTTTCTAGTTTATTTGCATAGAGGTGTTTATAGTATTCTCTGATGGTAGTTTGTATTTCTGTGGGATTGGTGGTGATACCCCTTTATCATTTTTTATTGCATCTATTACTGAAGGAGATAGAGACACAAAAAAACCCTTCAAAAAATCAATGAATCTAGGAACTTGTTTTTTGAAAAGATCAACAAAATTGATAGACCGCTAGCCAGACTAATAAAGAAGAAAAGAGAGAAGAATCAAATAGATGCAATAAAAAGTATTTTTCCATTCTTTATATGGTTTTTAAAGCTCTAGAAGAAATTACAGAGAACAGGCTTTTAATAGCACAACTCCAGATTTTCAGCGAAATGAATCTCAGATCAAGAATCAGTTTAATAAGAGCACACAAAGAAGTCTTGAAAGTAAAAAACAGAAATTGCATCTGACTCTCCATCCTGCATTGGAAGTGAGCAGGAGGTGAAAAGCACAGCAATCTAACATTGTGGTTTCTGGGGAAACATTACATTTGATGATTAGTGCCTCTTCTGTGAGCTTTTTGTCTAAAAATTATTATCTTTTTACTGGCATATGACTTAAACTCCTATCTGAATAAGATCCTTTGGAGAGGCTACAAATGTCAGTTTTTGTCTTTGTTTTTCCTTTTCAAGTGTGTTCAAGTTATGTTTATATAAGCCTTTCACAAATCAAGTAAGTACTTAAATTGATTTTTAGTAATATGCTCCAAACCGTTTCCTCTATATTTTAGGATTACAGCGGTCTCAGATTTTCTCATTTGTGTTTACCATGAAGTATATTTCACTGGTTCAGTCCTATGTTTTCTTTTGCCTTGAAAATAGTGTTAAGGTAAATTTCAAATCATGAAAAACATAGGAAATTATAACTATGTGAAATAAATCGCCTTTGTTAAGAGTTATTCTTGTTAGTAAGACTAAGAGAGTAACTTGATTATGCAAATAAATGTGACAAATTGTACAAATAAATATTAATTTGTTATAATAGTTGAAAAAAAATTAAAATAAAATGGATCCTCAAGAAATCTCAAATCTTGACACCAGGCAATTAGCACTGATGACTATTAAAAAGTAATGTTTGCAAACCATTTGTTGGTTAGTAAATACTTTCTCCTGTAATAATTGAGTTTATTAAAAACCTGTAGAAGACTACTTTTTTTCTGCTATGCAAACTCCCATAAAGAAACTTAACTACAGCTGATTTGACACAATGAAATGTTAAATATCCTCTCATCACCATAGGAAGAGATGTTTTTATCACCACAGGTAGTAAAAGACAGTTGTTGCCAGAAAACAGATATAACTTTTTACATCGAATCTGTCAGAGCACCCATTTAAAAGTACATTTAGAGAAAGAAAATAGAAGCATATTCATCAAAGCAGCATAATGCCAACTTTCAAGAATACTTTAGAAAAGCAATTCCTTCGTAGGCCTGGCAGAGGAAAATGAGAATGGAAATTGACTAAAAGGACTTCCATCAATAAAATTAAGTAGGATGTGAAAATATTTAAACAGAATAAACGCCTAAAATAAATTACTATTTTATTTCTTCAATTGGTTTTTACCAAATCTTTAATTCTAAACTTCAATACTTTAAATTGTTTTTGTAATTTTTATACCCACGATTTATGTGAAATCACTCACCACACAGTCAACTTCTGAAATACATTTATTAAGTGTTAACAATCATTCCAGAAGTGTATACCGCTTTTTATCATTTAATCCTCAACTCTATAAGATTGCCACCATTTTAAAAGAAAGAACCTGGGACATAGAAAGTTCCACTTGTCTGCCCAAACTTTTATAGGTATTAAGTGTCAAATTTTTCTCCCAAGCCTATGGTCTTAAACCACTCTGCCTTACATTTATAAATCTGACTCAAGCAAGGTCATTTCAGAAACTAACCTTGCTTGTGTCTTTTCTTGCAAACTATACATTCAATACAGAATTATGATGGTGTTATAAGGAATAGAATGGAAGAAGGGTTTAGGGTATCAGTTCTCTTTCACCTTTCTTTTGGCTTATCCAATACTCTAACCAATCTATTTCACTCTCTGCCAGTTTTCTGAGTCAAAGGTCCATGTAGATAAAAAGGGAGAAGGTCCATGTAGAAAAAAAGGAGTAGAGAAAAATCATAGCCTTTTTTTCACTTTTTGTTTTTCTCCCTTGTAGTAAGCCTCCCACTTTGCTTTAGACAGCTTTACTTAAACAGAAATAATTGGTACAGATTGATTGTTACAGTCAGGTATGAAGTCTATTATTCAAACTTTCTTTTGAGAGTGCCCCCAAGCAAGAACTATTCTAGCCAATGTCTTTGACTTCTACAAAATCAGCTGTTTGAGAGCATTAAATAGTTAGCATTGTTAAAAATTGTAGAGCTGGTGGGTTGAGTCATAATTTCCACTGATATATTAACCTGATAATGTTGTTAGTAATCTTGTACACTGTATTATTGAGAGCAGCATTCAAAACAGAATGCACCTTCTCCTAGGTCAAGGCAAGACCAATTCACCTACATTTCGTGTTAAGTTACTAGACACTTTTCAAACTTGCTAGTTATATGACCAAGAGGATTGCTGAATTCTCTGAGGCTTTCCTTAACCTTTGCACTTTATAAATTATGACTAATATTTATTTTGTTGTAAGAAATAGAATGATGTATAAAGTGTGTGTGTGTGTGTGTGTGTGTCTGTGTGTGTGTGTTTAAGACAGGGTCTTGCTCTGTCACCTAGCCTGGAGTGCAGCTCAAATGATCCTCCTGCCTCAGCCTCCATAGTAGCTGGCACTATAGATGTGCATCACCATGCCTGGTTAGTTTCTTAACGTTTTGTAGAGATGAGGGGGGTCTTACTATGTTGCCCAGGCTGGTCTAGTACTCCTGGGCTGAGGTGATTCGCCTGCCTCAGCTTCCCAACGCACTGGGATTACAGGAATGAGTCACCACACCCAGCCTATGAATGTGCTTTTAAACTATAATATTCTACACAAATAAATTCTATTATGTAATACATTGTTTTTTCCTGTAATATAAGTTAACTAACTAAACCAGAGGAAAGGTGAACATACTTTAGGCTATCTGAATTAATTCATTTTTATTCATTTATAGATTTATAGATATCTTTGTTCAATCATGTCAAATGTCTATGGCTGTTGCTAATACTAGGGATATAGCAGTTAACAAGATAGCCCATTGACCCTGCTTTTACAAAGTTTACATTTTGGTAGACATCTTATTTCTTAGGAATTTTTTTCCTACTAAAAATTCAGTGGGAGACAGTATATCACTGATTCAGCACAAGTATATCTATAATTATATATGTCCATTTAGAAGAGTTTGTGCTATGGCCTGAGTTACCATTAAATGTTAAAGGGCATATGTCCAACAACCACAACAAAAAAGGCTAGAAATACTTTCCAAACAGTGGGTGATCCTCTTCTGAGAGGGGAACATTTCTTTCTGTCTTAATAATTGCCTTACCCTGTGATAATGTCTTAAGGATGGGTATTTCATCAGGCAGTAATGACTATACAGTTATATTCATAAACATTTCATAACACTGGATAACTTACCCGATTGAGTACATCAGTAATGTTATTGAATATATTTCTGTGCTTTCATTGATCATTTTTGGCTGATATATGCATAATTTCAAACTGGTCTGTTAATAGAAAAGTTCTATCTTGTGTTTACAAGAGAAAAGTCACATAAAAGTGTTCACCTGAACTATTTTCTAAAATGTCAGAAAATTTCAAGGTTGTGATAACATTATTAAGCAAAGATACTTGTAAAAATAAATACACAGAGAAAAGACTCCTAAGCTAATTATATGAAAGTTTTCAAAATATTTCCTCCAGATTTACATTGTTTTTACTTTTGGCAAAAATTCAGTGTTTTTGTATTACTGATACATGTTAAAAGAGAAATTCAAAACTTAATAAAAGTTATAAATTTAAAAATTACTCCAAAGTTTACTATTCCAATGTAATCATTTTGACATTAGTTGGATATCATACCAAATAAATATTTTTATTTATGACTTTATATAAATAGAAGGATAAGCGGATGGATGGATAAAACTCAGCAAACTGTACACATTAAACACCTGCAGTTTTTTCCATATCAGTTATTCCTGGCTAATGATATTAAAAATTTATGTATGTACAGATGAATGGATGGATGGAAAGCGAAATAGAAGATTTTTTTTCAAGATATTGAATTATACTAGAATTAATTAAAATATTAAATTTAACAATACTTGAATTTATCAGAAAAATTATGTGGAAATAAGTCTAACAGTGTCATAAACTTTAAATGTTTCAAACACACAAGTTTATTAATGGCCATACTGCCCAAAGTAACTTTTAGATTCAATGCTATTCCCATCAAACTACCATTGACATTCTTCACAGAATTAGAAAAAACTACTTTAAAATTCATAAGGAACCAAACAAGGGCCTGTATAGCGAAAACAATCCTAAGGAAAAAAAAAAAAAACGAAGCTGGAGGCATCATGCTACCTATTTTCAAAGTATTATAGGCCAAGGTAACAGTAACCAAAACAGCATGGTACCAGTACCAAAACAGACACATAAACCAAAAGAACAGAATAGAGACCTCAGAAATAAGACAGCACATCTACAACCACTTGATCTTTGATAAACCTGAGAAAAACAAGCAATAGGGAAAGTATTCCCTATTTAATAAATGGTGCTGGGAAAACTGGCTCGCCATATGCAGAAAACTGAAACTGGACCCCTTCCTCACACCTTGTACAAAAACTAACTCAAGATGGATTAAAGACTTAAAGGTAAAACCCAAAACGATAAAACTCTAGAAGAAAATGTAGGCAATACCATTCAGGAAATAGGTGTGGTCAAAGATTTTATGGTGAAGTCACCAAAAGCAATTGCAACAAAAGCCAAAATTGAAAAAAAGGGATCTAATTAAACTAACGAGCTTATCTGCAGCAAAAGAAACTATAATCAGAGCGAACAGGCAACCTACACAAAGGGCAAAAAATTTTGCAATCTATTCATCTGACAAAGGTCTAATATCCAGAATTTTCAAGGAACTTAAACAAATTTATGAAAAAAATATCAAAAGGTGGACAAAGGACATAAACAGACACTTCACAAAAGAAGACATTTATGCAGCCAAGAAACATAGGAAAAAAAATCTCAACATCACAGATCATTAGAGAAATGCAAATCAAAACCACAAGGAGATAACATGTCACACCAGTCAGAATGATGATTATTAAAGTCAGGAAACAACAGATGCCGGAGAGGATGTGGAGAAATAGGAACACTTTTACACTGTTGGTGGGAGTGTAAATTAGTTCAACCATTGTAGAAGACAGTGTGGCAATTCCTCAAGGATCTAGAACCAGAAATACCATTTCACCCAGCAATCCCATTACTGGGTATATGCCCTAAGGAATATAAATCATTCTATTATAAGGATACATGCACACATATGTTTACTGCAGCACTATTCACAATAGCAAAGACTAGGAACCAACCCAAATGCCCATTAATGATAGACTGGATAAAGAAAATGTAGTATATATACATCATGGAATACTATGCAGCCTTATGAACTTTGCATCCACGGCCTTTGCAGGAACATGGATGAAACTGGAAGCCATCATCCTCAGCAAACTAAGACAGGAACAGAAAGCCAAACACTGCATGTTCTCACTTATAAGTGGGAGCTGAACAATGAGAACACCTGGACATAGGGAGGGGAACAACACACACTGGGGTCTGTTGAGGTTCGGGGGAAGGAGAGCATTAAGACTAATGACTAATGCATGTGGGGCTTAATATTCAGGTGATGGGTTGATAGGTGCAGCAAACCACAATGGGATGTGCTTACCTATGTAACATACCTGCACTTTCTGCACATATATCCTGGAACCTAAAATAGAATAAATTTCCAAAGTAAAAAAAGAAAACAAAAACACAAGTTTATTAATACTTAAAATGCTTCTTGTAATCAAGAAAAATGATTCAAAATATTGTGTTGGATATAATTTGAAGTGTCATTTTAAGTTTCATCAATTAAATCCTGACATTAAAGTGAAGAAATTTGCATGTTTTTACACACCTTCTCTGTCTGTATCTCCTGGTTATTGTAGTGATTTCTACCTTGTGAAAGTTTTTAAAATTTGCATCTCTTTTGTAATTGTAATCTCTATTTTTGTTATGTCTTATTTTTGTATTTAAATAGATTCAATGCCCATCCCCAGTCCTTTCACCATATTCATAACATAAAAGGGATTTTTTAAAAATTCTCTTTTGTTGGTTGGTTTTCATTGTCAAGCTAATTTTCTTTAATAAATTTTCAACTAAGGCTCATGTGTGCTGTATTCATAATTCTGTTTACTCTTAAAATGTTATGATTATCTATGTATGGCCTTTTGTGCTTGAAGGAGGATACAGGTCACCAAATAAGATGCTAGACTGGGTATACAGAGATGTATACATCAAAATTCATGACCTGAAAAGATTTAAAGTTGAACAATCAGCCATATGTTTTACTAAATGCAATAGCAATTAGGTCTAGGATTTTATATGCATTTTCAAGACAGAAAGAACATAATGAGCAAAAGCAGAGATGGAAAAGATCATACAGTGATATCACTGGGATTTAGATACTGTTAGAGCACATGGTAAAACACAACAAGATGACAGAACAGTGTGGAACAGTAGACCTGGAAAAGCCCTGAAGCCTGAACTTTATTCATAACACATGATACAGTAAGAGCAATCAATTCCCACCCAACTCCACTTCTACCTCTGTGCCCAGATGTTTGCTGTCAGTCCTGTACTGTCTTCAGGCATTGATGGCTGCGCTTATCATTTTTTAATGACATTTCCATTCAATTTTTAGTTGGCTGTATTAGAGTTAGGTGACTTTTTAAAGAAGGGATCTTGTAACACAGATATTCCATGAATGATTTTTGATACACATTCGACAATATTTGCCAGTTGCTTTTACACTTGAATAAAAATTTGGCTGTAAATAATATTGCACAATTACACCTTCTTTCTCTCAACACCTGCAAACACTACTCTACTATTTTCAAACAATAGATATTGTTTTTTAGAAGTGTAAGACCAGCTTAACATTTAGCACCTATAAATTACTGGCTTCTTTCCCTAGAGTGGGTGAAGAATTTAGTTTACTTTATCTTCAAAGATCAAACATGTAACTAAGTATAATTAATTTCTATAAGTTGTCCTCTTTCAGTTTTTTTCTAAAAAAAGTGTATCATTTTCACTTGTAGTTGTAGTTCTTCATTCTATGAATATTTTATGGCATTAAATCTTGAATAATTGTCTGGTTTATTTGTTAACCTGTTTACTTTAGAAACACTAATTATTGTTATTTTGCATCGCTTGGCCTTTCTTTTTTAAATCTCTTATATTATCATTAATTATATCTTTGTCTCTTCCTTTCACATTTACCTTAAATCTATATACTAATTATTAAATCTTAAGCTTTATCTATTTCCTTATGGTTCTAATTTATTTATTTATTCTGTTACAACCTTGTTTAGTATCTCTATTTTTCCTCCGTAAATTCTTCATTTTTATTTCTTTGCATTCACTTGTCTTACTTTTCTTATTGAACCTAGTCATTAAAGTTCTATAGCATTAAGAATTCTCATGTAATTGTTCTCTTCCTTCAGTTTTTAATTTCAACTGGAATTTGCGCTTTGTTTCATTCTGCTTTGTTTTATTCAATATGCATACAAAGTTGCTGTGCAAATTTTCCCTATTGCCTCTGCTTAATTTGGAATTTCTGTTCTCAGACTACTATGTTTTACTATAGGTACATTCTCTCTGATACTTTCTGTTTTTGTCTTGGTATTGTAAGCTGAAAAATGCACCCTTGACCCTCCTTCCCACCTCAGAAAAATAATGCCAACCTCCTAATCCTCAGAACCTGCGACTATGTTACAAGGGTCTTTCTGAAAGGGAGCTAAGAGAGAGCCAGTCGGAGTGGAGATGTGACAATGGAAGCAGATGTTGGAATTATATGTTTTGAACATGAAGAAAGTGAAGGAGAGCTGAGGATTGCAGGCAGCTTCTGGGACCTGGAAAAGGAAAAGAACAGATTCTCTCTTAGAATCTCCAGACAGAATCAGCCCTGCTGACACCTTAATTTTAAGTCTCAAGATGGATATTAGACTTCTTATCTCCAGAACTATAAAAGATTTATATTTTAAGCCACTAATCTTGTGCTAATGTGCTATAGCAGTAATAGAAAATTAATACAATAAGAATAATCCTTTCCCTTAGCTCTAGACCTAACCTGAGCCATTTTTACTGGGAAGAGATTATTCTTTTTTTGTCCTGTTTAAAAAGTACAAACTATAAAGTTAACAGTACTCTCAGTTACCAGCTTTTCAAGAATCCACGTGACTATTTCTTTGAGTTATATTTTTTTCTTGTATCTGTGATCACCAGTCCCTTCCTGATGTTCCTCCCAACAGGTCTACATTTTAATCGACTTGATCTCTGTCTTTAGAATGAATTCTGTATTATGTAGCTACCATAATTTGCTCATTCATTCTTACTGAGTTGAAAGCTACAAATTCCAAATGCCTGATAGCATAAATAATACTATGAGTATCATGTTTGTAAATGTGTTTTTGTAGAGTGAGATTATAGAGCTATAAGTTACATGCTTATTTCATTCTATAAACATTGCCTACTTGTTTTTCAATATATCTACATATGCCAATTCTTAATTTTAGTTCATGAAGATTCCTTCTTTCACCCTTATCCTTATAATCATTTGGTATAGTTTGACCCTCTAATTTTTATCAATTTGATATATGAAAGTTATTAATTTCTTGCTTTAGTTTTACTTTTTTCTGATAACTAACAAAACTGAGGATTTCTTGATAAATGTGCCTATCATTTAGTGGCCATGGTGTGTAAAGGGAGCATCCAAAAACCAGGTCTTGAGGGTAAAGAAGATGGAAGGATGTTATGTCATGACCTGGTTTCCATGGTAATTACTAAGTTTGAAAAAAACACATACTGACCCTAAGAGATGAGATGTAATCTGTGATGGATGGGAGGCAGAACGGAGCTGCTCCAGAATTCAAACCCTGTACAAGATCCAGGTCTTTCCAGGAGACACAGACTTGGGCCTGGGACAGAAGCCCAGAGAGAGAGACCTTCAGAATGGACAAGACCAGAACTCCTGACGAGGGCCAGGGTTGTAAAACCAAGGTTCATCTCTTCTTCCTAACCAAGGGGGAAGTGATGAGGAAGAGTGGCTAAAGAGATGTCTCACTGCAAAAATGCACTGGACTGTTCTCACTAGCCAAGGGAAATTCAATAAATGTTAGAGTTGTATGGAATCATGAATGTTCTCAATTCCATACCTAAATACCAACATACACCTTACATATTACTTATGTTTGTACATAAGTTAAATAATAATAACAAGATATAACATTTACTATTTTCTGAGACAAAGATGGTTCTAAGCCGAATCCTCTCAGGCACTGCTTTATCCTCACTCTTAGGGAGATTTAGTAATGCAGTACGTCTAAATGCATAAAATAACTTCCTTTGTTAAATCCAAGTCATTTATCTTCTAGTTTTGATATCACATGCAAGACATAAAAACTCAAGTTAATGGTAGAGTTTCCATTGAATAAAAGGACTTGCCTTAGGCAATGGGTTGTGACAGATCTGCAGTTCTGTGCATACTAGCTTAATTCCTGGAATACACTGATGTTATCAGTAGGTCATAAAATATTGCTGAGTCCATAGCAACAATTTGTCCTATAACAGCCCTGATTATGAACCGTGCACTAGTCAATGAAACGATAGCATGTCTTCAGTGATTTGTTGTTTTTGAATGTACAAATTTCATTCTTTGTCATAATCAATTGATTCTCTAAGAGCTGTTTCAGGGAGCAAAGTGCCTAATTTGAGTAGCTCTCCAGAGCTTAAACATGAAACAGAAACAAAAAAGAAAACATCTGGAAAGCACATACTCCCCCTATGCTGCAAAAACGTCAAGAGGTATGTGGCAGCATATTCTCTGAGCATAGTGTAACCAGGAATTGCCTCCTAAAAAGGAAGAAAAGAGGATTCCTAGTTGTGGTGGAGGAGGGGAGGAGTAAGTGATAGAGGGGAAGAAACTGAAGGATGGAGGGAGGAAGGGAGAGATGTGTGCATGTATACTGGTCTTGAGGGCTCAAGTAGTCTAAGAGTAAAGAGAAGGTTCAGATGACCCAGATCCTCAGTTCTGTGGCTTAAGGACTGTGCTGCCTACACAAAGCCACTCTGCATTACTGTCGCAGACATAGTGGTTGGTTAGTCTAGACTATGTTTCATTAAAAATGCATTTTCCTTTATTTGATATCTTTCTGAGGGCAATGGGTAAGTAAATGTTGTTATGCATTTTCTAACAGTACTTTCTCCTTTTATTTAAGAAGAAACTGAGGCTCATCCCAGTGAGAAAAACATTGAAAACAAGTTTGAACATTTAAAAACTGGTTGCTCAGGGATGAGAGTATAAAGTCCTAAAAAAATTATTTACTCAAGAGTAAAACTTGTTTTATTTAAGACTATGATGATGTAAACATGGTGCTGCTGTGTAAAATGTGAGGGAAAAAACAGGACACACACACAGATAAACACATATATACAAAACAACATTTAGCCATGATGTTAAATTATGGAGATGGGATTTAGTTCTTTCCAGAAAGATAGGAAACCAGATAGTTGTGGTTAACATGAAGGTTAAGAATAAACAAGTAACTCCTATGAGGGAGGACCATTACTCAGTGGTAGTATGGGACAGATTGGAGCCAACTCTAACATTCTAAATAGAGTCTCATATTCCCAAGGAGAATCTGATATTTCCGACAAAGTTTGTGGCTTCTCCTATCCGTAAGGACGGAAGCCATGAGTGTTCACTGAACAAATCACATGGTAGACTCCTATTGAATGTTTAAGGATGGATACAATCATAGAAACATGAAACTGGACCACATATCTTATTTAATTTCTCAGGAAAGCTGAATTTACAAAAAGATGCTCCGCAACATAGATACAAGGTGCTGTGCCCAACTCAGGACCACAAAGCTGAGGAAGCTTCTTCTTCTTCCTCAGACTACTTCTCTTGTATCTCATCTGAAGACAAGCTCACTGGTACTGGTAAGAAGAGACTATTGAACGATGCAGAAGTGATGCTGGATCCAGGCATAATCCAGAGATGACTTGTGTGGTTCTGCTCATCAGTTGACATAAGGCTGCCCAGAGTCACTAAACTTGCCTCTCAGGAGCAGTGAATTAGGAGTGTCAAATACACTTATTTTGCATAACTCTCTAAAGAGTTCATATGGAGGACTATCAGTGTTCTCCATACTATTAGAAGTAGAGTCCTTAGCATTTTGAGGTCTAATCATATTCAGCAGCCAACTCCTGAAACCCCAAAACCAATGAAAAAACTCCATCCTTAATATTCTGTTTCTCTAGAACCACTCTGGTACCAAAATCTGTATTAATCAGTGTTCTCTAGAGGGGCAGAGATTATACACACACACACACACACACACACACACACACGTATACATGTATACACATACACATGTATACATGTACGCATACACACATGTATACATGTACGCATACACACATGTATACATGTACGCATACACACATGTATACATGTACATATGTATGCATATACACATGTATACATATACACATGTATACATATATACATACATATATACACATGTGTATATATATATACATGTATACATATATACATGTGCATATACATATATACATGTATACATATATACATGTATATATACACATGTATACATATATACATGTATATATACACATGTATATACACATGTGTATATATGTGTATATACACATGTGTATATATGTATACATGTGTATACATGTATATACATACATATATATGTATACATGTATATACATACATATATATGTATACATGTATATACATACATATATATGTATACATGTATATACATACATATATATGTATACATGTATATACATACATATATATGTATACATGTATATACATACATATATATGTATACATGTATACACACACATATGTGTGTGTGTGTGTGTGTGTGTAAAGGGGAGTTTACTAAGAAGTATTAACTCACACAGTCACAAAGTCCCACAATAGGCTGTCTGCAAGCTGAGGAGGAAGGAAACCAGTCTGAGTGCCAAATCTGAAGAACTTGGAGCCCGATGTTTGAGGGCAGGAAGCACCCAGCATCCAGCATAGAAGAAAGATGCAGGAAGCTAAACCAGTCTAGTTTTTTCACATTCTTCTGCCTGCTTTTTATTCTGGCTACACTGGCAACTAATTAGATTGTGCCCACCAAGATTAAGGGTGGGTCTGCCTTTCCCAGCCCACTGGCTCAAATCTCCTTTGGCAACTCCGTCACAGACACACCCAGGATCAATATTTTGCATCCTTCAATCCAATCAAGTTGACACTCCGTGTTAGCCATAGCAGTCTCTATAAACACTCATTCCTTCATTCTTCATTCCCTACTCTCATTTCCTTATACACTCAGACATTCTCATAAACTCATCCTCACAAGTTAAACCTTTACACACTCATTTCACAGCACATGCATTTCTCAAATTGTTTTTTTTTCCTAATTTCATTCATTTCACAGCATATGCATTTTTCAAATTGGCTTTTTCCTAACCTCATTCCTTCAGCATCACAATCTGTAACTCACACAAATAATTCACTCTTGTAGAACTCTACTTCACATTAACAATGCAGGAAGCCATTACATCATATAACCCCTTTTCAAACTCCTCTCTGTTCCCAATTCCTTAGTCACTTCACATAATCCCACAATCTAAGAGCTCACAGGACCTCTCTCCTATGCATCTGTTACATGGCCACTCTGTAACACTTTTATTGTTTCTGCAGATCTCACAAAGTTACTCAGATCCACACAGTCTATCATATGAACCAAAAGGCTATTATATAACTGTTTTATACTTCAATAGCACATGACATAGAAATCACATGATACATGGAAGATGAAATACCTATACATATATAAACCTATGCTGAAAATACTCAAACACATCATGCTCACGCTACCTTCACACACAATGACAATCTCGCCCTTATACTTACTACAAAAAATTGTTAAAAAAGACAAATATACATAGTCATATGCATATGTCAGACTATGCTCACCAAAGATGACACACTCTCTGTAATAAATACACTATACACACTAAATTTTGCCATCTACACACCAAAATAACACACCAGACACACTCCAGTAGGTCAATAGACTAATTGGATGTACTTTGAGAAATAAAAGCTTGCTTACAGACTTAACTGAGGATTTAAACAAGGGAAGGGACTTAAAGTGTTTATGAGTTATTTTGTCAGAAACTAGAATTTGCCAGTTTATTTAGTGAAGCTTGTGAATTCTCTTTACGTTGGAAATGCAGATTAAAAGGGAGTAATACAAATTAACTGGAGATTTTCATGATATATTTAAATTCATGGTAGAGGTAGAGTTGATTAAAAAAATGCATAAATTATGATAGGAAAAACCATCCAGCATGTACTTATAAATCCGGGAAGATTCTATGATCGGCTATGAGTGTGATTAGTAGAGATAAAAAACTTAGGGCTTCGCGTGAGCAGGGGTCACTGAGAAAGGTGACACTGCTAATCAGGCCAAGTCATAGCTGTGCTAGGTAAGAGTTGGTAAGCACCCAAGAAAGAGATGTGCCCAGTGTTGGGAGGTACAGTCTAAATCCAGCCCCAGAGATCCCACTGGAATCTCCTACTCAATCTCAGAACCCACCATTTCTCACAAGGCTCAGGTCCTACAGAGCTCTGGCAACAGAGGCCACAAGAGCAGATATCTGAATGAGGATGCTGCAGTACAGAGGTGGGAGTCAACGGATTATTTCCTGCATATTCTAACTCTTTGAGAAAGCAGCAGGACTTTCATATGATAATCTCAGATGAGAAACCAAAGAACTTTACCTATACACATACATCAAATTTATTCTTCAGATAAACAGAAACAGTGATAACAAATAATATGGACACCTTTCCATATGCCAGGCAAGATTTAAGCCTCAGACACACTGCACAGAACAGCATACACCACTCATAGGTGATCCAGCCCCATCCAGCCAGACACATCATTCCAACAGATATTTTTGTATACCATGATTTTGGAACTTTTAACAGTATCTAGATTAAAATATCCATGAGGAAAAGTGCCGTGTGTGTAATTGCACACATGATATTTCTTTTCTTTCCTTTTTTTTTTTTTTTTTTTTTGATACAGAGTCTTACTCTGTCACCCAGGCTGGAGTGCAGTGGCACCATCATGGCTCACTGCAACTTCCGCCTCCTGGGTTCAAGTGATCCTAATGCCTTAGCCTCCCAAGTAGCTGGGATTACAGGTGAATTACAGGCACGTGCCACCATGCCCTGATAATTTTTTGTATTTTTAGTACAGACAGGGTTACACCATGTTGGCCAGGCTGGTCTCAAACTCCTGAACTCAAGTGATCTGCCTGCCTCAGCCTCTCAAAGTGCTAGGATTACAGGTGTGACCCTATGATATTTCTTGATTAATTGTTGAATGTGAAAAAATACCACATGTCTGATTTTCCTTCTTCTTTTCCCAGGAATGTTAGACTCAGGTGAATACCCTCCACAGTCTGGATTCTCTGGCTTGGCCCAAGGCCACAGATAGACAGCAGAGAACTCCACCTGAGAATACATCTCCTGCGACTCCTCTGTAGACAAATTCATTCACGATGGTATGAGGATGGAGGGCATGTGGGACTGAGGAAGAAGGAGCTGGACAAGTGGGGCAGAATGTTGGTCTAGAATTGGAGCTAAGCTCCTTTGCTCAGCAACTGACATAAATGACTCCTTCTCTCATGGACTACTCAGGACCTCTGTTTCCCATCAATGGGCAGAAATGGACCATGTATACTTTCCTCTCTTCTTTGGAAGAGGCTCCTAAAGGACATGAATAGGAAGGTTAAAAATTCAAGAGTAACGTGGAAAGATATTTTCAGAAGTGGAGTCTGGGGAAAGTCTCTGAAGTATTCATTTGAATACATCCAGCACCACGCCCAGTTGCTAGACGACCTCCAAAAAAGTTCATCTTCATATATATTTATCTGGCTAGCTAGCTATGTAATTATTATCTATTTATATTTATATCTACACCTCTCTATAAATATACCTGTAAATGTAGATATCAATATAAACAGTTAGATATACATACATAATTCTTCATAAAACTTGAACTCCATATTCCTTACTTGCACAATCTCTCATAAGAAAAATTGGGCTAATAATAATACTTAGCCTTCAATGCCTACATATTGTATTTCATGCAATATTTTCTGATATTCTGCATACACCTCCAAAAATATCACACACAAGATACAAAATCCCATCAACATGCACCACACACATGATTTTAAAAACTGTTTGTTTTTAACTGAGATTTCAAAGTTTTGAATGGAAAAGACAACTTTATTTCTGTGAGATCAAGTCCTATGAGTACTAATGGTGTCTGACACAAAATATCCATATCTCCGGTTATACCATATCTCAATTTTTTAAAAATGTCATTCTCCCAGAATTCTGGAATTCTCAAGAGGCTGCTACTGAGACCTGCGTGGTGGTCCCAGCATGGAGTCACGGAGCAGGAGAGAATCCCTCCGCCTCAGAGAATTGTTCCAGTGTCTCCTCTGCAAGTGAGTTCACTCTTGATAAGGATGGTAAGGCAGATGCTAAGGTGAGGTCTGAGCTTGGGCAGGAGCTCATCCCGTTTCCTACTTACATTACTTTCCCCTCATAAACAAGGAAGGGATTCAGGGCACAGTGACTAGGGCTGAGGTCTCTGGGAAAGGATAAATAGGGAATGTGCCTTCAAGAATAGGACAAAGGTCCTCAGCACAATGTTCCAACATGTGAACACTAGGGCAGCTGTGGGTGAGGCAGTGAGTACCACTGATAACATGCATGGGAAGTTGGCTAGAACCTTCCTCATCAGATAGGCACACACTCAGGCTCAAACACACTCACAAGTTATAGTCCTTCATACCAAGCATGGCCCTATTTCTTCTTCCACTTACTTAAATACACATCTTCACTTTCCATCCATCTTTCCCATTTTCTAGTAGCATTATGTAGGTACACCTTCCCACCCTCATTCCTGCACACAGTCATTCTCAGCCTCACTCATTTACACACGAATCCCATAAGTACTTCACATCTCCTCACATAGATTATGTTTCAACTCCCTCATGCTATACAAACTCTAGAAAATGTCTATGTCCTTAAGAAAATGCACTTTCATATGTAGCCTTTCTCAGCCATATGTCACTTCATCAACAATGCCTTTGACCTTTCATAGAACTGCACATTCTAAGAACTCTACACACTTCCTCTAACACTCTAAGTCTTACTGTGTCAAACTGAGACAAAGAACATGTACCACTCTTACACTCATTCACATGTAGTGTCATCACATGCACACACACTTATCATCATCCCATTTTACCAACACAGGAAACACTCACAAGGTATATCCCGGAACATACATAAAACCCCAAAGACACACCACTTACTCATTCTCTACATAGATATACCAAGTATACACCTCAAATTACACATATCACCTACAGAATTCTGGAACATCACATATACATGACCACATGCAGAGTTCTATGTCTGTCTTAACTCCTACAGACTTCACATACACTTATTCAAATTTATTTATGTTTGAAATGTTTTATTTTTCCTGGGAAGCATTCAATTACATCAAGATGCTCCTTGTCTTGGGTCCTCTGAGATGCCTCTATCCCAGGATCTGGAGCAACCGTGTCTGCTTTCCTTTTCATTTAGCCAACAATCCCTTTTGTCCTCAATAGATATGAAAGAGTAAAGAGTCATGAAAATTTACTACATGTGTGTCTGAATGAAAAAGGGTGTGGCTCTCTTATGGGATATGGAGAAAGAACTGGAGCACTCCCTAAAGAAGACAATAATAGAAGAAGTGGCCTTGCTTGAGAAGATCCATACAGAAGTCACTCTCTCCCATATGTCTACAAAGGAACTCCTAACTGACAGTGAGTCCAGCTTGGCCAGCAAAGCCTGAGAGGCTGACAACCCAGTAGAGCCCCCAGCTCTGGAGGAGAGTTCCAGGCCGAGGACGACTGACTTGTTGGTAGCTCTGGACAGTGGCTTCAGATGCATGGCCTGCTCCCGGGTCTTCCCCATCCTTCAGAAGCATGTGGAGCATGGGGTCATTGAGGGCTTCAGCTACCTTGCTTTCCATCTTACCCTGACCTGGCTAATGAGCAAAAGAAACAGGAAAGGGAAAAGAAGGAGGATAAAGAAGAAGAAAATCAAGATGATGACATTTGGCTGAAAAAAAAAAAGGAGACATTTTGGCATGAAAACATCCTCATGTAAGCAAACAGACTATTTTCAGCTCCTAAAAAAAGGAAAACAGGCCAGACTCTACTGAAGGATCTTCATCTTCTCTAACTAGCCATAGTACCCACCTTTTCTCATATGTACCTACCACCACCACCACTACCACCAGACCACCAATAGGATCAGAGAAACCCTTTTAATAATATCCACTGCCCTCTGCGAAGGAAGGAGAAGATGGCTGACCACACCACAGAGAAGGGTAAAATATCCTTATACAAACTAAGGAATAATGAACACAGTTTATCGCCCCCATCACTAGAGTTAAGAAAAAGAGACTCATTGGTAGTAGAAACTGCTGTGGAGTGGGTTGCGGAAGAGGTGAGAGCCATGATGGGCAGGAAAGACCTCCAAATACTTGAGATTCAGAGGTTGGCAGTAGCAGGGAACTTCACCGAAGTATCTTCCAAGGTTCAGTGATTGCTGTGGTAAATAATTTTCTTCAGAAGAATATATACATAGAGGTGAAACATTTGACTGATGATAAAGGAGAATGTGTCCTATCCATGCCTTATGAGGGGACAGGAGCAAAGACATGTCTAGCAGTTCAGTAGAGCAGAAGAGGCCGGGTCCACCATTCCTAGATGAACCAAGGCTCACGAGACTCATAGCCCTTTTAATTTTATTATCTGACCTGTCTTTCTTCCAAAAGGCACAGTACAAGGCAGAGACAGTGTTCTATCCCCAAGGAAGTGCTGATGGGCAGGCCACTTACAGCCCTGCACTTTCTCTAGATATCAGTGAGATTTTGGTCTCCATGTTGTGATTCTCATGCCTGGGAGGAGACTGCTGAGGAGCTTTAATTATTCAAAACCCCACGAGGAGTGGAATTTGCTTTTTCTGGGAAAAAGTGTCCACGGTATATACTAAAAACCAGGATTAAAGGCTATTTTCCCTAAGGTGTCAAGTGTAACTGGGAAAGAAAGGAAATACAGTTTCTCCTTCTGTCACAAACGATTTCTGGAATCTTTTAGTATAATGTGCTTCCTGGAAGACTCTCATATTCATTAATTAAACTCCACAGTTCTCAAACCTTATTCTTTCTTTTGGTGCAGCTTCCAATGTCTTGTTCTAAGTGACCGGTACAGAGAAGTTAAACATAGACAAGCTACCAAGAGGTTGCAAAGACAGGCTCATACTGCAAGAAATAAAGGTGTGCATTTTACTGATGGACAAATTAAATGCTTATCTTCTATACTCCAAAAGTCACAGATAGAGTGGCATTGAAAAATTGACCTAAATTTTCTGTATAAAGGTGTAGTTCTTAGTAGAAATTCTGTATCATTTTATGTGAGTGATTTCTTCAATGTCAGTTCAGTTTTCAAGGTCTTCAGTATGTTTTTTGAATCCATCCTGTACATGTGTTGCTTTAGAGTTAGGGAGTTGGCACAAGATGGACACTCAAAATCTTCATTCATTTTCAGTTGTTAATACTGCTCATTTGAAGCTTCATTATATGAAAGTATTGGGTGTTGAAAGTCTTATTCAACAAAATACTATGTACATTAACTTTATCCTGCACCAATTGTTTCTTTAGGGACTTATATACTGCAAAGTGATCTATATCACTAAGAACCACAGTGCATTTCATTAAATGAACAAGAAAGTAAAACATTTTTACCAGCTACCAATCTCATTTGGGGTATTTACTATTTACTCTTGTTTTCTATACAATGACTAATAATTCTGATATGAGTATGGATTTTACTAACCTTGATTTTCCCATTTGCCTGTAAAAGTGCATGTATGTTCTGTTCCAAGATTGAGAATTCTTTCTATGTTTGTACTCATTTTCTTCCTCTATTCCAGTATAAGTAATATTAAGCACAGAATTAAAATGTTTTTATTAAAAAGTTTACTACTTTCTAAAGTGGCTACCAAAGATTGACTTAAGCATGGACAATCACTTGTTAAATAAGATAAGGACAGCTCTACCATTATTTTCTTATGTGGTGAGAATTGAGCCTACACATATTAATATGAAATGTTCCTATATTACCATGTTGTATCTTTAGCTTTTAAATTAGTACTATGTTTGCATTGTATAACTTGTTTTTACTCATGGCATATACATTTTTAAAATATGTTTTATTATAGATACAATGAGTTAGAACTAATTTGCTATGTTGTGTTTCTATTTTTTTAAATTTATATAACTTATCATCATAGCATGTAATAGTAATAAATAAAATCAATCTTTATTTCCTCAAATAAGTATATTCTGCACACTTAAAACTTTTTGAAGTTGCAGCATACATTACAATTAATAAGCATCAATCTAAAATACTAGTATTTTCTTGTTTCTCAGAAAGCATACTCATATCAATAGAGTATTGTACTACTACTGAGAATTGGACTTCAGGATATAGGATATAAGGCACACAAAAATAATTCCATTTTGGCATGACCATGTTTATTCTTGTTTGCTTTGTGTACTTTAGAAATAGAAACAAGTAACAGGTTAAAGTTGTGTCACTATTGAAGTGATATATAGATAGATATATATATCTATATACAGATATATATATATATAGAAGATATAGATAGATGAATAGATAAAAAAAAGAAGGATCAATATATTATAACCCTAACGTCTAAATTTCTTTAGAGTCTCATGCAGTTATTCTTAGAGGTGGGTGTTGCCATCTGTAGGTAAAGAAGCTTATTCTTTAGAGGCAAATTTCTTTGAGACTGATAACATGTATAGGAATTCCAAAGTGTTGGGAACCATAGCAGAAACTTATTTTTAAATCCCATTTTTAATGTTTCTAGACTTCTTGAACACTTTCTTATTTTATTATAAGTATTAATATTGCAAATATTTCTGGTCATAATATAATGAAAATATAATTGTGAAATCAGAAAACATAAAATTCTCTTTCACCTGGAAGTAAGGTATCTCACTATTAAATTGAAAATAAAAGAATTCAATAAAACATTAGAGTATCCAAAAGGCTATAAATATAGCAGTAATAATGTACTTTCTGTACATTTTTAGATATAATTAGACCCATTTAGGGACATTTCATTTGAATTGTTGTTTGTATAGTTTAAAGAAAAATATAGCATAAATATTTAAAAATGTCACGAATGTACTGTGTAAAAATAGGTTTATCTTTGCTGTATTAAGATCTTACATGAAGGGAGGAGCCAAGATGGCCGAATAGGAACAGCTCCGGTCTACAGCTCCCAGCGTGAATGACGCAGAAGACGGGTGATTTCTGCATTTCCATCTGAGGTACCGGGTTCATCTCACTAGGGAATGCCAGACAGTAGGCGCAGGTCAGTGGGTGCATGCAGTGCGCCATGCGCGAGCCTAAGCAGGGCGAGGCATTGTCTCACTCTCGAAGCGCAAGGGATCAGGGAGTTCCTTTCCTAGTCAAAGAAAGTGGTGACAGACGGCACCTGGAAAATCGGGTCACTCCCACCCGAATACTGCGCTTTTCCGACGGGCTAAAAAAACGGTGCACCAGAAGATTATATCCCATGCCTGGATGAGAGGGTCCTACGCCCACGGAGTCTCGCTGATTGCTAGCACAGCAGTCTGAGATCAAACTGCAAGGCGGTAGCAAGGCTGAGGGAGGGGCACCCACCATTGCCCAGGCTTGCTTAGGTAAACAAAGCAGCCAGGAAGCTTGAACTGGGTGGAGCCCACCACAGCTCAAGGAGGCCTGCCTGTCTCTGTAGGCTCCACCTCTGGGGGCAGGGCACATACAAACAAAAAGACAGCAGCAACCTCTGCAGACTTAAATGTCCCTGTCTGACAGCTTTGAAGAGAGCAGTGGTTCCCCCAGCACACAGCTGGAGATCTGAGAACGGGCAGACTGCCTCCTCAAGTGGGTCCCTGACCCCTGATCCCCGAGCAGCCTAACTGGGAGGCACCCCCCAGCAGGGGCAGACTGACACCTCACAGGGCCAGGTACTCCAACAGACCTGCAGCTGAGGGTCCTGTCTGTTAGAAGGAAAACTAACAAACAGAAAGGACATCCACACCAAAAACCCATCTGTACATCACCACCATCAAAGACCAAAAGTAGATAAAACCACAAAGATGGGAAAAAAACAGAGCAGAAAAACTGGAAACTCTAAAAAGCAGAGTGCCTCTCCTCCTCCAAAGGAATGCAGTTCCTCACCAGCAATGGAATAAAGCTGGACGGAGAATGACTTCGACGAGCTGAGAGAAGAAGGCTTCAGACGATCAAATTACTCAGAGCTACGGGAGGACATTCAAACAAAAGGCAAAGAAGTTGAAAACTTTGAAAAAAATTTAGAAGAATGTATAACTAGAATAATCAATACAGAGAAGTGCTTAAAGGAGCTGATGGAGCTGAAAACCAAGGCTCAAGAACTATGTGAAGAAGGCAGAAGCCTCAGGAGCCGATGCGATCAACTGGAAGAAAGGGTATCCGTGATGGAAGATGAAATGAAGTGAGAAGGGAAGTTTAGAGAAAAAAGAATAAAAAGAAACGAGCAAAACCTCCAAGAAATATGGGACTATGTGAAAAGACCAAATCTACATCTGATTGGTGTAACTGAAAGTGATGGGGAGAATGGAACCAAGTTGGAAAACACTCTGCAGGATATTATCAGGAGAACTTCCCCAATCTAGCAAGGCAGGCCAACATTCAGATTCAGGAAATACAGAGAACGCCACAAAGATATTCCTCGAGAAGAGCAACTCCAAGACACATAATTGTCAGATACACCAAAGTTGAAATGGAGGAAGAAATGTTAAGGGCAGCCAGAGAGAAAGGTTGGGTTACCCTCAAAGGGAAGCCCATCAGACTAACAGCTGATCTCTCAGCAGAAATTCTACAAGCCAGAAGAGAGTGGGGGCCAATATTCAACATTCTTAAAGAAAAGAATTTTCAACCCAGAATTTCATATCCAGCCAAACTAAGCTTCATAAGTGAAGGAGAAATAAAATACTTTACAAACAAGCAAATGCTGAGAGATTTTGTCACCACCAGGCCTGCCCTAAAAGAGCTCCTGAAGGAAGCACTAAACATGGAAAGGGACAACCGGTACCAGCCACTGCAAAATCATGCCAAAATGTAAAGACCATTGAGACTAGGAAGAAACTGCATCAACTAATGAGCAAAATAACCAGCTAACATCATAATGACAGGATCAAATTCACATATAACAATATTAACTTTAAATGTAAATGGACTAAATGCTCCAATTAAAAGACACAGGCTGGCAAATTGGATAAAGAGTCAAGACCCATCACTGTGCTGTATTCAGGAAACCCATCTCACGGGCAGAGACACACATAGGCTCAAAATAAAAGGATGGAGGAAGATCTACCAAGCAAATGCAAAACAAAAAAAGGCAGGGGTTGCAATCCTAGTCTCTGATAAAACAAACTTTAAACCAACAAAAATCAAAAGAGACAAAGAAGGCCATTACTTAATGGTAAAGGGATCAATTCAACAAGAAGAGCTAACTATCCTAAATATATATGCACCCAATACAGCAGGACCCAGATTCATAAAGCAAGTCCTGAGTGACCTACAAAGAGACTTAGACTCCCACACAATAATAATGGGAGACTTTAACACCCCACTGTCAACATTAGACAGATCAACGAGACAGAAAGTCAACAAGGATACCCAGGAATTGAACTCAGCTCTGCACTAACCGGATCTAATAGACATCTACAGAACTCTCCACCCAAAATCAACAGAATATACATTTTTTTCAGCACCACACCACACCTATTCAAAAATTGACCACATACTTGGAAGTAAAGCTCTCCTCAGCAAATGTAGAAGAACAGAAATTATAACAAACTATCTCTCAGACCACAGTGCAATCAAACTAGTACTCAGGATTAAGAATCTCACTCAAAACCGCTCAACTACATGGAAACTGAACAACCTGCTCCTGAATGACTACTGGGTACATAACGAAATGAAGGCAGAAATAAAGATGTTCTTTGAAACCAACAAGAACAAAACACAACATACCAGAATCTCTGGGGCGCATTCAAAGCAGTGTGTAGAGGGAAATTTATAGCACTAAATGCCCACAAGAGAAAGCAGGAAAGATCCAAAATTGACACCCTAACATCACAATTAAAAGAACTAGAAAAGCAAGAGCAAACACATTCAAAAGCTAGCAGAAGGCAAGAAATAACTAAAATCGAGCAGAACTGAAGGAAATAGAGACACAAAAAACCCTTCAAAAAATTAATGAATCCAGGAGCTGGTTTTTTGAAAGGATCAACAAAATTGATAGACCGCTAGCAAGACTAATAAAGAAAAAAAGAGAGAAGAATCAAATAGATGTAATAAAATATGATAAAGGGGATATCACCACTGATCCCATAGAAATACAAACTACCATCAGAGAATACTACAAACACCTCTACGCAAATAAACTAGAAAATCTAGAAGAATGGATACACTCTCCCAAGACTAAACCAGGAAGAAGTTGAATCTCTGAATAGACCAATAACAGGAGCTGAAATTGTGGCAATAATAAATAGCTTACCAACGAAAAAGAGTCCAGGACCACATGGATTCACAGCCGAATTCTACCAGAGGTACAAGGAGGAGCTGGTACCATTCCTTCTGAAACTATTCCAATCCATAGAAAAAGAGGGAATCCTCCCTAACTCATTTTATGAGGCCAGCATCATCCTGATACCAAAGCCTGGCACAGACACAACCAAAAAAGAGAATTTTAGACCAATATCCTTGATGAACATTGATGCAAAAATCCTCAATAAAATACAGGCAAACCGAATCCAGCAGCACATCAAAAAGCTTATCCACCATGATCAAGTGGGCTTCATCCCTGGGATGCAAGGCTGGTTCAATATATGCAAATCAATAAATGTAATCCAGCATATAAACAGAACCAAAGACAAAAACCACATGATTATCTCAATAAATGCAAAAAAAGGCCTTTGACAAAATTCAACAACCCTTCATGCTAAAACCTCTCAATAAATTATGTATTGATGGGATGTATCTCAAAATAATAAGAGCTGTCTATGACAAACCCACAGCCAATATCATACTGAATGAGCAAAAACTGGAAGCATTCCCTTTGAAAACTGGCACAAGATAGGGATGCCCTCTCTCACCACTCTTATTCAACATAGTGTTGGAAGTTCTGGCCAGGGCAATTAGGCAGGAGAAGGAAATAAAGGGTATTCAATTAGGAAAAGAGGAAGTCAAATTGTCCCTGTTTGCAGATAACATGATTGTATATCTAGAAAACCCTATTGTTTCAGCCCAAAATCTCCTTAAGCTGATAAGCAACTTCAGCAAAGTGTCAGGATACAAAATCAATGTACAAAAATCACAAGCATTCTTATACACCAACAACAGACAAACAGAGAGCCAAACCATGAGTGAACTCCCATTCACAATTGCTTCAAAGAGAATAAAATACCTAGGAATCCAACTTACAAGGGATGTGAAGGACCTCTTCAAGGAGAACTACAAACCACTGCTCAATGAAATAAAACAGGATACAAACAAATGGAAGAACATGCCATGCTCATGGGTAGGAAGAATCAATATTGTGAAAATGGCCATACTGCCCAAGGTAATTTACAGATTCAATGCCATCCCCATCAAGCTACCAATGACTGTCTCCACAGAATTGGAAAAAACTACTTTAAAGTTCATATGGAACCAAAAAAGAGCCCGCATCACCAAGTCATTCCTGAGCCAAAAGAACAAAGCTGGAGGCATCACACTACCTGACTTCAAACTATACTACAAGGCTACAGTAACCAAAACAGCATGGTACTGGTACCAAAACAGAGATATAGACCAATGGAACAGCACAGAGCCCTCAGAAATAATGCCGCATATCTACAACTATCTGATCTTTGACAAACCTGGGAAAAACAAGCAATGGGGAAAGGATTCCCTATTTAATAAATGGTGCTGGGAAAACTGGCTAGCCATATGTAGAAAGCTGAAACTGGATCCCTTCCTTACACCTGATACAAAAATCAATTCAAGATGGATTAAAGACTTAAACGTTAGACCTAAAACCATAAAAACCCTAGAAGAAAACCTAGGCATTACCATTCAGGACATAGGCATGGGCAAGGAATTCATGTCTAAAACACCAAAAGCAATGGCAACAAAAAACAAAATTGACAAATGGGATCTAATTAAACGAAAGAGCTTCTGCACAGCAAAAGAAACTACCATCAGAGTGAACAGGCAACCTACAAAATGGGAGAAAATTTTCACAACCTACTCATCTGACAAAGGGCTAATATCCAGAAACAACGATGAACTCAAACAAATTTACAAGAAAAAAACAAACAACCCCATCAAAAAGTGGGCAAAGGACATGAACAGACACTTCTCAAAAGAAGACATTTATGCAGCCAAAAAGCACATGAAAAAATGCTCACCATCACTGGCCATCAGAGAAATGTAAATCAAAACGACAGTGAGATACCATTTCACATCAGTTAGAATGGCAATCATTAAAAAGTCAGGAAACAACAGGTGCTGGAGAGGATGTGGAGAAATAGGAACACTTTTACACTGTTGGTGGGACTGTAAACTATTTCAACCCTTGTGGAAGTCAGTGTGGCAATTCCTCAGGGATCTAGAACTAGAAATAGCATTTGACCCAGCCATCCCATTACTGGGTATATACCCAAAGGAGTATAAATCATGCTGCTATAAAGACACATGCACACGTATGTTTATTGCGGCATTATTCACAATAGCAAAGACTTGGAACCAACCCAAATGTCCAACAATGATAGACTGGATTAAGAAAATGTGGCACATATACACCATGGAATACTATGCAGCCATAAAAAATGATGAGTTCATGTCCTTTGTAGGGACATGGATGAAACTGGAAATCATCATTCTCAGTAAACTATCGCAAGAACAAAAAACCAAACACCACATGTTCTCACTCATAGGTGGGAATTGAACAATGAGAACACATGGACACAGGAAGGGGAACATCACACTCTGGGGCTGTTGTGGGGTGGGTGGAGTGGGGAGGGATAGCACTGGGAGATATACCTAATGCTAGATGACGAGTTAGTGGGTGCAGCGCACCAGCATGGCACATGTATACATATGTAAGTAGCCTGCACATTGTGCACATGTACCCTAAAACTTAAAGTATTATAATAATAAATAAATAAACGTAAAAAAAGAAAAAGAACTTACATGAACACATATGGGCCCTCAGGCACATTGATCATGTACTTTCACAACCAAGCAAAACAAACTCTTGTTGGATATCTTGCTGTGTTGTCAAATCAACTGAAAATGTAAACATCTAGTAAGATTTAAACCTTATTCGCAGGTCACATCAGCTGAATAAAAAGCCCATGAAAAGCAGTTTAATTTCCTTTTATGTCACTAGGTTATCTTCAACAATAGAATAAAAATATGCATCTTTTTCAGGAAAACAATATGAACATAATCCTTGCCAATAAGGCATGAGAGACGGTGCCTTTCACCTACAGCCACTGAAATCATGGCACTTCAGCACACATCACTGATCGCATAGTTCATAACAGAAAGGACTTTCTTTATCAGGCTGCCAGTATTTAAGCTTTTTCTGAAATTTCTTAAGAATATGTCAACGTAAAAAGAATAAATAATTCTCTGTCAATTTATTTTAATAGTAAAATGTATCAACCTTACTTTACTAAAATATACGAATTGAATTTTTTCTCATAGAGTAAGAATTATGACCATTAAAATATATGTTTATTATTGAATGAACCTACTATTTCTGCATATTATCAAATTAACCCAGTATATTTCCTTCATTTCAAAGTCACAAATCATAGACAAGAATATTTAGATGAAATCGCAAATTCTAACTTTCTCCACATGTATAAGAAACAAAGTTTTTCAGGTAACAAACAGCTCAATTGTTCTGGGGTGAAAGTTACTGTGATAACCTTTGTAATAGTCCTAACTAAAAGAATATTACCTTAGAAATCAAGGATTGATTACTTATTTGGGAACATAGGAAAAGGCAAACAATAGGCCCTAAGGCTGTTTTCTTTCTCTTTTCTTTTAGCATTGCCATTCTTACACTAGATAAACAGAGTACTCTGTTCTCTCTTGATGATACATACTCATTGCTATAGTGTTTCTCAATGTGAGTGCAAAGCAAGTAAAATTTTGAAAATGTTAAATGATGCTATCTCCATCTCACTCTCACCCTCACAAAGAAGTTACAGCCACTCAATTTATAGAAGAGGAGAGTCTCAATACAATTTTAGGAAGAAAGAAAATGTAACTTAGAGCCGAGCGCCCCTGCCCACCTGAAGTCCCAGCTACTCAGGAGGCTGAGGCAGGAGGTGAAGGCAGGAGGATGGCTTGAGCCCAGGAGTTGAAGAACGCGGTATACAATGATTATGCCTGTGACTAGCCACTGCATTCCAGCCTGGACAACATAGCAAGAACCTGTCTCTTAAAAAATGCAATTTAAAGGATATTTCTGACACACAGCGAAGAACAGAAAGATTCAGCATTCCAGTTGGTGGAATGTTGGATTGAAAAGAGTAGGGTCAGGAAGTGTAAAATAAGTCAGATACCAATGTTACTGCTGTGCTTACACTCACATTTCCGAGGGTGAAATGTATGATTTAATAATCCAGAAGTATACAGAAGAAACCAGTAATTCAATTGGTTCTATTATGAATGGTAGACAAGACTGGGGATTGGAATTTAGAAGAAAGAACTGCGAGCATTAACTTCTAGATCCCAGTTAGCTCTGTGTTCCATTCCTCAGGATGTGTAAGTGGTTTTGCATTATTTTAGCAGAGAGAGGTGTTTACGCAATTTATCAAAGTTGATTCAGTTATCTACTGACATAAGAAAAAAAGCTTTCATAAATTTGTGCATATGTTATCTTATATTTGTAATTGGATATTTTCAGATTACTGTACTGGAAGGTCAAACATGTAAGTACATCTCTAATTGTATTTAATATTGCCAATTTACCCTATATAGCCAATTTACTCTATTGCACTGTAGCGAATTTTCACCAGTGATATCTGAAATAACTTATTTTCTCCAATCTCACCAGTAGAGTATATTGTCAATCCTTTGGATTTTTTGCCAATCATGTAGGTAAGAAGCGATAGATCTATAGTTTTAATTTATTTTACTAATACTGAGATAGAATTTATTTTCTATGCTTAAGGAACATTTGCATTTTCTTTTTTGTGAACTGCACATATCTTTTGCTCAATTTTCTCTTAGGTTTGTTTCCAATTTTTTAAGAGCGTGTGCATGCATGCACATGTGTGTGTATGTTTTGTTTTTTATTTTTTTTTAGAATGTAGCATTTCTATTTAAAAGTTCACAGATAGGCAACTCCCTTTGTGAAAAGGTTTCCAAATACATTGACAGGGAGCAGCTTATAATAATTATTAGATTATATGCAATATATATTCATACTGCCAATACTATGCACACATTGGAAAGCTAGGGTTTTTAGTGTCTCCATTACAGAACACATTTCAAGTTGACAATAGCATGTTTCTCACCATTGAAACTTGCCAACAACTCTCCCAAAGACTTATCATTTAATATATTGACAATTCAGAACAAGAAAATAATTTGTTCTACTTACATTTGTTTGAAGTTGTATACTAGAGCACTGATATATTAAAGGTTTGTAAAACTGGCTGCTAAATGTGTTTCAAGATTCGTCCAGATGACCTGATGATGACTTTACATGGTTTTGTACAAAGCCACACTCTCTTCTACTCTTTTTAATTCATCTGAAGAGTCAGACTAGCTATGATTTAATCATAACATAGAGCAATAATTGCCATTAAATAATTAACAAAGGGTGCTATTTTATAAAAATAAGGATTCAGGATGACTACATGAAGATAGAGCTCAACTCATCATGTTCGAAGCCTGGAGAAAGCACTTTGTTTGATTACAATATAATCTAATGAGACCATAATCATAGGCTCAACCTCTATGTAATTCATATACATATATACATCTATGCATATACATCCATACACATAAATATACGTATACACACATATATACACACATTTCATATACATATATATTTTCAGATATACACACACATTTCATATACATATATGCCTTTATTATTTAAAATTCTGTTATATTTATTAAAATGCATTTATTATTTATAATTATCTTATAGTTTGACTTGTACAGACTTTTAGAGTGGGGCATTAAAAAGCTGATTGGAACCTCTATGACTATTTGCAGGACTTGCTGATGGCTTCGTACTGTGGGAAAACTGAGAAAGTTCTGAACATTTCAAATTTCACATATGTAAGGATTTTCTTTAGAGTCATTTAAATTCTCCAGGAAAAATAAGTAAATCTTCAAACTCCTGTCTGGAAAAATGAACGCCTACTAAGGTATTCTTTAACTTAAAATTTTGAAAGAAAACTCAGAGTATAAGTATTCTGTATGAAGCATGTCAGTTTCCCTATTTTTCAGAATATAACTTTTCTACTTGCTTTATGCTATTTTTGTTTTTCTTGATTTGGAAGCCAACTACGGTTTTTCCCAACATGTTTGTCAAACTTCAGCATGTGTCACAATCACCTGGTGAGCTCATTAAAACACAGATTGCATGGACACATTTCCAGATTTTGTGATTCTGTAGGTGTTGGTAGGGCCCGAAATTTACATTTCCTAACAAGCGGTGATGCTGATGTTGCTGGGTCAAGCCTGCATTTTGAGAACCACTGTCCTACATGAGGCTTGCAAATGTTACATATTATTCCATTGCAATATATAAATTTTATCTTTCAAACATAGTTCTTAGTATAATTTACTTAAATACAATAGCAAAATTTGCAAATCTTATAAGATTCCAATGACAGATCACATTGTTCCTATTCTATAATACATTACCTTATATTGGATAATTTATAAACAATAGAAATGTATTTTTTATAGTTCTGAAAGCTGGGAAGTCCAAGATCATGACACCAGCAAATTTAGTATCAAATAGGAATCTTTGCCTCCAGAATGATACCATCCTCTGTAGGAAATGAAAGCTGTGTCCTCACATGGCAGAAAGGGATGGAAGAGCAAAAGAGCACACTAGAATGCCCCTTTAAACTCTTTTATAAGAGTACTATTCCATTCATTAGAGTGGAGCCCTCATGATTTAATCACTTCCCAAAAGGCCCCATCTCATTGCATATTAGGTTCCAATACACAAATTTTGGAGGGACACATACATTAAAATCATAGCAAATCATTAGCTGTATGGTTAGTTTTAAGGCTTTTGAAGAGAAATTTGATCAGTAGTCTCTCAAAGTACACAAATTAGAAGTAATTTCATTATGAAACAGAGGACTTAACAGAGTAATTACAACTATAGGCCCTGAAACTAGGTTTCTATAATTCATTTCTGTGGATTTAGTTAATTAAGCTCCCTTTGTTTCAGTTCCATCTTCTCCTCTGGGAATATCAATAGTTTCTATATCTCAGTGTTACTGTGAAAATTTCATAATAAATAGATAATGGGAAATATTTAGTCATTTAATGCAAAGCAGGGCCCATAGTAAGCTCTCAATGAATTGTTTGTCATAAACAGAATCATGACCCTTATCAATATTATCACTAATAAACTGATATCATAAGCAATTGTAGCATATAAGACTCAGGGACTGACTCAGTTCTAATGTAAATCTTCAGCAAGAACAACATTTATTCAAGCACCTATGCTTCAGCTCTGTGGTACATGAGGAGCAAAGAGGAAAATATTAATATCATATCCATGCTACCTTCTGTGCCATGAGTATTATGTCCTTCGTTGCTGATTCAGGCAGATGTCTTTTCTGCCATCATTCATGAAAGGATGGTACCTAACTTTTTAGCTTGCATGTAGAGAAAACTGAAATCTTTCACAGGTTTTAACAACAGCTATATGTATATATCTATCTATATCAATGCTGGTGCAAAAAGACATGTTACCCATTAGTTGAGGGATTAAGCTATTAAACCTAGTAGTCTCTTGAAAAGTAAACCTCTACAATATGAAATTGTAAAACGCAGGTCATGTTTCATATATATACACATATATGCTTCCAGGATGGGACCATCCTCCATAGGAAATAAAAGCTGTGTGCTCACATGGTAGAAGGGATGAAAGAGCAAAACTGGGAACTAGAATGCTTCCATATACATACACACACACACACACACACACACACACACACACACACACATATATATCTCACAAGAGTCTTCATGCTCTTTGAAGCATAGGTAAGAATCTACTAATATTCATCAAGGCATTCATTTTTTAAAGAGAATTTTATGCTCATGTAACTAAAATGTGGGCTGTTTGTATGCATGATTTTGAGGTCAACAAAACTGAATATGGAGGTTATGGAGGTTACCAGTGCAATTCAATCTGAGTTTTTTAAGCTTCAATATCTGTAAAACTCATGGCCTTAAAAACTCACAAATTTTTTTTTTGCAGAGCAATGAAATCATTGCAGTTTTATTTTGTTGGAATATTTTATTTAGGCTTAAATGAGTGCCTGTTTGTGACCACATTTCTTTTTGCTAGTCTATTTGTTTCACTAGTGTTTTTAAACAGATTATCCTCATAAATTGCATAATGTACAATACCTGTGTCTTAAATAAATCTGGCTTTAGTAGGTGGATTTTACTTCTAGTCTTAAGAGATTAACATTATATTAGTTAAATACATTGTAGACAAACTATTTTAAGTAGTTAATATTTCAATCTTTTTTCAGGGCAAATTCATGTATCTGTTTTAATGTATACCAATTTCATTTCTAAAAGCTTACATTTATCTCAAATATTTGTTATATTCTCTATCACATCCTAATTAGAAGTTTAGTATTTGACCCAAATTTAGATTTCAAGTTGGTACATCTTCTCATTACTTCGCATTGTCTTTTAACACATAAACAAAGCTTTTAGCACATCTGATGTAAACCAAGCATTTCATTGTTTTCAACATTTCACAGTAAATCTTGAGCAGCAAAAAATTGCTGAAATAATACTTTTTATTCTTAAGATCCTTATTTTTGATACTTGGTTTTAAAATTATCTTCATTCTGTTAATTATTTTCTATAGAGAAAGATTTGATCCTTAACCACAACTTATTAAACATTAACAGAGAAAAATAGCATTAAATAGCCACCACTGTATATACATAACTACATAGCAGCCATCAAAATGATTCTCTTTTGTCCAAATTCCTGCTTTTATGGTGACTCTCAGCCAAGAACAAGGGACCATGTATGCAGATGGAGTCCCACCTTAGTGTCAAAAGCTTTCTATTTTTTATATCTCAAGATTCATGGTTAAAAGTAGTGGGGAAAATCTCCCTGCTCATCAAGAATGGTAGAAAATAACACAGTAGCATTTGGGATCCAAAAATATCATAACCATTGCTGTGAGGACCTATGATTATAGAAGAGACTTTATACATCAGTGTAATAACTTATCAGTGTGATTTGAAGCACTGAATATATTGTCTTCTCAAAATGTCAGTTTTCTGCTCATTCCTTAGTTGTAATCACCAGAGACTATGGATCAAAACATAGGGCATGATGTTTGGTAGAACTTAAACATAACTTAAAGGTGCTATAATCTCTATACTTGCTTATTTTCCTCAATTATTCATTTCACTGTGTTGTCATTAACATCATACCCACTACTGTTGTCTCGCCTCTCATGTTATCTTGATTTTCTTTTCTCTACTTGAAAATTTGCAGACATATTTAGTGTTTTAGATAGATATTTCCCAAAGTAATAAAGATATGTAGCTTTCCGAAAAGAGCAGAGATTATGATGGCTGTCTCTTAGCTTTTAGAAGAAAAATAATTTGGCTTATGACTGGATTTCTTCTCAGTTCACTGTTGATAATGTCACGTTCTGTGTCTCTGATGAAATGTAATGTCTTTTCTCTGATGAGATATATTGGCTAACATGGTTTATGATTCACAGAAAGTAAAGTTAGAAAAAAGATAATACAGATCTACTGCTCTTTCAGAAAAAAATAAAACAAAACAATAGTTTTGGAGAAGGTAAAATGTGGAAGAAAATGCCCCAGAATACTGAACAATCTTTGTTCTTCCACTATCCTCAAACAAATTTAACAAAATAAATATCTAACACCATTAGTTTTATAGCAGTCCATAGAATTATTGCTTCTGTAATAGGAATGTTATGTTTAACAATTGGAGTCTCTATCAAGAAGCCTTGTGTAATTTTTTGGGTGAATGGTTGGGCTTAACATAACTTTGTAACATACACAGTAGTCCTAAAGATTTTTTATCTGTTTGTGCCATAGTGTCATCCCTATTTTTTTTTAACTCACCTACTTAGTGGATTTTCTGCCACATTCCTTCTGTTAATGTGAACTGCACACCAGGTTCTGCCTTGAAGCATATCCTGCCTTTGATCTCATCGCAATACTGCCGTGGTCATCTGCTATTCTCTGATGATGTGACGATTTTTCACTTTTTCATGGCAGTTTCTTAACCATGGCACTTTTTGGATTGGATAATTCTTTGCTTGTGGTAGGAGCTGTCCTGTGCATTGTTGAATGTTTAGCATCTACTCTGGCCTCTACTCACTAAATGCAAGCCACTCTGCTTCCCCACTGACCCAATCAGAAGTCAAAAAGATAGGTATCACCAAATGTTCCCCTGGAGAGATAAAATGCCTCTGATTGAGAACTTCTGTTCTACGGTGGTGGTGTTTTTTCTATCCCATGCAAGAGGGATTTTTTATTTTTTAGTTGAGCTTCTTCACTCCACTTTTCTAATCTATCTATACTAATCTCTCAAAACATCCAAATATTAACTAGGATATTTTCTCCTAAGATAATCAGTGTTCAAGAGTGTAGTGAGCACACCCATAAATTCTGAGATGAGTAATTCTTCCTTAAGTGCTTACACCTTTATTTTTCCTAGGGATTAGAAAGGCACACAAGCGGATGACAATTTCACTTTCATTGAACAGTAAGAGTGGTCAAGTAACCTCAAGCTCTTAGGTCAAATATTTCAGGCTATGTCTTTAATTCCAGGTAAAACTCTTAGCAGCATCATATCAAATATACAGATTCTGTTATTATGTCTCACTGTATAAAGAAAAGACTTTAAATGTCATCTGTTTAGGCTTGGATTTTACTTGTAATTGGAACAGTTGTATGTTCTCTACTTTTAGAATAGTTCTCAAAACCCCACTTAAAACCTAGTCCACCTCTCAAGTTGGGAAATTTTAATTGCTGTAGGCAACAATACATCTAACAATCGGTATGCTAGCACTGTCTCCTTGCTATGATGGAAGCGGCAGGTGCTCACAGGGCCAGAAATCACTGGAGACCATTCCCACAGACTTCTGAAGGGGAAAATAGTTGTATGTGTGTAAATGAGAGTGCGGGAGCATTTCCCATCCATTTTTCTAATACTTTCTCAGCTTCTTCTCCTTCCACTACCTGTTGTTTATGGTCAGTCTTTTTTGCCTCTAGGAAGAAAATACACTCTTTTGCCTCCTCGCACAATCTATTCTCCTGTAGCAAGAAAAATTATTTACCTATATTTTAAAAAGATTTCAGTGTTATTAAGAGTGGAAAATACTGGGATAAAATGTCCTTGCACTTATATATATATATATTTTTTTTCTTTCAAAAGTGAGATACCACTTTGGTATTACATCATGTCTTTGTGTACACAAGCGATGGAGGAAGGGTCATCTCAATTTTGGAGGAATAAGGCCAGTTTTTCATTGCAATGAGGGCTGACAAAGGGGATCTGAAGTAAAAAGCCAGAAGAGCCTCTGGATATAAGAGGAAAGGGAAGAAACGGGATCAGGGAAGTGGAAAGAAGAAAGTGTACCTAATGACAAATGAATATGTTATGGCAAAATAAATTTAATTAGTTCTGACATTTAAAAATAATATATTTTTATATTATTTTTTAAAGACATGCTGTAAGAGTGTTTGAAAGGACATTCGAATTTTAAATAGTGCCATCAGAATAGTATCCCTTGAGGGAATATTTTAAGTACTTTAAAAAATGAGATGAAGCATCAAAATGCATTACAAACTGAAAACTACTTCCCACGTAAAAAATTGTGATTTTCAAATAAACCTTAGCTGCTTGTGTGTGTAAGTTTATAAATATAAGTAACTGACAAGATGGGAATTATTACTCTGGAATTATCAAGAGTAACAGTGATATACCCATCAAAAATTAAAAGTGCCACAAGTTTCTTGGACTAGATTTTTCCTTAGCAATATATAGGATTTTTTTTCTAACCAGTAGACAACCAGGAAATGTAACATTTTTAAAAGATAAATAGTGTTTCAGAAATTACCTCCTTTAGTGACTAGTAAAAAAATTTCCTTTGAATAAAAGATGTCATTTTAATGTAATGTTTGTTTTAGTTACATGATAGCTAATAACAAGAATAAATTTATGTGTAAGTATATTTAAATATATTACTCAACCAAAATAGTTAGCTTTCTGTCATGGAAGCCTGTAACCTCCAGAAGATTAACAATAACAAGTGCTCTCGAATGTAAATATTGAGACAATATTTAGGAAATAAAGGGAATCTTTAATTATCAAATAAATCTGAGAAAGACCAAATTATGAAAGAGAAACATCAGGAAAAAGTATTTATCAGAGCGAGACCCTGTCTCAAACAAACAAACAAAAAAGTATTTATCTTAGGAGAAATAATTTAATAGAGATAAAAATGCTTACAATGAGCATAATTTATAAATTTATAAATATAAAAATACACAATACAAACAAGAATAGGCTACTGTTAAGAAGAGGAAAAATTACATATTGAAAATTTTAAAATTTGCTTGTGAGTAAAACATAAAACAACTCAATAAATTTCAATAGAAGAACTAAATGGAATAATGAACAATTTGAGAATAAATTTTTGAGCTGGAAGTTTGATCGGGGAAAATACAATTGAAAGTTTAACTGGAATTTTTATAAAATAGTTCCAAAAAATAACCTAGGGAATAAAATAATCAAAGAGACAATGGGAGAATATATAGTTCAATAAACACATACTGAAAACATTCACACTATCCCTTTGAAAAGTAATGGAAACACTGTCTACAATAATGAAAGTGATGTTTTAGTTAATTTTGAAAATATTCTCAAGAATCTGAAGAATAAATATATTTTTTATAGGCAAACATCAGAAAAATATTAAAAGATCTTCAGTTTTTAGTAGTCATACTAGATCCTAAGCAAAATGAAGCAATAGCTTTCAAAAAGGGTATGAACGATAGATAACACTAAATAAGTTCATACATAATTTGAACAACTAAAAATAATGATTTGAGAATAAAAGTATCTTAGTGTGAGACTACATAAATTATCATGTAAAATAGTTGGTGTACTCACTGGAATACTAGAGTAATGGCTGAAAATCATACAACCCAAAGAAAAAAAAGAGAATAAATGAAAGCAAGCAACAACAACAAAACAAAACACCTGGAAAGGAAGTAAAAATAAAGATTAAATAATAAATGCACACTCTGACTATAAATCAGTAATCACAATAACTGGGTTTAGATAAAATCCTTCTACTAATTTTCTCATGTTGAGTAAGGAACAAACAACTACAATATATATCATCATGTGCTTTTTAAAATGAGACATAACAATGTGAACAAAACGGAAATTTCTCCCCTCACAAAGACTGCATTCACCTGCATTATCACTGTGGATTCATCTCAGAAGTTTTAATTTCCTTGAGGATGTGGCTATACCAGGTATTAGATATCCTTGAGCCAGCCCAACACCATCAGCCCACTATCATTTAATATATAATTCTGGACCTACTTACATCAGAATCACTTCGGATACCTTTAAGAAAGTCAAAAATCACACTTTCTAAAAGTCTGAAAATATGCATCTTATCAAGCACCCCAGTGCCTCTTCATACAGAAATTTAAAAGCCACTGCTCCAGACATTTATTTTTAATATTATGAGCAAATAATAGGGAGCAAAATATTTGAAGCTAAACTGAATTTCTTTTTTTTTTAATTTTATTATTATTATACTTTAAGTTTTAGGGTACATGTGCACAACGTGCAGGTTTGTTACATATGTATACATGTGCCATGTTGGTGTGCTGCACCCATTAACTCGTCATTTAGCATTAGGTACATCTCCTAATGCTATCCCTCCCCCATCCCCCCACCCCACAAGAGTCCCCAGTGTGTGATGTTCCCCTTCCTGTGTCCATGTGTTCTTATTGTTCAATTCCCACCTATGAGTGAGAACATGCGGTGTTTGGTTTTTTATCCTTGTGATAGTTTGCTGAGAATGATGGTTTCCAGCTTCAACCATGTCCCTACAAAGCATATGAACTCTTCGTTTTTTATGGCTGCATAGTATTCCATGGTGTATACGTGCCACATTTTCTTAATCCAGTCTATCATTGTTGGACATTTGGGTTGGTTCCAAGTCTTTGCTATTGTGAATAATGCTGCAATAAACATACGTGTGCATGTGTCTTTATAGCAGCATGATTTATACTCCTTTGGGTATATACCCAGTAATGGGATGGCTGCATCAATGGTATTTCTAATTCTAGATCCCTGAGGCATCGCCACACTGACTTCCACAATGGTTGAACTAGATTACAGTCCCACCAACAGTGTAAAAGTGTTCCTATTTCTCCACATCCTCTCCAGCACCTGTTGTTTCCTGACTTTTTAATGATCTCCATTCTAACTGGTGTGAGATGGTATCTCATTGTGGTTTTGATTTGCATTTCTCTGATGGCCAGTGATGATGAGCATTTTTTCATGTGTTTTTTGGATGCATAAATGTCTTCTTTTGAGAAGTGTCTGTTCATATCCTTCGCCCACTTGTTGATGGGGTTGTTTGTTTTTTTCTTGTAAATTTGTTTGAGTTCAGTGTAGATTCTGGATATTAGCTCTTTGTGAGATGAGTAGGTTGCAAAAATTTTCTCCCATTCTGTAGGTTGCCTGTTCACTCTGATGGTAGTTTCTTTTGCTGTGCAGAAGCTCTTTCGTTTAATTAGATCCCATTTGTCAATTTTGGTTTTTGTTGCCATTGCTTTTGGTGTTTTAGACATGAAGTCCTTGCCCATGCCTATGTCCTGAATGGTAATGCCTAAGTTTTCTTCTAGGGTTTTTATGGTTTTAGGTCTAACATGTGAGTCTTTAATCCATCTTGAATTAATTTTTGTATAAGGTGTAAGGAAGGGATCCAGTTTCAGCTTTCTACATATGGATAGCCAGTTTTCCCAGCACCATTTATTAAATAGGGAATCCTTTCCCCATTGCTTGTTTTTCTCAGGTTTGTCAAAGATCAGATACTTGTAGATATGCAGCATTATTTCTGAGGGCTCTGTTCTGTTCCATTGGTCTATATCTCTGTTTTGGTACCAGTACCATGCTGTTCTGGTTACTGTAGCCTTGCAGTATAGTTTGAAGTCAGGTAGCGTGATGCCTCCAGCTTTGTTCTTTTGGCTTAGGATTGACTTGGCAATGAGGGCTCTTTTTTGGTTCCATATGAACTTTAAAGTAGTTTTTTCCAATTCTGTGAAGAAAGTCATTGGTAGCTTGATGGGGATGGCACTGAATCTATAAATTACCTTGGACAGTATGGCCATTTTCACGATATTGATTCTTCCTACCCATGAGCATGGAATGTTCTTCCATTTGTTTGTATCCTTTTATTTCATTGAGCAGTGGTTTGTAGTTCTCCTTGAAGAGGTCCTTCACATCCCTTGTAAGTTGGATTACTAGGTATTTTATTCTCTTTGAAGCAATTGTGAATGGGAGTTCACTCATGATTTGGCTCTCTGTTTGTCTGTTATTGGTGTATAAGAATGCTTGTGGTTTTTGCACATTGATTTTGCATACTGAGACTTTGCTGAAGTTGTTTATCAGCTTAGGGAGATTTTGGGCTGAGATGATGGGGTTTTCTAGATATACAATCATGTTATCTGCAAACAGGGACAAATTGACTTCCTCTTTTCCTAATTGACTGCCCTTTATTTCCTTCTCCTGCCTGATTGCCCTGGCCAGCACTTCCAACACTATGTTGAATAGGAGTGGTGAGAGAGGGCATCCCTGTCTTGTGCCAGTTTTCAAAGGGAATGCTTCCAGTTTTTGCCCATTCAGTATGATATTGGCTGTGGGTCTGTCATAGATAGCTATTATTATTTTGAGATACATCCCATCAATACCTAATTTATTGAGAGTTTTTAGCATGAAGGGTTGTTGAATTTTGTCAAAGGCCTTTTCTGCATCTATTGAGATAATCATGTGGTTTTTGTCTTTGGTTCTGTTTATATGCTGGATTACATTTATTGATTTGCATGTGTTGAACCAGCCTTGCATCCCAGGGATGAAGCCCACTTGATCATGGTGGATAAGCTTTTTGATGTGCTGCTGGATTCGGTTTGCCAGTATTTTATTGAGGATTTTTGCATCAATGTTCATCAAGGATATTGGTCTAAAATTCTCTTTTTTGGTTGTGTCTCTGCCCGGCTTTGGTATCAGGATGATGCTGGCCTCATAAAATGAGTTAGCAGGGATTCCCTCTTTTTCTACTGATTGGAATAGTTTCAGAAGGAATGGTACCAGCTCCTCCTTGTACCTCTGGTAGAATTCAGCTGTGAATCCATCTGGTCCTGGACTTTTTTTGGTTGGTAAGCTATTAATTATTGCCTCAATTTCAGAGCCTGTTATTGGTCTATTCAGAGATTCAACTTCTTCCTGGTTTAGTCTTGGGAGAGTGTATGTGTCGAGGAATTTATCCATTTCTTCTAGATTTTCTAGTTTATTTGCATAGAGATGTTTATAGTATTCTCTGATGGTAGTTTGTATTTCTGTGGGATTGGTGGTGATATCCCCTTTGTCATTTTTTATTGCTTCCATTTGATTCTTCTCTCTTTTCTTCTTTATTAGTCTTGCTAGCGGTCTATGAATTTTGTTGATCTTTCAAAAAACCAGCTCCCAGATTCATTGATTTTTTGAAGGGTTTTTTGTGTCTCTATTTCCTTCAGTTCTGTTCTGATCTTAGTTATTTCTTGCCTTCTGCTAGCTTTTGAATGTGTTTTCTCTTGCTTCTCTAGTTCTTTTAATTGTGATGTTAGGGTGTCAATTTTAGATCTTTCCTGCTTTCTCTTGTGGGCCTTTTTAGTGCTATAAATTTCCCTCTACACACTGCTTTGAATGTGTCCCAGAGATTCTGGTATGTTGTGTCTTTGTTCTCTTTGGTTTCAAAGAACATCTTTATTTCTGCCTTCATTTCGTTATGTACCCAGTAGTCATTCAGGAGCAGGTTGTTCAGTTTCCATGTAGTTGAGTGGTTTTGAGTGAGATTCTTAATCCTGAGTTCTAGTTTGATTGCACTGTGGTCTGAGAGACAGTTTGTTATAATTTCTGTTCTTTAAATATGCTGAGGAGTGCTTTACTTCCAACTATGTGGTCAATTTTTGAATAGGTGTGGTGTGGTGCTGAAAAGAATGTATATTCTGTTGATTTGGTCTGGAGAGTTCTGTAGATGTCTATTAGATCCGCTTGGTGCAGAGTTGACTTCAATTCCTGGATATGCTTATTAACTTTCTGTCTTGTTGATCTGTGTAATGTTGACAGTAGGGTGTTAAAGTCTCCCTTTATTATTGAGTGGGAGTCTAAGTCTCTTTGTAGGTCACTAAGGACTTGCTTTATGAATCTGGGTGCTGCTGTATTGGGTGTATATATATTTAGGATAGTTAGCTCTTCTTGTTGAATTGATCCCTTTACCACTATGTAATGGCTGTCTTTATCTCTTTTGATCTTTGTTTGTTTAAAGTCTGTTTCATCTGAGACTAGGATTGCAACCCCTGCCTTTTTTTGTTTTCCATTTACTTGGTAGATCTTCCTCCATCCTCCATCCCTTTATTTTGAGCCTATCTGCGTCTCTGCACGTGAGATGGGTTTCCTGAATACAGCACACTGATGGGTCTTGACTTTATCCGATTTGCTAGTCTGTGTCTTTTAACTGGAGCATTCAGCCCATTTACATTTAAAGTTAATATTTTTATGTGTGAATTTGATCCTGTCATTATGATGTTTTCTGCTTATTTTGCTCATTAGTTGATGCAGTTTCTTCCTAGCCTCGATGGTCTTTACAATTTGGCATGTTTTTGCAGTGACTGGTACCGGTTATTCCTTTCCATCTTTAGTGCTTCCTTCAGGAGCTCTTTTAGGGCAGGCCTGGTGGTGACAAAATCTCTCAGCATTTGCTTGTCTGTAAAGTATTTTATTTCTCCTTCACTTATGAAGCTTAGTTTGGCTGGATATGAAATTCTGGGTTGAAAATTCTTTTCTTTAAGATTGTTGAATATTGGCCCCTGCTCTCTTCTGGCTTGTAGAGTTTCTGCTGAGAGATCAGCTGTTAGTCTGATGGGCTTCCCTTTGTGGGTAACCCGACCTTTCTCTCTGGCTGCCCTTAACATTTTTTCCTTCAACTTTGGTGAATTAAACTGAATTTCTAATCTGATAACAATAACCAAAATTTTTGACTTGCCAAGAAAGCTGAGGTCTTCCCATTCTAACAGTGTATTCTGAAAGAAGCAGCAGTGGATTGGCTATATTAATGATTTCCAGAACACATATTGAAAAATTAAATAAAATATGCTTAATGGCTTTTGGGTATTAATTTTTAACTCTAAAAAATTAAATGAGATGTGCTAAAAACAACATGATATATAATTTTAAGATAATACACATAGAAAAATATAGGAAGAAAAATGTTTACAAAGTGATTCATTGAGGGAATGTTAATATCACTATAATAAGGAAATTACAAATACATCAGAACATTCAAGAGAAACTAATATTTCATTCACAATTAAGTGAAAGCTCTAAAAGATGGTCTAATATCCTTAAGAAGAAATGGGCAGGCCCAATTTGAAGAATTAATTAAAACTTTACTGAAGTAAACAGGAAATAATAGGATTCGAATAGATCAAGATAATCATGTTGCTAGTTTTTAGGAAGATTGAATATATTAAGTCATCTTAATTTAAATTATAACTTCAAAACAAATAGCATTTCTAGTAATAGTCTAATGGAAATCAAAATGCTAATTTTTATGCATAATTGTACATATTTATGGAGGTAAATGTGATATTTTGATTCATGCATACAATGTATAATTATCAAATCAGAGTATTTAAAATGTTCATCGCCTCAAACACTTTTTATTTCTTTATATTGGGAAAGCTCCATATATTTTCTTCTGGCTATTTTAAACTATATTATAAATTCTCATCAACTATATTCACCCTAAAGTGCTACTGAAGACCAGAACTTATTCTTCCTATCTAACTGTGTTTTTGTACCTATTAACGAACCTCTCCTCAATCCCTCTCACCCTTCCCAGCCTCTGATAAACATCATTCTATGCCCTACCTTTATAAGATGAACTTTTTAGCTCTCACATAAGGTGAGAACATACAATGTCTTTCTGTGCTGGCTTTATTTGCAGTAACATGGATGCAACTGGAGGATGGCAAGTTAAGGAAAATCAATACACTAATCCTTAATTTTATATTGAAGAAACTATGTACAAGAAAATAGAAGAATATTTTTCCCAGATCGAAATCTACTATAACATTATAATAGAATCATTGGCATATGCTTAGGATTAGGATTTTTTTAAAATTCTGCTTTATTTGCTTCTGTGTGTGTTCCCTAGGAAACAGACTCTGAGATGGTTTAATGTGTCAGTTGTTTATTTGGAAATACCCTTGAGATCAACAATTGAAAAAGGCAGAAGGATCATATTATTTCATTCTTGCATTGCTATAACTATCTGAGACTGGTTAATTTATGAAGAAAAAAGGTCTAATTCACTCATGGTTTCACATGATGTACAGGCAGTGTGGCTGAGGAGGCCTCGGGAAACTTAAAATCATTGCAGAAGGCAAAGAAGCTGTCACGTCCAACATCGCTGGAGCACGAGGAAGAGAGAGCAAACGGGGAGATGCTACACACTTTAAAATACTCAGATTTAATGAGAACTCTGTCACAAGACAGCACTGGGGGGATGGTGATAAACCATTGAAAACCACCCACATGATCCAGTCACCTCCCACCAGGCCCCACCTCCAACACTGGGATTATAATTCAACATGAGTTTTGGGTGGGGACATACAGCCAAACTATATTATTCCACCCCTTGCCCTTCCCAAATCTCATGACCTTCTCTCATTTTAAAACACAATCATGCCTTCCCAGCAGTCCCCCAAAGTCTTAACTCATTCTAGCATTAACTCAAAAGTCCACAGTCTTATCTGAGACAAGTCTTATCTGAGACAAGTCAAGTCCCTTTGACCTATGAGCCTGTAAAATCAAAAACAAGTTAGTTACTTCCAAGATACAATGTGGGTACAGGCATGGGTAAATGCTTTCATTCCAAAAGAGAGAAATTGTCCAAAACGAAAGGGCTACAGGCCCCATGCAAGTCTGAAACCCAGCAGGGCAGTCATTAAATCTTAAAGCCCCCAAATAATCTCCTTTGACCCCATGTTTCACACCTAGGCAACACTGACACAAGAAGTAGGCTCCCAAGGCCTTGGGCAGCTCCGCCCATGTGGTTCTGCAGGGTACAGCCCCCACAGCTGCTTTCATGGGCTGGCATTGAGCGCCTGTGGTTTTTCCAGGAGAACTGTGTAAGCTCTTGGTGGATCTAACATTCTGGGGTCTGGAGGATGACAGCCCTCTTCTCATGGCTCCAATAGGCAGTGCCCCAGTGGGGACTCTGTGGAGGGGTTCTAACCCCACATTTCTCCTCCACACTGCCCTAGTAAAGGTTTTCCATGAGGGCTCTGCTTCTGCAGCAGACTTCTGCTTGGACTTTCAGGCTTTTCCTTCCATACATCCTCTGAAATCTAGTCAGAGGCTCCAAGCCCCAATTCTTGCCCTCTGTGCACTTGCAGGCTTAACACCACAAGGAAGGCACCAAGGCTTATGGTGTGCACCCTCTAGAGCAGTGGCCTGAGACATATCCGGGACCCAATTAGCTACAACTGGAGCTGAAGTGGCTGGGACTTTTCCTAATCTTCCTGTATTCTTTTGAGCCCTCCAAACTGTTCCAGCCTCTGCCTGTTACCCAGTTCCAAATTGCTTCCACATTTTCAGGTATCTTTATAGCAATGTCTCACTTCTCTGGTTCCAATTTTGTGTTTTAGTTCATTCTCACATTGCTATGCTATAAAGAACTACCTGAAATTGGGTAATTTATGAAAAAAAAGTTTAATTGGGTCATGGTTCTGCAGGCTGCATAGGAAGAGGAAGCATGGGTGGGTAGTCTCAGGAAACTTACAATCATGGCATAAGGCAAAGGGGAAGCTAGCACATCCTAAATGGCTGGAGCAGGAGGAAGAGAGAGGGAAGGGGACGTGATACACAGTTTTAGAGAACCAGATCTTGTGAAAACTCTGTGGTGAGACTGCACTAGGGGGGTGGTGCTAAACCATTAGAAACAACCTCCATGATCCAACCACCCCCGCATCAGGCTCCTCCAACTCTGGGGTTTACAATTCAACATGAGATTTAGGTGGAGACAGAGCCAAACCATATCAGGGATAAAAGAGAATTGGACAGAGGAATAAATTGAGCTGTAATGCAGGCCCAGCAATTGCTCCAGCCCAACCTTTGGAGTGTTCTGGAACTAGCATGGCTCTTCTGAGTTGTCCTCCATTTGCAGAGATGATCTTTCTACCTCCAAATAGTGAACGATCAGGTATACACTCTTCAGATAGGAATTCTGGCCAAGGCTGCTCCCTGTAGCTGAGGGAGTCTATGAGAAGCTGACATATAAGGATATATCTGCTGATTCCCTGCACCTGGGGGTCTGGAAGTCTTAAAGTGGGGTCTGTAAGACACATCATACTGTTCTCACAGAATATTGATGATACACTTGTCAAAGCCTTATTATGTCTTTCATTCTCCACCAGAAAGCATAAAAGGTTTGCCCCCAGTGACAGTTTTGTTCAAAATGTTTCTCCTTAGCACGTTTAACTTTCTATACTTGTAGCTTATCTTGTGCTTTGAAATATTTAAACATATGGGGATGTCAGGAAATAAATAGTGGACATCTGTATGATAATTACTGCAGTCTCAATTTATAAATTACTTTTTTAATTAACAAAACTAATATATATTCAATGAATAAAATTAGCAAATGAAGTAGAAGACACAAACACCATTACCAAAGAAAAGAAAAAATCATTCACAGATCCATTAACCAGTAAATTTTTCTAGACTACTTTAATCTGTTTATTTTCCCTACTATTTTATCAGTTAACAATATAGAAAATATTCTGCACGTCAAAAATATTCTTATATAACATATTTCTTCAACTTCTGTCCTGCATATCTTAAAAAGAAATATATTTAATTAATTCTCTAGTGTTAATTTTATTTTATTATTTTTCTATTATAAGTGATTAATAAATAAATAATTGTGTATATTTACGTTAGCACACATCAGATTATTGTTCATTTTTAGATATTAAAGTTTTGCCCTTTCTTTTAAGTGATATTCTCAGACAGTGTTTTTTTTTTTCATATTTAAAGTGTCAAGCACCCAAAATAGATGTGTGTCCGACTGAAGGCTGGTGAGGCTGTTCACTGTTAGAATGAGAGCCCAAGAGAAGTATCCTAAGCCACAGACCCTTGACTGTCTATTAAAGACTTTTAGGGGAACAGTGAATAAGCATTAGAGGCAAATAGCAAGAAAATATAATGAGATCAGGAAATTTCAATAAAAATTAATTGAACAATAAACTTTATACATTTCTAGAAGACAAATGTATTCAAATTTCTGTTCTGTCATTTTGAGTAAAACAATATAAGAAAAATGAAAAGTGTTTACAAAGATTTTAAGATTGGCTGAAGTTTGATGCTGGCATTAGATCTGAATGGAAATAGCTAACATAAAAATGTATCTCAAAACAGCAGTGGATACCAACATTTTATGGAAGGAGTTTCTTTTCCAATAGAAAAAGGAATATCATTGGATTACATGTATAAAATGAAAGCATGATGAATTTTAGTGTGGTAAAATTGAAGTTTTCTTTATACAGCTTTAAGTATGTATTAACTTTCACTTTACATCAGCATAAAAAAATTTTAAAGCTTCAATTTTATCTTCATTATAGAAATACATGATAAAAACCTCCTTTCTCTTTATTCTTACTATCATTTCTTACATCTGGTAGGGAATAAACAACACTAGGTCCCTGGTCTTTAGCTCTGACTTGCAGAATAGAAATCTGATAGCTCATTCTTCTCTGAGTTCGATGTTTATGGAAGGGAAAGAAAAATATTCATATTTCCCTAATGTTTTAGCAGTCTTTATTCTTTTTTTCCACAAAATGTCACATTTTTTCTGATGTTTAATTAAATTAACTATTGCATAGTTACACGACTGAGATGGTCAGAGTGCTGATGTTGCAGTCTTTCCTAGAGCAGGCATATGAAATTCAGCAGGATATACACAACTTCATAAAGAAATGTGAAACTCAGGGATAAAACAAACTGGATTTTATAAACATTATACCTCATGGACAAAAAAATATATAATGGAATTCTAAAATTTATTTTAGTGAGTGAGTAACCTATCAGTTTATGTAAATATTGATGATTATACTTTCTGTGTATAATCTGTTTGTTCTTTGAAGATAACTAGTTAATCAAAATGCAAAAGCACTGACTTGTAATGATGCAAAATAGTTAATAAAATGGCATTGTTATTCATTCAGAAATTTAGTTGACTTGTGCTTTAGGGTGACAAGTTGTTGGTAAGTTCTTAGTAAATATCTGGTCAACAGAAGTGTGCTAGAGAGCTGTCAAGTTGCCTCACACATGTTCATGTTGTGGCTTTTGGCAATGACGTAAGAAAGTTAAAGCAGCCAATGTGTTCTTGATATTTCGGCTTGAATGCAGAAAACCTCCTCATAAGCATTGTGATTTCACTTGTACTCTGTGTCACAAAACTTTCCAGGCCCTCACTCTTCCCCAGGAATTTGGGGATTGATGTTCATGTTCTTTTTGGCTTGAGATATGATCTAACAGGAAAGTGTTGAACCTGAAAATTTTATGGTTCATATCAAGGGCTCATGCTGCCTTTTGTTCATCGCTCCATTCATTTTTTTTCTCCAAGACTATTTTCCAAATTTACCTTCTCTTCATCCCATATATCTATATAACATGGGGACATAATTAACTTTCTCAAAAGCATTGAGCCTGTCATCTATGCTCACCAGTCCTGAATCTAGTTGCAAAGAGTGTAAATGCAAAAAAAGGCTTAGTACTGGCTTATGCTCTTCTACTAACTTGTGTCATTTTGATCAAGTCTCTTTAACCTGTGGCAGCTAGTGGGGTACATATACAAAAGCAATGTGTAAGTCTTCTTGACTCTCTTGCCTGAAGAACAGAATAATGGATGCTTACAGGTTTTGTGTTTTCTCTTTGCTTAGCATTTTAGTGAAATGGAATGAAAAGGAACACTCCTGGTTTTACTATACACTGGAAATATTAACTTTTATTTTTGATCCAGTATTTGAAGGCAGCATTTATTATAGCTTTTATAAAGCTCCCTGCTTTTGTGAGACCACAGGCAAATGAAAATGCGCCCAGGATAAATTAGATTTTTTTGCCTTCAACTTACTATAATGTAAAAATTTAATATTTTCATATCAATCTATTTCCCCACAGGAAATAATGCACTCAAAAGAGGCAGTTGACATGAGTTTAGGAAGAAATTATTTAAAAGTTGGTGGAAACCAAAGGGAAAGGGTGAATAAGCCAAGGGCTAATACTAGTGAGATGTTGCTTCTCTCTGACTTGAAGGGTGCTGGAGGGGAGAGCCATGATAGTTGCACAAAATTAGTGGTCTTTCATAGGGCAACACCTCCACTGGCAACTGGCCACCTCAGCAGTGAGGGAGCTGGGGGAATAAGTATTACAACGGCCTTTTCTTCCCAATCTCTAATCTTTGACTATAAACTCATTGTTCATTTATAACCAAAGCTCAAGGGTAAAGAAGTCTTCTTGTTGTCCACACATAACAACCTTTTAAGGCAAGTTAGCAAAGTAGAGAATGTGGGAAAGGAGACATAAAGGAAAAAAATGGGGAATAACTAATACACCTGTAAATTGCCATGGAAATGTGCAACATGGAATGCCTGAGCCACGGACAGAAGTATTTTTGTACCCCCATCATAGATCGGTCTCTGTCAGACATAGCTAAAATTCCAGTGATTTTTCTAAAGTAATGACAAAACTGCTCATCATTATTGAAAACCTTATCAAGGAACATATCTATCCATATTACTAAGAACAACACTGCTGGGAAGTTGGAGCTCCTATAAAGAAATATGCTTGAGAGAGCAAAGTGGTATGAGCAATCATGAATATATGATGTAAGGTATGATTCTGCTTGGGCTGCCATAACAAAACACCGCAGACTGGGTAGCTTAAACAACAAACACTTATTTTCTCACAGTACTGGAGCCTAGAAGTCAATGGCCTTGCTAACAAATTCAGTTTCTGGTGAGGCTCTCTTCCTGCTTGCAGCTGCCTTCCTACCGTCTGCATATGGCCTTTCCCTGGTGCCTATGTGTAAAGAGAGAGGGAAAGAGGAAGAGAGGAAAAGAGAGAGAAACATTAGAGAGAGAGAGACACAGAGAGACAGAAAGATCCCTGATATCTCTTCTTTTTTAATTTTTATTTTTATATTTTTGAGCCAGGGTCTATGTTTGCCAGGTTGGTCTCGAACTCCTGGCCTCAATCAATCTTCCTGTCTCAGACTCTCCAAGTGCTGGGATTATAGGCGTGAGCCACAGCACCCTGCCAGTGTCTCTTCTTGTAAGGAAACTAATTCTACAGCATCAGGGTCCCACCCTTATGACCTAATTTAACCTAAATTACTATTAAGAAATTAGAGGCCCATTCTTCACACACAGCCACACTGGGGTTTAGGACTTTAGCATGATTTTTTTTTTTTTGACAGGAAGTAGGAACAAACATTTGTAACGAACAGCAATGGAAAACATAGTGTTAAGACTTCACATTATAAAATTTTTTCAAAGTTATATAATTTTAAAAGAATACTGTTCTAAAATTTATTCAAGATCCTTTATAAAAGAATATTGACAGCTTATCTTTTAAGTATGCATTTATTATTTGGGTCTTAAAACTGTAAAATTTGGAAAGTAAAGAATCACATCGCCTGTAACTATTTACTCAGATATAACATCTGTAAATATTTAGTTTCAGAATTTTTCTCTTTGTATAATACTTGCCAAGTTAAAATTAAAAAGATTCTTAATTTCAGGATTATTTAGAAAATGTAATCACTAATGTATATGGACTCTTTCAAAGAAGAAAAGGTGTAATTCAAACTTATTTAAGGAATTTTTAGGTCTCTGTCCCAATATTTCCTTTAGTTGCAGTTTAATATAGAATCAACTTGATATATTCTATAATCTTATTTATATTGTTTTTATGCTTGTATGACCTCTTTTATTTCATAATGAATGAAAGATAGATTATTCTTCTCATTTTTATGCAGGGCCACCATTATCCTAGATAGTATTTTTGAAAGTATTTCCACCAGTGAATCATGCCTCTGTATAAATCTGAAGTTATATTTTTCTCCAGATAGATGTAACCCGTATAGGACACATACTTTCATAAAGTATCAATGACATGTTTCAAAGTTCATCGTTTTATTTTTGTATCCTTGCTTTTAGTCTCACAGGATCCAGTCAAAATGATATTTTCCAAAGTAACTTAGGTTAGTATTTTTCTTCTCTACCACATCAATGTGGTTTTGCTATTTACTTGTAATAAAGTGAGAATCATTAGTTATAGTTATTATTTCAGTTGGGGCTCTTCTAGCATCCTGGATAAATGTTTTTAGAACTTTACAAACAGTACAATTAACTGTGGTATTACACTTCTATGAATTCTGACAAATGCATATGTCCCTCAACACAGTCAGGATATAGAACAATTCTCACTCCTAAAATTCTCTCATGCTGTTTCTTCATAGTCAGTCATCCTCCTCTATACTCCTATTAATTTTTCAGTTTTATCAAAAAATTATAATTAGTTTACAAAATGTTCTTTAATTCTTCTTTTAATTTCTTATAAAAAATGATTTTTTTCACTTGTCTTTTATAATTGTATATAGTTGTTCATTCTTTCCACGTTGTATCCAATGTGTAAAATACTTTATGGTTTCCACTTCTAGGATTTGTTTATAAATTTTTCTGACACTTTTTTCATTAAACTTTTTCCTGAATCATTATTCATTCACTCCTATTTCTTTATTTTGTTTTAAGTGTTATTATTTTTCCATCATCTTTAGTGGAATTTTAATTATTTCCTTGTATCACTATGTAGCTGTCAGAAAAATGAGGACTGTAATTTTTTTGAAACATGCTTTGTCTACATTATATTTTTATTTTTATGATTTAATTCTAATTATGTACTCCTAATTATTCTTTGTGTGTAGATATTCTATAATTTTTGTTATGATTTTTTGACCCAGGCATTATTTAGAAAAGATGTTTTTGTTTTTAATATTTAAATATATTCCCTCCTCATTTTATTTAGTTTTAACTTATGTTAAAAAATGTAATATTACATATATTGAAATTTATTGATTTTTTGGATAGCATAATATATGGTTAAGTTATATGATCATATTCAAATTTTGTACTTGAAATAAGATATATTTTCTACTCCTAACATATAGATAAATAAATGGTGTTTTGCTTATTCATACAATGGCATGCTATACAACACTTGAAATTATTAAACTACATTTTTAATACAACATATATATATGTCAGAAGTCTGAAAAAGTTAAGTTGCAAAAGAGTACACATAAGTAAACATAGAGTAATGCCATTTTTATAAATTTGAAAATAAACAATACATTATTCATTTATTAATATCTCCATGCAGTGAAAGTATAAAAGCACATTATACTTATGAGAATAATATTAATCAAGTACAGGATAGTGCTCATTCCTGGAAGAAAAAAAGAAAGAAGACATGGAGATGGAATAGTCATTTTATCTGTAAAATTTTGTGTGATATTTTTTAAAAGAGAAAAAATATTCAATAAATAAAGCAATATATTGACATTTGTTTAATTTTCATTCCACAATATAAGAATCTTAAAGATCCCACAATTATAATTATATACATACACACACACACATACACACACACATGTATTTTAAGAAGTGAAAAAAATCTGAAACAGAGACTTCTGCTTTCCAATCCAACATATGTTTCCAATCCAACATATAAGAAGCTGGAAGTTGTCACCACACTATAACAAAAGTAAAAATAAAAGAAGCTAAAAAAAAAATCAACAACTATTCTTGATACAGAATAGTATCAAGACCCAGTCATCGGAGGCCCCCACACTTTTGTGAGTTTTATCTCCAGGAAATCGATGAAGTTTGCACAGAGGAAAGATCCCTCATGCTTCCAGCAGGGCATGGGGAAGAAGAACCATCTTACAATATGCCAGAGCATTCTGTTCTTCATTACAAGGTCTTCCCTCAGAAGAAACAATTTAACCAGACCCTAAACAGGCTTGGGTTTTGTCAGCGCTTAACTGACCTATGTAAAGGAAAAAAACTCAACTTCATTACTCTCTGAATTATTTTTCACCAAAGGCATTAGGCATGAAAATGAACAAGCACATGTGAAGTTTACAATCCAGTGGTACAAACTCCCTAAAAGACTGAGACCTACTCATGTAACAATAGGACACTACCCATTCCATCACAACTTACCACCACATTACTAAAGGCCTATTTAGAGCCGTTCCTTTTACCCACATCCAGTGGTCAAGAAAAAATTACAAGAAATGCTAAAAAGCAAGCAAGCAAACAAACAAACAAACAAAAACACACAGTTTGAAGAGCCTCAGAACCGGATTCAAATATGGTAGGAAAGTTAGAATTATAAGAGTAGGAATTTAAAACAGTTATGACTAGGATATTTAGGGCTCTAATCAGTAGAATAACATCATTAAAGAAAAAAGGACAATGTAATCATAGAGATGGAAATTCTCCGAAAAAAATGTTATAGATCAAAATCACTGTAACAGAAATAAAGAATGCCTTTGATAAGCTTATTGGTAGACTGAACACAGCTGAGAAAAGAAACTAGGAGTTTGAGGATATTTCAATAGAATGTCAAAAGTGAAAAACAAGAAGAAAAACGACTGAAAATTAACTATCAGAACAGAATGTTCAGAAACTGTGGAACAACTATAAAAGGTGTAACATACATGTAATGAGCAATCCAGAAAAAGAGAGAAAGGAACAGAAGTATTGGAAGTATAATGACAAAATTTTCCCAAAATTAATGTCACACACCAAACTGCAGATTTAAGACGCTCAGAGAAAGCCAAGCAGGATACATGCCAAAAAAATTCATCTATGCGTATAATTTTTAAACTACCGAAAATTATAAATTTAGAAAACCCAAAAGAAGCTAGACATGGGGAATAAGGTTTTTCCTTATATACATTGGAGTAAATATAAGAATTACATCTATCTTCTCAAATACCATACAAGGAAGAAAGAGTGGAGTAAAATATTTAAAGTGTTGAGAGAAAAAAACCAACAATCTATGATTCTATCCTCTGAAATATTATCCTTAAGAAGTGAAGGAGGGGCAGGAGGAACAAAGTCTTTCTCAGACAAACAAAAATTGAGGGAACTTGCTGACAGTAGAGAAGGAACATGATAAAGGTCAGAAACTCAGTTCTACATAAAGGAAGAACATCAAAGAAGGAATACATGGGTAAAATAAAAACTTTACTCTTAGTTTCTCTGCCAGATAACACTTTATTAAAAATAACAATAGCAACAATGTGTTAAATAATGTATGCTTATGTATGTATACATATACTTATATGTCTATGTATAAATAGAATAAATGACAGCAATAATATAAGGGATAGAAGAGATAAATTAGGGTTGTTTTGTTATTATAAAGTGCTTGCACTAATCTCAAGGTGATATATTGTTACCTGAGAGTGAAATTAGATTAGATGTAAATGTATATTGCAAATTCTAGGGCAACTGCTAAAACATGTACAAAAAGAAGTATAACTAATATATTAATAAAGGAGACAAGCAGAATTATAAAATGTTCAACTAAAATCACAAAAAGGAGATAGAGAGAAGACAAAAATAAGAAGAAAAAAGAGTAACAAATAAAAAACAGTAATGAATATGGTAGATATTAATACAACTATGTCAATAATCACTTTGAACACCAATGGTCTACATGTACCAATTAAAAGACAGACTTGTCAGAGTGTTTCAAGAAATAAGACCCAACCGTACATAGTCTATAAAAAGTCCACTCAAAGATTAATAAAGATTTAAAGTAAGTGGACAGAAAAAGATGCACCATGCTAAGATTAATTTTCTAAAAAGCAGAAGTAGCTATATTAATTTAAGACAGAACAGACTTCAGACCAAAGGAAGTCATCAGAAATAAACAGGTGCAATACGTAATGATAAAGTGGTCAATTATCCAATCAGATATAACAATTGGTAATGTATATATGTCTACAATAGAGTCTGAAGACAAGTGAGGCAAAGCTGACAGAATTACAAGGAGAAAGAGATGAATACATTATTATAGTTGGAGACCTCAATACCTCTCTATCAGAAATGGACAGATTCAGCAGGCAGAAAATTAGTAAAGACATACATAAACTCAACAACATTATCTGTCAAGTGAATATAATGAGCATTTATAGACTACTTTATACAACAATAGCAGAGTACACATTCTTCCCAAACTCATGACAAGCATTCACCAAGATAGGCCATATTGTGGGCTATAAAATACACCTTAACAAACTTAATAGAAATCATCCAATGTCTGTTCTCAGGCCACAATGGAATTAAACTAGAAATCAATAACAGAAATAGAGCAAGAAATTACAAAATATTTGAAGCTTAAACAACACATGGGTCAAAAAAGAAATCTCAAGAGAAATTTAAAAGTTTGAACTAAATGAAAATGAAAACATAAAATGTGTGGGTTGGAGTAAAAGCAGTACTCTGAGAGAAAACTATAGCATTGAATGCATATATTAAGAAAAAGAAACATTTAAAATCAATTAATTTCAAATTTGAAAACTAGATAAAGGATACCAAATTAAGTCCAATATAGGCAAAAGAAAAGAAATAAAAATTAGAGCAGATATCAATGAAATTGAAAACAGGAACTCAAAAGAGAAAAGTTAATGAAAACAACAGATGATAATTTTGAAAAAAATCAAAATTGATAGGCCTCTAGTGCAGGCTAGCTAAGAAAAAAAGAAAAAAGGACACAAATTATTATTATCAGATATAAAAGAGGGGATATCACTACAGATTCCATGGATATTAAAAGATAGTAAAGGAGCATTACAAACAATTCTGTGCCCCTAAATTTTATAACTTATATAAAATGGATTAATTGACTGAAAGACAAAAACTGCCAACACTCACACAGGAAGAAATAGACAACCTGAATAGGGCTTTACCTATTAAATAAATTCAATCAATAATTAATGACTTTCCAAAACAAAAAGCATCAGGCCTAGATTGTTGTACTCATGAATTCTATTACACATTTAAGGAAGAAATTACATCAGCTCTATACAATGATTTTCAGAAGATAAAAGCAAAGGGAATACTTCCCAGCCAATTCTATGGGGCCAGCATTACCCTAATACCAAAACCAAAGACATTACAAGAAAACAAGAGACCAATATCTCTCAGGAATATGAATGGAAAAATTCTCAACAAAATATTAGTAACTTGAATCCAATAATGTTTAATAATAAACCATTTCCAAGTTGGATTTATCCCAGGTATTCAAGACTGATTCAACATTTGAAAATTACTTAATGTAATCCATTTCATTTACATGTTGAAGAAGAAAAATTACATAATCATATCCATAGATGCACAAAAGGCATTTAACAAAATTTAACATCCATTCATGATAAAACTTTCAGCAAGCCAGGAATAGAGGGGAACTTGATCAAGTTGATAAAGCATAGCTACAAAAATCCTATAGCTAGTATCATATTTACTGATGAGAAACTCAAAGCTTTCCCACAAAGATTCAGAACAAGGCAAGGATGTCCCCTCACGGCTTTTCAACATTGTACTTGCAGTCTTAGCTAATTCAATACGACAAGAAAAGGATATAAAAGATACATAGACTGGAAAGAAAGAAATAAAATTGTCTTTCTTCAAAGATGACATGATCGTCTGTGTAGAAAGTCCAAAAGACTCAACAAAATCTCTTTGATGTAATAAGTGAGTATTGTAGGTTTGCAGGATACAAAGTTAACATATAAAAATCAAACACCGGCCTGGCACCGTAGCTTAGCCTGTAATCCCAGTACTTTGGGAGGCCCAGGCAAGTGGATCACCTGAGGTGGGGAGTTCAAGACCAGCCTGACCAATATGGAGAAACCCTGTCTCTACTAAAAATACAAAGTTAGCTGGGCGTGGTGGTGCATGCCTGTAATCCCAGCTACTCAGGAGGCTGAGGCAGGAGAATCACTTGAACCCGGGAGGCGGAGGTTGTGGTGAGCTGAGATTGCACCATTGTACTCCAGCCTGGGCAACAAGAACAAAGCTTCATCTCAAAAAAAAAAAAAAAAAAAATCAAACACCTTTTAATATACAATCAATAAACAAGTTGAATTTGAAATTAAAAATGCAATACTATTTACATTAACATCCACCAAAAAGAAAATACTTAGATATAAATTTAACAAAATATGCACAAGATCTGTATGAGGGAAAACCCAAAACTTTGATGAGACAAATGGAAAAACAACTAAATAAATAGGGATATATTTCGTGTCAACATTTCAGTTCTTCTCAACTTGATTCAATGCAATCTCAAGAAAAATCCCATCAAATTATTTTGTGGATATAGATACAACTGATTCTAAAGTTTATAGAGAGAGGCAGAAGACTCAAAATAGTAAACTGAGTTACTGACAGAGAACAGAGAAGACTGACACTATACTACTTCAAGACTTACTCACAAAGGTACAGTAATCAAGTCAGTATGCTATTGGCAAAATAACAGACAATTAGATCAATGGAACAAATAGAGAGAGCCCAGAAATAAACCCACATAAATATGGCTAACTAATTTTTGACAAAGGGACAAAGGTAGTATGTTGGAGTGAAGATAGTCTTTTCAACAAACGGTGCGGGAATAACTGGACATCAACATTCCAAAAAATGAATCTAGTCATAGACTTTAAGGCCTTACATACTTAACACAAAGGAAGTCAGATTGCTCACAGACCTAAATATAAAACTCAAAAATGTAACATTCCTAGAAGATAATGTAGGGAAACCTAGATGACCTTGGGTATGGTGATAATGCTTTAGATAAAACACAGAAAGCACAATCCATGAAAGAATCATTGATAAACTGGATATCATTAATATCAATAACTCCCACTCTGTGAAAGACGATGTCAAGAAAATGAGAAGACAAGTCACAGACTAGAAGAAAATATTTGCAAAGGACAGATCCAATAAATAACTGTTATCCAATATATACAAAGAACTCGTAAAACTCAAAAAATCTCTTGAAACATTAAGAAAAATAAAACCTTGATTTAAAAATAGCCCAAAGACCTTATCAGAAACCTCACCAAAGAAGATATTCAGATAGGAAATAAGCACTCATATGAAAATCCACATCATATTTCATTAAGTAAATGCAAATATTAATAATAATGAAATACTACTACACACCTATTGTAATGCTGAACATGCAGAATACCAACAACACTGAGTGCTGGTGAAGATATGGAATAACAGGAACATTCATTCATTGTTGTTGGGAATGCAAAATGGAAGACAGTTTGGCAGTTTCTTATAAAGGTAAATATACTCTTATGATACAATCTAGCAATTGTATTCCTTGGTATTTACCCAGAGGAGTTGAAAACTTATGCCCAAACATATAACTGCACAGGGATGTTTATACCAACTTTATCCATAATTGCCAAAATGTGTAAGTAACCAAGATGACCTTCACTAGGTTGTTAAATAAAAAAACTTTGGTACATCCAGACAGTGAAATATTTTTTGATGCTCAAAATAAATACTTATCAAGCCATAAAAAGATATGTAGGAAAACATTAATGCATATTATTAAGTGAAAAAAGCCAATCTGGAAAGACTACATAAGGTATGATTCCAAAAATATCACAGTCTGTAAAAGGCAAAACTGTGGAGATAGTAAAAATATAGTTATGTTCAACAGGGAGGTAGGAATTAATAGGCAGAGTACAAGGATTTTTAGGGAAACTACTCTGATAGTGTAATGGTAGATATATGTCATTGTACGTTTGTCCAGATCTATAGAATGTACTACGCTAAGAGTGAACACTAAGGTAAATTATGGACTCTGGTTGATAATGATGTGTCAATGTAGGTTCATCAATTGTTATAAATATATCATTCTCATGGAGTGTGTCCATAACGGGAGAGTCTATGCATGTGTAGCGGCAGATGGCATATGAGAAATCTCTGTACCTCCGGTTTAATTTTGCTCTAAACCTAAAACTATTTTAAAAAATAAAATCTATTTTAAAAAGCAAAAGACAAATTTGATTAAGTTTATGGATGGCCTGGATGTCTGTAGAATTCTTTAGTAAAATGAGAATTCAATAACATTATTATATTAACAGTAAAATATCTACAGAAGTTACTATGCCTCATAATTTATTAAGGAGCTTAAATACATTAAATATACAAACTTCATTAATAAATGTAATTATCTGTAATTTACCAGTGATGTCACAACATAAGGCAAATTATATAACTTGTCTCAACATGGTACAGAGTAAAAGAAAAAAGTAATTCTACTTCCATCTTCAAATCTATGTTCTTAATCACAATACAGTAATATTCCCATTATACATCTTCACCACAATGTGCCCTTTTGTTTATCTTAAACAATTTTTCCTGGAATTTTCAAATTAATATTTTTTATTTCAAAATTGCTTTTTATTACAATATTCAGCATATTTTCTCTTTATTTTGCTATATAGTTTTTCCTTTAGATATATGTTTTATCTATGGCAGTTTTTTTTTCTGTCTTATATGTTCTCTCTAATTATTGCCTTCTTTAGACCCCTGCATTTTGTGTATAAGATATTGCTCAAACTGCATTTCAATGTAGTTTTCATGGAAATATTAATGTTAGTTATATACATGAACTTTATCAATATCAGAAAAATTAAAAATTGTGTATTACCATATTCAAAGCTCTTACTAATCTTACAGTTTTAAACAATTTTATCTAAGCACATTTCTTAAACTAATTTCACATCCATCACAAACAGACGTAAGCATAAGCACACATATGCCTTTTTTCTACATGGGATATCTCACATTGGGCAATGTTACTGTGCATATTTTCTTAGGTGTGCTGTTTGTGTCACTGAGTTTTATGTCTTCAATATTGATTTTGTTCAGCCGATTATGTTGTTTAGCTACTGTGATGATCCTCTTTCTTCTTAATGATTTTTTTTCATAACCCAGCTCTTTTATATTCAGTTTTCCTATTACTCAGATTTTCAAATTTCACATTCTCTTTAAATTAAGGATGCAGTTGTGGTGCTAGAATAACGTGGGTTGTTTAAAATTTCTTTGTTATATTAAATCTTCTTTCTAAGCATGTTTAAAAATCAGTCTTTTGCAAGATTTTCTTTTTCTCCTTCTCCTACCCTTTCCTTTGTCCTTCACTGCTATTGCCTCTCTACAAAATTATTCCATTATTCCCATTTATTTTGGTATTATTAATTTTGATCAGAACCCACAAATATCTAGATAAACTATCTGCCTGAAAATCACATATATGGGCTATTTTTTTTTTTTTACTATCTCCTGTTTGAATTCACACCTAAAAACTTTACTGTGGAATATCTGATGTGTAGTCATTGTTCAGACATTCAGTTACCTGTGAGTGGAGAGAAGAACCTATGGACACAGTTAATGCTAAAGTCTATATTTTTTTTTTAAATCTAAATTTCATGAAAGTTGGTTGAATATCTTCAATTCTTCTTATCCATAAAGTGATTGGTATATCTTGCTTCACTTTGCAATGTAATGACAATGAAAATTGAATTTAAATACATTTTATCTACTCTCCACTCCAAAGCTTCTTTTGGTCTGCTACTACGATTTTTGCTTGTAGGATGTTTACACTATTGCTTGCTCTCCACTCTTACCATCAGACCATATCTTTTCTATTTAGGGATTTAGTCAATGAGCAAAAGTGATGATGTACAATTAGGCCATCTTTCCTTTTGTACTGTATTGATAAGCCCTGATGAAATTTACTGAAAATAAAATTTATTGTCTCCTGTAAAACACACACATATGCACAATTCTGGTCTCTCTATATTGGAAAAGATTTGTAGGATATTTTAATATTTATTTTACTTACTTCCCACGAACGTTTCCATGCCATTCATTAAGAGAGTTTTATATGATTTCCACTGTCCTCTTTCATTTGCTCCAAATTCTATTTAAATTGCCATAAAACTGTGCATTTGTGTAATGAAGCTAGAGGCATTCTCTTTCAGTAGGGATGATCTTTTTCACTTCTTTTTCTTTAGCTTGGTTCAATGTGAATAAAGAAAATTTTACAAAGAGGCATAAATGCTGATTCTTTTTCATTTAATTTTTATCTCCTAACTTTTAAATTCAACAATATAATTTATAATTATTCTCTTAAAAATGTGTTCTTTACTGTTTCTGTCGGAAACATAAGCCTAACAAGTTTTAGCAATTCATTCAGTCTGATGTTTTATGACACTGTGGTGTCCCAGCCCAGGAAGAACATGTTGGTATATCCAGTTTGCGTTTATAAGAAATTAAACTGGTCAGAGCTGTGGCTATAGATTTAAGAATTAAACATAGAAGAAAAAGAACAAAATACACAAAAAGTAACACCTTTTAAATTATTCTGAATCTGGAGTCCTGGAAAGACTATAGGGGTTAGTTGTAAAGTTAAGAAGTGGTACTGAGTTCAGTATTTGGAATAAATTTCATTTTTTCTTTACTTGTAGATTTGATGCTGGATTGACAGCATCACACACACACACACACACACACACACACACACACACACACACACACCCAATGAGCCACTGACTGTTTTTTAATAGAAGCAGCAAATAGAGATATTTATTCCATATTATCTGCAATAGTATTTTGTGGCATCACTGTCTAACTGAAATGGGAAAATTGGAACAATTATATTTCCAAAGTTTGCAGACTATCATGGTAGACATTTTGTACATAGAAAAAAATACAGGCCTAAAGAGAAGGTTATAACACAATGCTTGAATATATAGGGCTCTTCAGGTCATTACAAACTAATTACTCTCAATTTTAATCAATTATCTTGCTTCTATTATTTTCAACTCAGAAACTCCAGTAGAACCACACTCCAATAAAGACACGGGAATTTTCACTGAAATTTTTGTGACTTGTCTGTTGGCCCTAGATATTAAGGCTCATTGAAAATGTGGGGCTGGATGCAGTGGCTCATGCCTGTAATCCCAGCACTTTGGGAGGCTAAGCAAACCTTGAACCTAGGAGGTCAAGGCCAACTTGGGCAACATAGTGAGACCCCATATCTACAAAAAATAAAAATATTAGCCATGTGTGGTGGTGTGTGCCTGTAGTCCCTGCTATTTGGGAGGCTGAGGCAGCTGGATCCTTTGAGTCTAGGAGCTGGAATTGAAGCCAACTGTGATCCTGCCACTCCCCTCCAGCCTGGGTGACACCAGCCTGGGCAAAAAAGTGAGAATCTCTCTCGAAAAAAAAATTAAAAATAAAGTATTAATAAAATAAAATGCAGCTATTTGCTATATCACATTTCTCCACATTGACTCAGGAAACTTCTCTCTTCAGAATTTCTCACTTTGTATTGTTTTGTTAGGTTCAGTTGTGAGGTTTTCATATGTTGTTAGGATTTATTTTCAGTGTTAAAGCAATACATTTAAGAGATGTAACATATGTTTTAAAATGTTCATGTTGTTATAATGGATGTGGTATTGGGGCAAATCTAACTTTTTATGATGCTCTTTAAATTTTAAGTTTGCATGTTTAACAACAGTCAGTTGTTACTGATTATGACAAGCTGTACCAGTTATAAAAAATGCATAATTGCACACAAAGTTTCAATTATGGTTCCCTTAATTACCAGAATAAAATTTCATTAACTCCTTGCTTGTATTTCTTCTGTCAAGCAAAGCAATATTTTTTGATCACTAAGTGAAAACTCAGTTTGTTTAGAATTACTGAAATATTTTCCTTTTATTTCACTTTATTATTAAAATGGCTTTGGCACTAATTTTAAATGGTATCATTTTCTTTTCTATTTCATCCAAATGTACTCAATCTTTAATGTGGTAACTGCCACGTAGTAAAACATAAGTAAATATTTGTTGAGTATATGAAAATAAATGATATAAAAAATAGAAATTTGGTGAAAATTTATGTATTTTTCCTCTAAAATCAAAAGCAATGACTGATAAGAAAAAACATTATACAAACTTAAAACAAAGTATTATAAAAAAATTATACAAACTTAAAAATAAGCATTTAAATTTAGTAGCCTAGTAAGGCCTGGAAAGTTCTCTAAAACTTCAAATACAATTTTGTATATTTTTAAAATATACCTTACAATTCAAGTTAAATGTCAGATTTGACGTTTGTTCCCTACTGCTGCTAAACAAATGCTACATGTAATTTAGCATTATAGTAGCTTGTCTTGACCCAACTTGATCATTTTAATGGGTATTTAAAAGATTAATTCACATAAGAGTAAATAACTGGGCATATTTTTCCTGTTTATTTTTCCCAAGACAAATGAGGAAGTGCAGCATTTAGTTTGCACTCTATGTTTTTCTGCCTTGTCACATATACTACTTTGATTAATAAAAGGTTAACTTTGTTTATATTTCTTCAGTAGATTTCCTCTATGGTTGGGACAATGTTTGAGCTGATGTACATTAAAAGTTAAAATATCTGAAATTACGCATAAAGCAGAATGTAAATGGATTTCCAGTGTAATTAAATAACCAAAATTATAATTTTCTCCTTTATCCAATCTACTGTCATGTTTTCTTTAAAATTTTGATTAGCTATGTACCATTTGTAATATAGGGTATTAGCTTTCACAGAATAAACAACAGTGCTCCACAAAGAGGAAAAATTGCAGTGAAGAATATCTGCACCACGCTTGTGTTATAGGATCTTTAGGGTATCAGTTTTCTTTCCCTGAAACCTCTGTTGCTGGTGGCACCTTTGCCCTTTGCCTGAGTTCTTGTCCTGCAGGCAGGAAGAATGAGGTTTGCTGACAAGCGAAGGGTGAAGAATATGAAGAGGAGCTTTATTTAGAGTTAGAACAGCTCAGAAGGAGATCCACAGTGGGAAGCTCCCCTCTGTGGGCAGGCAGGTCGTCCATGAAGTGTGCAGCTCTCAACAGAGAGGAGGCCCTGGAGAGAGTAATTCCTCTCTAGTCACTGGCAATGCCAAGGTCCACTGCTCTCAGCAGAGAGGAGGCCCTGGAGAGAGTAACTCCTCTCTACCCACTGGCAGTGCCAAGGTCTGCTGTTCTCAGCACAGAAGAGGCCCTAGAGAGAGTAACTCCTTTCTAGTCACTGGCAGTGCCCAGGTCAGCTGCTGTCAGCAGAGAGGAGGCCCTGGAGAGGGGAGCTCCTCTCCTCAGGCAGGTCTGCAGGTCGTATTGAGAGGTGACAGCTGCTGGCAGTCCTCACAGCCCTCGCTCGTTCTCGGCGCCTCCTCTTCCTGGGCTCCCACTTTGGCGGCACTTGAGGAGCCCTTCAGCCCACTGCTGCACTGTGGGAGCCCCTTTCTGGGCTGGCCAAGGCCGGAGCCGGCTCCCTCAGCTTGCAGGGTGGTGTGGAGGGAGACGCGCGAGCGGGAACCATGGCTGCCGGTGGCACTTGAGGGCCAGCTGGAGTTCCGGGTGGGCGTGGGCTTGGCAGGCCCTGCACTCGGAGCAGCCAGCCGGCCCTGCCGGCCCTGGGCAATGAGGGGCTTAGCACCCAGGCCAGCGGCTGCGGAGGGTGTACTGGGTCCCCCAGCAGTGCCAGCCGACTGGCGCTGCGCTCAATTTCTCACCGGGCCTTAGCTGCCTTCCTGCAGGGCAGGGCTCAGGACCTGCAGCCCGCCATGCCTGAGCCTCCCACTCCCTCCATGGGCTCCCTGGCTCCGGAACCTCCCCGATGAGCACTGCCCCCTGCTCCACCGTGCCCAGTCCCATCGACCACCCAAGGGCTGAGGAGTGCGGGTGCATGGAGCAGGACTGGCAGGCAGCTCCACCTGCAGCCCCGCTGCGGGATCCACTGGGTGAAGCCAACTGGGCTCCTGAGTCTGGTGGGGACGTAGAGAACCTTTATGTCTTGCCCAGGGATTGTAAATACACCAATTGACACTCTGTATCTAGCTCAAGGTTTGTAAACACACCAATCAGCACCCTGTGTCTAGCTCAGGGGTTGTGAATGCACCAATGGACATTCTGTATCTAGCTACTCTGGTGGGGCCTTGGAGAACCTTTATGTCTAGCTCAGGGATTGTAAATATACCAATTGGCACTCTGTATCTAGTTTAAGGTTTGTAAATACACCAATCAGCATCCTGTGTCTAGCTCGGGGTTTGTGAATGCACCAATTGACACTCTGTATCTAGCTAATCTGGTGGGGAGGTGGAGAACCTTTGTGTCTAGCTCAGGGATTATAAACACACCAATCAGCACCCTGTCAAAACAGACCACTTGGCTCTACCAATCAGCAGGATGTGGGTAAGGCCAGATAAGAGAATAAAAGCAGGCTGCCCGAGCCAGCAGTGGCAACCCGCTGGGGTCCCCTTCCACACTGTGGAAGCTTTGTTCTTTTGCTCTTTGCAATAAATCTTGCTACGGCTCACTCTTTGGGTCCACAGTGCTTTTGTGAGCTGTAACACTCACCGCGAAGGTCTGCAGCTTCACTCCTGAAGCCAGAGAAAACACGAGCCCACCAGGAGGAACGAACAACTCCAGACGCGCCGCTTTAAGAGCTGTAACACTCACCTGCGAAGGTCTGCAGCTTCACTCCTGAGCCAGTGAGACCACGAACGCAGCAGAAGGAAGAAACTCCGAACACATCCGAACATCAGAAGGAACAAACTCCAGACGCGCCACCTTAAGAGCTGTAACATTCACCGCGAGGGTCCGCGGTTTCATTCTTGAAGTCAGACCAAGAACCCACCAATTCCGGACACAGTTTGGCAGTCTCTGCAGGTCTCTGCAAGTCTATGACACTCTTAGCAGAGAGAGTAGCTCCTCTCTGCTGCTGGTCCGCCGGGCCTCTGCTCAGCTCTGGGGGAGCCTGGGGCTTTTTATGGGCCTCAGAGGGGAAGTGTGTGCTGACTGGCCCATGGGTGGCCATGGGCAGGCCTGGAAAAGGCACCAGTTCCCACTCCAGTCAGTGGGACTGGCAGCCTGACCCCTCAGCCTTCAGGTGCTCCCTGGTCTGAGGCAGGGACCTTACCAGGGACCCACCCCCTTCTGCCTAGGACTCTGCCTCCCGCTGTTATTGGCTCCCAGGCTTAGGCCGACTTTGCTCTGAGATCCCAAGGGGCACCAACAGCAGGGCGAAGCCAGGCAGACAGGGCAGGCATTTCCGAGCCTTGCAAGGGCAGGGGCCGCCTTCTCAGGCCCTCAAGAGTGCAGGGATGCCTGAGTCTGCAGCGGCGGTTTGGGCTGTTGCAGCCCCGCCCAAAAGGGCGGGGCTCCTCCCTGTTGTGTGGATAGGGCAGCCCCAGCCACACCTCCCTGCTGAAGCTGGGATGATTGCAGTCTGACTGGAGCGGCTGCTGCCATTGCTTGGACTCTTCTTCAGGAGATAATTACCTAAAAAACATAAAATAAAACCGGTGCCCACTTTCTCATGGTTATGACAAAAGGTTTCACCAGGTGAAGTTTAAAAAGCTCTGTTAAAATACGGACTGCAAATCTTGGTAGCAAAAAAAAAAAAAAAAAAACCCACAAAAATAACATTGCTACATGTGGGTTTTTATGTCAGTTGATGATGCTCTTATCTCTTTCATTGGAACATGAAAAAGACTATTTTGGATATATAGGACATTTTCAGTAAAGTAAAAAATGAACTAAAAATATAACTTTTCCAAACCTATAATTTTATTGAATATATTTGATTTGTGGTGTGTAGATGGACATAATTGTGTATTTTGTAAGACTAGTAACCAGTTAAATAATAATAAAAAAAAAAGCTAGAGCATCAGAAAAAGTTTCCACCTTGACAGGAAAAACAAGACTTGGGTCGTTAGACTCTAATAGCTTTTAATGTCTTGGGGCATCAAAACAATTACCACTTGGAGAGAATGATTTAGCTAGCTGTGAAAGCTACTCAGGAGTAGCTAAATACTTACAAATGTTTCACAGATTTGGTCTGTGAGCTTTATGACCATCTCTGGACAGATGATCAGCTTTGGTATTGGAATTGCTCTGCAAGGTATGGATCCTGTCCTAGAAAAGCAGATACATTCTTTTGATGCTGTTACCAAATATAGAAAATTTAACAGTATGCTCAACCATCCTCTCACATTTGCACATACTCAAAATAAAGGAAGTCTTAGACCCACAGTTTCAATTAAGTCAATCACTGTGATTCTAAATCCTTCAAAGGCTAGTTCCACCTTTCTCCCACGATACCTAATGTGAGTTTTTCCAATGCTTAGCCATGCTGATTCAGCACAAATCTGAAAACTGTGTGTCTTTTGAAGGAAAACACTTTCTAGAAAACTGTTATTCCTTTCTGTTGTTATATTTCCACACTGATTTGCAGAAAAAGTTGCTAATGCAGTAGCCTCTATAAATCTCTTTGTCTCATTGAAAATTATTTACCTTTTATATGTGCCATATACCCCAACCCCACTGAAATATTTTCCTAGGATAAATAATCAGATGCAAGAAATTAAAACATGCAACATGAATCATCAGAGGATCTTCTACACATGGGGCTGCACTTTCCTTGAAGCCTCAGTAGCAACAGTCACATTCTGTTTAAATGCTGAAAGCCCAGTCTATTACTGGTAGTTCAGTGTATTACTGGTATTTCTGGGAATCCCTGAAGAAAGATAGTGTATTTCATAAATCTCTTCTGGTCACTGATAGTTAATTTTTCTATCCACTATCCTTCCCACTCTCACGAACCACTTTTCTTCTTTTTTATGGCTTACTTCTTTTTCTTTCAAAAATAACTTTCTGCCTGTAATGCCATCACTTTGGGAGGCCGAGGCGGGTGCATTATCTGAGGTCAGAAGTTCAAGACCAGCCTGACCAACATGGTGAAACCTCGTCTCTACTAAAAATACAAAAATTAGCCAGGCATGGTGGTGGGCACTTGTAACCCCAACTACTTGGGAGGCTGAGGCAGGAGAATCACTTGAACCCAGGAAGAGGAGGTTGCATTGAGCCAAGATCACACCATTCCACTCCAGCCTGGGTGACAGAGCAAGACTCCATCTCAAAAAAATAAATAAATAAAATAAAGTAACTTTCCCAGGATGTTACTGTTTGCCCAGACTGTTTTGGTTTAAGCCTGGGTACATGTTCCTTCTTAATTCAGAATGTGGTTAAGACAAGACTATTATTTCACAACACATTATTGAAATACAGGGAATAGCAAACTATAATGCATAAAAGCAAATCTTTGAATGAAATTTTATTTATATAATCAATAGCAAGATATCTTATATGAAGTCTTACCCTGATAACTTTTTCTGAAGCCTATACTCATGTAACAAGGTTCAGAATGTAACCATAATAATACTTTTGAACATGATTCCTAAACTTGAATCTCCATGAAAATTACAGTGTTTAATTAACCTCTACTTTAAGGTTCATCTTTCAACAAATATTCTAATAACTTTCAAAGATGAAACGTTGGTCAGAGAAGAAAGATTCAAAAAGAACTTTTATATTTGTATAAAATGTTTAAATATATGGAAAAATAACCAAGACTTGTGCTAATGTCAAGCTGTTTGTTGCAGGGCCTATTGTAACAGAACTTTGCTGTTCTTTCATGTTATGAGACGTTATTTCTCAGACAGGCATTAAGGTCAGTCTTAAAACTGGTTATGGGGAGGCTGATTTCACCCCTACATCTATTCTCCTAGGATTCGCATGTTGAAGCTCTCCTAGGTAAGAGGATAAGCTGAACCTAAAGGAAAACCAGGAATAGAAATACTCTTCCAGTAATGAAACCAGATTTGTGGTTAACAAACGTAAAACCAACTACATATTTATCTATCCTATATCCTGCCATCTTCCTCAGGGTATATCTAAATTTCAGCTGCAAGTAGTAAGTGTTGAGAAGAACCAGGACTTACCCCTTGGAGAGAGTGAGAACAGTGCTTTCTGTCCTCCTTGCTCACTCTAAGCACTCCCTCAGTTTCTAAATGGATGATTTAGGGTATGAAGTTTTTCTCTTTAAGTGTTATTTGGCAGAATAACCAAAACTTTCAGATACTTATGTGACACAATAATGATCCCAACTAAATCTTTTGTACTGTATAAACAAACTAGACTCTTTTATTCTTTGACTACTGAAAGTTGTAACATGTTATATAAAATGGCTTTCTGGAGAAAGGCAATAGGGTTTCTGAATTATGAACATTGGAACATTAAGTTGAATATTTGCTTTTTGTACTTCAACATGGCAAACAGCATATACTAGTTTGACATTATTATAAAGTAGATATGTGTAAAGATAGCACATAATTACTGTCTTGAAATTTCCAATTGCAGAAGAAGCTATTGATAATCTTTATATAATCACATATACAATAAAGTATCTAGGACTTCCATATGTATGTGTGTGTGTGGCAGGGATGTTCTCTTTTAATGAAAGAATGGTCTTCCCTGAAAAGCATATCCACATTTTCACCAAGTATGCATCTAGACCTCAAATTAGAACATGTAAGAAGAACATTTAGCAAGAGCACTGCAATGCATTCATTTTAATACAGAATTTACCATGTTAACCGGTTTGGTTCTTCAATGTATAAGTGTTAACTTTAACATAATATTAAGTGGAAAATCAAGTTGCATTTTTCCTCAGATTATTATGAATGGAAGTAAAATTTGGCAAAATCTGATAGATCTAATACTGTTATGACTAAATATTAGTTATCACAATTAGACAAAGTGCAGAAAAATTTTGGCTTGTCTGTAGAACTGACTACTATCATTACTATCTTTTCATAGATAGATCTGTCTTCTGCAAATTAAACGTAAATCACTTAAGTCCTAATTCATAAAAATAAAAACTTTTAAATGTGACAGACTAAATGCGCATATAGCACTATATAGTGATTTATTTGTGAAACCATAATTTATTAAATATATATATATTATATAATGCATTAACAATGGTACTATCAGCAAACTAATGAATTTGTTAGAGATTTTTATTGTGAGTGATGAAATGAATGGATTTAATATGGATGATTCATTATTCAAGTTAGAGGAAACAAAGTACTTGATTCATAAGAAAAAATAGAACCTAGATCAAAATTTGATTTTGAACTAGAGCTACTAATTTAAAGGTAGCTTTAAAAGGGAGCTTTGAGTACCAGTAAGAGTACCCATCTAATACACATTTTGCTTCAAATGTGTACACGTGTTTTCAGTCTTGCACATTTATGAAATATATAGTCCATACATATGTATATATATAAATTATACTCTAGTGATTTTATTTTAGTCATGTTTAAACTTTAGTCATGTTTAAATATTTTTCATCAATATATTCTTAGGCTAGAGGGATACAGGCCTATATTTTGGGATCTTTTCCAACAACTAAATGCTATTGTAGGACAAATTTAGTTGATATTCTAAAACACTGGAATCTTTTATTTCAACTCATTGGGAAGAGTATATGTAAGTCAAATTTATCTGTGGTGGCCTTCCTGAGAAATCTTATCTATTCTCAGAATTTAATTAAAGACTTACTCTAAGTTAATGCTTAACAAATAAGTGTTGCTACATTAGAATATTGTTGAGGTTAATTTTATCCAACATTCAGCTGAATGTTAGATCTATTCCTTGCCATACCAATGTCCATGAAAACATTAAAATCAGCATCTCGAAAGAAAAGCTCATTTTCTTTCCTCTAATGCATTGCTTTTTCTATTTTTACTCTTATTCTTTATCATAATGAATAACATCCAGGAGTCACCCTGGACTATTTTTCTGCTTTGCAGATAATATCTATGTAGTGATCAATTCCTGTGTATTCTGACTTCTCAACATTTCTCCTTTCCTTCTTCTCTCCAGATTTATTGTAGGTGGCTCATTGTCTTTTTATTAAAAATCTGCTTTCTGACTGTGTAAAGTCAAGCCGAGCAGTGTTAATCAGTGTTACAGAAAGCCACAGAGAAAGATCAGATTGGATGTACAATTAATTCATGAACACCATCTTTAAATAGGTCCACACAGTCCCTAGTAATCTTCTATGACTACTGGTCAACTGTGCTTTTATACTTGCATATATACTGTTTGCATCTCTAAATTTGCACACTTTCCTTAACCATTCAACTTTCCATAACCCTAACGTTTATCACCTGAATTAACCACCTACTTCAAAGAGAACAGAGAAGACACATATTGCCATTCCATCACTTTCCTGTTAACAGACATAAAATCAAATACATATTTATCTATCCTATAGCCTTACTATAAAAATAGAGTCTCTGTTCGTTCTCTCATCTGAGATTGATTTTTATTGTCCCCTGCCGTCTTAAAGGACTTTTAACTATAAATACCCTCTTTCCTAAATACTAAACATTTTCCTAGAATTCTTAAATTTTCTTAAGGCTCTTCCATAAAATACAAAAGAAAAATAGTCGACTCAAACTCTTATCACTCTTCAGCTACAAATCTCTGTTTCTTCACAGCAAAATTATTCAAGTTTTTTTAGTTTGATGTCTTTATTTCCTCACGACTCTTCACTTCAGTATGGTTCTGTTCTCTGATTCAGCAGTTGCTGAAACTACTTCTGCTAAGTTGCTTATGACCTCTACGATTCTTATCATTCTCTACTCTTTAACAGTATTTAACCCAGTAAGCCATTTGCTTATCTTGGCCTTATTTCCTCAGCAATCTTCTGATTTCTGCCAGACTGATCAATCATCTCTCTGTCTCACATGTTTTCACATAGTTCCTCATACTTCTCAAACCTCTTGTACTTTTATATGTAGTTTTTTTTCTGGCTGGAGAGTTTTTCTTTTCAAATTATTTGCCTAGTTAATGCCTTTGTTCTTCACATCTCTGCTGAAAACTTTCGTCATCTAGAACTCTATCTCAACTCATCCCGCATTACAAAATATCATGGTACTATTTATCTCTCCTTGACCACAGTTTTAACGTTTGCATTTTCACATTTCTCTGTGTTATCATTTGGGTAATATCTTTCTCCTCCATCAGCTGCAAAATGGTTTCGGGTGGATGGGAACCACTGTTGGTTCCTGGCACCATGCTCAACAATTATATGTACTGAATGCATATGGTATTATAATTTGATTATGTTGTTTGTTTTTTTAATCTCAGTGAGGCTTATTATGAACTTTTCAGAATCATGGACTCTATTTATCTTTGCTTCCCTAATATCAAGCACAGTATCAGTTACATAGAAGGTACTCAAAAATTACTAGTTAAAATAAATTGAGTCATGTGGGTACACATGACTATTTAATACAGAAGTAAGATTGTAGTTAAATAAATGTTTCTCTTTAAAAATATTAAATATAAAAATTGCTACATTTATTCTAATCCTATGTCAAAATAATGTTTAATCAATACAAACAAAACAATTAAAAAGTGCTGTAAAACCAGATACAATTTGAGAAAGCACAAATAGGAGGCAAAGATAAGCATTTCACAGGAAAGCTCTACAACAATATATAATATAATAATAATGTTTAACTGCTTACATGGTTGCTTTGAGCTTCATCTTAAGCTTATTCTCACTGCTAAGTATTTTTGTCCATCCATAAAAACCTCACCTTGATTTACCCTTATTAACCATTGTCATGTTGCTAATTTGTTTGACTCTATGACTATGTTTTTTAAACAATTCAAAATTACAGTCCACTTGTCATAAATAGCTCAAAACAAATGAAGTGATTTTTGCCTATTTTCCTTTTTTATAAGTAAATATCTATGGTCTTACTAGTCAGTAATTTGAAATAAAAACTGATGGTTTTGAGACTGCATGCCTACTTAGTTGTATTTTTTCCCCTGTCTCATGAAGCCCCATAATATAAAATGTATACTTTATATATATATAAATATATGTATATACATATATACATTAACATGTATGTATACATATATGTCATGTATATGTACACACATTTACATGCACACACATATTAAGGAATTATGGATTCTGGGTCTATACCTAGTTCTTTGATTAACTATTTGATTTACATAAATTACTTAGGAATACTGAATTTCCTGAAATGCAAATGTTGGGGGTTGGATAAATATCTAAGGACTCTGCTAACCTTAATATAGTATAAATTTTTAAATCTCAGTAGCCCATTTTTATAGTCACAGAATACAATTTTATAATTAGTGAGTTTAAAAAGCTGGAAAGAAAAAAGAAATAAATGCTCTATTGTCCTGCTGCCATCACAATTTCTATTTCTATCTAAATTACACAAAGCATCAATCAAAATAATTATATCAAAAATGTTAAAAGCAGAGAAACACACCCAATAAATTACTGACTCCCTTATAAAATCTATGATGACAATGTTGTTAGGCTTAAATTTTATTTAAATTTACCATTTAATGACATTCTCATAAATGTCAAGTTAAAAGTAAAACCCCTTATGCTTAATTCTATTCTTATGCTTGGTTGTTTTTTTCAAAAAATATAATAATGAAAATATAGTAAAGTGTAGGAAATGAAAGCAAGTATGTGACTTTCAATTTATTATTGTTTAATTCAAATAGCATCAAATTAAGTTGAAATATGGCCTGACGCAGTGGCTCATGCTTGTAATCCTAGCACTTTGGGAGGCCGAGGCGAGCGGATCACAAGGTCAAGAGACTGAGACCATCCTGGCCAACATGGTGAAGGAAAAGACAAAAGAACCAATTCTCCCAAGACCATTCTTAAAGATAGAATTGGTTCTTTTGTCTTTTCCAGCACCTGGAGGCCACTTGCTTTCCTCCATGCCACAGAGTAGCACATTCAAATTCTCTCTGATTCTCTTGGCTCCCTTTTATAAAGACCCTCGTGATTACATTTGGCCCACTGGATAATCTAGGATAATGACTCCATTATAAGATTCTTAACTAAATCACAGAGGTAAAATCCCCTCTACCATGTAGGTTTCCATATATACAGAATGGAGTAATTAGGACATGGATATCTTTACTCTACCCATCGCAGTTGCCTACCAAAATTCAATACCACAAAGTTGTAAGTCTAGATATTTGAAGAAGACACATTTGGATTCCAGAGAAACAAGGGTATTTGGAAGAATATAATTAGGCTTTGGTGTCACTTAAAGCAGGTTTAGAACTCAGAGCTGTCATTTGCCAGATACAGAACCTGTGACAAATTATTCCATCTCTCTTAGTCATTTGTATAATTTCTTGAATGGAGATATAAATGAATTGTAAATTGAGGAGTTCTTATGAGAAATGGAAATATCATACCTAGCAAATAGTAAGGTGTTAGTTATCTAGTTATTACTGAGATTATTATAGAGATTAATTCAAATTTTATACATATATCTGAAATTTCTAAAGTTAAGTTATTATCCAGCTACTATACTCATTTCTGTATCAGATGCTCAGATTTCTAGTTATTCAAGCACATATTATTTTTGTGGCTAGAAACAGCATTGATAGCATAAATAAAGTAAAATATTTACAAGAAAATATTTGAATATGCCACCAAATTATGAATGCATCCTTATTATTTCACATCCCCGCCATATATTTACCCCAGCTGTCCTAACCTGAAAAGTGATCCTTTGCACTTGTATGTGACATTTGTATTGCTTGTTTATAGATTTAAAGTTTCTATTCTGCTATTTATTTTTACAAGTCTAGAAAGAAAGAAATGAAATCTATAATTGCTTAAATTCAGTAAAATAGAGGATATAATATAGGTTGTTACAAAGTGAGTTAGATAATGTGTGAACTATATTATAACCTCTTCTGACACAAATAAGAAAAATAAAATGAAAAGAGCAAAGAATTAGGCAAATAATATACAAAGGAAATGAACATGCAAAAAGGACAAATGGCCAGTAAACATATGAAAACATTATTCTCAGATTTCCTAGAAATCAGGGCAATGCAAAATTTAAATAACAATGAAATAACTGTTTTACTGATAAAGCAGGCAGAATTTAAAAGATTAATTAGAGTGCTAATGAGTATGTGAGGAATGAGTACTCATAAGTTTTAGCATAAATTGGTTTTTTTTGGAGATCAATTTGTTAAAATACCAGCATTTCAGTAAACTATCTTTTGTATATTTTACAGCACTTTTGTAATAGTGGGAAAATTCTAAAACCCTAGGTGTCCATTTATAAGTACATTTTTACATCAAAGAGGGTCCTTCCATGTTATACGACAGTGTGTATCCTCTTAAAGGAGTCTGTTGAAGCTCAATGTACTAATAGGGAGATTTTTAAAGTGTGTTATTAAGTAAAAGCACATTGCAGAACCATAGAACATGATAATATCGGTGATTAAAAAAACTATCTATGTAGCAAATATGTGTGTATATACATTTATACACATATATGTGTGTATATTGTGTGTATATGAGTGTATTTGTATACAAATATATGTATGTAAAGGAAGTTTGCCAAAATAAAGATAATACATACCTCTGACTAGGAATGTGAAATTTGAGTGAGGAAAGATGGAATGTTAATATTTTTCTTTGTGTATTTGTATTTATTAAATCTTCAAATAACATTTTCCTGTACATATGTAAAATTTAAAAAGAGAAAAGAATGTTTGGGGTTTATGTATGAAAATAAAGTGAAAGTCATGAAAAGCTATGATTTTTAAATCTTTAGGCTAAACTTTAAATTATGAGTAGGGTTTTAGTCAAGCAGAAAGGGTGAGAAAATCCATTTCGGAAAAGCAGAACAGTATGAAAAAGGCATACATGTATGAATGTACACGTGTAATTAGTTCATTTTAGAGAATACAGTCCTAGATCAGAATGTCTTTATTTTTGGCTGTTATCTAGGACATAAACCAATGTAATTAGGAACTTAATTACTCCTTTAATGAGAGTGGTGACTACAATATTCCATGGGGTACCAGCTTAGATTTTATGTAAGCTCTAATTAAAATGTAAACATATTTTCAAAGTATAGCAAAATTGCTCTGCAAATCCATTTGTTCCCCTCTTGTTTATAACCACCCATTTTTATTTTATAAATATCCACTAAGGAAAATGAGTATACAGCTTAACTGTTAAGTGTTATTTGAAGTTAGAACCATCCCACAATCAGAAGAAGGAAGAGGAAAAGGAGAAGGAGAAGGAGAAGGAGAGACCTGGTGGCATAGGAGAAAGAAAAGAAAGGGGTAAGGGTGAAAGAGGAAAATAAAAGAATGGAAAAGGGAGAAGAAGGAGAAGGAGAAAAAGGAGAACAGTACAGGAACTTGTATTCATCCAACCATTCATTTATTGTGGAGCTATTATATTATGTATTGCATACTGTCCTAAGAACAGGAACAAGACCAGATTCTATATTCTCAAGACTGTCTGTGGAGTAGAGGGATACGTACAGGTAAACAGCTACGTTTAATACAGTGCTAGGAAATCAGAAAAGCTATTGGTAAATCACATAGAAATGGTTTTTCTCCAGAGGTGCAAGGGATCCAAAAAGGCTTCATGGACGATTTGATAATTGAATAGATCTGAGAGTGGAGAAATGAACATAATTGCAGCATAGGGAATATTTTAGAGGCAATTACTGCCTGAAATGAAGAGGGAGCCATATGAACAAGTGCAGAAAGTGACGGAATATCTTGCTGAATAAGTTTGTCATTCAGAAGGACTAAACCCGAGGAGTTATCAGAGGTACAGCTGGAAAGAGTGGGGTTTGCACTACAAAATATATATATTCCCCTTCTCTTGCATTTCTATACACTTTCTCCTCATTGAGAGATCTTGTCTCTAGGTGGGTCACTCTTGACCAAATTTATCAGTTCATTCTTAAAAGGCTTCCCTTTCTTTCCTCTCTGGCCTAGGCTTGCCATCTTAATACTATTCATTGTCTTACCCATGTTGCCAGAGCACCTACTTTGGATTCTTACAACGATTACTCTTACATCTCTCAACATATGGACTACTGACTGCTGCAGGAGAAACCACATGATCAGGTTGAATTAAGCCACTGAAAATTTATGGTCTCCAGTAACACATAGTTTCTAAATATTGTGCTGGTAAGTTTGCTCTACCAATCACATCAGAGCTATATTTCAATATCTTACTTGTTATTACTCATATTTGTTATGTCCTTTATTGGACATTTAAAAATATGTATATATAATGTATATGTAATGTGTGTACATATATATATAATGTGTGTATACACACACACACACACAGTTCAATTCTATCACCATGCAATAGCTGATTGCTCCTGAAATTCATGTAAATTAATTTTGTAGCATGCACCCTTTTGTGTCTTTATTTTCCCAACATAACATAATGATTGTGACGTACATGCGTTGTATATATAACTTCTTATTTTTAACTTATGTTGTCTATGATTATATCACCATACATCTATTTTCTTATCAATGGGCTATTTTCAAGTTTGGTTCATCATGCTATGAACATTTTTGTACATATTATTCTTGGATAAATATAAATAATTTCCAATGAATATGTAAATAGAGTTGAAATTACTGGCTAATATATATATTGTATGTTATGTTATGATAACATATATGCTATGATTGTTTCAGTGGCTTTACTTTCTCACCATCATTCAGCGTTTTCACTCTTTTAAATTTTAAACAATATAAATTAATTTCCATATCCTTGATGACTAATGATTTTGTGCATCTTTCTGTATCCCAATTAGGGATTTGGATAGATTTTTGTTGAAATGTCTATTTATGCACTTTATCCATTTTTTTAAAAAAACATTAAGACCTTTGCTGTTTTATTATTGAGTTTAGTAGTTCTTTTTGTAGTCTAGTAGTCAAGTTATTTATCAGATTGTTTTGTCTATTCATTTTCTTAAGGATGCCCTTTGTGAAACAGGTGTTATGCTAATAAAGTTCAGTTAATCAATTATATTTCTCTTTTTTAATTCACCTGAAGAAATAATTAAATGAACCAAAGTCCTGAAGATATTCTTTTATATTTTTTTCTAGAGTCTACAGTTGTACATTCACATTTATGCCTAAAATCTATGTGTAATTAATGACTTATAAATATGATATGATGAAGCAGTCAAAATTATTATTTTTAGAAGTACAGATATTCAATTGCTCCAATACCATTTATAGAGAAGGCCATTATTTGCCCCTTGAATTGTGGTGCCACTTTTATTTAAATCTTGCTGTAGTATATGTGTGTCAATTGCTGGACTTTCTCTTCTCTTCCAGTAGTCTGTTTGTTTCCATTACCACACTGGTTCAATTATTGCAGCTTCAAAATAAGCCTTGAAATCTGGTACTGTAATGGGTAATTCTGCTAATTCACCTTTAGGATTCTCTTGGCTAGTTTTGGTTTTTGCATTCCCATATTAATTTTAGAAAAAGGTTTTCACACAGACAGCTTGTTGGGATTTACATTAAAATTATACTATATAGATCAATATATAAATTAAATATGTAATATGCTCAATATAGAGAGAATTGACACCTTAACAGTGTCTAGTCTTACAATTTATGAGCATGGTTCATCTCTATTTATTTACATTTAAAAATATATCCCATATTTTGAAATTTTGCAAAAATTTCACATTAATTTATAGCTTTCAGTGTAGGTCTTTAATGCATATTAGATTTCTTCCTCATTATGTGATTTTTTATTTTATTCACTTTTTATTTTTTATTTAACTATTTATTTTTAAATTTCATTTTAATTTTGTATTGTTGTATGTATAATGGCCTTATATTTATCAACCTTATAAAATATACTTATTAATTCTAACAATTTATTTTTAGACTATTTTGTGTTTTTTACATATGCAATTAGGATATTTGTAAATACGAATTTTTATTTCTTCTTTTCCATTTTTATATATTTTCTTTCTCTGGCCTTATTGAACTTTCTAGGCCTTCCAATAAAATGTTGAATAGAAGATGTGATAGTGAATGCCCTGTGATGTTTAGGATCTCAGAAGTAAGCATTTAATATTTCACTATATTATTATGTTAGCCACATAATTTTTTGGTATCTATCTATTAATTTGTTTATTTTTGGTGACTTGATTTGGTATTTAAGAAATCTGACAAACTTGAGTTTGCCATCCTTTGAATCCAGGCCACATCAATTGTCATTGTGCTATGATTGTCCCAATTAGAGACACAGCTAATATCCAGCAACAACCGCCAGACACGTAAGAGGATTTCCAGATCATACCATCACGTGAACCTCAATTGTTGAGACTACCTCACTGATCAAGTATTTAAAGCTGAATTCCTACATGCAATGGAACAGAGACAGCCATTCCTGCTAGGCTTTGCCCAAATTCCTGATCCACAGAACTGATACTATATGAACGTGATAGCAAAAAGTAATTTTTCATGACAAAATATGTAGTGGTTTGTTATGTAGTAACAGTAACCAAAACAAAAGTTTATATTAAGAAATGTTTCATTTATTTATAGTTTGTTATAATTTTTTAATCATAAAAGCATATTGAATTTTATCAAATAATTTCTCTGCATCTATTGAGGTGATTATACAGTTATCTTTTATTCTGTTAATGCAGTAAATTACATGGATTTTTTTAAAAAATGTTAAGCAATTTACATAGCTATGCTAAATCCCAATTAGTCATAATATTTTGTTTCTTATAAAATACTGAAATTATATTTGATAATATTACTTTTAAGACTACTATCTGTTTATTAGATATATTATACAATAAACTTATGCTTTTGTAATATCCATGTCAGGTATTGATATCAACGTTTTGCTAGTCTCACATAATGTGTTGGTAAATGTTACTTCTCACCATATTCTACAGAAGTGTTAAAAAAAAGAACGGCATTTTTTTTTCATTCATGAATTTTTGAAAGAATTTATTAGTCCAGAAGTCACTGGACTATTGGGGCCTGGAGCTTTCTTTCTAGGAAGGTTTTTAACTATAAATTCAGTATCTTTAGCAGGATAAGCCTATTTAATTTTTCTTTTTATGTTGTACTAAATTATTTTTTCCAAGGAATATGTGCATTTAATTTCCATTTTGTTTTTTCCAAGGAATTCACCCATTTAATTTCCATTTTCAAATGTATAGGTAAAATGTTTGAAATATTTTGCAACTTGCCCAAAACATAGTCATTTTTGGTGTTTGTCTATCTTTTATTTGATTTCTTAATATTAACATGGTTATTTTGAAATGTTTGACTAATAGCTTTAAAGTTTGTATTCTGTCTGGGTCTGTTTATATTCATTATTTTATCTTTCGACTATCAGTCACATTGTTTTTCTACTTTCCATGTCTAGATGATGATTATGACGATGATGATAATGATTATATGTCTGTTGTTGCAAAGAATACATTGTAGGGGCTCTGAGTTACATTACCATCATCTAAAGTTAGTTGAAAATTCTTGTGGTAGTTACTTAAACTGCCATTGGCACACCCGAATTCTGTGAAGAATTTTTCTAGGTGACTCTATTTCAGTTTTGTCCTTATTGCTGAAGCATGTTCCTTACTCTTTGGGCATATTTTTTTTTCTCAAAACCCTTATTAAGGTTTCTCTACTTTGATGGAGCTTGAACTCCATTGTCTGCTTTCTTTGCACAAATACCACACTATCTTAATTACTGTCATTTTATATCACTTAATATATGGTAGTGAAAACCCAATTTTATCCTACTTTTTTACTATGATTTTGACTACTCTTGGCCTTTTTGCATTGTCCTATACATTTTAGAATTGGTTACAGTTTGGGGAAAATTGCCTTCTTTAAACTCTTCTAATACTCGAAAATGGTATATCCCTCTATGTGTCTGGTTCTTCCTTAATTTTTCTCAGTAATCTTTTGTGGTCTTTCTGTAGGAATGTTAGACAGAATTTAAAACATTTCTTGCTAGCTTTCTGATGATGTTAAATAAAACCTTTTAAAAATTTCATTACAAAATTTTGTGTAGCTGGTAGCTAGAAATACAATAGCTATTCACATACTGATTTTAGATTCAGCAACTTAAAAATTAATAACAAATTATAATCGTTTATCTGCGGGATCCTTTTGCATTTGTCAATATAAACATTTGTGCAACTGAGCATGTCTATTTATTTCTTTTTAATTTTTATATTCATGATTTTGATTTATTAGCTTTATAACCCTGTATAGATTCTCCAGTGCAATGCTGAAACTAAGTCTTTTGTCTCATTCCCAAATCAGAGAGAAAGTTTCCAATGTCTCATCATTAACCAGCTTATATCACATGACTTTTATTAATGATAATTGTATTTATTTATTTATTCATTTGAGACAGGGCCTGGCTCTGTCACCCAGGTTAGAGTTCAGTGGGAGCATCACAGCTCACTGCCACCTCTGTCTGCCAGGCTTAAGTGATCCTCCCACCTCAGCCTCCAGAGTAGGCAGGACTTCACCATCATGCCTAGCTAATTTCTGTATTTTTTGGCAGAGGTAAGGTTTCGCCATGTTGCCCAGACTTGTGTCCAACTCCTGGGCTCAAGTGATCTGCCTGCCTTGGCCTCCCAAATTGTTAGGATTACAGGTGTGAGCCACTGGGCCTGGCCTAAAGATAATTTTATAAGCTTAAAAAATTTCACTTATATCTCTAATTGGGTATTAGTTTTGTTTCATTTTGTCACACATATATTTGAATTCTATTTAATTCTTTTATATTATTTATCAGTATAATCACACTATTTCTTGATTTATTAATATGATAAATTACATTGACTTTGGAAATGTTAAAGCAAATTTACTTACTTGCAATTAAGCCAACTTGGTCATGCTATACCATATTAGATTTGATTTGCTAATATTTTGTTTGAAATTTTTGTATATTTTTGAAAAATATGGGTCTAAAGTTTTCCTTTCTTTTAATGTATATTTCATGCTCAGATATCAAAGTTTTAGTTACTTAATAAAGAGAGTTGGAAACATTATTCTCTTTTTATTTCTTTTATTTTTTCCATCTTCCATTGGTTACTGTGTGAAAGATATAAATTCTTCTTAGGCTTAAAGGTTTAAATTCTTCTAAGTAAAGTTTAAAAGTCTACTTCTATGATGTGCTTTGTCTATTACTCTTTTTTGTTCTGTCAATTTTTGCTTTCTGTATTTTCAAGCTTGTATGTGATAGTTAATAATTGATGAATTTTATATCTTCCCAGTAACCTGGTATTTTAAAATTATATTTTAAAATTCCTGTTTTTTTTTTCTGATGTTTCTTTCCTTAAAATCTAATTGGAAAAATTATCTATTTTACTTACTAGTTTTTGTCATATAGTTTTTCCGATTGCTAACATTTTAATTTCTATTTATATTTAAATGGGTCTGTTTTAGGACCTATGTAGTTGTATTTTTTAATCCAGCTTATCAATCTTGAATTTTATTTGGTATATTACTCTCTTCACAAGTAGTAAAATTACTGACACACACACACACACGTATATATTTTAGACAATATAGTTATCATCTTAATATTTGTTTTGTATTCACCTTTTCTAAGACCATCCTAGTTTGAAGTCTCTGTTTCAAAGCTGTCCTTGGGTCTTTATTGAAGCTCAGCATCTTTCTCTGCCTATCCTGCTTTTCTCTCCTTCTTTCCACAGGTGTTAATCACCAGAACACTCCTTAATTAATAAAATGTACAGTAAACTATACCTTAGAAGCCGCTTCATGGGGAAGCAGGCAGTCAGAGAAATTTGTGCAAAGCTGGTTGCTGAATCACATACTGCCTGGGTGGCAGTAAAAACACTATCACTGGTCATAAGTACTGATAAATCCTAAAAAAGTGTTGATTCAATTGTTCAGTGGTACGTTAAAGGACATACTAGTGAAAATTAATGTATTAATTAGTATAATAGTCCATGTGTTTGATAAATATAGGAGAAGGAGAAGTAACTCCAAGAATGATGGAACTGGGTACCTATTAGAACAGGGTTCCAAAAACTGAGAAAACTAGTCATGAACTGAAAACAGATTTGAAAGTCAGAGGACCTCTTTAGTCCCATCTACTGAAGAGAGAGGGTAGAAGAAGCTGAGTAAATGGCCCAGGACATAATTCCAGATTAGCCAAAAAACAAAAAATAAATTATCAAGCAAGGCAAGTCTGTTATGCCATGGCCAGGTTCCATCTTGGGAAAGAATGAGATTATGATAAGGACAATTCAGGTTAATGCCCCTGAAAATCACAAATTCTCAGATTCCCTCAAACTCTCTAAGACTGTACAAGTGATCCACTTATCAAAGTTAAGAGCCATCATCCTGCCTCTTTGTTTGAAGTTAATGCAGAATCTTCTGCCCTAGTGGGCAATAAGTACCCCGCTCAGGTGTCTCTCCTTCTTCTCATTTGACCAACATAACCTAGAGGAACATGAACAGCACCTGATAAGAGAGGGGAGGGGAGGGTCTATAACTACAAAATACTGTGTGATAAAAGCAGAATTTACCTGCAGTAGCTGAGAGAAGACATTTGGAATTGTTTTTTGTGAGGGATTAAACAAGGTGTCTACCTTTTTTATTTAGTGTGATTGAAAACATTTGGTCCTTTCCTAGTCAATTTAAAAATATTAAATATTTTAAATGCACAATTATAAACATAGAATTATATTTTAATTCATATTACATATGAGGTATTTTCCTATGACCTAGAATTTCATATAAATGTGGTATGTTTCCTGCTTTTGAAGAATCTACAGCAGAACACTGATATGGTTTGAATCTGTGTCCCCACCCAAAACTCATGTTGAAATGTAACCCCCAGTGCTGTAGGTGAGACCTGGTGGTAGGTGATTGGATCATGAGGGTGGTTTCTAATGGTTTAGCACCATCCCTGTAGTGCAGTTCTCATGATGGAGTTCACAGGAGACCTGCTTGCTTAAAAATGTGTAGCACCTCCCCAACTCTCTCTTCCTCCTGCACTGGCCATGGGAGGTGTACTCTCCCTTTGCCTTCTGCCATGATTGTACATTTCCTGATGCCTCCCCAGAAACTGAGCAGACGCCAGCGTCATGTTTCCTGTACAACCTGAGGAACCATGAGCCAATTAAAACTATTTTATTTTTAAATTACTGATATGGTTTGGATTTATTTCCTCACCCAAATCTCATGTTGAATTCTAATCCCCAGTGTTGGAGGACGGGGCTGGCAGGAGGTGATTGGATCACAACGGTGGATTTTCCCCTTGATATTCTCATGATAGCAAGTGAGTTCTCACAAGACCTGGTTGTTTAAAACTGTGTGGCACCTTCCCCTTTGCCCTCCTCCTTATTTTCCAGCCATGTAAGATGCGCCTGCTTCCCCTCTACCTTCCACCATGATTGTAAGTCTCCTGAGACCTCCTCAGCCTTCATGCTTCCCGTGCAGCCTGAAAACTGTGAATTAATTAAACCTCTTTTCTTCGTAAATTACCCAATCTCAGGTAGTTCTTTATAGCAATGTGAGAATGGACTAATACAGTTTCCCAGTCTCAGGTATTTCTTTATAGCAGGGCGAGAACAAACTAATACAGAAAATTGGGACCTAGAAGTGGGGCATTGCTATTAAGATACCTGAAAATGTGGAAACAGCTTTGGAAATGGGTAACAGGCAGAGATTGGAAGAGTATGGAAGGATCAGAAGAATACAGGAAGATGAGGGAAAATCTGGAACATCTTAGAGACTTGTTGAATGGTTGTGACCAAAATGCTTGTAGTGATATGGATAGTAAAGGCCAGGCTAATGAGGTCTCAGATGGAAATGAAAAACTTATTGGAAACTAGAGCAAAGGTCAGTTTCATTTCTTGGAAAAGCAATTGTCTACATTGTGCCACTGCAATAGGGCTCCGTGGAACTTTAAACTTGAGAGATGATTTAGAGTATCTGGTAGAAGTTTCTAAGCATCAAAACGTTCAAGATATGCCCTTGTTGCTTCTAGCAGCCAAAGCTTATATTCATGAGCAAAGAGGTGACCTAAAACTAGAACATATTTAAAAGGTTACCATAGTGTAAAAGTTTGAAAAATGTGCTGCCTGGCCATGTGGTAGAAAAGAAAAACACATTTGCAGGGGAGTAATTCAAGCAGGCTGCAGTAATTTACATAACTAAAAGGATGGCAAATTCTAATAGCAGAGACAGTGGGGAAAAGGCTTTGAAAGCATTTCAGAGTCCCTGGTGGAAGCCCCTCCCATCACAGGCCCAGAGGCCTAGGAGGGAAGAAAGAATGGTTTAGTGGGCCAGGCCCAGTGCCCTGCCACCCTGCACAGTCTCAGGACACTGCTCCTTGTGTCCCAGCCATTCCAGCTTCAGCCACGGCTAAAAGGGCTCCAGATACAGCTGGGGCCACTGCTTCAGAGGATACAAGCCATAGACTTGGTGGTTTTCATGTGTTGTTGAGCCTGCAGGTGCACAGAGTGCAAGAATTGAGGCTTGGTTGCTTCCACCTCGATTTCAGAGAACATATGGAAAAGCCTGAACATTTAGGCAGAAGCCTGATGCAGGAGCAAAGCCCTCATGGAGAATCTCTACTAAACTACAGCAGTGCAGAGGGGAAATGTAGGGTGGGAGACCCCACACAGAGTCCCACCTTGGGCACTGCCTAGTGGAGCTGTGAGAAGAGGGCCACCATCTTCCAGACCCCAGAATGGTACAGACATTGACAACCTGCACCATGCACCTGGAAAAGCCTCAGGCATTCAACGCCAGACTTGAGAGCAGCCATGGGGACCAAACCCTGCAAAGTCACAGGAGTGGGACTGCCCAAGGCATCAGGAGCACACTCCTTGCATCAGTGTGCCCTGGATGTGAGACATAGAGTCGAGGAGATTATTTAGAGCCTTGAGATTTAATGACTGCCCTGCTGGGTTTATGACTTGAACGGGGCCTATAGCCCCTTTCTTTTGGCTGATTTCTCCCTTTTGGAATGGCAGTATTTACCCAGTGCATGTATCCCCATTGCATCTTGGAAGTAACCAACTTGTTTTCATTTTATCTGCTCATAGGCAGACAGGACTAGCCTTTACTCAAGTCAGACTTCGGACTATTTACTCTTAGTTAAAGCTGGAATGAGTTAAGACATTGGGGCTATTGGGAAGGCATGATTGTATTTTGATAATGTGAGAAGGACATGAGATTTGGGAGGACCAGGGTGGAATGATATGTTTTGGATCTGTGTCCCCACCTAACTATCACATTGAAATGTAATCCTCAGTGCTGTAGATGGGGCCTGGTGGGAGGTGATTTGATCATGGGGGTAGTTTCCAATGGTTTAGCGCCAATCCCCTAGTGCTATTTTCATGATAGAGTTCTCATGAGATGCGGTTGTTTAAAAGTAGGTAGCACCTCTCCCACTTTTCTTCCTCCTACTCTGGCCATATGAGGTGTACTCCCCCTTTGTCTTACACCATGACTCTACATTTCCTGAGGCCTCCCTGGAAGCCAAGCAGATGCCATCATCATGCTTCCTGTACAGCCTGTGGAGGTGTAAGCCAATTAAACCTCTTTTCTTTATAAATTACCCAGTCTCAGGTATTTCTTCGAGAATGGACTAATGCAAGGACTAACACACACTATGCTTTGTGAGCAGAGACAAAAAACTTAGTTGCCTAATCTCAAGATTCACAGAATATTTTTCTGGAGAATTTGTTTCATGAACTTGATACTGAAGTTAGCAAGATCTTCCCTGAATCCCATCTACCCATCCACTGCAAAAAAAAGAAAGACAAGAAAAGTTTCAGAAAGTTAAAAACATATAAACCAAATCTCAGAAATAAATCTTCTTGTGAATTAGTATTAAATTGATAACATCCCTCAATCTATCAACCCTCCTATCCTATCCAGCATGGGAAAGAGTGAGAAAATGTACATTTCTGTTCTGAGAAAACAACCCCAGAAAGGTTATTTATACAAAATATTTTTAAGGTGCCCTGAATTCAGAATTCATAAATTATGTCATCTGAAGTACAATATATAACTCTTATTTCAAATTGGTTATCTTATTTAAATTTATTAAACTGATATTAAAGATTTATTACCTAAAGTTCTAAATAATTGTGCAATATCTTTTCTAAACTAGAAAAAAGAGCTTTGGACGTGAGTTCCTATCCTTTTTTTTTTTTAACATAAATGTATATTTTATCATACCACACTACTGGGTTCCCTTTTTGAACAGTGTTAGTGTCTTAGTCCCATATAAATCAATGATGTTTTTTCTAGATTCATCTGAAAGCATTATCAGGGATGATTCAACATATTTTCATCAAGTCTATACTGTATATTTTAAAATTTTAACTTATAATAGCAAGAAACAAAGTGGGAACAAGATTTCAACCCAGTGCAAGGCAAAAAATAATAATGTTTTTATCACACATTCTTTTCTTTCACGACTTGTCACTTTCTCTAGTTGTTAACTTATTTTCAGAAATAATTTATCCAACATAAATTATAATTATTCAAGGAAACTTCTCTATGTTCTATTTTAATCTTCTGAATTCTGTCATTAATAAAATAGATACCTTAAGCTTTGATGAATAATTATGTCTAATATTTATTACATATTATTTGTCAAGAACTGTATAGGATTCTTTATATTAAGCATCACTTATATTCATAACCTAAAAGGTCATATATTAGTATAAGTCACTCTACAGATTAGAAAATTTAGTTTCAAAAGTAAAGTAACATATTGAGAAAAAATGGATATAAATGTTACAAATGGAGGCAAAACCCTTTATATTTTCACTTCCACATTCTGAAAGGTATCACGGCAAAGAGACCTTTGATGAACAAAAATGCATGCAACCAAACCTGGAGTTTTAAATTAAATGTCACAACTTCTGGTACTTTTTATATCATGTCCTACTGACATGACAACATGAGTAGCTTTCATCTTTCAATTTGCTCAATCTATTTTTATTAACCAATCTTGATATAGAATAGTAAAGTTTTTTCGGTCTGCTACTAAATATAAATTATAAGTCAAAGGTAACATGACATTGAGATAAGCTTCCTATATAAATAGAATCTTCTCAAAAATAAACCTTCAACGTGGACACGTGTATTTATGCCTTGTGGTGTGTGTGTTTGTGTACACGTGTAATTGTATGACTACATCTGGTATCCTATTATTATAGTGTAAGTTTTTAGATGAGCAGTAGAAAAATATAAGACTAGTATGATTGAGGCACAAGGCCAAGAGATAGAGCTTGAATTACATACAGAAATCCAAGGAAGGCATTTAACAGAAACATGTCATAGTAAGCACTTCATTATGTATTAAGCTTTCTGTCTATGTTATGAAATCGGTTAGGATATCATCTAGGGATATTGCAATAGTCAAGGTGAAAAGTGATAGGAATCTGAAATGTACAAGATGTATTTGAACACTGTTTACAACAAGTTCTTATTAAGAGAAAGAGAAATTTAGTGTTCAGTTCTTGCCCTAAAGGAAAAATAAAAATTGATATTCAATATATCAGATTCTAATTATTTTGCTCTTAAATTCAACAGTCTGGAAAAAACAAAACAAAAAAGTCTATAAACAAGAAAGACTATGGATCAGAGGAAACTTAAATGTAATTTTTAAAAAATGTGGTAGTTTGCCAGTTACCTCCCAGGAGATGCATAAGCAATAAAATTAATCCAGCACTTGCCTGGCATAAATAGTCGTTTGTCCTCTGGGAGGTAGATACCTGCATATTTACAAGCTGCATTTTCATAGACAGCGATTTATCTCCCAACACTACTTAATATCCATTACACTATGGAGGACACCAACATTTGCTTTCAAACACAAGAATGCAATGTTTGATTTAGGTTTTACAATTACTTTTTATTTTATTGAAATATTTTAATGCGTTATATTATTTCAGTGCCTTATACATTTAGGAGAAAATCCAGACATAAAGAAACAAAACAGGAACATTTCTACTTCCAAGAAAAGAAAACATAATGTCATAATAAAATTATTGCTTCTGAACAAAGACAAATATTTCATCTATCTATATTAATGGACTTCTTCAGCAAAATGTTATCTAATATACTGAAATATTCTGCTATTATAATTTTTTATTATATATAACAAGGCAAGGCTAAATAAAGTTAGTGGTTGGGAGAAAAGGCATATAGGAAAGATACAAGGAATTTCCAAATATAACAACAATATAAATTTACATAAAGTTGAAATTATACTTTATATGTTAAAATAGAGTACTGAAATGGAAGTTTATATATCAGATTTTAAAAAAATAGAGTTGATTTGAATATTAGATACGCTCCACTGTGTCTCCCCAACAAAGGCCAATTTCCATTGATGAACAAGAAATATAAAGCTTGATATACCTCTGTGAGGGCCTAAACATACGGCTCTATAATAGTAAAAAACGTGTGCTGATGTTTTTAACTATCACTTCTAGAATTACAATTTTGCTGTATTCTCCGTTTAAATGTTATAATCTGCTATATAAGTCTGTAGGTCACTGTTTATATAACTGTTTCTCTAAACACTTTATCATTTTCTACTATTATTAATTATACCTGGCATGTGTTTTGACTTACATTGATGTGAGTTTCTATTATTCCAAAAGTTTTACAGGTAGATTTAATAGAGAAGTTATTAATAGGACTTGCTTGATTTAAATACAATTTCTTGCCAAAGCATTGTTTTGTTTGAGTGCTGTTTGAATATGCAATCCATTTTATTCCCTTAGTTATTGAAACCTTTGGTTTTAGTGGTATTCTTCAAGAATTCTTAAATCTTTGATCTTAGGTTTGATTAAAACATTAGATATATTGATCTAATTTTAGAAAATGAGTAATAAATTATGATAGAAAACAGAATCAGAATTCAAACAGACATAAGCAAGCTAAAATGATGATTAAATACTAAAAGCTGAAATTTAAGATGAATAAGTATAAAGACCTACTTTCAGGTTGTAAAAATCAAATTTTCAAGTTAGAATTAATCTGACATAACCATGTGAAAAAGCCCTAGGAATTACAGTTTCCTATAAGCCAGAAGTGTCCACTGAATTCCTGAAGGGATTTTTGAGGGTGTATTTTCTGTCTATTTTATATATTTATCAACCATAGCTTTTAAAAATTCCCTCACACATGGCAAGAACGGGTAACTGTAAACATTAAAAAGAGAGGAAGGAGGGTTTTTTTTTGACTTCTGGCTTGGAAGAGTGAATGATTTGTGGTTTTACATCTCTGGATTTCAGTGTATTCATTTCTCAGGAAACGAGCTAGTTTAATTGACTACTAATGCTTCTTTTAGCTTTAATTTCTAAATTAAATGTAATCATATATCAACACACCCAAAAAGAAGACTGATGTGTTTCAAATGAAAGCAACTTATACAGTGTTGAGATTTTACCTATCATAAACCATATCAAGGACTTTCATATTGTCAGGATAATAGATATACTTTGGAAGACAAAACACATATCAATGGATGAATATTACAGCAAAAATAATCTTGTTTTACTAAAAGATGAATGTGTCACTTATAGCATTCAAACAGTTTAACCACTTATTACATAAATATTAGAGATAATTTTTATAAGCAGTGTGATATGGTTAGGTTTTGTGTTCTCACCCAAATCTCATCTTGAATTATAATCCCCATAATGCCCACGGGTTAAGAGACCAGGTGGAGTTAATTAGATCATGTGACAGTTTCCCTCATGCTGTTCTCGTGATAATGAGTGAGTTCTCACGAGATCTGATGGTTTTGTAAGGGGCTCTTCCCCCTTCGCTCCTCGCTCTCCTCTCTCCTGTCACCATGTGAAGAAGATCCTTGCTTCTCCTTCACCTTCTGCCCTGTTTGTAAGTTTCCTGAGGCCTCCCTATCCATGTTGAACTCCGAGTCAATTAAGTCTCTTTCCTTTATAAATTACCCAGTCTTGGGAAGTGCGCAAGTGGACTAATACACAGTGGGACATAGAAATAAATCCAGGTTCTTAATATAATTTGTGTTTTTGAATAGTGAGTAATGAAAACATTTTGTAGGTAGAGGTAGACTCATTTGAACAAAATCCTTTAACATGATTGAAGAATATTGTTCTGAAATACTTTAGAAAATAGAACAATACCTTGGGGATAATGCTTTTCACTGTAGGAGGTCTTATACTTATGATCATGCTTTGAAGAATTCAGACTATTATTTCATAATTCAGTTGACCATCATCACTCTCACAATCCCATTGTTCATATCTAATCAATCTTCATGTTCTGTCAATTTAACCCTCCACTATTGTCAGAATTCATTAATCTGATCCACTTAAAATCCATATGAAGATTATATTTGTTATCCATTTCTCTATTCTGTAATGTATCTTATATAATACCACAAGAATAATCCATTAGAGTGGGGGAAAATTATATGTGCATAAAGGAAAATTTCTAGATTAACATCCTTGAGTCATCAAGAATGAGTGATATTTAGTGCCCCCAAGAAGTCTTTGTCCTGGATCTGTAAGTGTCTGACTGATGCTCAATATATCTCAAAAATGCAGGTTGAAATATATTTATAGTATGTAGGCTGTACCTGTTCTCAGATTTGACAGAGTTCCTTAATAATGATCATTTAGTCACTTATTTTATTCGTTAATAATGTTATTGAAGTATTTAAATAGTAATTGCCAAAGTTAGCATTTATTCAGGATGCATTTTTATAATCTTCAAAACACATTGGCATATAATTATTATTACCTCAATTTTAAAGAGAGGGAAATTGAGGCTTAGAAGAGCTGAATGTTGGAACCAAGTCAATAACTACAAAGTATTAGAAGTGAAATGCAAATTCTGATTTATTTTGCTGCAAAACCTAGCACTTTTGAATACACTATGTTAAATCTTATTTAAAGGCCCTCTTCACTACCTTCACACATGCTAGAGAGCCTAGAAATACAAGATTACAGAACCTTTAATCTAGCAGTGACCTCAGAAACCTGCTCAAATTAAATAACTTTTTAAAATCTACACAGCTAATTGATGGCTAGGTCAAAACTCTTGTTTTCTTTCCAATGCCACATAACTATTAAACAGGCAAGATAATTAAAAAGTAAAGAGAAAGTAAAATTTGTCACACATTTTAGATTTTACAATTGTTCACTGTCATAATAGAGTGGAGGTCACTTATCTTTCTGTGTTTGGACAAAGATGTTATTAGCTACCAATGAATGATCATAAAATTAATGCATATTTATTTAAAAATATAATTTAAATTATAATATTTGAAATATATATTTGCTAGTCTTGTGGTACAGATTGAGATTTCTCATTCGAGTATGCATTCTTTTAAAGGAGTTCAGCAATATTTTTCTTGTATAAACCACAGGTTAAAATTTTGAGTTTGAGTTTTCTTAAAATGAAGCCAGATTTTAAAGAATTGGTGCAAAGCATTCTGATTGTATATTTCATCTATAGTTTTATTATATTATCCCCCCACCAAATTTAAACTTACCTCTCCGGCATTTGTTAAGAAAATGTATTTAGATTTAAAAATCAGTGGGAAGTAGCATGTTCTTCAAATTTCATACTGAGACACTATTTAATGGGTCCTACCCAAGTAGTATTTAATTTTTAGGAGAATATACATTGACTTTTCTGTTCGTTATTTGATTTGAATTTTTGTTGAACTGTACTGGGTCCACTTGCACCACATAGTAAGACCAGATATCCACACTGAGGTTTGCAGTGGAAGAAAGAGAGGAGGCGTTTGTTTGCAGGGCACTAAGTAAAGAGGCTCAGGCAGCTAACCCTTAACATTCTGACCTTTCCCGTGTCTTGTAGGTACATTGGTTTTAATCTAAAAGGGTAGGATATCCTGAAGCAGGTGTGGTTTGTGGGGTGCAACTTCCTCCAGGTCCCTCAGGAAGAAATTTAGAACAAACAATGGTGATCAAAGTCCAACCCTTAGTTCTCCTTTATCTTAGGTCTAGGTGTCAGAGGATCCCTCTGGTGGGGGTCCAGGTTTCTGAAAACCGACTCAGAGACCTATGATAAGATGCTATTGTTAGTTTCTACAGGGGAAACAAACATCCCAAAGTTCTAGCTTCTTTGACAATTGTTTTAAGCCACTATTAACCTGACTGCTCATCAAGCTACTTACTTATTTCTCAGGTCTAGCTAGGTGCCTGGAATTTCCCATGAAGGAACTCAAGATTTTCCTTTATTTCCACACTTGGCAGGGGCCCACAGGCCCCTAAGATAGGTCCCTGCTCCATCTCAGAATCTAGATATGGTAAAGATATATATTAATCTAAAGTGTTTTGACAAAAAGTTACAGTTTTGATGCTCTTTAAGATATTGGCTAAGTTTTATAACTAACCTACCAATTTAAATGAGCTTGCTTTGTTTTTTATATATCCATAATATTGTTAATGCTTTTGGAAATTGTGTTATAAACTTACCAGTGTCCTTTATTAATGAGTTAAATAACATTGTGACTTTTGTTCATTTTATATTTTTATAAAAGTCATTTTGTGAATGTTTGTAAAATTTATACTTTGACATAGCTAATTCAACAGGTAGTTTCAATTTTATTATATATTTTAAGTGACTTATGTCCTTAAAGCCTTTTCAAAGCATTACATTTACTTTCATACTAACAGTGTTTTTTCTTTTTACACACATATTTAATAGGTTTATATAAATTACAATTAAGTTATATTTACAATAATAATAAATGGTCATAATCAAAGTTAAGAAAAGTAGCTAACTTAACAAATAGGAACAGAGCTCCTAGTAATTAGAGAATGAACTAATAGCATTGAAAATTCTCTGTGTTTTGCCCATCATAGTTATATTAGAAAATAAGAATACTTTTCAGGTGAGCCATTAACTTTTGAACATGTAAACGAAAAATAAAATTCTAAGACATCCCCAGTGGACTGAGCAGACCCCTCCTCTTGGTCACTGGCATTCCAAAGTTAACTTGAAAAACTAGTTCAGGCCATGATGGCAGTAGGGGTTGGCCATGCCTCACTGTGTCCTCCTCCTGTTGGAATTTGGGCACAAGTTACCAGTATTAACATTAAAGCACAGATCTTAAGACTTTTTGTAGCAATAAAACACCAAATTTGAGCCTGTCTCTAGTATAGCATCACTTGACAAATAGCAGGCCCTGAAAGAAACTGAAGTATTTTCCCCAAAAATGTATTTCTCTGATGTATTTTGAAATGGCCCTGTAAAGCTGTATATTGTGGGGAAAAATCTGCATTTTGTAGAGAATCCTTGTCCCTTCCCACATCTTTTTCCCTGATCCAGGAGAGATTCTGGCACCTATATAAGTCTGATAAGAAACATTAACAATCTTTCCTCTCTAAAGCCTGCTACCTGGAGGCTTCATCCACATAAGAATCTTGGTCTCTACAACCCCTTATCTTAACCTAGACACTCCCTTCTATGGATTCCAGGTCTTAAGATAAACTTTTTCAACCAATTGCCAATCAGAAAATCTTTAAATCTGTCTATGGACCTGGAAGCCCTGACTTCCAGTTGTCTCACCTTTCAGGACCAAACCAATGAATATATTACATGTGTTGAATGATGTCTCCCTAAAATGTATACAACCGAGTTGTAGACCGACCACCTTGGGCACATATTCTCAGGCTCTCCTGGGGCTGTGTCACAGGTCCTTGGTCACTTGTATTTGGCTTAGAATAAATCTCTTGAAATATTTTACAGACTTCAAATCTTTTTGCTGAAAGATAGTTAAATAAAGCGTCTTAACTGTGACTCTTTCCATCAGAGTATTATACATCTAAAAAGGTTTCTGTATACCCACTTTTCAAGTCTTTAAAAAAAGTTTGATTACTTCATTTAATCAGGTTGTTTTATCTTAAAATGCAAAATTTCTCCACTGCATCTGTTACCTACATTAGCACACCCTATCAATACATATGCTTATGTTTGGGTCTGGAGGGGTTGTTTATTTTCTGGTGTAAGCAGTGAAAAGTGAGTGGTGTCTATTTTAGCCTCTTTTATGAGGAAAATTATCAACAGGGAGTAAACAATATTCCTGTAGAAAAGAAGAAGTTAGCCAATTGTGTTTCAAAATGGAAACATTATTAGGGAATAATCAAGAACTATTTTCCAGAAAAAGAAGTAACAGCTCTTTAAAGTGAAGAGTTAAAGGCAGTAAGTTGTCTGGAACTAGAAAAGGATACAAATAGCCTAGGAAGCGCACATTTGCTGCAAATTTGGCCAGTGAGACTTGACTGCAGTGGAAACCTGTGGGGTTCCTACAGATGGTGGAGGATTTAGAGTTCAACACTGGCATCCAAATGTTGCAAGAGAAATAACAATTTTAGCCAGATGATAGATTATAGAGATCTTTCCTTCTTGAGAGGGAGAATAATGGACTTTTGCTTTAGAGCTCAATTCCTGCATGTCTTGAGGTTCTCAGATCATCCGCAGGAAAGAAGTAGTGGCAGGAGGATAAACAATATGCTGGACTTCCCACTAATCTGGCTAGTGAGAGCCTGTTCCATTTTAATTTACTCCAGAAAAATAAAGATTTACACCCTGAGTGTTGTGCAGCCTTTCACATACAACTATGTAGGACAAACATCTTCACACAAAAGGAGTCCCAAAATTCACAGAAATTCACACACCAGTGTGAAAGATAAAGAACCTTATTTTAGAGGGAAGAGACAGATGTAGTGTTATGCCTGAACCTCCAGAGGTAAATTACAAAGCACCATTTTAATTGTGAAAGGCCAGTTTATCAACTAGTAATAGGTAAAGCATAACATATATAATAAATAACAACATATGGCCTATCATGAGTGGCTCAGGAGAGGTAAGATTAATTAAGATTACTCTGTCTCAGAGTATTTAAGAAATGTGGGAAATGGCCTTTTAGAGATAATCCCTTACATGTTCTACATCATATTTGTTTAAATATTTTGCCAAACTCACATTAGAAAATTGGTCTGCCAACTACACTGATTTATTGCCTCCGGAAAGATTGAGATGATGAATCATTTCCCCCCCACCCCCACAAGTTACTTTTGTTTTAAAATATTTTAAGGATTTAAAACTGACTGCAACTGATTATATCAAAGACATTAGCTGTTTAATGCAATGATTCTGTGTGTGCCAAATTCATACAGAATATAGTCTGGAAATAAGGAGTCCCCATTTGGGATATCTACTTTGTATGGAAATGAATGCACTTAAGGGCTAAACAAATAGACCTTTCCTTTTCTCCCTTCCCATGCATAAATGACAGGAAATGAATACTAGCACAGGTAACATATTCAATCATTCAAATTGTTTACTATTTTAACTGTATTTCTTAACATATAGCAAATGTCAAATAATTTGGGGTATATTTTTAGATATTATCTAAAATTTCTTCTCATTAGTAAAACTGGAAAGCCATCTGTACATAATGTGCAAGGTAAATTGAATTGACAGAGTAATTTTTTTTAGTGATTTAATTTACCCAACACCAGTGTACCTTGAAGCCTCTGGGTTTATTCCTCCATGTACTTTGAAGTCATAACTCATTTCGTTTCATGATCCTTCTATATTAAAAGTTGCTGAAATAAACTAGATTATATATTTTCTTACTACTCAGAATATTGGCTATCCAGCTAGAAAAATAAGTCTTAAAGAGATAAGGCCACCTTATTCATGTTAGTTGAAGTCTAATGGTAAAAGCAGCAGACCTTGAAAGAATGCTGATCTTCAGGGAATTTCTTTAAATTGGAATCATAATCCAACTGTAAACTGGTTAGGGGAAGCACTGATATGCAGAGTACCTAATAGTATATTGATAATCCATTCAATCTCAGGGTAATTACCAAAAGCCAAAGGGTGGGGTGCATTTCACTACTCATGTATAGTTGATAAGTCTTTCTAATTTAAATGTTATAGATAGGAAATCCAGGAAAAGTGCAATAGAGAATATTGTACAGTACTCAATGAAATCATTATGTGGTATCATACAGTATCATATGATATAAAATCTTATATTTTATTGTTACTGGGCAGTGAGATAAATGCATTTTTTCCTTTTACAACTTAACTGTAAAGATTGTACCTTTAGTTTGCATCGATTTGGATTATTTGTCTTATATTCTGGTTCTATTACTTACAAAGTATTCCAAAGAACAAACAGAAGCTAGTTACTAGCCCGAGTTTATAGTGTTCAACAGTACATAATAAGCTAAATGATGAATCTACACACATGAACTTGAATAAATGTGTTCACTGCTCACAACTAAACTGAGAAACAATGAATAGTCCCATATTAGAAATAAAGAAAGTGAGGCCAAGAGATGTTAAATGAGTAGCCCAAGACCCCACCTCTAGAAATTGGCAAGGCTGAGATCAAATCAGCCAGCCAGCTGGTCCAGGGCTCATGCTTTCACCACTTAAGTGAACTTCACAGAGCTAGGAGAAAAGAATTTGCACATAGTATCCTAAACCTGGCCAAACAATCATTAAAGTAAACTAAAGAACTAATATATTTTCAGATATCTAAAGACTGAGCCAATTAACCATCCATGAACTTTTCTAAAATAATTTTTTGAAATTGTACTATGACAAAATAAAAAGTGAATGTAAATAGAAGTCATGGGAAAAACTATACTTAGTTCCAGTTAATACATCTGCATTTTAAATACAAATCATTACATGCAAATAACTGTTGATTGTAAAAAGAAAAAATAACATATTTGCATTTAATCAAATCCACATTTTTTTTCTGTTTAATGATCAATTGTATGGCTTATGGCATACTTAGGTGGCCATCATTATTGTTTTCTAGTTTTTTAAAAAGAAAAATGATCCAAGTATTAGTTTGTTTCCACACTGCAGATAAAGACATGCCTAAGACTAGGTAATTCATAAGGAAAAAGAGGTTTAATGAACTCACAGTTTCACGTCACTGGGGAGGTCTCACAATCATGGTGGAAGGCAAAAGGCACATCTTACATGGCAGAAGACACGGGAAGAGAGAGAGTTTGTGTAGGGAAACCTCCCTTTAGAAAACCATCAGGTTTCAGGAGACTTGTTCACTATCATGAGAATAGCATGGGAAAGACCCACCCACCCCTGTGATTAAATTAACTCCTACCGGGTCCCTCTCACAACACATGGGAATTGTGGGAGCTACACTTTAAGAAGAGATTTGTGTGGGGACACAGGCAAATCATATCATTCCACCCCTGGCTCCTCCCAAATCTCATGTCCCAACATTTCAAAACCAATCATGCCTTCCCAAAAGTCCCCCAAAGTCTTAACTCATTTCCACTTTTACTCAAAAGTCCACAGTCCAAAGTCTCATCCGAGACTAGGCAAGTCCCTTCTGCCTATGTGTCAGTAAAATCAAAAGCAAGTTAGCTACTTCCAAGATAAAATGGGGATACAGGCATTGGATAAATACATCCATTCCAAATGTGAGAAATTGGTCAAAATGAAGGGGCTGAAGTCCCTATGCAATTCTGAAATCCAGTGAGGCAGTCAAATCTTAAAGCTCCAAAATGATCTCCTTTGACTCCATGTCTCAAATCCAGGTCACTCTGATGCAAATGGTGGGTTCCCATGGTCTTAGGCAGCTCTACCCCTGTCGCTTTGCGGGATACAGTCTCCCTCCTGGCTACTTTCACAGGCTGGCATTGTCTGCGGTTTTTCTAGGCACAGGGTGTAAGCTGTCAGTGGATCTACCATTCTGGGGTCTGGAGGATGGTGGACCTCTTCTCAAAGCTCCACTAGGCAACACCCCAGTGGGAACTCAGTGTGGGGATGCCCACTTCACATTTCCCTTCTGCACTACCCTGGCAGATATTCTCCATGAGCAGCCACCCCAGCAGCAAATTTCTGCCTGGCCATCCAGGCATTTCCATACACCCCCTGAAATCTAGGGAAAGGTTCCCAAATCTGAATTCTTGACTTCTGTGCACTCACAGGCTCAATACCACATGGAAACTGCCAAGGCTTTGGGCTTGCACCCTCTGAAGCAACAGCCCAAGCTGTACCTTGGCCCCTTTTAGACGTGGCTGGAGCACTGAGATGTAGGGCACCAAGTTTCTAGACTGCACACAGCAGAGTCACCCTGGGCCTGGCCCATGAAACCATTTTTTCCTCCTTGGCCACTGGGCTTGTGTTGAGAGGGGCTGTCGCAAAGATCTCTGACATGCCCTGGAAACATTTTCCCATTGTCTTCAGGATTAACATTTGGCTCCTCATTACTTATGCAAATTTCTACAGCAAGCTTGAATTTCTCCTCAGAAAACGGAATTTCCTTTTCTACTGCATTGTCAAGTTGCAATTTTTCCAAACTTTTATGCTGTGTGCCTTTAATGGCACCAAAGTCACCTCTTGAATGCTTCGCTGCTTAGAAATTTCTTCTGCCAGATACCGTAATCATCTCTCTGAAGTTCAAAGATCCAGAAATCTCTAGGACAGGGGCAAAATGCTTCCAATCTCATTGCTAAAACATAACAGGAGTCACCTTTATGCTAGTTCCCAATGATTTCCTCATCTCTATCTGAGATCATCTCAGCCTGGATTTCATTGTCCATATCATGATCAGCATTTTCGTCAAACCATTTGATAAATCTATTGAGAGTTCCAAACTTTCCCACATGTTCCTGTCTTCTTCTGAGCCCTCCATACTGTTCCAACCTCTGTCTGTTACCCAGTTCCAAAGTCACTTTCACATTTTCAGGTATCTTTTCAGCAGTGACCCCCTCTTCCAGTACCAATTTCCTGTATCAGTCCATTTTAATGCTGCAGATAAAGACAAGCATAAGACTGGGTAATTTATAAGGAAAAAGAATTTTTAATGGACTCACAGTTTCATGTGGCTTGGGAGGCCTCACAATCATGATGGAAGGCAAAAGGCAGGTCTTACATGGCAGCAGACAAGAGAAGAGAGATTGTGCAGGGAAACTCCCCTTTATAAAACTATCTGATCTTGTGAGACTTATTCATTATCAAGAGAACAGTACAGGAAAGACCTGCCCCCATGATTCAGTTACCTCACACTGGGTCCTTCCCACAACACATGGGAATTTTGAGAGCTACAATTCAAGATGAGGTATGGGTGGGGATACAGCCCAACCTTAAAATCCAAGAGGAAGTTAAAATTACAAAACTAGCCAACAATGCTGATGGCAACCTAAGAATGCCATACAACTTGTAATTAAATGGAAAAAATCATGGATTTTAAAACACATAAATGAATAATAATTACTTGGAATATTCCCTTTTTACATGCTTTTCCAGGATTGAGAAAGTGGAAGGTGAGAATACAGATAAATATACACACAGTCATCCCAGGTTTTATCACATTAGACAATGCTACATATGTCTTTATGTACTAAAAACCTTAAATTTCAAAGGAATGGTAATATCTCTATTCTAAAAGCTATTTTAAAGCAAAGGGAAAGGGAGAAGACATTTTAAATCATTTTATAAAGTAACTTTCCTTGACACTGAAACCAGGCAAAAATAAATTAATAAAGGAAAAATGTAGCAAATCTCAATTATGAAAATAGAATACAAAAATCTTAAATAAGTACATATACCCATTGGAATGTCTTCACATATACTAGGTATATGTTGGAACCAGCTTAAAGTCTAGAGGCAAATAAATTCATCATATTATAGCATCATTGAAAATGCTGGTTACAATGTTAGTTTCATTTGTAGAAGCTTGCCTGTGACACAGGCAATATAAGAAAATTACTTCCATGGCAAAAATAAGAAAAACAGACTTCACAAGAGTAGGTTAATTTGAATTGTACATTTGCTCAAGGGGTATCTGTTACTCGCTCCTGCCATACATTGCAACAATAAAGCCTGGGGGTCTGAACAGGTTGAAGAGAAGTTTAGATTTTAGACCCCAGGAAATCTGGGAACCCAAAGAAGCAACATGCTCAGTGTATGCAGTAGGTAAACAAATAAACAAACAAAAACTTCCTTCATAAAATAATTGTGAAAGTATGTTTCTGAATAGTTATGTTTAAGCATGGAAGAGAAAAACAAATATGCAAAGTTCTCCTTTGAGAATTCTTAACCACAAGCCAAACTCTTAGCATTTGTGATACCTCATATTCAACTCTTTGGAAATCCTGGAAATTCTCATGTCAGAAATTTAGTATGAGTGTTCCTGGGTCATCAATGGCATTAGGCATCTGGCAGAAACAAAGCAAAATCTCTCTGAAAAAAGTTCATTTAAACTCAGGTCTCAACATATTCCCAAAGACAGAGTTGCAAAGGATTCAAGTTCACAATTTATACATATATAAACACATACAAAGTAAACAACAAATATATAATTATGCATTATATATAGGTATAAATGGCGATAAACAAACAGTAAGAATGAATAGACATGCATGCAGAATTATATCCACAAAAATTACAGAAAATGAAGTTAATAGATACAGAATGGTAAAATAGAGTGACATTCTGTATATTTTAAGAAACAAAAAAGGAAGCTAAAATATGATGAAGAAGCAAGGGCCTATTAAAATTTGATAGACAGGCTTGAAGAGAACCAAAGATAACTTTTAGAAATAAGAGATCCAGAAGCAGGCCAACAAAAAATCAAACAAAACAAAACAAAAAGATTTAAAAAAACTGGAAAGAGGCCATATTTGAAGAGAATTTCCAGAATTAATGAACGACAATAATATTGTATTTAGAAAATGCAACAAACCCTCAGGCAGGATAAATAAAAATAATTTCATTTCATATCAAGACCCACAATAATGAAACTGAAGGCAACACCAACAAAAATGCTTATAAAGAGACAATTAAAATAAGAGCTCATCTCTCAATAGCAATTATGGAAACCAAAATATGTTGTAAAGTTTTCTTCAAGGTGTTGAAGAAAAGTAATTTCAACCTAGTATTTATATGCAAAAAACTATTTTTGAAGACTGATGCGATAACTGTTTACAAACAACTCATTTAAAACATATGAACACAGAAATGTGACCAAGAAAGTTCAATGTTCCCTTTAGCTTGACTAAAATTCAGACCAATATTTACTTTAGAAACTTGTACTTTTAAATTCTTTCTCTGCACTTTTGAAACTAAAATCATTTTAAAACCTCTTGCCAATTTTACTACTCAAGAGTGTCTTCGTCAAGGACTTAGGAACTATCTTTTTGAAATGTAATCATCAAAAAAGACAGAACCCTTATCTCCAAGTTTCTGTGAGTAGTTAGGAGTCTACCTTCTATCAGCACCAATTAGCAAAACCAGATAGCCTAATCACAAGTACAACATTTACAAACTCAGGAATGACTCAGTCTTCTGGACACAATCCCATTGATCAACCTTCCCTAATGTCCTGGAATACTTTTTCACTAGCTCCCTCTAGCACTTAAAAACACTCCTGGTTTTTGATTCATGGGAGTTGATTTTAGGTTGAATTCTAGCCTCTCTCTCATTGCAAATCCTTGAATAAAATCACCCTTTCCTGTTTGATATTGTCTGGTGAAATTTACTTTGAGAATTAAAAGTCAATGGATGTAAAACAGTTCTCCTAATACTAACAAAAGACAGGCTGTTGTAGCTATATTATTACCAATCAAAAAAGATGAGACAAAAGGGATTACTAGAAATAAGGAGATTGTTATATAGTTTTTAAAAATCAAATCTCAAAGAAAATATAAAATTATAAACTATTTTTTACTTAATAGTTTCAAAATATTCAAAATAGAAACTGTTCAGATTACAAGGAAATTTGACAAATACATCATTATAGACACACATTTTAAAACGTTGGTTAGTATTCAATAGATAAAGCAAACAAAAAAGTCAGTAATAATATAGCCAATTTGAACAACACAATTACCATTTTTAATCACTTTATCCAATAACTAGATAATACATATTTTTAATGGAAGAATCATTATCAGTTATATACAAGGATAAAATAACTCAAGAAACTTCACACATTGCATATCACACATATCATTACCTCCAAACAAAATGAAACTAAGTCATAATGCAACAGGGAAGAGACTTGTAAAATCAAAACCACACTATTTTGTGATCTATGGATCAAATACTAAAAATAAGTAGACACTTAAAACTCAATAAATGTAAATAACATAATAAATTATTGAAAGCAGGTCATAGAGAGAAATGTATAACCCTAGTTGCTTATATTAACATAGCAAAGAGGATTCAGACTCATGAGCTAAACATTCACCTTGAGAAATTGGAAAAAGAGCAACACAATAAATTCAAAGAAGCAAACGAGATACAGTTAATGAAATAGAAATCAAAGAAATATTATAGAGATAAAATAATCCCAATATTTGGTTATTCTTTGAAAAGATTAATACATTTGACTAATATTAGGCATGATTAACCGGAGAGAGAGAAAAAAATGAAAAAGCAGATGTGGTAAATGTGATAAAATATTATCATTTGAGGAATGGGGATGGAAGTAAGCGATATGTGGAAGTTTTTCCACTTTTTGCAGTTTTCTTGAAGTCTAAAATTATTTCAAATCAAAAGGGTAAAAAGTTATAAGTTTTAAGAAATGATTACGTTTTCTAACTTAAGACATTTCTGAATTTTTCCTTCATTTTAGGGGTTCACTGAAGTGTATTAGTTAAAGAATATCATACTGTGTAAAAAAATTTAAAGACATATATTTCAAATTAAATCACAAAACAAAGATTTGGGGTCAAAGGAAATCATAAGATGTGCAGACTGGTTCAAGAAAGCCACTACAGATATAAAAATATAAAACACTGCTTAACGGCATTTTATCAAATATTTCCACCTTTCTACGGAAATTTGTATAAAACAAAGTATTTTCCTTTTCCATGTATTTTAAATAAGCTGGGCTGTTTCTTAAGAATATTATGAAAAACATTTTCTAACACCAAGGGTAATTAAATTAGGTTATATTTTAATAGGTATTTCCAAATTCCTTCGTGCTTTGCCAACCATTGGCTTGCATCCCATTTGACCACTCTCTAAGATAAAAACTACCCAGGGACTCATTAAGAACTTGATCACTGGTGGTCAAGGTTTCAATGTGATTTTTCAGCATTTACTTTTTTCTTTTCAGAATAAAGCTTTCTAAATAAATAGAACCCCTATAAATATGTCAGAAGTTTGAGTAAATTTGTTCAGAGTTGAGCTCTGTTTTAAAACTTCAGAAAAAAAATCACACATAGAACAATCATAAAAAGAAATGATTCTTTTTTCTGATGTAATCATGAAGATAATCACAAAAGCGACCTTATCCCATCTCTCGTATCTTGGTTACGTAGGTTCTATGCTATGAGATAAATAAGTTTGACAGTAGAAAGATCCCTCTTTTCTTCTTCCATCCACTAAAAGATGTAATGATACAGTACTATACTTATAGCATAACCTAAAATGAGTTATGGCTTTTGCTTATCAATTTTTAATTTCAAAATATATTAAAAAATAAGATCAGGTGAACATTAATTTGCTACTCTTTTTTTGTTAAAATATTTTTTACTTTTTATCTATTCCAGCTTTTAGATTCAGGTGGTACCTGTGCAGATTGGTTACATGGGTAAACTGAGTGTTGGGGGTATTTGGTGTACAGATTATTTCACCATCCAGGTAATGTGCATAGGACCTGACAGGTATTTTTTCGCTCCTCACTCTCCTGCCACCCTCCACTTTCAAGTAGGCCCCAGTAGCTATTGTTTCCTTCTTTGTGTCCATTCATATTCTATGTTTAGCTCCCACTCATAAATGAAAATACTTGGCATTTGGTTTTCTGTTCCTACATTAGTTCACTTAGAATAATGTCCTCTAGCTGCACCCATGTTGTTGCAAAGGGTATGATCTCATTCTTTTTATGCCTGCATAGTATTCCATGGTATACATGTACCCTATTTTTCTTATCCAACCCACTATTGATGGGCATCTAGGCTGAATTTATGTCTTTGCTGTTGTGACCAGTGCTGTGATAAATATATGCATGCATTTCTCTTCATAGTAAAATAATTCATATTTCTTTGGGTGTATACACAGTAATGGGATTGCTATGTCGAATTCTAGTTCTAAGTTCTTTGAGAAATCTCCACCCTGCTTTCCACAATGGCTGAACTAATTTACATTCCCACCAGCAGTATATTAGTGTTCCTTATTGTCCACAACCACACCAGCATCTGCTGTTTTGACTTTTTAGTAATAGCCATTCTGTCTGGTGTGAAATAGTATCTCATTGTGATTTTGATTTGCATTTCCCTAATGCTTAATGATATTGAACATTTTTTCTTATGTTTGTTGGCCCCATGTATGTGTTCTTTTGAGAAGTGTCTGTTCATATTTTGGGCCTGTTTACTAACGGGATTGTCGTTTTGAGTTTTTTTGTTTTTTTTTTTTTCTTGTTACTTTGTTTAAGTGGTTGAATGTTTATTGATAATTTCTTTGCTATGCAGAAGCTCTTTAGTTTAACTAGTCTCACTTGTCAATTTTAGGTTTTTTTGCAATTGCTTTTAGAGTCGTTGTCATGAATTCTCTGCCAGACCTATGTCCAGAATGGCATTTCCTACATTTTCTTCTAGAGCTTTTTGTTCATAGGTTTAAGTTTTACATTTAAGTCTTTAATGCATTTTGAGTTAACTTTTGTAAATGATGAAAAGTAGGGGTCCAGTTTCAACCTCTTTTATATGGCTAGCCAGTTATCCCAGCACCATTTATTGAATTGGGAATCCTTTCCTCATTACTTATTTTTTTGACATTGTTGACAGAGGATCAGATGGTTGTAGTTGTGTAGCTTCATTACTGGGTTCTCTAATATGTTGCATTGGTCTGTGTGTCTGTTTTTGTACCAGCAACATGTCTTTTGGTTACAGTAGCCTTGTAGTATAATTTGAAGTCAGGTGGCATGATGCCTCCAGCTTCGCTCTTTTTGCTATTTTTAATTTTTATTATAGATTTAGTGAATGCAAGTGCAGTTTTGTTACATAGATACATTGGGTAGTGAGGAAGTCTGGGCTTTCAGTGTAGCTATCACCCAAATAATGAACATTGTACCCCTGAAATAATTTCTCATCCCTCCCCCATCTCACCCTCCCACCTCTCTGAGTCTCCAATCTCTCTCATTCCACACTCAATGCGCATGTGTACACATTATTTAGCTTTCACTCATAAGTGAGAACATATGGTATTTGATGTACTATTTCCAAGATGCCTCACTTAAGATAGTGTCCTCCATATCCATCCATGTTGCTGAAAAATTGTGATTTCATCTTGTTTTATGGCTGAAATAGTATTTATTTGTATATATAAGCCACATTTTCTTTATCTACTCTTCCATTGATGAATAGTTAGGTTAAGTCCATGTCTTTGCTATTGTGGCTATTGCTGCAAAGAACCTATGAGTGCAGGCATTTTTTAATATAATGATTTATTTTTGGGGTGGTAGATATCTAGTAGTGGGATCTCTGGATTAAATGGTAGTTCTACTTTTAGTTCTTTGAGAAATATCCATATTTGTTTTTCATATAGATTATACTAATTTACATTCCCATCAACAGTGTCTAAGCATTTTCTTTTCTCCTCACCAGCAATAGCCATTCTGACTGGTATAGATATAACAGCCTGAAAGGTCAAAGCAACCCTAAGCACAATGAATAAAACTAAAGGCGTCACATTGCCTGACTTCAAATTATACTACAAGGATATAATGACCAAAACAGCATGGTTCTGGTATAAAAATAGACACATAGGTCAACGGAACACAATAGACAACCTAGAAATAAAGCCACATACCTACAGCCAACTGATCTTTAAGAAAGCAGACAAAAACATACCAAGGAAAGGACATTCTGTTCAATAAATGGTGTTGGAAAAATTTAAATGCCATATGCATGAGAATGAAACTGGACCTCTATCTCTCACCGTATATGAAAATGTTCTTGAGATTAACTAAAGACATTTTTCAAGCCCTGCACTTCAGAAAGCAGCAATGATTAAGTATGTCCCTACCCTATGTTCTGGGACAGGGCTAACAGCAAAGGAACACCCTGCTTTGCATGTTCCCACGACCCATCCTCACAACTCTACCCTTCTTCGTGACTCTCATAGACATGTAGATGAATCCCTTATTAACGTGCCTCTATAAAAAGCAGACCCCCTCCTTTTCTTTGAGGTGTTCTTCATTAATGAATGTTCTCCATATTCCATTGGACTTAATATATCATCTCCTTAATTTCGTTTTTCATACCATACACATTAACGACTGACAGAAAAGGTAGATATATTTCCCATCTTTTATACTTTAGTTGTCTTTCTCAAAGAAGGTAATTTTCTAGCTGAAATCACTCTTTGCAAATTTGAATAAGTAGGAAGGAAAGACTCACCAATCTATAGATTTACCCAATTTTCTACATTTTTTTCTAAAAGAAACTCTTTCCATGACCTCTCTCTGATTTCTGTTGCCTGATACTGACCCATCTCTGCAGCCACATCGCTTTCCCTAACCCAGACACTATGTTGTTCTGATACTGCTCAATTAAGCCCTTTCAAGTCATATTGGTCTGGGTAGTTTGCAATATTCATCTATGCCTCAATCATAAAAAGCACAAAACTTTCCTCTCTGACATGTGAAATAACTATTTGTATAAACATTTAATATTTAAATTAAGTTTTTTTATTATAGTCTGAAAATATGAGGTAATTCATGCTTTCTACTTATCCTTAACCATTTTCTGTATGGCCCGTGATATTTTTTAGACTACCACTAACAATCGTTGCCGATGGTGGTTTTCTACCTATGTATGAGAGCAAGATTTGTTTAGTCTTTAAGGAGCATAATTTTTACAGAGTGTAAGTGTGACACGGATGGTGTCTGGGAGACAAGGTTTCTTACCTGCAGGGCTTTTTTTGAACTCATAATTAATTGTTGGCTCTTGTGTTTCTGTTGTATGCTTTTTATGGTGATCTCTGCTCAGGAAGCACAGAATAGGTGTTACTAATTGCCTTGGGCACCTCACCAGAGGAATGCTGATGGAACAAAAGTAGTGTTCATAATGCCACTCTGGCTGAAGGCTTTTGCTTGCATTTCAAGGCTCTTTCCATCCCTGGGTTGACTTAAAGTTACCTTCCAAGTGATGAAAGTTGTTTCAGGGTTAGAACCAAAACTTTTCAGTAACAAAATATATGAATAGAGAAATCTTTTAAAAGAGCCTTAGTGACCTTCGGAAATAAGAACAAGCAGTGAGAGTTTCTCTCCAGCATATAAGGCCAGAATGAGCCCTCTCAGTTCAGCTACTTAAGTGAGAATTTCAATTACTCTAGCAGCCATTGCTGACACTGGCAGATAAACACGTTAGGTAAATGAGCAAAGATGATTATTATGAATGTGGATTTAGAAACACATTAAACCAGTGGTGAAGAAATTTAGTGTCATGCTGATCACCACCAAGGCCAAAGGTAAAAATAAAGCTATGGAAAAGGTTTGTGAATCTTTTTCCACCTCAACAGAATGAAAACTGGAGATGATGGTATCCTTATCATTTACAGAAATTATGATGATTCTGCAGACATCCAGCATGTGATTTTAGAAGACCTCTGTGCTCTAAAGAAATGACAGCAATAATTTAACCATTTTAGAAATATTAATTTTGAAAACATGAAAATTATATGTACATATTACATACAAAAGAGTGTTTGCAACATTTAGGTATAATTTAAAAGATAATACAATATCGTTTTGTATAATTGATAACTAGTTTAAGAAATAGAAGTTGAAGCCACTGAGCACTTTCCACCAATGACATCTTTTTCTATTTCAGAAAATCCTTTTTTGAATTTTGTGTTAATTATACTTTAGCATTGGTTATATTTTATCACATAAGGGCACACCCTAAATTATAGACACTTATATAGCTATATTAATGAAAAATGTGATTAGTCTATACATGACTTTAAAAAATTTATGCTTTTAAAATACATCTATGTTGATGTGTCCCACAGTGACTCACTCACTTTTAGTCCTCTATGCAAACAGTTTATCCACTACTTTTCTTACAGGAAATTGGGTTATTTCTAGCTTTGGTATGTAAAAGATTGTGGCTATGAGCATTGCTACACAAATCTCCTTATTCATGTTTAGAATTTCCCTAGGCTATGAAACGCTGTCATAGTGTAGGTCGATCTTCAACTTTATGAGGTAATGCCAAATTGATTTCCAAGGTAATTTTAGAAACTTATTTATCTACTTAATTAATTGTTTTAAATTCTTCTATGTTTAGGTTTGGGAGGTACAGGTACAGGTTTTGTATGTGAATAAATGCCTGTCACTGAAATTTGGTGTGCAAATGATCCCATCATCCAGGTAGTGGGCATAGTACCCGACAGGTAGCCTTCCAACCCCTGCTCCCCTCCCACTCTCAACTTTCAGCAGTCCTCAGTGTCTGTGGTTCCCATCTTTGTGTCCATGTGTATTCAATGTTTAGCTCCCACTTACAAGTGAGAATATATGACATTTGATTTTCTGTTCCTGCATTAGTTCACTTAGGATAATGACCATCAGCTGCATCCACATTGCTGCAAAGGACATGATTTAATTTTTTTGTGGCTGTATAGTGTCCCATATTGTATATGTATCATGCTTTTTAAATCCAGTCCACCGTTGATGGGCCTCTGGTTTATTCTATGTCCACAGTTTTGAATAGGGCTCTAATGAACATACGTGTGTTTTTTGGTAGAATGATTTACTTTCTTTTGAGTATATAACCAGTAGTGGGATTGCTGGTTCAAATGGCAGTTCTATTTTAAGTTATTTGAGAAATATCCACACTGCTTTTCACAATGGCTGAAATGATTTACATTCCCACCAGTGTTGTATAAGAGTTCTCTTAATTACACCACTTAATTTACATTCCCACCAACATCTGTTGTTTTTTGACTTTTTAGTAATAGCCATTCTGACAGGTGTGAGATGATCTCTCATTGTGGTTTTGATTTGCATTTCTCTAATGACTAGTAATGATGAGCATTTGCACATGTATTTGTTGGCTGCATGCATGTCCTCTTTTGAGAAGTGTCTTTTCATATCCTTTGCCTATTTTATAATGGGGTTATTTGTTTTTTGTTTGCTGTATTGCTTAAGTTCCCTATAGATTCTGGATACTAGACCTTTGTTGGATGCACAGTCTGTATGTTGTCTGCTTACTCTGTGGATAGTTTATTTTTCTGTACAGAGTTTTAGCAATTTATATTTACACCAGGAGAGTTTAAGAGATCTGCTACAACACATACTTGGAAAATCATTGATAATATAAATCCATTTGTGAAACTAGATGTTTATCAATACTATAGTAGAATCCTTTCATTTTATAAATTATAAAATATTGGCCCAGAGATAATTCATGCTTCTCTGGGACTACACAGCTAGTCAGTAGCTCATTTGGAAGTAGAAATCTAGTCCTTTGAATTTCCACCTTGTAGTCGCAATTAAAACACTTGTATTATCAGCTTCTTAACTAGAAGATGGCATTCCAAGGAGCCGAAGGAACAAAACCAAAATTATTGGCCTTTTAACTTGATGGTTGAAAGAAATCATTATTCCCCTAAATACCATAAATAAAAGTGGGATTCCTTTATTATATTGGAATACATGGAAATGCATAAATAAAACAGGATGTTCTGTATTTAGAATACCACTGAAAACTAAAACTCTATGATGCTTTAAATAGATAAGAAAGCCTGCAGTATTTGCTGAAACTGAATAGTGGTGGTATCCAAAACCAAACCAAAACAAAGAAACAATGACAATAACAAATAGCAAAGAAGAAAATAAGTGAATTTGATTAAATAGAGGAGCGCTAACACTAAAATTTCTACCCTGAAATCCCGAACTTGAGAAACATCTTGCTAGTTATGTTCCTAATATTTAGACCATTACCTATGAGAAATTAGGAGCCCATACAGCAAATTATCTAATATGTTCAAGAAAGTGTCTTTTCTATAGCGGATTATCATTTAAAAAATGATATTTCTTGGTGAAACCCAGTTTCTACTACAAATACAAAAAAAGTAGCCAGGCATGGAGGCGGGCACCTGTAATCCCAGCTACTCAGGAGGCTGAGGCAGGAGAATAGCTTGAACCAGAAGGCGTAAGTTGTGGTGAGCAGGTATTGCATCACTGCACCCCAGCCTGGAGAACAGAGTGAGACTCCATCTCAAAAAAAATGATATTTCTATACCATATTTATTAGTTCTACTATGTGCATAAATGTATATATGTATTTGTGTATGTGTGTTTCTGTATATGTATATCTACACTGTGTATTTTTTCTTTAATCTCAGAAAGCAATTCTATATGAACTTCAATTGTGATTGAAGTTCATACAGAATTGTATTTTAAATACAGTTGTAGCTTTAGGATAACTCTAAAGTTTCCAGTGCTAATTTGTTCTAATCTAGGTTTATGCTATTTGAAAAAAGAGATATTTGGATTTCTGGGAAATCATGAAGAAATTTACAAATGTTAGAACAATTACATTTAAAAGCAAGAATAATTAGTAAAGGAAATGGAAGTAGAATTTACCAAGAGTTTGCTAGGTATCAGATTCTCTGTTAAGGATTTTTCATAAATTTTATTTCTTTAATAACATTTGTGTGGCATGTTAATCTCATTTTACATTATTCTTAAGGAGCTTAAATGAATTAGTGTTATAACAAATTTATAATGGTCATATTGCTGAAGTTGACCACTAGAAGATGCAATGTCTATAGAAGCAAACCAGAGTCATTTGTGACTTTTGAAAAATCCCTTGTGGTATAAAATCAAAATTACAAGGTGTTTTTGTTGTTGTTGTTGTTGTTGCTATGTTGTTTTTAAAATATCTTTTGGATTTGGTCATTAGCCTTATGGAAACATTGCTATACCAAAAATGTCTTAATCTATTCAGATTAGAATATATTTTTCTTGTAGTATTGTTATAATTTTTATTTTGATTAATGCTCTGTGAATCCAGCAAACCTACAGAATATGATTGAATTTTTACAACCATAATTTTTTCAATTTATAGAATTTTTCAATAATAAGTGTCTCTGTATCTATCTAATTGTAATTCAAAAGTATATTTTTGACTGTGGTGCCAGGTGTTGTTCTTTTCTATCAAGTCAGAAGCTTAATATATACATGGGCATTTCCCCTGTTCTAAAATCATAAAGTTCCTAAATCATACACCTTGAAATTGGCTTCTTGATGAAGAAATTGCTGATTTTCTGCTACTCACAGTTTATGAGAGTTGTGTAATTCTCAATGCTTAGTTAGTAGGGTACAAAGATAAGACATTTCTACAATGATTCTAGTCTGCTGGAGATTTCATATACTGTATAGACAAAGGTAAAGTTTTGTTACACCACATTACACAGTCAAAAGATCAATAAATGTTATGTTTAATAAAAGTCAAAATCCTAAGCTTTGGGATTCAATCATAGTAAAAGTTACAAAGACTTATTATATTTATCCTAGCAAAGCCCAAGGAAGTATACATTTTGAAGTATTTGTCTTTAACAAAAGCATATTAAACAACACTGAATCAGTGAACCATGTTATTACTCATTTGAAAATGCGCTAAAAAACTTGTTCTTTAATGCTATTTAAATAATGTCAGCATTCTATTATCTAAACTCTCTTAATTTCAGTAAACATATTTTTGAAATCTTAATATTTTATGAAAACTTTCAGACAAAATGTTTATAAAATGACTGACTTGAAATTTTAGAATATGTAGATTATTTTCTATTTTCCATTAATACAGATAATCTGAATATAACCTTCTTAAGGCCAAAAAAGGTCATAGTTACAATTATGCTCCTAGAATAGAATCATCCCAGAAGTGAATCAATTGGATCAGTTTATGAATTTTTTCTGTCCTTCTGTAGAAATAATGCTATAGAGCTTTTCCAAATGTCTATGCACAAGGCCTTATTTACAATGTGTAGGTATGTTTTTATAAATATATTTTAATTAGTTTAACAATAATCAGCCTAGCAGTTAATATATTAATTTATCTTTATTTTAAAATCATATATAAAGTTATGAAAACAAATAGTACAAGAAAGCCTTTAATAAATAACAATTCCTAACCTTACCCATTTCCACCCAAAGTTCAACTCCCTTATATGAAAACCTCTGCAGAGATTGTTAGCTCTTTCAAGTTTAACAAAATGATTCTAAGTTAATGTGCTTATATTACTTCCTTTAAATCACCTTTAGATGATACACTTTAGCCTCCTGCCTTCAAAGAGTCCTTAGTGCAAAGTAAACCCTACAGAAGTAATATATGTTATTATCATTATTATTGCCTATTGTATTTTAAAAATTTCAAACCTGTCTAATTCTGCCCTTTAACAATATTTTATAACTGGCTAGGTGTGGTGGCTCATGCCTGCATTCCCAGCACTTTGGGAGGCCAAGGCGGGCGGATCACGAGGTCAGAAGATCAAGACCATCCTGGCTAACACAGTGAAACCGCGTCTCTACTAAAAATACAAAAATTAACTACGCATGGTGGCGGGTGCCTGTAGTCCCAGCTACTCGGGAGGCTGAGGGAGGAGAATTGTTTGAACTTGGGAGGTGGAGGTAGCAGTGAGCCCACATCACTCCACTGCTCTCTGGCCTGGGCAACACAGCAAGACTCCATCTCAAAAAACAAACAAAAAAAAATATTACTTTGGGTAGTGTAGCCATTTTCACAATATTGATTCTTCCTATCCATGAGCATGGAATGTTTATCTATTTGTTTGTGTCCTCTCTGATTTCCTTGAGCCGTGGTTTGTAGTTCTCCTTGAAGAGGTCCTTTATTTCCCTTGTTAGTGGTATTCCTATGTATTTTATTATCTTTGTGGCAATTGTGAATGCGCGTTCATTCACGATTTGGCTCTCTGCTTGTCTGTTGTTGGTGTATAGAAATGTTTGTGATATCTGCACACTGATTTTGTACTCTGAGACTTTGCTGAAGTTGCTTATCAGCTCAAGGAGCTTTTGGGCTGAAACAATGGGGTTTCTAGATACAGGATCATGTAGTCTGTCAACAAAGACACCTTGACTTCCTCTCTTCCTATTTAAAATCCTTTCTTTCTCTTGCCTGATTGCCCTGGCCAGAACTTCCAACACTGTGCTGAATAAGAGTGATGACAGAGGGCATTCTTGTTTCAAGACTATTTTATAATAACAATGAAAGACTCAATTAATTCAAATTACCTTCAATTAGGATTTTGTTATTTGAACTAGAGACCAAGGAAATCTTTTTTCCTATGAGTATATGTATATATAAAAATGTATACATGCCATTTCAGTTAGAAATGCCATTCCTGGAACTTATTCTGAAAAGATAAAATTGAGTGTAAAATTTAATTGGACATATATTCATTTATAGCATTGCTAATTAAACTTAAATTGAAAGCATGTTAAATGTGCAACAAGACAGTTACTATGATGCATTTGTCAAGTTAGTATATTTGTGCTTAACAATTATAATCTATAAATATTTCTTTGTTACAAAGGATTTTGGAAGAAAATAAAACTGATTTAAAATAAGACAATTTTGTCAAAGATACATATTCATGAACAAAAATGACTGGTAATATTATACTAAAAGGGTTAACAGTTACTGTCTTGGGATGGAAGAGCTGTTAGCACATTTGTTTGCTTCAATTTGATTATTCACATTTGATGCCTTTTGTAAAATGAACATGCATAACTCATGTAAAATAAGTACTCTTAAAAAATTAAAAACATAAACTACCGTGGGAGGATGAGAGTTAGAAGAAAGCACTAAACTACAAAGTAACATTTATTAGGCATCTGTCAGTTGCAGCCGGGATACAGTGCCACAATCACCCCTCTATTTACAATGCCACATTCACAAAAATCCTTTCAGGATAGAATTTGTATGTTCATTTAACAGATAGTAACCTGAGTTTCAAGGAGGTTAAAATATGTAAGACTACATAAGACCTACGATGCAGAGCCCATGAGCTCTCTCCTACATATAGATTCCTCTAGTCTATTTCTTTAGATGCAAAATTTTACTTTTAAACAAGAGATCTCTACTGCGCAAAGAAGTGGTATCTTATATGTGAATAGTATTAAAGTTATTAAGTGTTGTCATTATTTTCTGTGACCAATGAATTAGAATTTTTTTTAACTGCAATTTCTCAGGTTAGTATGTAGATGGAATTAACTGATATTGGTCAAAGATGAGGCCAGAAAGTGATAATGTGAATACATAAAATGAGTTTCTTGCAGAAGTATGCCTTTTGTAAAAATAAATATGTTTCTTATTTATTAAGAGACAAAAGAGAGCTTTTAATACCAAGCATAAAAGCCTGAGTATCTAAGGGCTTCATCTGTGAGCATTAAGATGTGTTTAGAGTTACGTCAAGGAATTGGCTTCTACAAAGTGATTTCATTGCCTTGTTATGGGTCTTTTGAGGGAAGGAATTGAAAATATAATTTGTAATGTATGGGGACATATTTTATTAAATATATGAGGACTCTAAAAGAACAAGGATCTTGAGATCTTTTTTTGTGATTCTAGCGCATACGTATTAATATGTTCTAAAAGGACAATGTTCAAATACACACTGCATATAGGGTAATATTTGTTTCTAATAAAAATATAGGGAAAAAACTGTACAATAATCAAATGTAGACAACATATGCTCACCATTATATCAACAGAAAATATCTATTATTCAACTTATCCTAATAATATCATTGCAATGAAAATACTAGCTAGTGGGAGTCTGTCATACCTTTCCAAATATACTTTCCAGGTGTCCAGAATAAATTTGGCACTCCAATCCCTGAAAACCAGCTCTAGAAGCCTTTTAAAGACATGGATTAGAGAGTTCCTTTGGCACTAGGTAAATAACAGGTGGTGATGATTGACAGATTATGTGGCAGCCTCTCAACTATTTACTCCTGTTGTTACTGAGAGTGACAGGGAGTTTATAACTCTGCTTCTGTGGGTTGGGATAACTCTTCTGGACTGAGCAAGCCTGACATGCTGCTGTAACTAAGTGATAAGTGGAGCCCAGTCTCCACCTGCTCACTGAGGCTCCTAAACATTCTACTGTCCTCTCCTGGTTTGATGTAGATCTTTCCTACTGGCCCTCCAGATGGGCCTGCATCAGGCTTTTTAAATGCTCAGACATGTTTTCTGGGACATCTGATAGACATCAGTAAAATCACCTGACCCTTGCATTCATCAGGAAGAGACATATTGGGAAGCCATAAGGAAAGATTTATTCATCTTCACAGCTGTCAGAGAGTAGCAGTGTTACTACTATTTGTAGTAACACTCTGTGTGTGTGTGTGTTTGTGTGAGAGAGAGAAAGAGAGAAAGAAGAAAGAGAATGTCTCACTCTTTCCTGCACATGTTATACATGTTCCTCTCTCTCTGTTGGGCTATGTTTTGTCTCCCTGTTGCAATGTAAGGCCTAAAACTGAGGCTCGATGTTACATGCTGTCTTGACATCTAGTGAAATCAGGAGGCCTTCAAATAGCCTAACCGTATATTTACCTCTCCATGGTGTTCCCACAGCTAAAGGCCTCTAGTCAAACAACTCTCCTTGTTAAAGAAAAAAGGTACAATATCTGCTTATTTCTAAATAAAGGGTTTCAGTTTTCTGCTCACCCACGAAATTATTAAAACAAGTAAACCACGTCGTGCATGGCAAACAGGGGTCATCCCACCCTCTTCACATTAAACAGTCTACTTCCCACACTGCCTGCTTGGTCACTTTGTTTCCAAATGTAATTCATGTGGGGGCCTATGGAGTTCTGTGCCCTCCTACCCCAGGCTGTGAGTATATGGGGCTAACAAACTGCTGTAGATCTCATTTGGCCAGTGTTGGGTGTTGTGTGGTTGATCATCCTCATCACCCTTTTATGGCGTCCGTTTCTTACCAACAGTGTGAATAGTAGGTGGTTAAAACTCCCATGCATTATTTGGCCAACCATCCTTTATGTTCAATTCTATTCCTTCCACTTAAAAGAAACATTCCTTTCTGTAGTGGAGGATACAATCATCTCTCTTCTCAAATACCAGATTAGCGCCCTTAATTTCAGCCCTTCCAATACATTCTTTTGTCCCTTATAAGACCAACTTGCCATTGTGTCTGCTTAATACACTGGGCTTGTTATATCTTTAAGACTAGTTACTGAGTATTTTACTTCTTTGTTCTACACAGTCCTTTAAAAAAATGCAGTAAGTACGGAATAAAATCGATTTGTAGGTAAAAAAGCTAGATGGTTTATTTCTTACTCTGGACCTCACCTTCCTTTCTAATTTAGGCCATCTTTTTTGTAATAAGTCTTGCTTCTGGATCATAAGTGAAAATAAGTATGTATTCCCCGTGACTACTAGTGTATAAATAATGCTTGAAAGCATATATTCTATTAGTAGTGAATCAACTGCATTATTTTTTATTATTATAGACAGAAAAGTTTACTATTCTGTATTAATATTAGTTGTATTATTGTTTTATTCTTTATTCTTTGGAGAGTCTTATTTCTTTTGCTGGCCCCAGTTCCCATTCCTTAATTATGTGCAAACACCAACCTGAGCCCTGAGCCCTTGACCTAGATCTGTTCTTTTTCTATATACTTTTCTTAGGTGAATAGATCATGTGTTAAGTCTCAGTTCTTACTTTGTAGTGAGATATACCAACTTTCATATGAAATTGCAGTCTTCTATCTGTGCTATGCATTAATTTATAAGAAGACATAGTGAGTTCAAACTCTTCATTTTAAAATTTAACTCATTTTTTCATATAACTTTTATTTCATTTTTAACATTTTACACAGAAACATAATCACTCTGCTAGGTATTTATCCTAAAATCTTGGAATCATCTTTGATTCTTTCTTTTTCTTCCATTTTTGTATAATCACATAAGTAGCAAGCCTTGGAGAGACAAATACAAAGACTAGACTGACTGGAAAAAAAGAATTCTATAAAGGAGAGGTAGTTCTTTAGGGGCTTCACGTAATGTAATTATTGGAAAGCAGAATATATTTATTTTATATATTGAAATGCAGTGCTCTCATTCACCTGCACTTGAATGACTGTTGTGAACAGAAAGAGATGTGTCATCATTTTTGTGTTACTTTAGTTTCCCTTCTCAAGTAGCCTTACATAACTTGATACTGTTTGCAAACTAATTTTAATCAAATGTCAAAAATATTTATTTTTTATAAGCTTCTATCTCCCTAAAATTAATTATGCTTTTTCTATGAGTATTAGTACTATATAAAATTATGTGTATTAATAAAATAGAAGAAAGAAAATGATAAACATGAATTTTGTCTACTTTTTAGACTTGCTTTGAAATAATTGGGAAAAATTATTATGCAATTATTTTGGTACCCTGATTGTCTTTGTTATTGGCTGTCAGAGAATTAGCAGTCAACTAGAAAGTACAGGTAGACTGTGAAAACATTTAAAATGGAACAATGTCATTATCTGTGAAACTAATTTAGAATGTGAAATCACTTTACCCACTTGTCTTCTCAGAGGCATACACAAAACTATAGATTTAAATATGCCAAGGGTATAGACTTTCTTTATAAGACTATAGCAAATCTCACAGATAACCCATAGATATAGTAATTCAAAAGCAAGATTAATGATTTTATCACAATTTGGAATACATTAGCAGCAATATTTCCATGGACATGTGTGAATTCTGTTCTCTATTACAATAGAGAACATGTGCTTTATAAATGTCTTCCCTGAGGTTGAACATACACTCAAATGCAAGTAATTAATTTAATAAATTTAAAAGGGACATGTGAAATATGGCTATCTGCAAGTAGGAATCTTTAAAAACACTTATTTCCTATGAATATTTGGAAATAAGTAACACAGCAATGTGTTATTTGTTGTTCAGAAATAAGTTAATTTATGACTCCAATTGTATCATGGACTTTGGTAATACGTTTTCAAGGAAAACAACATAGACCTATTTAAAGGAAATATTTGCAGACAAATTTTGAAAAACATTAATAATAACAAATATAAACACAATGAAATTGAGACAAAGAACAGGATATACACACATACGTATGTTTAAATTTACTATGGATTACTGATTAATCTCTCAATGGCTGCCGTAAGAGACCTCAAGTGTAGGCTAATAAAAAAGACAACCCTAGTAGATAAGTCTTTCTGAAAATTGGTTAGGGTTCAGCAAGTCTTTTCCATGTCTTTTCTTGGATTTGGCTGATTAATGCTGAGGACCAATGAAGATTTAGGTTGGCTTTGTCTATATATCTAAATCTTCATCAAGGGAGGAGGATTAGAGGAATAGAAATCTATTAGCACATTTCCTGAAGTGAGGGACTCAATGAATTTTTCGATTCAACTCTCTATATTTTTTTAAAAAAATAAAAACTCATTCAAATAAGAGTTTTAAACCTTTTCCATTAGAGCTAAGTACAAAGTAGATTGAATGGAAAAGATATGTACCATTCTTAATTTCTCATTTCATTTGCAATTATTTTTCTCTCCACATATTCCCTCATTCTTCATGGTAATTCTGTAAGATGCTGAGATAGCACGTACGGTTGAATTGTGTAATCAAACTGACATGAATCAGAGATGAAATCCAGTATCAAGATTTAATAATTATTTCAAAAGTACAAGTAATTATGAAATAAAATGTCATGTATAATAAAATAAATGCAAATTAGAAGATTTAATTTCACAGTTATTGGATTGATGATAAGTAAAGAATGGGAACATAGAGGGAAATAGGACCTTTCAAACAATTTTGTAAAGATGGAAATTGGCACAAAATTATACAGTGTGATTTTACTATGTATGTATTTGAAATTTTTAAATGTGCATACTATTTTACTGAAATATATATTATAGATATATATACATTGGAGCACAGCAGAATTACATACAAGTATAGTGAAAGCAATGTAAGTACAGAAAAATAGAAAACACATATATCAGAAAGATATTTCATTCAGTTTAGATATTCTCAAAGAATAGAGAGCTGTATAAGAATATATTTCTAAGCTTTAATTTAAAATATTAATAGTTGCAACAAATAAGATAAAATATGCCATTTTTATGTACTCACATGTGCGTATATTTATATATTTCTATAAATTTACAGAAGGCTAAGTCAAGAAACAGCTACCTCAAGTGTATGAGCTAAAATAAGAGACATAATGACTGTATAAAGGAAACATCAGTGGAAGTCTCTATTATTCTATACTCTCATATTTTTATAATCAAAATGTATTATGGCTATAATAAAATTTTAAAAATAATTTTCAGCAAAGATGTTATCATTTCACTGAAAAATTTAGAAAAATAAACAAGGAAAGCCAACAGAGAAAATAATGATAATAAAATCCAAACTTAATAAATCAGAAAAGCAGTGAAAATGAAAAGTAAATTCAAGAGCTTTTTGTTTGAAGAAACCAGTAAATAGAAAACAAATAGGTACAAACACAAATAAAGTTGATAATGATGTTGTATAACAGAAATGAATATTAAAGTAAATGTATAAATATTATTTTATAGTCACAAACACTCTGTACTCAGCTTGTAAATTTATTGTCTTATCTTTATTTAGAATGACAAGAGGATGCTCTTATTTATTGACCATATCAAGATATGTAGCAAACATACATCTTTTAACATAAGTATTGAAAAGTCAGTAATGCAAAATTAAATCATTTTACGAGTTGAGGGTTCACAACTGCAGAATCAATATCTGATATTAGTTTTGTCTTTGAGGCAAAAGAAAAACTAATATTCACTGAATTCATTTTAATTCAGAAACATCCAAATCATCCCAAACTCTGGTAATACACAAGTCTCAGCAATTTTTGATTCATATATACGTAGAATGCACTAGAGCAGAAACGTTTTCTCTTTTCTTTTTATGTTTTTTTTTTTTTTTTTTTGAAACAGGATCTTACTCTGTTGCCCACGTTGGAGTGCAGTGGCACAATCATGGCTCACTTCAGCCTTGACCTCCGGGGCTCAGACAGTCCTCTCATGTCAGCCTCCTAAATGGCTAGGATCACAGGTGAGTGCCAACATGCCTGCTAATTTTTTAATTATTATTTGTAAAGACGAGGATTCCTTATGTGGCCTATGCTGGTCTTGAGCTCCTGGCCACAAGAGATTCCTCCGGCCTTGGCCTCTCAAAGTGCTGGGATTATAAATGTAAGCCCTAGCACCTGGCCAGAAAAATGTTCTGAATGATTTTTCCCTTTGTGTTCCATATATAACTAATAAATTTATTCCACACATTTGTATCTGTTCTGGCATTGTCAGGTGCTCAGATGAGACACATCGCACTCCAAGAGTGAGTTCCAGTCTGAACAATATCTTAATATCATCCAGATGGTAGGGTCTCTGACAAATAGTCTGGCTCAGACACTGAGGACAGGTGTGGATAGATTCATCGAGGCTCAGCTCTGCTGTTGGCAGAGAACCAGTAACTGGAATATAATTTCCCAAGGTGGTAATGATTTGTGTCAGGTTGAGCAAAGTAAAACATAATATAGTTTCTAGAAACTACATAATTTTGTTCAAATTATTTGTTTGACTATGTTTTGTTTTTAATGGTTAACTGTAAAATACTGTTATATTCAATTAATTAATTTTATTATTTATTTTTAATTAACAATAAACATGATGCACCTTTGTGGTAGACAACATGATGTTTTGAAATATATGTGCATTGTAGAATAAGTAAATCAAGCTAATTAACATTTGTATTACCTCATGTACTTATTTCTTTGTGTGTGTGTGTGTGTGCACACCTGCATGTGTGTGATGAGATACCAATTAATTTAGCATTTTGTTATTTTTTATGTTTTTCAGTGAGACAAGGTCCCTAGATCTATAAGTGGTTTCTGTCTTCCTGGTTGATATGGTTTGGCTGGATCCTCACTCAAATCTCAACTTGAATTGTATCTCCCAGAATTCCCACGTGTTGTGGGAGGGACCCAGGGGGTAGGTAATTTAATCACGGGGGCCAGTCTTTCCTGTGCTATTCTCGTGTTGGTGAATAAGTTTCACAACATCGGGGGCTTATCAGGGCTTTCCGCTTTTGCTTCTTCCTCATTTTTTCTCTTGCTGCCACCATGTGAGAAGTGCATTTCACCTCCTGCCGTGAATGTGAGGCCTCCTCAGCCATGTGGAACTGTAAGTCCAGTGAAACCTCTTTTTCTTCTCAGTCTCGGGTCTTTATCAGCAGCGTGAAAGCGGACTAATACACTGGTCATCCTGATAAGGTTTTAGGGAGCCCGATCTTTTCATAATGTAAAGCAGAAGACACCTTCTAATGAGAGGCTGAGTAGGATAACACTAGTGGGAGTTTGGAGATCTTATGTTAAGGTAAGCATACTTGTTCTGGCTCACTCTGGGCCAAATGGCCATACATTTATGGAAAAAGCAAGCAGGACTGATAAAATTCAAGGTAATACTCCATAATGAAGCATCTGAGGCGACTTCTAGGGCAGGTGTTAAATATTTTAGTTCTCGAAGCCATACACAGCAAAATATGATTAAGAATGATTACAATTTATCAGCAAGATTAATCCCTTGCTACTCCAAAGACTACCAGCATTGCCGTCACCTGGGAGCCTGTTAAAAATGCAGAATTTCAGTTCCCACCCCAAACCTACTAAATCAGAATCTGAAATAGTATAACTTTAAATAATACCAATAATAAATGATAAAGAGGAAGGAAGAAAACTTTGGGAGGTGAGATGTGTTTATGGCTTTGATGGTGGTGATAGCTTCACAGATGCAAACTCATCAAGATGTATGCATTAAATATGTACATTAAATATGTCAAACCATACCTCAGTGGTTGAATAAAATAGACGAATAAAACTTGTTCAGGTGATATGTATGTATATCAGTTTGAGAAGCACAGTTCTTACATACCTCATACACAGCAAATATTTGGCCTATGCCACCGAAGAATTTTTGAAGCATTTACTGTAAATTCATCATTTATTTGCCAACAAATAATTAAATCTCTAAGACTAGTTCAGTCTAGAAGTATACAATCATTAACAATAGCACAGGCCAGAGTACAGCTTTTAACACCTGCCTTTCCAAAATATATAGGTGTGATTATAATCGGAATTAGTTGCTTTCCTTTTCCCATTTTATCTGGTGGTGATAAGGAGTTTAGGTATGTGTGCCCTTTGATATGTGATGTTAATATTTTATTTCTGATGTCCAAATTAGGTGATGCCATGCTTGTTTGTTTCTTTGTGTGGAAAATACTATGTAGTTGGAGGCATGTGTCCAACGTTCTGATTGCAACTATCAGAATAATTTCTAAGAAAATCTGGTATGGTCTGATTCAGCAAAGGTCAAGAGGTTTTAATATGTATTCCTGGGTCAGGACAAAGTAGATCATATTGTATAAGAGGATATTATTGTGTAGGATCTTCAGGGAAAGCGACTGGAGTTATAAATGATAAATCAAAGGCAATGCAAATGATCTTGACGATATAAAGCTATTTTATTACTGGAACATGTACTTGTGATTTGTTAAAGGTCTGGAGGAAAGGCAAGTAATTTCTAAAGCTGTCTCTGATTATTTTGTAAGAATATAATACAGTTTTTCCCTTTGGTATGGTTCTTATACTTTTGAGGGCAAAAGTTATTTTTTTCAGGGCATTTTAAATTTGTGTACTTACAGTTTTTTGTCACTATGTTCTTTATCATCTCATTTCTCCTTTTAACTTCTTCCAGAATTGAGAGATGATTAAAATGCATAAATTTGTTTTATATATAAAAATATACATATATATGAATGATATGGAAGTAGAGACATGGTATTTAAGCAAGGAATTAAATAATTCCTTTTTTGTTGTTTTGGGTTTTTGTTTTTAGTAACTTACATAATAAACTCTTATGCAAGAAAAGCATTTAATTAACATATAAGTTAAACATACATTTGATGCAAAACATTTGTATCCATTTATCTCGAGATGTTATACAAAATCCATTTGTAAGTTTAGGAAAGGATGCAAGGGATAGGACTTGTCATTAAATAATGGCATAAGTTATGTCCTGACAATCAGCTCTTCAGAAAACAAGTAAAACTTCTGGTTGATAATTTGTAATGTTTGCTGACTTAGGTGGTGTATATATCCATTATTGATGATTTCAAACTAATGATAGTTTTTTAACCTGTTTACAAAATTCCTGAACATTGAACCACTGGCTCACAAGCTGATAGAAAGCAGCTCTTGCACACCACTGGCTGTAAGAACTGCTTCACCTACATTCTGAGCCTAACAGAGGTACACAAGACAAAATCCAAAGAAGTGTGCATATATTTTGTTACAGTGAGCATTTTTTACCCTAACTTATCAGTGTTCCTTTGTTAATTTAAGACAGAGTGTGCAAAAAACAACAACAACAACAAAAAAGGTATATGGGAATAATCTGAAGAGACAAGCTACCTTCTGGTGTTTGGTGTTTGTCACAGAGTATCCGGTTTTAAAAGGTCTTGACTTTTGCCCTTCTTTAAATTTTTCATTTCAGGAAAGATCCTATAAACTTGCTGCATCTCAAAATAAGTATATTTGGAAAGTCATTTTGGTTTTAAGAAAACGAACTTCACTGGAAAAAAAAAAGAAAAAAAAAAGTAGGCCTATTCTTTACCTAAAGAAACCTGAGAACATATTTTATTTTGAGAAATATTCTTTGCTTTAACTTTAATCCAAATATGAGAACATTTTATGTTATAACTACACTGTAGCACTTAATTAAAAAAAATTAAATCTTCTACAAAAGAATTAGAGAAAATACAAAAAATAGAGCACTTAATAGTTTAGATTGCATTTACACCAAAATAAATAAGGGTGATGAAAAGAACAATTCAATTTATCAAGAACTGTAGAAGGTGTGAGATTTTATCCTATATGTAAGCTAACAAATTAGCCTGCCATAGTTTCAAATAGATGCTGGCAGAATACATGAGAGTCCTGGATCAGAGACAAATAACTTTATTATTCATGGCCCAGCAAGAAGTATAAGATTTATGTTTGCATAGATTCCTCTTAACCCCCAAGATCCATAGGGTGAGATTCTTTTCTGTCAAAGCTGAGGAACCTTGAGCTTAGGGAGCCTGAATATTTTATAATGGGCTGTAAGCAAACCTGCCCATCCTTTACCTCATAAAGGAAGATTATCTTTGTAATACTGGACAGCACACAGGCACACACTCTGAGCCAGATGGAGACACTATATCTTCTGAAGCTGTTCACTATAGCAACATCTTTAAAAATGTAGAACGAACGGAAGCTGCCAGTGCTTCTGATAGCAAGATGAGCAGAAATGTGAGAGATACACAGATACTTGTCTCCTAAAACATGAATGTGAACATTTGAAGTACTGCCTGGAACACCCATTCAATTTTTTTTCATTGGTAAAAGTGTGGTATTTATTACTCAAGACAGTTAGCTTTAGAGTCAAATTCCAATTTTGATGGATTTTAAGTAATTGTAGTAATTATCTATGTAATGTGTTATCCAAAAATTGAAAAGAAAATTAAAGATACCAGTGAATATAACAACATTCAGACAAAAGGAATTTTAGAATTTTAAAACCCTAGAAGTCCACCATACTGAAGAATGATTTTCATGGATGTTTATTTTTACAACTTGATCTAGATAAGTGTTGGCAAAGTACAGCCCATGGGCCAAATCTGTCCTACTACCAGCTTTTATAAACAACATTTTATTGGAATACAGGTACATTCAGTTGTTACTTATTGTCTATGGCTGCTCTTGCACTAGAATGACAGAGTGAAGTAGTTGTGACAGAGAATGTATGGTCTACAAAAGTGGTCCCCAGCCTTTTTGACACCAGGGACTGGTTTCATGGAAGACAATTTTTCCGTGGACAGGGTAGAAGGGGAACAATAGGATGATTTCAGGATGAAACTGTTCCACCTCAGATCATCAGGCATTACATTCTCATAAGGAGCATACAACATAGATCCACCACATGCACAGTTCACAATAGGGCTTGTGCTCCTATGAGAATCTAATGCTGCCACTGATCTGACAGGAGGCAGAGCTCAGGTTGTAATGCTCGCTCACCCACTGCTCACCTCCTGCTGTGCGGCTTGGTTGCTAACAGGCCAAAGACTGGGTTGGGAACCCCTGGTCTACAAAAGCAAAAATATTTACAATCTAGCTGCTTACAGATGTCTGTTGACTCCTGATCTAAATTCCACAAGAACCATATCACAATAGACACTACAGCATTTTAAATAACATGTTTTAGGGATAAGTTTTTATTTGCATTATCAATGGTGATTAATTAATAGCTTTACAAGGGATGTTTTGGTATTTTTAGCTAATCTTTGGAGGTTTGTTTCTATATAACATATGCATGTTTAGACATTTATAAGTATTTTCAGTAAAATTATTCACAGTATTTTAATAGGTTAAACATGTGTGTCCTTGTTCCCAACACAAGGGCATTTTTTTCTAGATTACTTGGCCAATAATGTCTAGTAAAATCCCCATAGAAAGTGTATGACTTTCCAATATCCGAATATACTCGTTGGTTTTTACTATGTCAATACCCTGGATTTGGGAGGGTGAGGTTGGTAGTGGGACTGTACTGTAATTTTCAAGAACTTTACCTTAATTAATAGTTTGCATTAGTAGAGATTGTAATTTTACATATCCAGTTAGCACCTGCATTCTGTAAAGGAGACACCATACCTTAAGCTTTCTGTGGTTCTATCCATAGCCCATGTTATAGTTTCAGAAGGTATCACTGGACTTTCCATTTAAAAGATTGGGAAAATTGGGGCTTATTTTTCCTTGGGGCATGCTAAGAGCCCATGAAGCTAATTATTTCAGCATTTTTTATTTCATCCTAGATTTGGCCTTCCTACATTCATTCTTGTCAAACACACACTTGGGCCAGCTTCTCTGTTTTCATTCTAATTGTTCTTTTTCACTTCAGCTAGTTTTGGGGTAATCACATTCAGGAACAAGGAAAATGCGTTGTTTTCCCAGAGTTCAATTAACTGATAGTGCTCTGTCCCAACAGCTGAAAGACAGTCTTGTGGCCAGCTCCTTTTCTAACCTCCTGGTAACAGAGGTCCTGATAACTTGTAGATTAACAATAGCATTATTCAAAATTGAATATTGTTAATCCCTTTCAACCCTATAATTATTTAAGGCAAGATATAAGAAACAATTTTTTTTCCTATTTAGATACCATGGAAGTTGTGGCCACTAACCAACATTTCTCATATATAAAATGTAGTGAGTTCTGGATTTAAGGCCAGATTCCTTTCACCTTCGACTTTGGGAGCCTAAGTAATTTTAATTCATTATGTCTGAAGTTGCATGAACACTAATTTTGGTTATTTTTAAAATATATTTACTCCAAATATTACACAGAAAACACAGATGAATGTGTTGTCTGCATTCATCTGTAATACAACTTTGAAGCAAAAGTTTTAAAATAAGTATTTTGAATAATTTTACATTTAGAGTTTTATATCTCAATTTTAGGATTTGAATGGTGAGGTACTCAGGGTAAGAAGAGAAGCAAGTTCTCTGGCTCTAAAAAGCATTTCTTCTTTAAACCCAGTTGTTTTATAAGTGTATCAGCTCATTCTCACATTGCTATAAATAAATGCCTGAGGCAAGGTAACTTATAAAGAAAGGAGGTTTAATTGGCTCACAGTTCCACAGGCTGTACAGGAAGCATGGCTGAGGAGGCCTCAGGAAACTTTCAATCATGGCAGAAGGCAAGAAGAAAATAGGAAGATCTTAATATGGCCAGAGCAGGAGGAAGTGGCAGGGAGGTGCCACATACTGTTTAACAACCAGATCTCTCTATCAGGAGAATAGCACCAAAGAGGGAAATCTGCAGCCATGATCCAATTACCTCCCACCAAGCCCCACCTCCAACACTGGGGATTACAACTCCACGTGAGATTTGGGCAGGGACACAAATCCAAACCATGGCATTCCATCCCTGGCCCCTGACCAATCTATGAACTTCTCACATAGCAAAATACAATCATCCCTTCTCAACAGTCCCCCAAAGTCTTAACTCATTTCAGTTAATACTCAGAAGTCCATAATCCAGAGTCTCATCTGAGACAAGGCAAGTCCCTTCAGCCTATGAGCCTGTAAAATAAAAAACAAGTTAGTTATTTCCAAGATATGATGGGGTACAGGCATTGGATAAATACTCATGTTCCAAAAGGGAGGAATCAGCCAAAAGAAAGGGGCTACAGGCCCCATGCAAGGCCAAAATCCAGCAGAGAAGTCATTAAAACTTAAAGCTTCACAATCATGTCCTTTGACTTCATGTCTCACATCCAGGGCACACTGATGGAAGGGGTAAGCTCACTAGGCCTTGGGTAGCTCTGCCCTTGGGGCTCTGCAGAGCTCATACCCCAGGGCTATTCTCAAGGACTGGCATTAAGTGCCTGTGGCTTTTCTAGGTGCACTGTACAAGCTGCCAGTGTATCTATTATTCTGGGTTCCAGAGGACAGTGGTCCTCTTCTTACAGCTCCACTAGGCAGTGCTGTAATAGGGAATCTGTGTTGCAGCTCCAACTCCACCTTTACCCTCCACACTGCACTAGTAGAGGTTCTCCATAAGGGCTCTGCCTCTGCAGCAGGCTTCTGCCTAGACATTGAGGCTTTTCCATACATCTTCTGAAATCTAGGCAGAGGCTCCCAAGCCTCAAAACTTTCACTCTGCACAACTGCAGGCTTAACACCATGTGGAAGCTGCCAAGGCTTATGGCTTGCACCCTCTGAAGCAGCAGCCTGAGTATGTGGTTCCCTTTAGCCACTGCTGAAGCTGGTGCTGCCAGGATTCAGGGAGCAGTTTCCCCAGGCTGTGCAGGGGCCTGGCCCATGAAACCATTCTTCCATTTTAGGCCTCCAGCCCTGTGATGGAAGGGGCTGTAGCAAAGGTCTCTAAAATGCCTTTGAGGCCTTTTCCCATTTTCTTGGCTATTAATACTTGCCTTCCTTTCAGTTATGCAAATTTCTGAAGCTGGTTTGAATTCCTCCTGAGAAAATGTGCTTTTGTTTTATACTGTATAGCCAGGCTGCAAATCCTCCTAGCTCTTACACTCTGCTTCCCTTTTAAATATAAATCCCAGGTTCAAGTCATTTGTTCATGCATATGAGAAAGGCTTTTAGAAGCAGACAGGCTGCTTCTTAAATGCTTTGCTGCTTAGAAATTTCTTCCACCAGATACCCTAAATCATCTCCCTTAAGTTTAAAATTCCACAGATCCCTAGAGAAAGGGCACAGTGCCACCAATCTCTTTGCCAAAGCACAGCAAGAGTGAACTTTACTCCAGTTCCCAATAACTTTCTCATTTCCGTCTAAACCACCTCAGTCTGGACTTCATTTTCCATATCACTATCAGCATTTTGGTCACAACCAGTCAACAAGTCTCTTAGAAGTTCCAAACTTTCCCTCATCTTCCTGTCGTCTTCTGAGCTCTCCAAACTGTTTTAATATCTGCCCATTACCCAGTTCCAAAGCCGCTTCCACATTTTCAGGTATCTTTATAGGAATTCTCCACTCCTAGGTACCAATTTTCTGTGTTAGTCAATTCTCGCATTGCTATAAAGAAATCCCTGAGATCGGGTAATTTATAAAGAAGAGAGGTTTAATTGGCTTATGGTTCTGCAGGCTGTACTAGAAGCATTACTGGGGAAGCCTCAGGAAACTTTCAATTATGACAGCAGGCCAAAGGGTAACAAGTACGTCTTACATGGCTGGAGCAGGAGGAAGAGAGAGAGAGTGAACGGGAAGGTGCCATATACTTGTAAACAACCAGATCTCATAAGAACTCTCAGGAGAACAGCATCAAGAGAGGAAATCTGCTGCCATGACCCAATCACCTCCCACTAGGCCTCACCTCCAACTCCGGGGATTGAAATTCAACGTGAGATTTGGGCAAGGACACAAATCCAAACCTTAACAATAAGATAGCAAATGAAGGCCAGTTTACCTGTTAAGAGAGAGCACACACACTAACAAATATAGTGTAAAAGTAGTAACATAGTTTAGGCATTAAACTTTATGTTATATTACATAATTACACCTCTTTTACTATATTTATGTCTATACTGTGTTTTCAAATTTGCCATGTTATGATAATTATGTTATTTTCATAGGAATATATCTAAATAGTATCTTATCAAAATCATTGTTATATCAAAGCAAAAGATTCTGGCATGCATTCTTATATCTTCTGTAGCATTTTTCTTAATAAGCTAGCAGCTCAAGAATTGGTTCCAAACATTTACTCTGGTGTAATGTGGCCTGTTTAATTATCTTTTCATATTTTTAGCTGTACGTACACGAATAAGCTATCTAAATGTTCTGCATTTAAGCATCCTTTAGGGTAAAATAATGACAACAATATTATGCGCCTCACAAGATTCCTCTAAAAGCCTATCATCATTCGCAAATAATAGGAAGAATAATAGGAAGAGGGCATGAGTCCAGAAAATGTTAGCTATCATTGAGATCATGTTAGTGGTCATCCTATTAGAGTGGTATTTCATGTTTCTTTTGTTTGCTGTTTATATTTGAACTCAGGTTAAGTACATGGTTTTTTTTCTGAGCCCAAAATGGAATTAAATTGTAAATAATAATTCTGTTTTTCTTTTCAAGGGTAGGGTCTGAAATGTTTTAAATACATTACCCATTTTAAGGAAGAGGGGAGACATTATGGGGTTTAGGATAACATAGTGAACATTAGTGATGTAGGAGTTGACAGAAAGATGTCATAATAGGTAAACTTTATTAACTTGTTACAGTGACAACACTTTTATTTCTCTTTTTCCAATGGCATTGTAAAATTAAATATTTCATAAAACCAAAGAGCCCTAAAGCAGGGACTGAAATGATGCTCCTTTTATGAAAATTAGTGACAGTTTTCTAAAGGCTTTAACATGTTTCGATACACTTTTATTATTATTTGTTATTTAATATCAATTTCTTGATCTTTAAACAAAAAAAATTCTGTCAGTACATTATGCAATTATTGCATCAAAAACTTATAGATGTAAAACAAGATTTTTCCTAAACATTCCAACACTGATTTTAAACTTAATCACATATTCCATTCTTATATTTATGATAAGGGATAAATATTACACTGTGTTAATTCTTTGAAGAGTTGCAGCGGAGCTGTCTCTCCTATTAGTATAAACAATAAAATGAAGACACTGATTTTTTCTTTATAGACATTTCTATAATTAATCATATCTCACCATTTCATTTGGTCATTAGAAAGTTTAAAAAGTTTAAAGCTAAATATTTAACCAAGCGTTGGCTTAAAAAGAAAAAAAAAGGAGTTAAAGGCATGGGATTATTTTATGTGTGGATCATTTGCTACCTGGATCTTATATTGCCAAATGTTTTCACGCATTCGTGTGTGTGTGTGTTTGTGTGTGTTTGTATGTGTGAGAGTCTGTACATACATAAATTCACATTGTTTTCTAAACATTTTTGTCACTTTAAATCACTTTTCCCTTACTCATTTAAGTATATATTTTTATTTGTATAAATTGAAGAAGTACAAGTGCTGTTTTGTACATGGATATATTGTGTAGAGGTGAAGTCTGGGCTTTTAGTGTCACCATCCACCAAATAATGTACACTGTATCCAGTAAGTAACTTCTCATCCTGCAGCCCCAGATCCTCCAACATTTCTGAATCTCCAATGTCGTTTTTATTCTGCATTCTATGTTTCTGTTTACACTTTATTTGGTTCCCACTCAAAAAATGAGAACATGTGGTATTTATTTTTCTGTTTCTGAGTTGCTTCACTTAAGATAACATCCTCCAGTTCTGTCCATGTGGTTTCAGAAGATATGATTTCATCCTTTTTTAATGGCTGAAATAGTATTTCATTGTTTATATAAACCACATTTTCTTTATCCATGCATTCATTGATGGACAGTTAGGTTGAGTCTATATCTTTGCTATTGTGAATATTGCTGAAATAAACATGAGTACAGGTATCTTTTTATATAATGATTTATTTTATGGATGGTAGATAACCAGTAGTGGGATCTCTGGATTAAACAGTAGTTCTATGTTTAGTTCTTTGAGAAATAGCCTTTCTGTTTTTCACAGAGGTTGTACTAATTTACAGTCCTATCGACAGTGTATAATAGTTCCCTTTTCTCCACATCCTCACCAATATCTGTTATTTTTTGACATTTTAATAATAACCATTCTAGCTGGTGTAAGATGATATCTCATCTTGTGTTTTTAATTTGCATTTCCCTGGTGATTAGTGATGTTCAGCAATTTTTTTCATATGCTTGTTGGCCATTTGTATGTCCCTTTTTGAAAAATGTCTATTCATGTCCTTTGCCCACTTTTTAATGACATTATTTATTTTCATTGTTGTTGTTGAGTTCCTTGTAAATGCTGGATATCAGTCTACTGTTGGAAACATAGTTTGTAAATATTTTCTCTTGTTCTGAAGGTTGTCTCTTCACTCTTGATAATTTCTTTTGCTGTGCAGAAGCTTTTCAAGATATATTGTTTATATTTTTTCAAGAATCATTCTTAAAACAATGTGGGGTTAAAAATGCGAATGAATTAAGCAGCAATGATAGAGATCCATTCTCACAACATTCACATTTTTCAATACATAACATCTAAATATTAGTTGATTTGTCTAATATTACATGGAATACAGCAGGTTCTGGATTGGGGGATGAGATGATTAAAATATTTTATTTCAGACAAAATAAAAATTTTACAGTGTAGTCTAGAAATACTTATCTGGTTGTTTTGAGAGAGATTTACTAGTTATGTGGAATTTAATATGCCCCAAAATGATGCAACAAATAACACCACTTGATCCCAATAAATTATTTATCTGTTTTTACTAACTGATGATACAAAATTCAATCCAGATATTTATTTTAATCATCATCTGATATTTGTGATCTACTCTTTAATATGTACCAAATTAGGTTAAATGCTTTCTAATATAAACTCATCACAATTATCAAATAATTTCTTCATTGTTAGCTGAAGTACTTAATTTTTAGTTTTTTCTCCAAAATTGCATATATTTATATAACCTAATGATTTATTGAATATATGTATGGCCACACAAATGTAAATATTTTAAGCTCCTCATGATTTGATGTACAATTTAAACCCAAGAACTATTTTTAAAATGTTCCAGGTTTCATTTTTAAAAATACAAGCTGTCTTTTGAGGTATTTATATACATTTTTAGCTAAAATTCCCGGACTGGCAGGCTGTTTTCTTTGGCCTGCATAGCATTTTAATTTTTAAAATACTTTTAAAATTATTTGACTTTTTAAAAAATTCATATATTTCTGGCATGGTAATCAGGCTGTTAGGGTTCTTATTTCCAGATGACATCAATCGTCCTAAGAGAAATAGTGTCTGCACCCTTTCCATTTAACCACAACCAAACTCGCCAAGTTTGCTTATTTCATCACCCTGTTGGCTTCTGTAGATATTTCTTCTTGTGACCCACTCTTCACTTCTTTGACTATGAATTTTAAAATGGCAGATAAATTTCAAATCTTTGATTTTTTTTAATAATAACTAGTTTTGAAGTTGGCATTACTATCCTAATAATGCTATAAGGAGAAAATGTGTAATTGCAAAAGCAAAGGGGGTCAGAATGTGCTGCCATGATTTCATCAAGCCTGTGTGTCAGCACCAGTGAGTACTGGTAGCCATGCCATGAAAAAATTTGCTTATATTTCAAATTTGTTTGCAGTATATGTAGTTTTTAACTTGGGCATTATGTGCTTCGCATACATAGATGTCTCCAAAAATGTCTTTTGGACTGTAAATGATAGACTATTCTTCCTTCTGTAGACTTCTCTGTCAGAATTAACATGTACCAAATAAGAGTAAAGCTCTACCTCTCATCATGAATCTTTTCACCTTAGAGTAGTAATTCCAGAAAGCATCATGGAAAATCTGTCTAGATACCTTAGAGAAAAATACGCTGCTATTGCAGAGGATGAGGTTAGGGAGTTTAGATTAATGAGCACCTTTTGCTTAAATCCTTTGGTGGATTGCAAATAAGATCATTAAGGCACTTAACTTTATAGTCTATGCATATATTCAAGGAAAATGTCACTTTAAAAAGGTAAATAACCTACAAGATAGCATAAAGTTAAGCATTTAAAAATTGATAACTGTGTAAAATGATATCCAGAGTAATACTTAAAATCATGCCATAATCACCATACATGCCCTTTGATAGGTGAGCCAAAAATTAGGTTCTCATATTCACATAGGAAATCAGAAAAGGAGAAACCTTTCCAAGGATAGGGTCCATAGTGTCTGTGTGATATAAAGTGACTGCTCAAAAAAATTTATTTGTTTTTCTGTGAATGGACATAGTTTAGCAGTTTTCTTAAGCAAAATGTGTTGAAATAGAATTAAGAACAACATCCATGTGTATATTTAAGTATTAATTTCATAAGACCTTTTCTTACTCTGACCTTTAGCGTGGGCTAGTGACAAAACATCAAAGTGAAATTAGTAAAAGTAACGCTTCAAGTGGCTGAGAAAATACCATCCTTGAACTTATGCTAATCTGAATAAGAAAGAGAGGAAATATTCTACACCACCCACTTTACAATATGGTTTTCCTCAACTGAGCCTTGAATAAGATGCGGTGGCTAGTGACTGGAGAGCAGCTCTTCTGTTGAACATATATCTACATGCTTCAACAGTCTTCTGACTGAAGTTGAGGTGAATGATCACTTGGAGGCCAAGTAAAGCTTGTGCTGAATTGAAGACCATGTCAGCTCCATGAAAAGGTGGAAAGGATAGGGTCAGTATTCCCATTAGATAGGGTTTCAAATCTGCTTCAATGCATAGTTGAATTTTTGGTAAAAGCTATAAAATCCTATTTTATACAGCATAGTCAGGAGTATTTTCAATAGGGAAAAAATTTAAGTTTATTATAGCTATATCTCTACCTTAGCTTAAGCTCACATGGAATGCCTGTCAAACTGCTAATCCTTGTTGCACCTAGCAGATAAATTGTATGCAAAATACACACTGCAATAACAATAACAACATTAATGTTAAATATTAATATTCAATTTTAGAAAGAATTTACTGGAAATAATTAAATTTTAAATAGTTTTATGAAATAATTACCTAGTAGGATTGTCAGACACAGTCATTTTTTGGTTTAAGAAAATAACATATCATCTATTAATAAATGAATGTTTACATTTTTTTCTTTTGGTTATGGGGCGGTGGTAAAGTGTGTGTATCCAGATTATCTTAAAACAGGTCTATTGAATTTTTAAGAGACAAAATAAAAAATACAGAGTCACATTAATGGGGTTTTGAAGTGTTTAAAGCAGGCCAGGTGCAGTAGTTCATGCCTATAATCCCAGCATTTTGGCAGACTGAGGCAGGAGAATTGTTTGAGGCTAGGAGTTCGAGATCAGCCGTGGGAACCTTGTTTCTTCAGAAAGTTTTGAAAATTTGCCAGGTGTTGGTAGTGTGCCTCTGTAGTCCCAGCTACTTAGGAGGCTGAGCTGGGAGGATCACTTGAGCCCATGAGGTCAAGGCTGCAGTGAGCCGTGATCACACCACTGCACTCCAATCTGGGTCACACAGTGAGACCCTATCTCAAAAACAACAACCACAACAAAAGAAGTATTGTGACCATTGAAAATTATTTTTAAAAGCTAGTTTTATGCAAATATAATTACTCATTTTCAATAGGCAGAATGGAAAGATATCACACCTGTTAGAAAATGCTTATTAGACACCCAGGATTTAGAATCTTAAATTTAATTTTGAAAGGCATACTAGACCTTATTTTTTATTACAATGTTGTTTGTTCAGTGAGCTAGCCCAGTGCAGAGTTCATAGTCCTAATGATGTTGAGTGCTTTTCAACTCAATCCTTTATCAAACTTCCAGAGACAAGGTACTGTGCCAAGTGTTAAATAAAATGAATAAGTCAGGACTTTAAATGATTCTTCCTTCTTAGCAAACCAAATAAGTCTAGCATGGTGGCTCAGGGCACAGCTTTCTAGCCAGACTGCTTGGTTTCAAATCTGACCTCTTCCATTTAGCTGTTTGGCTTTGGCCAAATTGGTATACACTTCTTTCAATGTTCCCATCAAAATAATGAAGATAATAATACTAATACTCTTCTCATAGGACTGTTATGATTATTAAATGAGATAATCCTGGTCAAGGCCTTATTAATAAATGGTAAAGTGTATTATTACTATTATTGTTATCATTGACTTTTTGCATCTAGCCTTCGTACTTCAGTATGTGATGCTCATTATACATAATCATTATGCAATGCAGTATTACAAAATAAATATTTTTAAAAAGCAGTCAATGGAGCTATCTTGGGTCTCCTGGGAAATAACAGCTGACTGTCTCACAAGATTCACACTAAGGTATCACTTTGGTAAATGTGCCTTAGTTTTATTTCTGGTTCAAAACACATGTATATCAGCAAACTGAGAACAGAATTTTCTAAGAGGACCAGATACATTAACCAAGTTCTCAAGAATTATGAAGAAAAGCAAATGCCACTTTAGAATTTAAAATGAGAAATGTAACTCTCATACAGGCAGGAATACCAACCTTTTCATGACTGTCATATCAGATCATTGAAGTCAGATATAATTAAGTTCTAAGTCTGGTGAAAACTGTGTCTGGAAATGTGGAAGTTTTATCACTCGAAATGTAAACAGCACCTCATTCAAGATAGTAATTATTTTGTCAGTGAACTGGAAATAGTGAATGTCCATTATGTAAAGTTCCCTTTCTTCCAGATCGTAGACACTGCCATTATTTTCAGTAGACACTGCCATTATTTTCTTTAGTTATTCAGACTTTATAATATTCCTTAGGCAATAAAGTATCTCTGTTTTCCTACCCTAAATAATGCATTCTTTTTTTTTTTTTTTTTTTTTTTTGGAGATGGAGTCTCACTTTGTTGCCCAGGCTGGAGTGCAATGGTGTGATCTCAGCTCACTGCAACCTCTGCCTCCCAGGTTCAAGTGATTCTCCTGCCTCAGCCTCCTGAGTAGCTGGGACGACAGGCACATGCCACCATGCCCAGCTAATTTTTGGATTTTTGGTAGAGACGGGGTGTCACCATGTTGCCCATGATGGTCTCTATCTCTTGACCTTGTGATCTGCCTGCCTCGGCCTCCCAAAGTGCTGGGATTACAGGCGTGAGCCACTGTGCCCAGCCAAAAAGTCTTCTTTTAAAGATTTGTTAATGCATACAGGTAGGTTATAAATGTTAATAGAAACTCTCAGCTCAGTAACTTTAATATGACTTGGAATTTATCCCTTAAGATGTTATGTGTGATTTTTAAAGTTTAACAATATTTCAGAGAGCGTTTTACTCTTGATGTTAGTAGTCTGCATGCAGAAACAATGTTGGTCATAGCTGGTAAGTCTACAGTGGGTAAAAACCAGTAAAGACTTTGATTTATTTTGCTGTTTTCTATTTGGAGATGAAGAAAATGTTTTTAACGGGATATACACAGAAAATCAAAATGACTACAAAGTTATCATAAATTTGGCCTACATTTTTATTATTTTATAACACGGTTGTTTCCCTGAAGCTTTTAGAGAAAATAAGAGAATGCTTATGGAAAAGCAATATCAATAAAAATCTATTAAAACATAAACATTATAAATGTTCATATTATTGTACCTAGGACAATTGATTTGTTTTAAAGTGAAGTCTCCAGGATAAATTACCATTAGCTCTAATATTTTCACTTTTGTGTGTTAGATGAAAGAAAATGTCTCTTCTGTGTTTGACTATATATGAATATAAGTGTGTATACATGTTTGACTACACACACACATACAAAATACATACCAAGTATACATACTTTTGGGTCAATTTTTTGCTCCAGTTCATACATTATTTTTAATTTATAAATATCTTCATTGATCACATTGAATAGAATTTCTATTATTTTGATATTTCTCAAATTTGGCCATATGTAGAAGTAATTATCAGAATCTTTAGCTAAAATTATTTACTGTCTACTTGTAATGGTTGGTTTTACCTGCAGATGGAAAAACCAGCTAGCCACCCAGATAAGACCCTAACAAACTCCAAAACACAGACCCTATTGATTCCACACAGTCTTATATTCCTCTATATATTTCTCTCACTATTTAAATATCAATAATTGAAAAAAATTACACTTAAAATGAAACCTGTATTTGACAAGTGTGATATATTAAACCATCAGCACTATAAATATTAGATGAACTAATTTGTCGGAATATCTTCAGTTTTTTATTACAGTTTGACAGCTTAGACTATATGGCTAGTCAGTTTGGATAACAGGAGACTAATGAATATCCTGAATAATTGGTGTGAGAAATAAGAGAGCAAAAAAAGTGGGGTGGCACTGGATGCTTTGTAAGTAGACAAATGCCAAGAAATGAGATAGCAGAAAATTATAATCATTATTATCATAATATTAACAGGTAGCTTTCATCAGTATGTCCTGTATACCATGACTCTAAGCAGTTTCACATATATTTACTTAATTTTCCCAATAACTCTGTGATACAAGTTATGCTGTAGTCCTTATTTATACTTGAGGAATCCAAGGCACAGAGAGGGTCTACAATTTGCCCAAGGTTACCCAGCTACTAGGTGACAGAATATTGATTATGTACCCAGGAAGAATGGGTCGTGAAATGATGTTCTTAACCCTGTGTTATGATACTTTGTATGGTGGTGAAAAAATAAAGGGAAGAGGAAAGAGAATTAAAGTATTTTGGAGGTCTACATAGTGCCAATGCCTGAGCCAGGCATTGTAATGTGTTTAACTATGATACTAATGTCAAGACTTTAAACTCTTTATTTTTTTCTTTTATGCCCAGATGTCTTTGGGGGAAATTCGTAATTTCTACTGTCTTAAATGTCCTCATCTATAAATCAAGGGGTTGTATCACGTTCCTTCCAAGAATCTTCTCTGTTCTAATCCTCTGCTTCTGTGCCTAGGCATGAAATAAAACAATCTTTTTTTCATGTTTTTGCGTATGTCTTACTCTGTCAACTTTTTGAAAGTCTTAACAAATAATAACTTTTGTATTCTGGATTTAGAGAATAACATACCCTATTCATCAGTTTATTGGGTCTAATACTACTTGTTCACCTCAGTTTTGTGTCATTTAAAATAGATCAGGTGGCAAAAGCAATCTGTTATGTAGAAGCAATTATTAGAAGGCATCTTCCACCATTCTGTTTTGAAATTTCTGGTAAACTATATGTTTGGATCTGAGAAGAGTTTATGATTTTTAACTGCAAAATCTGATATAGAGCAAAAATATTAAAGAGAATAATGTTTGTCATGCTACACAGTAAATTCTCAATGGCTTCTAAGTATAAATCTAAATCACAGGATTTAGTAAGAATTATCTAGAGAAAGACAACCTCAATTATCCAGTGGATATTCAATACACAAGCTGTTTCTTACCACAGATTTATTCTGGTACACTAACACAGGATGATTCTAAGAAGGCAATGAAATAACTCCCACCAGAAACAAACACTTCTTTCTATAAACCTTATCTCATACCCAATTTCATTCAAGGTAAACGTTTCTTGAAGTAACAGAAGAAAGTTAACAATTTTTGAATATTTTTGAACATTTATATATACTTATACACACTATATATGTAGTGGTTATATTATGTATAGAAAGATTTACTCGAGAAAGTTGGCAGTTTTTGCACAAATGTCTTCTTTCTAGCTTCCTTTGATATTTTCTGAATAAGTATATAGCCAATTTATTTAAATAAATAATAAGCAACAATTACTGAGTTCAAAGTAAAAACAATTGAGCTCCTCAGTCTGGTTGCAAACAGGTCTCTTCTAGTGTTCGCCAATGCTTTCTGGGGTATCAAAATTTAGTAGGAAAAGAAGCTTGCATAAGAAAAGTTTTAAAATATTCAATGAAGAAGATAAGGTTGTTGAAAACCATGCAAGGGATGTTATAAGGCAGTGACAAATGACAATATTTCAAAATACATTTGAACTGATAGTGAATAATTTGAATGATATAAGTAGGAACCAGCCACTTGATAAATAGATAGTGAGAAGTCACTTTCTGTTACTGTTCATAAAGTTAAGAATCTTCGTAATCACAAAACCAGCAAGCTAGGGAGCCTTTCTGGCTTCTGTACGTCTTATTTGTCAGATCATAACGCTGCAAAACCCTATCGTTTATTTCTCTCTCTGTCCATTCCACAAGCATTTCACAACAATTTCTGCATGCAGAGATACCCTTGAGAAACAGGAACATGCAAACAACCCACCCCAGTATTGCGATGGGTCCTAGGAGATATATGTACAGTGTTCTTGAAGCACAGATGAAGGAGAATGTAAGAAACATAAAAGCATCCTAGAAGTCTTCACAGCAGAGGAAATATTTGAGTTATCTTTTAGGATGAAAATGAGTTTGTCAGACAGGCAAAGGGAAATGGTATTTGTTTTAATCACACATTAGTCACTCCACTCTGCCGGCAAGATGTATATCAGGTATAACAATGATGAAACAAATGAAACCATTAATGATTTGTGTTAATCTCTTCTAACAGGTTATAGAATTTCTCATAACCAAGTTGTGAGGCAAATCCTAACTTCCCATTATGTCATCATACATAATATTTGTTCTTGATAATTCATGAAATTCAGTTGCCCATTCACATTTTTTTCTATAGATATAGCTTCTTTATATTAATTAAAGAGTTGTTCTGAGTTGTAGATTTATAAATTTCAAGCAAGAAATGTCAATTCTAAGTTTTAGACTTACATAGATGAGACAAAATATTCTATCAGTTTCTGAAATGGTTTATTCTCTGGGAGAGTGCTGTGTTACTTTTTGATATCTGTGATTAGTCTTCCTTAAAAATGATTGTGTAGTGAAAAACATGACACATTAGCAGAGTTAATGAACCATGGAGATGTTTTGGATATTTATGTTTTTTATACTTGTGATTTTAGAAAAGAGTTCTGGTTTAGTTACACAGTCTACCTTTAAGAAGGATTTCACATAGACAGTATTTTGTATTATGTATTATTATTAATTTGCTTAAAGTGGATATGTATGTCCTAGCGTATTCTCTTGTGTTCATTGACTAGTAAAATTAATATGTCAAATGTTTAACAGGCTATTTTAGTTTTAAGCATTATATTATTTTAAAGTTATTTTCTTTAATTTTCATTTTATACTTTTTGCATTAATCCCATTTATCTATCACCTCATTAGAGAAGTTTTTCTCAAATTGGACTACGTGCAGTAATCTTCAAATGTTCCCTATTCAAAGACAACACTAAAAAATCATTATGCTGCCTAATACTGCTGTTTTTGCTAAGGTTATTTTCCTGATCTTCAATCGCTTGGTGCATGTGTTATTTTATATTTTATGTAACTTTATTTATACACTCATGTGTTTTAGACATTACAATAATTCAATTATTTATTGAATATTAATTATTACTTTTAACTAATTTTTCTTCTCTGTAACATACTTCAGTCCATTACTCCCAAACCTCTGTCCAAAGCTCATTCCCTACACTTTCGATATTTTATTAACATTTCATAATTATCACTTATCCACTCTATGGTCACCTGGTTTAGGCTATTTTGCAAACAAGTATGTTTGTTATACTTTATTTCAAACTTTATTCTGGCTTTTCCTCTGTTTGCTAATATTATTTCAGTAAGGTTCTGATGCCTATTTGGAAGAAATATAGTCCTTGTTGATTTTAAGGTCATAATTTACATTTTTATTGAAATCCTTACCTGCCTGTCACTGTAATTTTTTTAGGTGTGGGTACTTATTCTATTCCACATGGCTGGCAGGGCAATTTTCTACCAAAGACCAGGGTTCCTCTACACTTTCAGATTGTAAGTTTGAAATAGATGTCTTTAGAAATTGTGTTTAAAGAGTACTTTGTTTCTTATCTACTCTTCTAGTCCTGACGATGTGTTATTCATTTATTATTTAGAGCTGGCCTCTCTTAACTATTTTTCCAGTTTTATCTTGGCATTACTATTCTGTGAGCAGGCATTCTTAAATTCTTGTTTCAAGAGGGTTCCATCAACTGAACTCTTATTTTTTTAATTTTGCTTTTTGCTTTACATATGTCCTTTTTTAAAACAAAATTTGAAATAATTGATATATATTTTATGTTACCAGAAAATTTGTGATGTATTTTAGAAATAAGGCGTGAACAGGAGCAAAGAGCATAGGCTCATGTGACCTGGTTCAGATTCAAACCTTTGGATTATCTCATATTGTTAACCATATATCTAAGGTAAACACCATAATTTAAATCACCCATTATTAGCCATCAATAAAGAGGACACAAGAATTAGATATGCTTATATAGTAATTTTATTTATAAAAATCAGGCCAGAGTTTTAAGCCATTGCAAAGAAATAAATGAGCCAATGGTACAGTTATTACCTGGGTTATGCAGTTTCAGTTCTCATCAACTATTAGATTGTTGTGAAGCTGGTGGTGGTGTTGCTTTCATCAATTTTCATTCTACCTTCCAATAGTTTTATAGTTTTATCTGAGGGTTTCTTGGTATCCTTTTACCAATTCATTCTAGCCCCTTTCTTTTCCTCTTCAGTGTGTATGTGACCATCCACTGATATTCTACTGTACTAAATTATCTTTTCCAAGAGCCCTATTTCTTATCAGTTAGAAAAAAATGCTGCCAATGCAGAGTGGCCAAGCTGGGAGTTATTTAGGGCAATGTGGCAGTTACTGTGTTTGAGTGATAGAGAATGCAATTCTGAAAGGGAATGGGAACAATAACCAGGTTAATTAAGGGGAGCTTTAATAAACAAAGAGTATAAAGAGAGAAATGATTATCTAGGCTACTTTTTGGGAATAGTAGCCTATTATATTCTCAAATATTTGTGAGAACATTGAATTTCATAGCATGTAAAAGTATATCTTCTCATCAGAAACATTCCTTTGCACGTCCCTTCTAAGAAGCATTGTATTTTTTCCCTTCATCAAAATGCCCATTTTTCTTAGTTTTTTAGCTGATCTATGATATAAGGTATAGCATATATTATATAATAAACATTTTTTCTTTGTTTCTGTTTTTTCTTTCTCCTTCTCTTTCTTTTTCTCTTTTCTCTGTTTCTTTCTATTCTCTCTTCTCTTTCTCTCTTTTCTTTCTCTTTCTCTCTCCTTCCTTCCTTCCTTTCTTCCTTTATTTTCTTTCTTTCCTCTCTTTCTTTCTCTTTTATTCTCTTTCTTTCTTTTACTTTCACCTCTACAGAGTACCAGAAACTTATGAGGCATGACTGGTTCAATTTTTGAAATGACACCATCCCTACATTCAGGAGTTTATTTTAAAGAATAACACAAACATGTGAACAGTTTGTCACAATACAGCTCTGATCATATTTTATAGGATGTTTTGCAATCTCTTTCCTTATGGCTTCTTATGTCATCTGTTCATTTTCTATATATTAATACTTGACTTAACTGGATAATGGCGGGGGGGATATATGGATGGATATTTAATGTTGCCTAGAGGGCTTATGACTAGAAGAAACCATTACTGTAGTGGTTGGAACCTGCTCAAGAGGATGGAGTCTCTTCTAAGTCTATAGAGGCAAGTGCTTGTGCCCAAGATCCTCTTTTAGTGTTTCTGCTAAGAAATAAAAATGAAATCAGAGCGTACACAAGTGGAGATGAAAAATAGATGAAGCACAGTACAATCAGAATGTTTTCTGAAGTTCTACCAAATTAACCTTTGGAGTAAAATCAAATAGATAGATAAAAATGACAGTCTATACAGTCATTTTTATATCAAACAATGTTTAGGTGTGTTGCACATTTTCCCATCTGTAATAGTTAATTACAATTCCTTAGGATTTCCCTTCTCTCATAAGCATTGAATTTGATTAATCAGAAAACTTGACCCACTTTAATTGCTGGTCTAAATATGGCCAGCTTTTTATTTCCTCTATATGTTTAGTTTATTTTTATTTATGTCGTAAGTAAAAGTGAATCCATCAGACAACAACTTAACCTTCATCCAAACATGCTATTGCCCATCTCTTTGACTTGTTTTGTTTGACTTAATGTAATTTTATCTTTCAGAAGCCTGTTTTCATCATCCACATGCTTTCCTCTTGATATTACGTGCATCTAAATCTTTCCCAAGAAAGCATACTTTTTATTTTAGTTATATTTATTTTATTAAAAGCCCTCATGCTTCATAGAGTCTTGCAGTTAAATTTTTTCAGTAAATAGTATTTTGTAAATATTCATATATATTACTGCATGTTAGCATAGTGTATTCATTTTACCACTTTATGATATTCCATTGTGTAAATATCCCACAGCTCATTTGCATTTTCCTCATCTTGAACATTTGGATCATTTCCAGTGTTTTTGTTTTCTACTGTGAACAATATTCCTTGATCACTCTTGGAGATGTCATTATATATGAGCAAGTTTATCTTGAATATAAATTTAGGAGTAAAATTATTTTCTTATAAGTATGTGATGTTTTCTTTATGAGAAAATGCTAAACTGTTGAAAATATTTGTATTTATTCATACTCGTATGTAGAAGAGATTCTGTGGAGCTACATCCCTCTCACATCACATAGTTTTTGTCAATGGAATGTAAAGCAGTATCTCACTGTGGTATTGATAAACCTTTTTCTGATTTATAATGATTCTATTCTTTTAGTTTTTCTTCAGTAAAATGTCTATTCACACATATTTACCATCTTTATTCAATTGGGTATTTTTTACTTTCCTTACTGATTTGTAGTAATTCTAAAGTATTATTGATAATACTTCTTTGTTAGTTGTGGGGATTGTATTTTCCTCCATTTTTAATTTGTTCTTTCACTCTTTTTAAAGGTTTCTTTCTGATGAAGAAAGTTCTTACCTTTAATATAGTAAAATCTAATAATTTGGGGGGGACAATGCTAAATGGGTCTTAAAATTAAAAAAAAAAATAACAACTCCCTAGTCCACTCTATACCAAAACCCAGAATGTAAGAACTTAAATTTTAAATTGAAGTTTAAAAAGTTTTATTTCCGACATTAACATTCTTAAATGATTTATAGTTGAACTGTGTATATAGTATGTCCCTTTTTTGTTGCTGTTTTTTACCATGTGAATTATCAACTTCAGAGCTCTATTTATTCAATAGTTGCTTATTTTTTCGATAAATTATGCTGCCTTTGTCACATGTTCCTTAAGTAGCCGCTTCTGATTTTAGACTTTCTCTTCTACTACAATGATTAATTTGGCCATTCTGTGTTCATACCACATTGTCTAAAATTCAATTCCTTCATAAGTCGTGCCATTTGTAAGTGAACATCCCTTCCTGATCTTTCTCCTACCGAATTATTTTGGTAGATTTAGACTTTTTAATCTTTTACTTAAATGTTAGGAATTAAAACATTCTGTGTAAATTCCTGTTTAGATTTTAATTGGAATTTCATTGAGTATGTGGATTAACTTTATGGCAATTAACATATCTGTGATATTATATATTTCCATGTGTGAGCATAGCGTATCACTTTATTTAAGATATCTGTATATGTTATAAATAGAATTTAGAATTTTACCTGTGGAAGGCTTAGCATTTTGATTCATTCCTAGATAACATTTTTTTCTGATAGCATTGTAAATGGTGTTTTCTCTTTAACTCATTTACTCCTCTATTTGTTTACTGCTGCATAAAATGTTTTTTCTCACATTAAGCTGACAACCAACTACGTTGCTAAATGCCCTTAAAAAATGAGTTTGTAGATTTTCTTGCTCATTCAAATGATTTGAAGAAGAAGCTCTGTTCCCCAAAATTGAAAAGGTGATCCTTCCTCTTACAAAGTAGAAACAAGTACAAAATTCACTAGATTTGTCTTAAGAGCAAATAGCCCACATAGAATATGTTTGGTAATAAGAAACATGCTACATGCATGCAAAAAAATTACAGGACCACAGAGCTAAAAATACCACATCACACATTCGGGTTTTTTTGGGGGACGGGTGCTAAGTATACTGAGAGTTATAATAGAAAATATATAATTGTATTGTTAATCTGTGGCCTCATTATGTGCAAATTCAGGATTGCAAAGGTTGAAAATTTCATTTTTTTAGCATTCCACAGCAATGCCTCAGTGAATATTCCTGTTTAGGGAAGCTCAATGTTTTTTCTTTGTTCTTAGGAAGAAGCACCGACATCAATCAGGAATTCATCCCTTTTTTGTGTGTGCGTCATGAAATAATCAATTTCCTGACAATGGAAATTATGTGATATTTGACACGTTTGAGAAGGTCACACCTTTTCCTTCAAATCTGATGAATAGAAAAGAAAATACAATTGCTTTATTTCAACTACATCCAATCTTTCTCCAAGCCTTATACTCTGCTTAGCAGAAAAAAAATAACAAAAGTCTAATCTGATTTAATGCTTATCTTACTTTGAAAATATAAATGAATAGTTTGTGTTCTTCCTTCAGTCTGCTTTGGGTAAAAATGCTCAGTCCCTTGGGAAACCAATCCTTGCTTCTCCTTTGTCTTAGATCCTTTTTATATAATGTTAGCAAAGCAAAGAAAAGCTGGGATTCTCTTCTGCCATTTGTGATCTCTTGAAGTATCACTTGTTGCCCTGGTTTCTGCTATTCTTCTTGGCATTTGAGGCTGACGTTTGATCTGGTTTAACTCATAACCTGTCTTTTACTGCCTCCTCATTCTCTCAACTCAGCCTATGTTCAACTCTCCCAGTGCCCTAGGCTCCTCTCAACTCAGCCTATGTTCAACTCTCCCAGTGCCCTAGGCTCCAGTGCTCTGATGACGCCCTTCCAATCTCAGCTCTGGTGGTCCTCTCTATAGCACTAGACACAGAGCCAGTTCAGCCTCAGTTTTGCAATTCCTTCCGTCACATTTTTTGGACAATTACTTGAATATTTCTGAGAATATTTTACATCACATAAGCAACTAGGGAGAACAGATCAACCTCAAAATTCCCCTCTCCTGATGATTCATGGCAATGCTCTTAGAATAAGGACTTCATAAAGGAGACTATCTAAATACTAACATTAGTAAACAAATAAAAATTAAACATTAGTTATTATATGTGTTTCCTAGAATTGCCATAACAAAGTACTATAAGCTAGGTGGCTGCAACAATAGAAATGCATTTTCTTCTAAATCCAGAGGCTAGATATCCAAAATCAAGTAAGCAGCAGAGTTAATTTCTTCTAAGCACTCTGTGGGAGAATCTGTTCTGTTTTTTTTTCCTAGCTTCTGCTGGCTTCTTGGCAATCTGCCATTTCTCCGCTTGTGGCAGCATAACTCCAGTCTTCACAAGGCATTTTCCCTATGTCTCTGTGTCCAAATTTTCTCTTTCTGTAACATCAGCTATATAGGATTAGGGGTTCACTCTACTGTAGTATGACCACATCTACATTTAACTAATAACATCTACAATAACTCTGTTTAAAATAAGGTCACATTTTAAGGTACTAGGGGTCAGGATTTCAACATATGAATTTTAGTAGAACATAATTTAACCTATAACAGTCCAGTCATTGTGGAAGTTCAAGTAAATAATCATAATATTCAGACAGTAGGAGGAAACTTTTAGAGGTAATGGATATGCTTATGCCATAGATTGAGGTGAGGCTTTCATGGATGTATAATTATTTTGTATACTCCAAACTAACTAAGTTGCTAAATTAAATATTCATATCTTTTTTATGTCAATCATACCTCAATACAGTGGTTTAAAACACACACACACACACACACACACACACACACACACACACACACACACACAGAGACACACAATGAATGGCCAGTTAATATTAGTAAAGATTGGCAACATCAAGTGTTTGAGGATATGAATAAACAGGGAATTCCATATCTGATTTATGAGAGTATAGCTTGGTACAATCTCTTTGAAAAGCATGAAGACCTAAAGAGAAATACCATTCAACCCAATAATTCCGTTACTGGGTATATACCCAAAGGAATATAAATTTTTCTATTATAAAAACATACGCATGCATATGTTCATTGAAGCGCTATTCACAATAGCAAAGACATGGAATCAACCTAAATGCCTATCAATGATCTACTAGTTGAAGAAAATGTGGTACATATACACCATGGAATACTATGCAGTCACACACACACACACACACACACACAAAAAAAAAAAAAAAAAAAAACGAGATCATGTTCTTTGCAGGGACATGGATGGAGTTGGAGACCATTATTTTTAGCAGACTAACACAGGAACAAAAAAAAAAACACAAATACTGCATGTTCTCACCTATAAGTGGGAGTTAAATGATAAGAACACATGGTGACATAGAGGGGAACAACACACACTGGAGCCTTTTGGAGAGTGGAGGGTATGAGGAGGGAGAGGATCACAAAAAATAACTGATGGGTACTAGACTTGATGCCTGGGTGATGAAATAATGTATACAACAAACCCGCATGACACAAGTTTACCTAGGTAATAAACCTGCATTTGTACCCCTGAACTTAAAAGTTATAGAAAAGAAAAACATCTTGGCAATAAGGATTTAAGTTGAATGCATGTATACAGAAATTCGACTTCAAGATATATACAGTTGATTCCCACTTACGATGGTTGAACATCTGATTTTTCCACTTTATGATGATGCAAAAGCAATAGGCATTCAGTAGAAACCTTACACAGAGTACTTATATAACCATCCTGTTTTCACTTTCAATACAGTATTCAATACATTACATGAGATAGTCCACATTCTATTAAGAATAGGCTTTGAGTTAGCTGACTTTGTCTGACTGTTGGCTAATGTAAGTGTTCTGAGGACATTTAGGCTAGGCTATGATGTTAAGTAGGTTAAGTACATTAAATGCATATTCAACTTAATAATATTTTCAACTTGTGATGGATTTATCAGGACATAACCACATCATAAGTCTACAAGCATTTATACTCAAATAATGGGAACTTGTGCTAATCAAAATACATGTCAATAATTTAAATAACAGCTTTATTTATTATACTTTCTAACTTAAAGCAGCACATATGTCCATCAACAAGAAAACTGATTAATACATTGTAAATTAATCGTACCACAGAATACTATATACCAATGAAAATGAACCAACTATTGCTATAAGCAATAGCTTGGATGACTTGCTCAAATAAAATGTTGAGTAAAAGAAACCAGATGCAAAAGAGTGTGTCTGTATGATTTTTATACAGAATTCAAAAATAAGCAAAATTAATTTAGGCATTTAAAGGTTAAATTTGTAGTACCTCTGGGCAAGAAAACAGGAAGTGATTAGAAATAGACACGAGAAGTACTGGAGTGCAAGGAGTTTCTCTATTTCTGAATCTAGATAGCAGGCACAGGAGTGACATCACTTGTGATAATTAATGAGGCCTACTAATAATAGCTTTTTTCAGTGTTAATCTTATTAAAGAAAGCATGATAATTAGGGTGTCTGTGAAAACTCTAATGATTGTAGTAAAACCTGATAAAACCTGTAAGTTTTTAAAGGAATTTTAGATTTTACAAAGTAAATGTTGTTTGCTTTTTAAGATGTATTATTTTATGAAATAAGTAATTTTAATTTAGCTAGTTTTATGGGATAGCACCTGTATGAAATTTTTAAAAAACTGATAAAAAATGTTTATGCCTATGTACATGTTTTCAATGTTGTGTTTCTACATTGTTTTAATTAGCCAAAATATTTGTACTCTTTTACTGATTTTGCCTTCCACCCACTTAACTGAAAGAAACATTCAACATACGTTGAAGGCCTACTCACATTAGCTGTATACATTTGCTTTGATCTCTATTTCATGGAAATGCAAACTGAGAGAAGTACAATAAATTGTTTACCAACTACAATAGCAAGGAATGGAGTCAGTTTGGAAGCCAGATCTGGATTCAGAGCCTGAATTACCTCACCATATTATGCCATCTCTGAATTCCCAATACCACAATTCTTACACTACATTTTTAATTATAATTTTAAAACTCAATATCTCTCCCTTTTTAAACTCCAAACTTTTCTACTGCCTAAAGCATGTCACAATACCTTCACAGAAAGTAGATAATCATATATATTTGTTGAATTAATGATAGAGCATAAAAATAACCCTTTATGAAAACACACACACACACACACACACACACACACACACACACACTATTATACTGCCTGTTGGTGAGCCTTCCAAAGTCCAAACAGCAACCTAAGCTTATGATGATATTTAGACAGAGGTATCTTCATAGTTTTTGAGTTTGTTTTTTTTATTTTTAATTTTAAACTATTCAATTAGTTTTCAACTACTATATTAGCATTTATAAAATTTAGAGACGTCTTGTTTTCTTATCAATATTGTAAAATCATTTCATCACATATCAATAGTAAATATAGGTCTACTATATATTATAATTAATATTGAAACTAAAACACAATCAGTGAAAGGATTATAATTATTTTGGTATATTTTTGCTGTTTTCCTTGTTAATGTTTTGTTTCATTTTCAGGTACCCATACCTATTTAAATGTTAAGATTTCTTTATTCTCTGATCAAACATGAGACCAAAACATATTCCCAAATGAAGTATGAATGTTGGCAGGGGATCAATATTCCTAATTTAAAAATAAATCATAGGGATAAAGTAGAATGAGCCATTTCCTTTAACTAATAAAATGAGACAAGGTGCTCTATTTTCTCGATGTCTGCTCTTGTAAGGGTTAGAGCTAAAGTAAAATAGATTGAGCTCTTTTGCTATAAGTATTAGGAAATATTCATAGCAGTACACTTCTAACATAGCATGCTGACATGTTGACCTGCCATATTCATTGGCAAGTGTGAGTACTCAAGTGCATCACTTACCTAGTTCTTTCTGATGTTTTGCTTTTTACAGAAACGACTACCACATTATCTGTAAGAAAAAAAAAAGAAATCCACATACTTCAGTTCACTCCTTTAAATTCAATCTAGGCTTATAACGCAGTCTGCTTTTGAAAATGAGTTTTGTCCAGTGTTCCCTGAGTTCAGCCTTAAAGCAGAAAAATACTCACATATTGTTTTTATACAGATTCTGTTTTCTCCCAAATTTCAAATGGTTCTCAAAGGAAAGCAAGTTTATAAAAATGCTACCTATATCCACCAACACAGGTCATATTTTTTTCTTTTAAAGTAAAAAAGAAGATCTGGAATGTCTGCCAAGCTATTCCAATGCATGTTTATTAAACATTATAGTATCTTTCTAGCTTAGGCTCTGGATATACAAAAAATAAAGAGCACAGATTCTCCTTGACTTCTGATGGGATTCTTGATCTTGATAAACACATTGTAAATTGAAAATATCTTTAGTCCAACGTGGGCATTTTGTATACGTGATGGGAGGTAAATGTACAAAACACAACTTAACACAACACAACGAAAAAACATTGGTAGTACAGGTCACTGTGGTGTCAGTTGTTTACCCTCATGACCACATAACTGACAGAACTATGGCTCATGGCTGCTGCCCAGCAATAGTATTGTACTGCATGTTGGTAGCCCTGGAAAAGATGGAAAGTTAACATTTAAAGTATGACTTTCACTGAATGTATATCACATTGACACCATCATAAAGTTGAAAAATCTTAAGTTGAAACATCATATGCCAGGGACAGTATTATTTACCACTGTTTCCTCCATACTCTTCCCTCCATTGTTAAGTATTTTGGGGGTGTGGGTCTCAGAAGATATTTTAAAGTTGGAAAAAAATAATAAAATGTATAAAGTAATTTTCAAAAATCACTTGATAGAAATTTAGAAGAATTAGTATATATTATGGGAGGCCTTCCTTGTGAATGAAAGATAAATAAGGACATACCACACTGTCTACTTCGGAGCAACACAAACACATATCTCAGGCTGAACCCTAATTCTTTCTTTCTAAAAATCCAGAGCTATGTTTTTCATTCTCTATGTACAGCTAAGCCTTTCTTCCAACTTTTGGAGTTTGTTTTACTCTTTGATTATATATTGAGTAACAAATTTCCACCTAGCTCATCCTTGATCTCTCTTTCAGATAACTTAAAAAAAATAGATAAGAGGAAAGAAGGAAGGAAAGAATAAAAAAAGAAGGAAGGAAATAGGAAAGCTCTTTAATTTTATCAATTCTAATACTATTGTGGAGGAACAAGTAGTGAGTATAACAAAAATAAAACTTAGATGTGCAAATGATACAAGATTTTCAGATATTTTAGAGAGTTCTCATTGTAATTACTTTGTCATTTGTTTAATTTTTAAAATTTCATCTTAGCAATACCCTCCACTATGTTTGGGTTACTTATTCTTAAAATCCTGGAATAATCTTCAGGACATTTGACAACGTAATAACCGTTATTTTATGGGCATCAGCCAATCAGGACACATTACAGCTGCAAACAGTTGGATGTGTTACTTGGTGTATGCAGCCCTGAAAGAACTAAAAAAGGATAGCATGCTCCTTCTCAGATATGGGTCACACCAACCTCAATGCATATGTTCTTTTATGAGGAAAAGACCACGTACAATCTTCTCACGGCTAAGGTAGGTTAAAACTGTCCTAATGCCAGTAGTTAACACATTGGTTTTAATGTGCCAACCAGTATTTTGTTCTCAGCTTGGATAATTCATTTTTTATACTCTTCTCAACCTTGAATCTTATCAAGCCAGAGATCTGCTCTACTTGCATGTTAAGAATATTAGGACCAAGGTTGCCCAAATTAGCACGTCGAATAGCAAAATCAGCCAGAAAGCAGGCTGAAAAGCATTAAATGTTTCATATAGGTGAGTTTTTAAATCATTTAATTTCTATAGAAAAATTTTATTCACAATTTAATGTGACAGAAATTGCCACAGGAATGATATACTGATTGCAATAAGGTTGCATGCAGCGGCAACTTTGTATTTTATAGCTATTTTTGTTTATAAAAATTAAACCTCTCCAGTCATGCTTATCACATGGTCTTAGATTTATAATGTAAGTGAATAAGGAATACCATCTAGTTCAAAGAGAAAATGTAATTTTGAATATGAATTATCTGTATGAAACATGACGCATACTACTGAACCCTGAAACATGCATGTCTAGATTTGCTTTTTGTCCAAATCCAGCCTGTTTGCAATCACTTCCTACTCATCTAATACCAAGAGGATCTGTTTGTAATTGTGGTTGTGTCAGCTGAGGTTGCAATGGTGGCAGCAACTGAAGTGGTACCATTGGTTCCACCAACTCTCCTGGGTGTGAAGGTGGTGGAGGAGCCACAATATTTGTCATTTCTACAATTTCTCCATTTTAAAAGAAAAACTGACACTGCTGAATGAATGTTTCAACAACAGATTGACGAATCTTAGTAGTAGACTAAAAGCCCAGTTAAGTATTTTATAATTTCAGGCTACTGAGGCTATGTTTGGGATGTCATTTGAAAGAAAGAAAAAATACACTTGACATATTTCACATTTATGTACCTTCATCTTTACTTTCAAGTAAACCTGTGGATGATTTGATGAGGGATAAATGAACCTATTTCTTTTACACACATACCCAGGACATGCTTGTGGCTAAAGTGAGTTGATAATATTGTTCAAAGGATAGTTGACACCAACTCATTTCTTTATGGTCCGTAATGAAATAAACATTTTGTATACTGTTAATTCTGTAAACAGATGCATGTTCAAAAGATCTATGATGGTCTTGTAATCTTAATCTATTTTAGATATTTTATTTTTTTCTCTCTTGGGGAACACATTTAGTATAGTATAGAAAATACTTCATGACATTTTCATATAAGGTTATATAACTTTTCATACATAAACATGAAATTTGTTGTAGAAAATTCTTTAAACCAAACACTTAAATCTAGGACTTCAATTTAATTTGTTCCTTGAATCTATTTTTATATGGCCCTTAAAAACATATCCAAAAAACCCATTGCCAATATAGCAATAAAAATACTCTGGGTACTGACAGACTCTTTGGACTATTTATATTATAAATTTGTATTCATGTTATTTTCTGTGATGCATTGTACTAAAATCCAAAATGGCTTTTGCACCATTTTTAAGCCAATTTTTTCCTTTGATGTTGGTACCAGAATTACTATAAATGACTGCTGCTTTTGGGGGTAAATATTTTGTTAGTGATGATGAAAACAGAACACTAAATTATGGATAAAATTTTCAGAATAGGTGGCACAGGTAAATTTCACTAGGTTATATTTTGTGTAGTAAAGAAAAAAATTATTTGGTCAATGTTATCTTAATTCAGACTACAATTTTAAGATAATCTTATATGTATTATAGTAAATGCATGATTTTTCAGATTAAATAAAAAAGAATATTAAGACAAAGGAAGTACCTAGAGCCTGGAGGTATATTTTACTGTGCATAGTTACCTATAAGACCAATGAGAATTAAAGTAGGAAAAGTAGTTTTTTTAAATAATCAAATGCTGAAATTAAGATGTAAATATCACTGCTAACTGGCATTCGGGAGTACAACACTTTACAAAAAGAAGGAAAGGACAACACCTTTGACTTAAAGTTTTGATTTAGAAAGTTAGCTTACAACCTCATTAAAAAGGTCTATAATATTTTAGAAAGCTTCCACCATTTTGTGAATTGATCTAATGCTTTTACATTTAGAAGGTTAATTTTCTGAACTTTTCAAGAGCATAGCAGACTGCAAACAGTGTGAACTCTGAGATTACCAGTCAATTATCTTAGTATTAGTTATTTGTCTTCAGATACGAGTGATGGAATAACAACTCAAATTACCTGAAGAAAAACCAAAGATTTTTTTTTTTCTTAGTAGCAGGAAAGAATAGTGGAGCAGCCCACAAAACCAGAAAGAAGAAAAAAAATAAGACTTCAGATACTGGCAATGTGATTATGGGATGAATGCTACCAGGACTTTCTTATCTCTTTAACTTTTTACTGGATTTCATTTTGTACATAAGGCTCCTCCATATTATGAAAAAGGGCAACTAACAATAACCCTATCATCTTTTACTTAAAATCCAAGGGAATTGAAATTCTTCCATATTCAATTACAAAATTATGGGAAGGACTCAAATTGACTTGCCTGGGTTACATGTGTGTCCTTGCAGTGGATGTATGCAATTCAGAGAGTGTATTCCAGGAATACATAGAAGACATGGTATTTCTCAGATATGTGCAGTACTCTTAGAAGAAAAAGGAAAGGTTAATGTCAGCACAAAGGTGCCTGAAGACAAACACACTCAGTAGTTACCAGAATTTAATTCACTCCTGAAGCTCTCATGTAAAGGTAAGTGTTTCCAGTGGGGGATGGCCATGTCGGATGCAGTGCAAATAGCATCGTCTGACACCAGCATAAAGAGCAGTGAACTGGAAATGGGATCATGTAGCAACGGTTTCTGAAATTTTTTTGTTCTTTGCAGAATTGGCAGCAGCGGTAAAAATTTCCACCTCTTAGTGAGGCAGAGATTTTTCAGTGGGTAGAATCAGTAGAAAAATACATGGGTAGATTTTGTGCCATCCCAATTATAGAATAATAGATGTGTGTACCAGGAATGAATGTTTGAGCCCATGAGGATGTGTGTTTTGTGTTGGAATCCTGTATTCATTCACCTGTGTCTTTGGCATTTTATGCTCTCCTTGAGTGGGAAAGTATATCTTAACATAGATTCTGCCATCTCCCTAAAAGGGCAGACTTTATTTTCACTTAAATTCTTCATATGCAAAGTAACACACCTAGGCGCATGATAATTGTAGGAGCAGCAAAAATGGAGAAGTTTTATCCTATAAGAACTCATAGACTCACGTAGCAGTCCTACACCTCCCACCTCCAAACCCCAAATATATACAAAAAAACTACATTATAGAGTGGCAGAGTATTTGAAATACCAGGCCAAACACTGGCTCATGCCTGTAGTCTCTACGCTTTGGGAGGCCAAAACAGGGGGATTGTTTGAGCCCAGGAGTTTGAGACCAGCCTGGGCCACGTAGCGAGATCTCCTGTCTCTACAAAAAATAATGAAAAAAAAAAAAATTAGCCAAGCATGGTAGTCTTAGCTGAAGTGGAAGGCTGAAGGTTGAAGTGGGAGGACTGCTTGAGCCCAGGAAGTCCAGGCTGCACTAAGCTATGATCATGCCACTGCACTTCAGTCTGGGTGACAAAGCAAGACCCTGTCGCGCACATGTGAGTGCGCACACACGCAAACGTGTGTGTGTGTGTGTGTGTGTGTAGAGCCTATCTGGGAGAGATTTTAAAAGAAAAAGGGGATTATTTGAGAAATACTTTAAATATATTGTTGCATTTCTGAATCCTTTCCCTTTAGCCTTTCTGGTGAGCTTCTAATTAGCAGAAGTTAGGAATGAAATTGGAGAGAAAATGTGTAATGAGAAAAGATTTTAAAGTCAGAGAAAGCTGAGTAAAGAGCTGAGTGAGAAACTGAAGTTTCATAGGCCAAAAGGAATTTGGAAATGTTTGATAAAAGTGAAAGTAGCAGAAGCAACTATCAAAATATGAAGTAGATGTCAGGAATCCGCAGTTGAAGATCAACAGACTTCAAGAGTAGAGTGTGGACTGGAATGGTTCCAGATGAATCAATGAATGCACAGAAGCTGCCTGCTGTTGCTGCCTTTTTTGGGGCTGGTGCCAGCCTCAGCTGTGGGGTTGAGGGCCGTGTTCCACGGGATGGAGATGGCGTAATCTAGTCATAAAATGCATGTCTCCAGAAAATAAATCCCACCATTCTCTAACACAGATATGAGTAATAAGCTTTATATTTATAACCTTGATATATCACACAATATCGAATCACTCTAATTTAAAAGGCAAAAAGTCACTATAAGCTTTTAAAGCAGAACTTAATAAATGAGATTGATAATGTACCAAAGCAGATTCACTTAATTTGTGTAAACATATCATATAATCCTTGCAGCAGCAGATTCAGTGTTTAATAAGAATGAGGGATATGAAAGGTATGTAAACATTGAGGAGATAGGTGGGGGAGAGGGTTGAGGTTCAGAATCTGAGAATAGTAAAAATGAAATCTATTAGATAATGGGATTACACAGTTGACTGAAGTTTGTAATGAAGGATTAGGGCCAACTGTGTAACAAACACTATTTGTAGAACTTGGTAGAAGAAGAAAAAAATGTTTCAGTTAAGCGAAAAAACTTGCTAGTGACCTATTATTGAAATATAAGATCACACTTTTATTAACTAGAACAAATATATAAATTTCATGCTTTTCATTGATGTATTCTATCCATAACCAGCAAACAAAATCATTACCCAATATCTTCCTTATGTCAGCATATCTTTTATAAGTATTGGTTTCTTTTAAGCACTGTCTTAGTCTGTTTGAGCTGCTACAACAAAACACCAGAAACTGGGTAGGTTCTAAATAACAGAAATTTATTCTTCTCAGTTCTGCATGCTGGAAATTGCCAGAGCAAGGTACTGGCAGATTCAATGTTTAGTGAGGACCCACTTTCTCATAGGTGATGCCTTCTCCTTGTATCCTCATGTGGTAGACAAGAATAAGCTCCCTTGGGCATGTTTTATAAGGGCACTAACCCTGTTCAGATTTTATGACTTAATCACTGCCACAAAGGTCCCACCTCCTCATACCATCACCTTGGGGGTTAGAATTTCAACATATTTATTTTTGAAGACAAATACTCAGACCATAGCAAATAGTCTGCATTATTTGTGTAACTAATGAAGAAGAACTGTGTTTAATTCAGTTGCTTTTTGTGTATGTGTGTGTGTTTTTTTTTCCCTTGATTAATGGAACTTTTGGGTTACATTTAATTCCTATGTACTGGTATCAAACTGCAAAAAATTTACCCAGTTTGAGGATCCTACGATTTTCAATTTATCCTATTTTCTATGACATATTAGACTGTGGAATAGCTTAATGGTGTTTCATGTAATTAAGGGCAGAAAAAAATTACAAACTGATTAAATATGATATATGCTTTGAAAAGAAACCTTAAGTAACTCAGTGATTCCCGAGGTAATAAGTTATGCAAATTTTTTGCTGAGCCATTTGGAACATCCTTGAGGCCACAAATCATTTTATTTTCCAACAATAAACTATGGATGGGTGTTTCTGCACTGGCCTAAGATACATCTAGTTGGACCACATGTAGGCTATCAGGAGCCATTGTGGAGTTTCCTTACATTTATCCCACCTATGAGAAAGTTTTCTGGAGGTGTAAGGAGATATCAGAAGAATAATGCTGGGGAGAATAACAGTTGGCACAGGGACTTAGGGAGAACTTGTAGATCCCCAACATTTAGTGCATTGGTCATGTCCGAAATACAAGTGAGAGTTCCTCAGTTCCATCAGTCCTGGTCCTCCTGACCCCTTTCTTTTCTTCTTAACTCTCATTTCTCATTCCACTCTAAGTCACAAATACACATACACACAAATACAACATAAATATAAAACACATGTATATATAAAAAAGTGTGTGTGCACACAAATACAACATAAATATAAAACACATGTATATACAAAAAAATGTGTATGTGTATTTGTGTGTTTGTGCTCAAGAGAGAGACCCTTTAAACTAGCCTCTTCCTAAAAGGCCAATCAGATTAAATGGCATTCTTCATTTCCTCTACAAAATGTACTAATTAATTGATGCCTACAACACACTGATGACTGATGGCTTATAGGCTACTCTCCAGCATAACAAGGCAATTCTATCACAACAGCTGAGTTATTTGCTTACTGAGACTTACTTGTGTTTTTTATCCATTTTTCTCTTGTGTCTGTAGGACTTGTAATTAAATGAAGCATTTAATTAAATATATAAATCAAGCTATACTGATATATTTACAATACCATCATATTCATCATTACATGTAATAGAGTTGTTGATTTCTAGAAAACCATGTGGGATGTCCTGAGGAAAACTTTATAAAAGAAAATTGTTTTAAAATAAATTGCTATTAAATTGGAAAAGCAATGAAAAAGTATGGACAACTTGTGGGAAATCTTTGATTGTATTCTTATACTTCTTCATACTTGATTTTAAATGTATGCTTTGCCACAGAGGAATAAAAAAATAAAAATTTAGATTACACATTAAGGGTATTTTATGCAAGGAAGATGAGACATGAAATGAGAATGTATTTATTGAAAGGAAAAGCTTTTTTTCGATCTCAAATATTTATCAATAACACAAGTATGTTTTGTGAAAATAAAATTAAAAGATAAATTATTTTCATAACTCCTTATTCAATACTCTTATGATTAACTGACCAACCATCTGTATCTATTACGTTTTTAAAGTCTTTGCCTATTTCAGAATATTTTTCAGTTATAAAACATAAGTTTCAAAATAATCAAACAGAAAATTTTGAAGTGGTAATCTTCTGCCATCATTTCAAAAAAGAGAATTTTAAAACAAGTCAGATTTCATCAAGAAACTTTGAAGATTTAAAAATTATATATATTAATAAATTTATCTATACTTGTATATCATTGTAATCTGCAAAATACTCTGTTTTCAAACTCCTTACTTTAGTCTATCTGATGCTGCATAATCTGAGTTCTGTTTATCATTCCAACTTCACTTAGAACCATTCTCTCAGCCTTCTACCTCAACTGCTATCCGCTGAATGTTGGTATCCACCCAAAATTCATGTATTTTAACATAACCCCCAGTGTGATGGTATTTGAAAGTGGATTCTTTGAGAGGTGATTAGGTCATGTTGGGGGAACCCTCATAAATGGGATCAGTGCCCTTATAAAAAGAAGCCCCAGAGAGCTACCTTTTCTTTTTCACGTTGGGAGAAATCAGTGATAAGGTAGATATCTATGAAAGAGAAAGTGGGCCCTCATCAGACATTGATTTTTCCAGAGCCTTGATCTTGGACTTCCCAGCCTCCAGCAATGTGAGAAGAATATTCTGTTGTTTCTAAACCACCTAGTGTATGGTATTTTGTCATAGCCACCCAAAGAAAGATACCAACTAATAAATAATTTAAAGTAATAAAAAATTTATTGCTATGGACTTATTACTATGTTTATTAATAATGATTTCTCCTTTCTTATTTAATTATACTGATTACTATGGACTTTTTATTACTATGTTTATAAAGAAAGATTAAGGGAAAGAATAGAGAGTAGAAGTACATAATGGTCACATCTGTCACAAAAACCGTCACTGCAGTAGAAATGGAAAGGTTGGTAGATATGTTTGCTGGCATCCTTCCACGAAGGTGGGATGGCTGCCTTTCATGTTCCAGAAATGCATCAATGAGTTCATTATCTATCTAGTATTTTCTTAAACCATTACTATCAAGCTCAGAGAAAGTGACCTTCTTTCTAGATTCTGGCAAAAGATCATTTGTTTATATTATCTTTTGGTATTACTGTTTTTAAGTTCCTAAGTTTAAAACAAATATTTATTCATTTTGAGGGACTTTTCGGTTCAGAATCACAGGTAGTTGGGAGAAGTTGATGGTTACAGTCTTTTAGTTGGATGCCCACCTTTCACCAAAAGATCATCAGGTATTTTGGAGTTGTTTTTATTAACCTATGAAATTATATAATATATAACACTTGCATTATTTAGTTCTCTTAGCATAGTATAGAGTATATGCCCATTTTTGCAGGCTAAACATTATGTAATTCTCATAAAATCAAAAGTTACTTTCACAATTCTGGGAAAATATTCAATATCAACTACATATATTAACAATATTCTGATTTATGCCCTATCTTATATATAAAGGGCAAAAGTGAATTAACCTTTTTGAGAGTTAAAGATATGTCATCAATATATAAATATGTACTTAAGTTATGAATAAATATGATTATGGCTTAAGACATATTATAGCCTGATATATTTGCTTTGAGGAAATAAAAGTTTTTAACTGTCATATTTAGTGAAGGTCGATACTATCAACTTAACATTGTTAACAATTAGCAGTAATTTTAAAATTATATCTTTTCAATTTTCTGGAAGCTGGTAAATGAACTAGACTGAGTACCAATCTGCCTCAGCAGAGAAAGATCATCACTGGGTCAGCTCTTACATAAGAGAAATTAGTTAGGTTATCTTTCTCTGAGTTATAAGTTGCTCCATGATTTTGAGGAAAACTCAGAGCTGTCTAAGCCAAAGTAAAATAATTGCAGTGATTTTTATGGCAATCTTGAGATTAATTATTGAAGTTCCTTAAAAGATGATATGCTTTTGCCAATTATTTTGAGTGCACTGAAAAATAAATGCATAATTATAGAAAACTGCTACATTCCTACTTAAGAACGTTAAAGGAAAATCAATACCTAAGACCCAGAATGTTATTCTCACTTTGCTATGTACAGATTTTCTGTGTGCACTATTTTATATCAGATTCTATTTTTCACTCTCACTGGTAGGAATACTCTTCAAGGTATTAGGAATGGTGTGGCATTGGTTGCATAGTTTTTCACTTCAGCAAGAGAAAGTAAAGATAGGCCTTGTAGCACAAAATATGTAGCCCTCTGAAAAACATTTGTATTTGGTAAGCATCTTCCATATATAATGGTGATTTCATGTAAAAATAATATGTACTTTGCATTTTCAGAACAGAAAAGTTACACATTATCAAAAACAACTGATCTACTTTATATTATTCTCTAGAATGGTATTCTATAAACTTTGTTGGTAAACACTGGAAGTGTTAGTTAGAAAATAACTTATTGATTCTAAAAATTGTGATCTAATGAGGCTTCAAGCTAAAGTTCAAGCTATCTTACCTTCATGATCTCAGTAGTCTTGAAAAACAACCATATGGCATTAGCCAAAGGAAAAAATAAGAGGAGAGAAACAATCACTTTGAGATACAATTAACGTTCTGTTCCTTTCAAGCTCTTGATAGAAATGCCTGGGGGAAGGGGAAAGGAGTGAGAAAACGTGCCAGAGGTTTTTCCTAGCCATGTATTCTATTACTTGTGTCCAAAAAAGGAGGTTCCTCTTCTGAAATTCATTGAAGGCGATATGTTACTGTGATAATGTGTTTCAAGGTGTTCCTATGCTCCTTTGTACCTTCTCATAGAAAGAATAATTTAAATGATTTAATATTTTCAAAATGATAAATATTCCAAAATGTATCAGTATGACATGAGTCCTTTCAGGAACCAAGATATTAAAAAAAATACTTTATTTTGCTAGCTAACTTGAGAATACTTCACAATCAACAATTGTTTAAGAATATCTTAAAGAGAAGAATTTAAAACATCTGGTTAGAAGACAAAGACCTAAAACGTCTTTAAATGTTCCATGAGCACTTGAAAAGTATGTATATTCTGATGCTGGGTCCAGAATTCTATAAATGTCAAAGAGGTCAAATTGGTTGATATTGGTTCTTAAGTTATTACCCTCCCACCCTTTGTGCTATTGCTTCACACAATTCATTTCTACATTCACTATAAACCCACTACTGCATTGTCATTATGTTTATTTTTTTAATCAGTAATGTTGTAAGAGTTTTTTTATAAGTCCTTTGTATCAGTCAGCATATTTATTCATTATTGCATTCTTCATTTCTTCCCATAGAAATTGATTTCCAACTAGTATTATCCTTCTTCAAAATAATAAGAAATCTTGTAGCATTTCTTGTAGTGGAACTATTTTAGTTTCAAATGATTTATTTAATGTGCTTATTTGAAATGTCTTCATTTTTTAGAACAATTGATGCTAGTATAGAATTCTTCACTAACATATGTTTAAAATTTTTTTTCAGTACTTTAAAGGTTTGATTCTATCATTTTCTTGCCTTAGCTATAATTTTTAAAGCTTGTTTCACTGAATCTGATGTACTTTTAAAAAACTGAATCTAATATTTTTTCCTTTTCTCACTGCTCTCAAGGTTTTTACTTTATTTCTAAGCAATTTTATTATACTGCATTTGGTATGCTTTTCTTTGAATTATTGTGCTTCAAGATCTGTGAGCTGCATGTATATATGGGTTGATACCATTCATTAATTTATTATCTCTTCAAGTATTTATTCTGTCTCACTGTTTGGTACTTCACTAACCCATGTTAGACTGTTTGGTATTATCTTGAAGATCTTGGACACTTTTTTTTCAGTACTGTTTTCATTATATTTCAGTTTGAATTATTTCTATTGACATGTCCTAAAGTTTACTTATTGTCTCTTCCATGTCTAATGTATTTATATGTGCACAGGAAAAAAATTATTAGTGATAATCATAATTTCACACATACAGCATTTCCTTTTGATTTTTAAAAATTATTTGTCTCTCTGCCTAAATCTCCCGTTCATTCTCATGTGTTGTCCAACCTTTCCACCAGCTAATTTAATGATCTGATCTATTAGTTCTAAATATAGGCCATCTCTGAATCTGGTTGTGTTGACTATTTACTTTTTGATAGTGGATCACATTTTCTTGCTTTTTCAAATGTTTTGTACTTTTTTATTGCATATTAAGTATTGTGTGTGGAAGAAAGTACGGATGAGGTAAATAATACCTATGTACCCCAAACAGCATAACTATTTCTCTTTTAGTCTGTTAAGAGTTTGTATTTGAGTCAATCTATTCAATAATTTAGCTAGGTATTGGTTTTGTTGTTCCTTTAGTTTCATTCAGTTTACACACAATCCAAATTTTATTTTGCGGGGAGAAATACAATCTTCGTTTTATCAAGGTTTGAGCTCTGAAGCTGAAAGGTTTGTCTCAGGTCCTCCGCCCTAGCTTCATACTTTAACATGCCCACAGCTACCTGCACCTGAAAAGTGTCACTTCCAGTTTCCCTTCCCCTTCTCCAGTGGTAGATGATGTTCTGATCCACCCTAAAGTAACATCCCAATGCCCCCACCATTGAGAATCTGGAAATTTACCAGATAGCTGCAGTTAATGACACAAGAGACTCCAATTGTAAAAAATAAAAATTCATTAGTATTCATACCAACAGGGACTACCAGAGGAGAAGGGGCTTCACCTGCCAGAGGTTGATGGTGACAAGATAATCAGGGAAAAGGCAGGATTACATAAGTAAAAATATTTATATATTAAGTAGGAAGGGATTACATTTCATACAAGTTGAAAATAAATTGGTTGGATTTGAACCCTAACTGTTCTTGCAGGTGCTGTGAAAAAGAAACCTTCTTTTTTTAAATTGATCACAACATGCCATGAGGGCTGCTATTGACATAACATGCATTGGGTTATTAAGTTAAAGATAGGGGAAATTGGGAAGAGGCAAGTGAAATACCTTGGTGGAACATTTCTGGCTCATGAGGGTCTTGGGTCAAACAGCTTCACCTAAACATAAAAAACTGGTAGACTATTCTCATTGTAGATGGCCGATGCCTTATATTTATTGTAAGACATAGAGTGTGGAGTACTTCAGTGTTCTTGCTCTGCCCTCTAATGACACAGAAGATGCTGCTTGCCTGTATCACAGAGGAGCTTTCTTTCAATTGTCCTTCCATACCCCAAATCTGTAAAAATTCACTTGTTTTTCTTATTCCACCTTCAGACTATATAATGCCTGCTACCCCTGACCACAGAGGACATCTCAGTTCTCTTCCCCCTCCTGCAATTTTTGAGCTTCAGTAAAGACATGAAAAAGAGTTGGAAAGTGAATGCAAATTCTCCTTTTATTTGGGATCCCAGAGATTTTAAACTATCAAGGGAGCTAATATTAAATATTTCCAAATTCACTGGAACCTCGCCTCTTGTCATATTTTCTGTATCTATGGTGGTTCTCTACTTCTTTCCCTCCTCGGCCAAAGAAGAAAGCAACTGTGTGTTCACCACAGCTGTGCAGATATTACCTACTGGATTTTAGTTTATTAGGTTACTTTGCAACCCAGTTTCCTGATGGGCTTAAAGTAAGCATAATACTGAGATAATTCAGCTTGTTCTCAGTGCTATGGAAGGAGGTTTTTTAAATTTCTCTATTGAGACTTTTTGATTATAGGTATCACTTTTTTTCTCTGTAAGCCATTTAATTTGGTTAAAAACTACACATTTTTAATAATTCATTGGAACAATATTGTATTTTTTTTTTGTTCCTGAGTCTCCTTTAGCACATTTCCTGAACTTTTTGCAATCTGTCTCCTCCCTACTGTATTGCTGTTGATGTCTATGCTTAATTTCTTTTTCTTTTTTTATTATACTTTAAGTTTTAGGGTACATGTGCACAATGTGCAGGTTTGTTACATATGTATACATGTGCCATGTTGGTGTGCTGCACCCATTAACTCTTCATTTAACATTAGGTATATCTCCTAATGCTATCCCTCCCCCCTCCCCCCCACCCGACAGCAGGCCCCAGTGTGTGATGTTCCCCTTCTTGTGTCCATGTGTTTTCATTGTTCAATTCAATGAGATACCATCTCACACTAGTTAGAATGGCGATCATTAAAAAGTCAGGAAACAACAGGTGCTGGAGAGGATGTGGAGAAATAGGAACACTTTTACACTGTTGGTGGGACTGTAAACTAGTTCAACCATTGTGGAAGTCAGTGTGGCGATTCCTCAGGGATCTAGAACTAGAAATACCATTTGACCCAGCCATCCCATTACTGGGTATATACCCAAAGGATTATAAAACATGCTGCTATAAAGACACATGCACATGTGTGTTTATTGTAGCACTATTCACAACAGCAAAGACTTGGAACCAACCCAAATGTCCAACAATGATAGACTGGATTAAGAAAATGTGGCTGAATTTCTTAAATGCTTAGTTTTACTGTTTGCTTGGCTTCTCAGAAGTTGCTCCTGTGTCTGCAAATCACAGGGTCAAGCCAATCATTTGGCTGTAGGTTGTGTTTAAACTCCTTAAGCCCAAAAGAATTCAACCTTCTGTTCCATTTTTGAGTGGTTTGAACTCAGCATTTAGCTTGTATTTCAATCCTTTTTGGCTTTTACTTTCTGCTGGGTCTTGTCAGATCTTCCTTGTACACAGGTATAGCTTCCCAGCAAGGCTTCAGAGAAGAGTTATTTAGCCCTTCATAGGCTCTCTCTTTACCTGGAAACCCCATTACATTTCTGAATGGTGTGTCAGTTGCCCTAATTGGGATGGTGACCTCATGGCAGAGCAGCATGATTTTACCATTCTTTTCCTAATGAGTTTGCTCTTTCTTTATGCTGGCCATGCTGTTTTGTGCTTTGCCCTCCCTTCCATATTAATTCTACCTCCTTTGGCCGTAAGGTTGCTGTTTATCCTCTTAGGATATGTGGTTGGTGGAAGCATATCCAACAGAAAAAATTTTGCCTATTGGCTTCTAATACTGTAGACTAATTCAGCTTGTTTTTAATCTTTATATAATTAGAAATGCACATAATTTATAATTTTGTGTCTGAATTCATTTATATTATTGCATGTTATTTCTTTTTGCTGTATAATAATCCACTACATGAAAATAACTCTATTATTTATCCATTCTTCTCTTGATATGTATTACTGAGATTGCTATTGTATATAAGGTTGGGCGAGATTTCATTGAACATTCCTTTCAGTGCATGTAGTTCTCTTGAGTTTATTTGAAAAAAGAATTGCTAGGTTATAGCTTTAGTAGATGCTACCAAACAGTTTTCTACAATAGTTGCAACACTGTGCCCTCTCTCCAGCAATGTATGAGAGGTTTACTTGTTCCACATACTCTCCAACATTCTATTGCCTACCTTTTTCATATAGCCATGTTGGTATGTTTGTAGAGATATCTTATTGTGGTTTAATTTACATGTTTCTGATGATAAAAAAGCCTGGGCATTTTCTTTAGCCATTTGGATTTCTCTTTTTGAAGTGCCTTTACAAGTCTATTGCCCATTTTTCTACCTGAGTGTGGTGTGTCTTTGTGTGTGTGTGTGTGTGTGTGTCTGTGTGTGTGATCGACTTGAAAGTCTTTACAAATTGTGTGAGTTCCTTGTGATTGTCATAGGTCTGATTTCTTATAAACCAGACTCTGGGGTAAAAATATGCTGGCAGGAAGTTTATGGTGGAGTGATCTCAGGACTACAACCCTTGGAGGAATAAAGGAAGCAAGACTGAGAAAAGGCAGAGGGTGTGTTATAATAAAGTCACAGCAAAGGCCTCAACTAATTTCTCAGGCTCTCTGGAGCTTGAATGGGTCTACAGAATATTGCCAAATTTGGACATGAGATTCAAGACTTTATGCCACTGTACCAAGTCATTAGATGCATGGTATTCATGGGAGAGGCTGGACCTGAAACAAGATGGCTATCTAGCTGAGAACAATTTCTGTTATAGAAGAACCTAAGCTAGTCTCAACTATTACTTCCAGTAACCAGTGAAGTGAATACTGGTGGCTAGCACACTACAGAAACCACTACATACATACATACATATATATATGCATTGCAAATATTTACTGTCATTTTATGGCTTACTTTACCATCTCTTCTTGGTGTCTTTTGATAAATAAAGTCCTTAATTTTAATGCAGTAGATGTTATCAATTTTTCATTTATGGTAATATTATTGTTTTAGGGGTTGTGCTATAAAACCTTAGATAGTATAACACTGAAAGAATTTTTTGTTTTATTTCAGAAGGTTTACCTTTCACCATTCTATTTATATCTACAATCCATCTTGAATTGGTGTATATGGTGTGAGCTACAGGTCAAGATTTATTTTTGCCTATAACTCTCCAATTGACCCAGAATGACTTATTAAAAAAATACATTATTTTACACTGTTTTACTTAGGTCATAAATAAAATATTTGTAGGCATTTTTTAAACTTTCTATTTTTGGTCTATTGGCCTATTTGTCTATTCTCTTACCTATACCATAGTAATAAAAAATGTATATAGCATTATAAAATATATGGATATCTGGAGGTTCTAAAAGCACATGATGATCTAATTTAATATGTAAATTTTGTTTAGATTCTGCTTCCAAATAATGAAACCATAAAAGGTTGGGAACAATTGTGGAGATTTGAATATGGGCAATGCATGAGATGACTTTAGAAAAATAGGGTTACTACATGTGACAAATAAATGTTATGGAATATACTGCTCTTATTTTTACTATATAAATGCTGAAATGCTTAGGGGTAAAGTGTCACAAGATCTAAAACTTATTTTCAAAATTTTTAGCAAAAAGAAAATATATCCAGATGAATAGATAAAGACTAAACAGAGCACAATGCTACCAATAACCAAATTAAGATAGTAGACATATGTGTTCATTTTTAAATTTACAGTATTTTTGTTTCCAAAATTTTCTAATAACTTGAAAAATTCAGCTGAAAAAAATTCAGGGATTTTCTAGAAATTATAGATGACATTAATAATGTTATAAATACTAATAATGAAATGAAAGATATCCTCTTGATAATATTTACTTTTAAATTGACAAACTTTATATACTAATTGGGCATAATGTTTAAAGAAAAATAATATTATAAGCAAAATGATTCAGAATTAAATTCAATGTACATAATATTCTTGCCAAATCAGAGGGACTAAAAATTATTTGGAAAAAAACAAATTCTGGTGACTATGAAAACTATATCATTGATACAAAAGAAATTGCAGTATCTCCAGGCAATTATTGCCAAATTCTTCACAGTAGAATATTAGAATGACTCAAGCGGACTAAAAAATTTTACTGTACATACTCTATTTAGCTTATCTATCATTCAAATCCTAATTTAACAGTCATTTATAATTGTTATCTATCAAATATAAGAAAGTCATATTTAAGATGAAATTTATATACCAAAAGTTTATTGTAAGGCATAATGTGTTAAGGACAACATATTTAATTTAATAAATTGCAAAGCGCCACGAACTACTGCAACTCTTTAAAAAACTAAAATTGATATTAAAGAATATTGCAATGAATATTGTATTAAGACATTAACATTTTTAAAAATATAGTTTAATTTTAATTTTTATTTTTTGTGGCTGCATAGTAGATTCATGTATTTATGAAGGACATGATATATTTTGATACAGGGATGTAATGTGTAATAATCACATCATGGAGGATGGGGTATCAAGCTCCTCAATCATTTATCCTTTGTGTTACAAAAAGTCCAATTATACTCTTTTAGTTATTTTAAAATGTACAATTAAATTATTCTGACCAGAATCATCCTGTTGTGCTATCAAATAGTAGATCTTATTCATTCTTTAACTATTTTTGTCTCCATTAACCATCCCTAAATCTCCCACACCCATTACTACCCTTCCCAGAATCTGGTAACCATCCTTCACCTCTCTATCTCTGTGTTTTCAATTGTTTTGATTTTTAGATCCTACAAACAAGTGAGAACATGATATTTGTCTTTCTGTCCCTGGCCTATTCCACTTAACATAATGACCTCCAGTTTCATCCATGTTGTTGCAAATGACAAGATCTCATTTTTTTATGGCTAATACTTCACTGTATATAAATACCAAATTTTCCTTATACATTCATCTGTTGATGGACTCTTAAGTTGTTTCCAACTCGTGGCTATTATGAACAGTGGTACAACAAACATGGGAGTGAAGATATCTCTTCAATATACTGATTTCCTTTATTTTGAATATGATATAATTCCCAGTGAAGTACTATAATATACTTACAGCATGCACAGATGGATATATTTGGAAGTGCTTTTTTTGGCATATGAGATGCATTTAATTTTCCAAAATTGATTACAACTAGAAAATACAGCTCCTCAAAACCAAAGGTTAATAATAGCCATTTGAAGAACATGATGTTATAATAAATACTGCCCAACATGATTACAATTTCCATAGAAAATAAGATATCATAAAATGTAAGCACCAAAATATCATGAAGAACTTAATTTCTGGAAAAGTGAGTTGTAATTATTTTCATTTTATTATATAGGAGTAACTATGAGTTTCTAATTATTATGATTAAATTTTGAATTTTACATAATTTTATGTTTAATTTTATCAAGCATAATTATGCTCAACTTGAACATATTTGAAAACAATTATGTTAAATTTGACTTTGTATAAATTTACAGAATTATTTTGCTTGATTAACTGTTATTTCTGAAAAATAAATTCTATATCATCTTTAACATATTAACTCAGGAAAAGTAGACTTTCTTTCAACTCATAATAAAGCTGGGAGCTGGTGCTCGTAGTGGCCCCAGTGACACTGTGGATGGGGCTCCACTGCTTGGGCGCTGAGTGGTAAATGGAATTCTGTGACACATGACTTCATCATAATCCTGTGCAACAGTTCAACAATGTCAGCTAGCACATAGATGCTCTCCATTGGACCACTAAGGAATAAACAGAAGCCCTTTTAGTATTGGTAAAATAAACAGAAATCTTAAAATATCTATTAATATTTTGTGAGGGACGAGTAACCGCCTGCTTTTGTATGTTTTAGGTCAAGTCCATACAAGCTAGGACAGTTTATGTGGCCCTCCAATTTCCAATGATGTGGTCAAGGAAGGTACACCTATGTTACTAAAGCTTTACAAACTGATTTTGCAACATCTCTAGAAAGGGTGTGTCTCTCTTACAGTCAGTAAGGATATATCAAACAAGTATAGTATTTTGGGTTTTTTTTCTGATAGTCATTGTGTCATAGAATCAAGTAAGCTTTTATACAACTTGAGATACAAATGCTCTCTGCTCATATCCTTGCTTGGCCAATTTTCTTTTTTTTGTTATATTTAAGTATTTTTATTTTTATTTTTATTTTTTTATTTTATTATACTTTAAGTTTTAGGGTACATGTGCACAATGTGCAGGTTAGTTACATATGTATACATGTGCCATGCTGGTGTGCTGCACCCATTAACTCGTCATTTAGCGTTAGGTATATCTCCTAAAGCTATCCCTCCCCCTTCCCCCCACCCCACAACAGTCCCCAGAGTGTGATGTTCCCCTTCCTGTGTCCATGTGTTCTCATTGTTCAATTCCCACCTATGAGTCAGAATATGCGGTGTTTGGTTTTTTGTTCTTGCGATAGTTTACTGAGAATGATGTTTTCCAATTTCATCCATGTCACTACAAAGGACATGAACTCATCATTTTTTATGGCTGCATAGTATTCCATGGTGTATATGTGCCACATTTTCTTAATCCAGTCTATCATTGTTGGACATTTGGCTTGGTTACAAGTCTTTGCTCTTGTGAATAGTGCCGCAATAAACATATGTGTGCATGTGTCTTTATAGCAGCATGATTTATAGTCCTTTGGGTATATACCCAGTAATGGGATGGCTGGGCCAAATGGTATTTCTAGTTCTAGATCCCTGAGGAATCGCCACACTGACTTCCACAATGGTTGAACTAGATTACAGTCCCACCAACAGTGTAAAAGTGTTCCTATTTCTCCACATCCTCTCCAGCACATGTTGTTTCCTGACTTTTTAATGATTGCCATTCTAACTGGTGTGAGATGGTATCTCATTGTGGTTTTGATTTGCATTTCTCTGATGGCCAGTGATGGTGAGCATTTTTTCATGGGTTTTTTGGCTGCATAAATGTCTTCTTTTGAGAAGTGTCTGTTCATGTCCTTCACCCACTTTTTGATGGGGTTGTTTGTTTTTTTCTTGTAAATTTGTTTGAGTTCATTGTAGATTGTGGATATTAGCCCTTTGTCAGATGAGTGGGTTGCGAAAATTGTCTCCCATTTTGTAGGTTGCCTGTTCATTCTGACGGTAGTTTCTTTTGCTGTGCAGAAGCTCTTTAGTTAAATTAGATCCCATTTGTCAATTTTGGCTTTTGTTGCCATTGCTTTTGGTGTTTTAGACATGAAGTCCTTGCCCATGCCTATGTCCTGAATGGTAATGCCTAGGTTTTCTTCTAGGGTTTTTATGGTTTTAGGTCTAACGTTTAAGTCTTTAATCCATCTTGAATTAATTTTTGTATAAGGCGTAAGGAAGGGATCCAGTTTTAGCTTTCTACATATGGCTAGCTAGTTTTCCCAGCACCATTTATTAAATAGGGAATCCTTTCCCCATTGCTTGTTTTTGTCAGGTTTGTCAAAGATCAGATAGTTGTAGATATGCGGCATTATTTCTGAGGGCTCTGTTCTGTTCCATTGGTCTATATCTCTGTTTTGGTACCAGTACCATGCTGTTTTGGTTACTGTTGCCTTGTAGTATAGTTTGAAGTCTGGTAGCATGATGCCTCCAGCTTTGTTCTTTTGGCTTAGGATTGACTTGGCGATGTGGGCTCTTTCTTGGTTCCATATGAACTTTAAAGTAGTTTTTTCCAATTCTGTGAAGAAAGTCATTGGTAGCTTGATGGGGATGGCATTGAATCTATAAATTACCTTGGGCAATTCCTGCTAACTCTGCTTACCCTTCCTTATAACAGAAAATATTTTTGTTTGATTTTTATGTGCTACAGATCTTGAGATTAAATTAGAATATCTTCAATTGAATAAAATGAATGCAACTTTAACAAATAAGTCTCAAAATAAAAAAAAGAATGACTCCCCACCTCAACTATGAAACAGGAAAACTCTGGTAGCTTTCATTATAACACTGGAAAAATTAGTAGTAAAACAATCATGCAGAAACTTCCTCAAGGTTACCTTGTTGTGCTTGTGTATCCTATCCTGGATTATAGGAACATGCTCCCTGAGTAAGAACATTTCTGCTACCAAGCAGCCTTTTTTGGTAGGTGACAAAAGTGTTCTGGGTGTCTTAGATATCCTGCCAATTTTAAAGGTTTTTCTGTAACTTTGAGGGCTAACCGCCAACATGGTAATATTAAACATTGACTGATTACGTGATTTTACTATTGATACACACAGGAGGCAGGTAAATACTGGGTAGAAGAGGGCAGGGTCATGGCGACGGCTCCACCCTCAAGCCTGGACCCACAGCCCTACATGAGAACTTTACATCTCTGTTATCCTGCCTGAATGTTGCCTTTTGGCCCACCATGCCCCCTATCCTGTGCCCATAAGAACCCCAGACCAGACTCAAAACACACACAGAGAAGAGAGAATTGTCTGAATGTCGAGAGGAGAAGAAGCAGCTGGACATCATAGACTACAGTTGGAGAGGAGTTTGGCCTGGGACAGTAGAAGAGGAGATTGGCCGGGCTGGCCTAACTCCAGGGGAAGACCCATTTCCCACTCCATTCTCTTCCCAGCTCCCCATCCTGCTAAGAGCCACTTCTACCACTCAAAATCTCTCCCAGTCTACGTGACTTCATTTCTCTTAAGCACTGGACAACAACCTGGGTGCGGGTCCAACAGGCCGTCACACTAACTCTCCACTGAGCTGTTTGACATTTAAGCCATCCATGGATGGCAAGGCTAAAACATATGCCCTCTGGGGCTCCAGAGGTTGCAGACAACCCCTAGATGCTGCCACGTGCCTGTTCCAGTACATTCCTGCCAGCGCCCACAGGCACTCACCCTGGCTCCTGCATGCTCCCCCTCCCGCAAGGAGTTTGAGCACTGTGGGCTGAGTAAGCAAGGCACCCATTCATGATTCCTGCAAAAGGGGTCAAGGGAACTATCCTGTCTCACTGTGAGAAAAAAAAAATGAGTGAGAATGAGATATGGCTGTAGTCTTTACTGGATTTTGGTCACATAAACCACAATTTAAAAATTCATAGCATATAGTGACATAAGGACAATGTTTATAATTACTTAGTCATTAATTATCTAAAGTCATAATGAAAACTAGAACATGAACAGATACTGAAAAGTAAGAGTACATGCTTTTGAGTATCAAATAAAAACAAACCTAGACTTAAAGAGAGACTATTCAAAAGATGATTGTAATGGAGAAGACAATTTAATCTCAAGATCTGCAGCACATAAAAATCAAACAAAAATATTTTCTGTTATAAGGAAGGGTAAGCAGAGTTAGCAGGATTTTTTTAAAGAAAATTGTCCAAGCAAGGATATGAGCAGAGGGCATGATCAGGAGGGTTTGACAGGAAATGTTTCTTGCTGAAATCAGCTAATTTGGGGATGAGCTGTTAAGAAAGCATGCTCTGCATTTTAGTTCTCACTTATACTTGGGGCAAGCCAAAATTTAGGGGTCTGTGAAGAAGAGAGAAAAGTCTGACTGAAGATTGATCAAGGCAAGGCAGAGAATAGGAAATGGGCAAATCTGAACACTTGGCCAAGTGAGAGCAACAAATTCTTATACCCATGCACAAAACAAAGAAAAATATTTTTGCTACCTCATATTGAAACCAGACTCATATACTTGAGACCAATTTTCTTTTTCTGAGCTGTACTGCTGTCTTCTCTAATTCACACATTTCACTTATTAATACATTTTGATATTCACCTACACAAACATACATACACATATACAATATTACCAAGTGATATGTTTAAGCACATATTAAAGGTTGAAATAGCTTTTAAAATACAATTTTATCATACCCATTAGGAAATAATATTTGCATTAATTGAGTCTTCTTATTAATTTGATGTTAAAAAGAAAAATGCATTTATACATAGAAAAGAATACATAATTGAAAAGCACATGGAATTGTATGTTGGCCATATAGCTTATTCTTCTATTTATTTGAATTTTAACTTCTTGTGATATTTTGAGATGTACAGATCATTAATTACTTCAGTCTTTCATTATTCCAAAATCTAAATTATATTAAAGATTTTTAGAAAATATTTCTAACTTAACACAAGACTAAAACATCTCAGTTTACTTTGGGAATTTTTAAATGTGACACCTAAAATTGTTATTTGGATAATGCAAATGGGTTAACTTTGAGGTTTAAGTATTTTTATGGGGGTGGGGAAAAATAAACATATCTGCTTTCTTGGCAAATTTTACCAACATGTAATTCACAGAATTGTGTTCATATCTTGCTGCCATCTAACCTACCATTAACTCATTTAATTGCATGTGGTGTATCACTAGTACAGATAGACTTCATCGTATTCCATAAAATTTTTCTTAATAAATATTTAATTTTCTCAAGTTGGATTTTATTTTCTAGACTAACAAATTTATATTAGGCCTTGTAGATCTCAGAAGTATAGCAAAGTAGTACATTAAATGAACTACTTTTGTGTTCTTCAAGCCAACTATTAAATTATTTAAACTTTATAAGCCTACAGATGACATAAATTAATAGCGATGATACTATAGAAATTTATAATTACCAAAATGATGATTATCATTGTGCTTTATTAAAAATAACATAAAGAAAATACTAAGTTATTATAGGAACCTCTGCTGTCACAAAGGACAGGATAAATGGATGTAATTAAAAGAACAGTGGAAAATGTATTACTCATGTAGTTCTGTGCTTCCTGATTCTAAAACCCATTTTTTAAAATAGTGTTTTCATTTTCCGTAGAATCCTAGAAACTTTGGAGTTCATTCTTTCTTATAAAATTATGTTACTATCCTCATTCCCTACCAGGGGATTCCACAGCAGCTGGCTACCAGTTATCTATGAGCAGAGCTTTACCTCTTCTAATACACATGACACTCTGATGCCAGACTAATCCTCTTAAAACACTACTTCCACTGTGCTAATCTTTCTCATAAACCTCCAAAATCCCCTAATGGCCTGACACATTGAGTTCATGTTCTTATGCCTTGTCTTATCAAATAACTCAAAAACATGTATTTTACTTTTGCTCTAGCTCCTCTGATAAATTTTCAGACAACTATTGTCTGGATTCATTTTTGAAACAGAAAGAGGGTATAGGGCAAGGAGAATTAAAAGAAGAGAGAGAGTAGAAAAAGGAACATTCTTTTTTAAAAAGAGAAGAAACAAAAACAAAAGAAATATTAAACCTGGGAATTCATTTGACAAAGTAGTGACATTGGAAGAGGAATGCTATTGCCAGGGGCCTGTGCTTTGGTAGTTCTGAGGCAGAGGGTGCCACTGGGAAGACTGTTATATTCTGAAGCATTCAGGGCATAAGTGAAGAGATGATTAAGGAAGCAGCACAGGAGGGACAAAAGGTTTGAGTGAGAAATTTCTTGATTTAGTAGTGTGATTCTTCTGGATTTTGAAGGATTCTATGAGGGATTTTAGTTAGCTTTGGTGAGATCAAATTTGCATTAGATCAGCCTCACTGTTTTTTAGTAAACCAGTAAAACCTAAATTTTCTTTTCTAGTGTGCTTTGAAAGTGACATTATCACAGGGTAAAATCCTATAGTTCTAGATTTATAATCTTGCTAAAATAATTATTTGAAACTAATTTGCCTGTGCAGAAACACCACAGGAAAAAAAAATCCTGTTGTATGTCAATTAGCACATCAAGTTTCATCTTAGGATTTTTTTTCCAGGGAAACCTTCAACAATTCTACCCAAATTTCTCCCATCCTAGTATTGTGCACTCAATTGCATTTTAGATGTGAAATAAATTAGACATTAAACTCTTGAGATTACAGGATATCCCTTGAATTTTAACCATTAGTGCCTACCAGGCATAGTGTTTGGCATTACCGGAAGCATACCCCAAAACGATAAAGTGTATCATTCATATATTTAGGGAATATTGACTTCCAACTATGTATTTGATGTTGTTCCAAGAACTAAGGATAAAGCAGGTAATCAATAAACTAATAAACTAAAGTTGTTGGCTTCATAGAGTTTTCATTTATATGAGTAGAATGAGTTAATAAATAAATAAAGATAAAATATGTCTAGTGGCAATAATAAATAGATATTAAAAAAACCATGGAAAATGCATCACTCATGTATTTCTGCACTTTGGTATTGGTATTTTTATTCTCCAGTCTCACAACCTAGAAATCTTGGAGTTCTTTCTCTCTCATTAACTTCTGAAGAAATAAAAGAATAAGGACATAAGGAATGATCAGTATGGCATTTTTCTTCAGATTAAAGAGTTGATTAAAACTTCTTGAATGAGGTGATGGGCAGATACCTTAGGAAGTATGGGAATAAGTGATAAGAAAACTTAGGACCAGCACTATAGGCACAGTACATAGTATAAAGGCTCCGGGGCTGGAGCCCAAATAGTGTGTCTCTTTGGCTATTTGAGCTCTTTTTTGGTTTTATATGAATTTTAGAAGAGTTTTCTTCTAATTCTGTGAAAAGTGACATTGGTAGTTAGACAGAAAAGACATTGAATTTATAAATTGCTTTGGGCAGAGTGGCCATTTTAATATTGATTCTTCTAATTCATGAGCATGAAATTATTGTCTATTTATTTGTGTCATCTCTGATTTCTTTTAGCAATGTTTTGTAGTGCTCCTTGTAGAGAGGCTGAATAGCCAAAATAATCTTAAGCAAAAAGAAGAAAGCCAGAGGCATCTCATTACCAAACTTCAAACTATACTGTAGGGCTACAGAAAACAAAACAGCATGGTACTTACTGTTACAATAAACAGAGACAAAGATCAATGAAATAGAATCCAGAATCCAGAAATAAAGCCGCAGAGCTACAATCATCTGATCTTTGACAAACTTGACAAAAATAATAAATGGGAAAAAGTCTTCTTATTTAATAAATAGTGCTGGAATATATGGCTAAACACAGCAGAAGAATGAAACTGGACCTCCACCTATTACAATATACAAAAATTAACCCAAGATGGATTAAAAACTTAATGTAAGACTTCAAAATATAAAAGTCCTAGAAGAAAACCTAGGAAATACCATTCTGGACCTTGACCTTGGCAAGGAATGTATGGATAAGTACTCAAAAGTAATTGCAACTGATATGGTTTGGCTGTGCCCCCACCCAAATCTCATCTTGAATTGTAACTCCCACAATTTCCATGTGTTGTGGGAGGAACCTGGTGGGAGGTGATTGAATCATTGGGGCGGGTCTTTCTTGTGCTGCTCTCATGATAGAGAATAAATCTCATGAGATCTAATGATTTTGAAAAATGGATTTCCCAGGGAGGGGCCAAGATGACCGAATAGGAACAGCTCTGGTCTGTAGTTCCCAGGGAGACCAACGCAGAAGGCAGGTGATTTTTGTGTTACCAACTGAGATACTCAGGTCACTGGTTAGCCAGTGAGTGCAATCCACGGAAAGCGAGCAGAAACAGGGTGCGGTGTCACTTGCCCCAGGAAGAGCAAGAAGCCAGTGACCTCCCTCCTCAAGCTAAGGGAAGCCATGAAGAGCTGTGCTACCCGGCTGGGTTACTATGCTTTTCCCAGTTTTTGATCAGGAGATTCCCTCTTGTGCCTATACCACCAGGGCCCTGGGTTTCAAGAAGAAAGATGGTCAGCTCTTTGGGCAGACAGCAAGGTAGCTGCAGGAGTTTGTTTTATATCCCGGTGGCTCCTGGAACCCCAGTGAGACAAAACTGTTTACTCCCCTGGAAAGGGGGCTGAAGCCAGGGAGCCAAGTGGTTCTGGATCAGTGGGTCCCACTCCCATGGAATCCAGCAAGCTAAGAACCACTGGCTTGAAATTCTCACTGCCAGCACAGCAATCTGAAGTCGACCTGGGACAATTGAGCTTGGTGGGGCGGGGGGCACCCACCATTACTGAGGCTTTAGTAGGCAGTTTTCCCCTTACAGTGATAAGGAGGCTGGAAGGTTTGGACTGGGCGGAATTCACCACAGTGCGACAAAGTGGCTATGACCAGACTGCTTCTCTAGGTTCCTCCTCACTGGGCAGGGCATCTCTGAAGGAAAGGCAGCAGCTCCAGTCAGGGTCTTACAGATAAAAAAACTCATCTGCCTAGGACAGAACACCTGGGAGAAGAGGCGGCTATGGGCACAGGTTCTGTGGATTTAATCTTTCCTGTCTGCCGGCTCCAAAGAGAGCAGCTGATCCTGACAAGGAGGAATCTCCCAGCACAATGCAGCAGCTCTGCTAAGGGACAGACTGCTTCCTCAAGTGGGTCCCTGACCCCCGTGCCTCCTGACTGGGAGAGACCTCCCAATAGAGGTCGACAGACACCTTATACAGGAGAGCTCTGGCTGGCATCAGGCCAGTGCCCCTCTGGGTTGAAGCTTCCAGAGGAAGGAGCAAGCAGCAATCTCTGCTGTTCTGAAGCTGCCACTGGAAATACCCATGTGAACAGGGTCTGGAGTGGACCTCCAGCAAAGTGCAGCAGACCTGCAGAAGAGGGGCCTGATTGTTAAAAGAAAAACTAACAGAGAGCAACAACATCAGCATCAGCAAAGAAGACGCCCACACAAAAATTCCATCCAAAGGTCATCAGCCTCAAAGATAAAAAGTAGAAAAATCCATGAAGATGAGGAAGAACCCATATAAAAACACTGAAAATTCCAAAAACTAGAATGCCTCTTCTTCTCCAAATGATCACAGCTCCTCTCCAGCAATGGCACAAAACTGGATGGATAATGAGATTGAAGAATTGACAGAAGTAGGCTTCAGAAGGTGAGTAATAACAAACTCCTCTGAGCTAAAGGAGCATGTTCTAACCCAATGGAAGGAAGCTAAGAACCTTAATAAAAGGTTACAGGAACTGCTAACTAGAATAACCAATTTAGAGACAAACATAAATGACCTGATGGAGCAGAAAAACACAGCATGTGAACTTTGTGAAGCATACATAAGTATCAATAGCTGAATAAATCAAGTGGAAGAAAGGATATCAGAGATTGACAATCACCTTACTGAAATAGGTGTGAAAACAAGATTAGAGAGAAAAATAATGAAAAGGAATGAACAAAGCCTCCAAGAAATATGGGACTATGTGAAAAGACCAAACCTACAATTGATTGGTGTACCTGAAAGTGATGGGGTGAATGGAAACAAGTTGGAAAACACACTTCAGGATATTATCCAGGAGAACTTCCCCAACATACCAAGACAGGCCAACATTCAAATTCAGAAAATACAGAGAACACCACTAACACACTCCTCAAGAAGAGTAACCTCAAGGCAGATTCTCAATCTGAGTAACCCAATCATCAGATTCTGCAAGGTTAAAACAAAGGAAAAAATGTTAAGGGCAGCCAGAGAGAAAGGTCAGGTTGCCTACAAAGGGAAGCCCATCAGACTAACAGTGGATCTCTCTTCAGAAACCCTACAAGCCAGAAGACAATGGTGGCCAATATTCAACATTCTTAAAAGAATTTGCCACTTTGGGAGGCCAAGGCAGGTGGATGATGAGGTCAGGAGATCAAGACCATCCTGGCTAACACGGTGAAACCCTGTCTCTACTAAAAATACAAAAAATTAGCCGGGCGTGGTGGCAGGCGCCTGTAGTCCCAGCTACTCGGGAGGCTGAGGCAGGAGAATGGAGTGAACCTGGGAGGTGGTGCTGGCAGTGAGCCGAGATCACACCACTGCACTCCAGCCTGGGCTACAGAGTGAGACTCCATCTCAAAAAAAAAAAAAAAAAAAAAAAAAAAAAAAAAATTGCCACCCAGAATTTCATATACTGCCAAATTAAGCCTGATAAGCACAAATGAAATAAAATCTTTTCCAGACAAGCAAATGCTGAGGGATTTTGTCAACACCATCCCTGCCTTACAAGAGCTCCTGAAGGAAGCCCTAAATATGGAAAGGAAAAACTGGTATTAGCCACTGCAAAACCACACCAAAATATAAAGTCCAATAACACTATAAAGAAACTGCATCTGGCCAGGCGTGGTGGCTCACGCCTGTAATCCCAACACTTTGGGAGGCCTTGGTGAGCGGATCACGAGGTCAGGAGATCAAGACAGTCCGGGCTAACAATGGTGAAACCTGTCTCTACTAAAAATACAAAAAATTAGCTGGGCATGGTGGCACTCGCCTATACTCTCAGCTACTCAGGAGGCTGAGGCAGAAGAATCTCTTGAACCCGGGAGGTGGAGGTTGCAGTGAGCCGAGATCATGCCACTGCACTCCAGCTTGGGTGACAGAGTAGGACTCTGTCACACACACAAAAAAAGTGCCTCAAATAATGTACAAAATAACCAGCTATCATCATGATGACAGGATTAAAGCCACACATAACAATATTAACCTTAAATGTAAATGGGCTAAATGCCTCAACTAAATGACACAGACTGGCAAATTGTATAAAGAGTCAAGAACCATCAGTGTGCTGTATTCAGGAGACCCATCTTACTTGCAAAGACACACACAGGCTCAAAATAAATGGGTGGAGGAATATTTACCAAAAATGGAAAGGAAAAAAAGCAGGGGTTGCAATCCTAGTCTCTGATAAAACAGACTTCAAACCAACAAAAATAAAAAAGACAAGGGCATTGGATAATGGTAAAGGAGTCAATGAAACAAAAAGAGGTAACTATCCTAAATATATACGCACCCTATACAGGAGCACTCAGATTCATTAAAAAAGTTCTTAGAGACCTACAAAGAGACTTAGATACCCACACAATAATAGTGGGAAAATTTAACACCCCACTGTTAATAGTAGACAGAAGAGACAGAAAATTAACAAATATATTGAGGACTTGAACTCAGCTCTGGACCAAGTAGACCTAATAGACATCTACAGAAGTCTCCACCCCAAATCAACACAATATATATTCTTTTCAGTGCCACATAGCACTTATTCTAAAATCAGCAACATAATTGGAAGTAAAACACTCCCCAGCAAATGCAAAAGAATGGAAATCATAACAGACTCTCAGATCACACTGCAATCAAATTAGAGCTCAAGATCAAGAAACTCACTCAAAACCACAAAACTACGTGGAAATTGAACAACTTGCTCCTGAATGACTACTGGGAAATAACGAAATTAAGGCAGAAATAAAGAAGTTCTTTGAAACCAATGAGAACAAAGAGACAAAACAGATATATAGACCAATGGAACAGAACAGAGGCCTCTGAAATAATACTACACATCTACAGCCCTCTGATCTTTGACAAACCTGACAAAAACAAGCAATGGGGAAAGGATTCCATATTTAATAAATGGTGCCAGGAAAACTGGCTAGCTGTATACAGAAAACTAAAACTGGACCCTTTCCTTACACCTTACACAAAAATTAACTGAAAATGTATTAAAGACTTAAACATAAAACCTAAAGCCATAACAACCTAGAAGAAAACCTAGGCAATACCATTCAGCACATAGGCATTAGCAAAGCATGTCTAAAACACCAAAAGCAATTGCAACAAAAGCCAAAATTGACAAATGGGATCTAACTAAACTAAAGAGCTTCTGCACAGCAAAACAATCTATCATCAGAGTGAACAGGCAACCTACACGATGGGAAAAATTTTTTGCAATCTACTCATCTGACGAAGGTCTAATATTCAGAATCTACGAGTAACTTAAACAAATTTACAGCAACCAAAAAAACAAACACCTCATCAAAAAGTGGGTGAAAGATATGAACAGACACTTCCAAAATGAAGACATTTATGCAGCCATCAAACATACGAAAAAAAAAGCTCATCATCACTGTTCATTAGAGAAATGCAAATCAAAACCACAATGAGAAACCATCTCACACCATTTAGAATGGTGATTATTTAAAAATGAGGAAACAACAGATGCTAGTGAGGCTGTGAAGAAATAGAAACACTTACACTGTTGGTGGAAGTATAAATTAGTTGAACCATTGTGGGAGACTGTGTGGCAATTCCTCAAAGATTTAGAACTAAAAATACCACTTTACCCAACATTTCCATAACTGGGTATATCCCCAAAGGATTATAAATGCTTCTACTATAAAGATACATGCACATTTATGTTTATTGCAACACTATTTACAATAGCAATGACTTGGAGCCAACCCAAATGCCTATCAATGATAGACTGGATAAAGAAAATGTGGCATATATACACCATAGAATACTATGCAGCTGTAAAAATGAATGAGTTCATGTCCTTAGCAGGGACATGGATGAAGCTGGAAGCCAACTTTCTCAGCAAACTAACACAAGAACAGAAAACCAACACTGTATGTTCTCACTCATAAGTGGGATTGAACAATGAGAACACATGGACACAGGGAGGGGAACATCACACACTGGTGCCTGTCAGGGGTTAGGGGCCAAGGGGTTGCAGAGTATTTGGACAAATACATAATATGTGCAAGGATTAAAACCTAGATGACAGGTTGATAGGTGCAGAAAACCACCATGGTACATGTATGCCTATGTAACAAACCTGCACATTCTGCACATATATCCTAGAACTTAAAATGAAAAAAAAGAATGGGTTTCCCTAAACAAGTGCTCTCTTTGCCTGCCGCCATCCATGTAAAATGCTCCTCTTTGCCTTCTGCCATGATTGTGAGGCCTCCCCAACCATGTGGAACTGTAAGTCCATTAAACCTCTTTTTCTTCCCAGTCTCAGGTATATCTGAGTAAGGAAATGCAGCAGTGTGAAAACAGACTAATACAGTAAATTGGTACCAACAGAGTGGGGCATTGCTGGAAAGATACCTAAAAATGTAGAAGTGACTTCAGAACTGTGTGACAGGAAGAGGTTGAAACAGTTTGAAGGGCTCAGAAGACAGGAAAAGTTTGGAACTTCCTAGAGACTTGTTTAGTGACTTTGACAAACATGCTGATAGTGATATGAACAATAAGGTCCAGCCTGGGGTAGTCTCAAATGGAGATGAGGAACTTGTTGGGAACTGGAGTAAAGGTGACTCTTGTTATGTTCTAGCAAAGAGAGTGGTGGTATTTTTCTCCTATCTTAGAGATTTGTGGAACTTTGAACTTGAGAGAGATGATTTAGGGTATCTGGCGGAAAAAATTTATAAGTAGCAAAGCATTCAAGTGGTGACTTGGGTGCAGTTAAAGGCATTCAGTTTTATAAGGGAAGCAGGGAATAAAAGTTTGGAAAATTTACACCCTGACAATGCAATACAAAATAAAATCCCATTTTTTGAGGAGAAATTCAAGCTGGCTTCAGACATTTGCATACATAACAAGGAGCCATATGTTAATCCCCAAGACAATGGGAAAAATGTATCCAGGACATATCAGAGATCTTCATGGCAGCCCCTTTCATCACAGGCCCCGAGGCCTATGAGGAAAAAGTGGTTTCATTGGCTGGGCCCAGGGTCCCTGCGCTGTGTGCAGGCTAGGGACTTGGTGTCCTGCATTCCAGCTGCTCTAGCCATGACTAAAAGGGACCAAGGTACAGCTTAGGCTGTGGCTTCAGAGGGTACAAGCCCCAAGCCTTGACATCTTCTGTGTGGCACCGGGCCTGCGAGTGCACAGAAGTCAAGAATTGAGGTTTGGAAACCTTTGCTTAGATTTCAGAGGATTTATGGAAATGCAGGAATGTGGAGTCAGAAGTTTGCTGCAGGGGTGGGGTGCTCATAGAGAACATTTGCTAGTGCAATGCAGAAGGGAAATGTGGGTTTGAGGCCCCCACACTGAGTCCCTACTGGGGCACTGCCTACTGGAGTTCTGAGAAGAGGGCCACTATCCTCCAGACCCCAGAATAGTAGACCAACTGACACCTTGCAATGTGTACCCAGAAAAGCTGCAGACACTCAATGTCAGCCTGTGAAAGCAGCTGGAAGGGAGGCTGTCCCCTGCAAAGCCACAGAGACAAAACTACCCCAGACCACCTTTTGCATCAGTGTGACCTGAATGTGAGGAGTCAAAGGTGATCATTTTGGAGCTTTAAGATTTGACTGCCCTGCTGGATTTAAGAATCGCATGGGGCCTATAGCCCCTTTGTTTTGGCCAATGTCTCCCATTTGGAATGGCTATATTTACCCAAAACCAGTATCCCCATTGTATCTAGAAAGTAATTAACTTGCTTTTGATTTTACAGGCTCATAGGTGGAAGGGACTTGCCTTGTCTCAGAAGAGACTTTGGACTGTGGAATTTTGAAATGGTGCTAAAATGAGTTAAGACTTTTGGGGAGTGTTGGGAAGGCATGCCTGGTTTTCAAATATGAGGACATGATATTTGTGAGGGACCAGGGATAGAATGATATGGTTTGGCTGTGTCCCCACCCAAATCTCATCTTGAATTGTAACTTCCACAATTCCCACGTGTCATGAGAGAAACCTGGTGGGAGGTGATTGAATCACAGAGGTTGCTCTTTCCCGTGCTGTTCTCATTATAGTAAATAAATCTCATAAGACCTGATTTAAAAAAAAAAAAAAAATGGGCGTTTCCCTGTACAAGTTCTCTCTTTGTCTCCTGCCATCCATGTAAGACGTGACTTGCTCCTCCTTGCCTTCCACCATGATTGTGAGGCCTCCCCAGCCATGTGGAATTGTAAGTTTTTTAAACCTCTTTTTCTTCCCAGTCACAGGTATTTCTTTATCAGCAGCATGAAAACAAACTAACACAGCAACAAAAACAGAAATTAGTAAGTGAGTCCTAATTAAATAGCTTCTGTACAAGACAAATTATCAAGGAAGTAAACAGACAACCTACAGAAAGGGAGAAAATATTTGCGAACTATGCATCTGACAAAGGTGTAATATCCAGAATCTATAAAGAATTTAATTCCACAAGCAATAATAATAATAGTAATAACCTCGTTAAAAAGTGGGCAAAGGACAGGAACAAACATTTCTCAAAAGAAGATATGCACATATAAGCAGCCAACAAACATATTAAAAATGCTTATCATTGGTAATTATTAGAGATGCAAATCAAAATCACAATGTGATAGAATCTCTTATCAGTAAGAATGACTTTTGTTAAAAAGTAAAAAAAATAACAGATGTTGGTGAGGCTGTGGAGAAAAATGGATATATCTACTACTGGTGGGAATGTAAATTAGTCCAGCCACTATGGAGAACAATTTGGAGATTCCTCAAAGAAATAAGTGTTGAATTACCATTCAACCCAGCAATCCCCATTACTGGGTATATACCCAAAGGAAAATAATAAATTATTCTATTGTAAATACAGAAGCACCTATATGTTCATCACAGCACTGTTCACAATACGAAAAACATGCAATAAATTTAGGCTGTCATCAGTGGTGGTTTAGATAAGGAAAACATGGTACATATACACTATGGAATACTATATAGCCATTAAAAAGAATGAAATTATTTTCTTTGCAAAAACATGGATGCTACTGGTGACCATTATCCTAAGTGAATTAAGGCACAAAGAGAAAAACAAATGCTGCATGTTCTCATTTACAAGTGGAAGCTAAATATGAGGTAAACATGGATATAAAGATGGGAGGAAGAGATGGAATGGGGAAGGGCTGAACAGCAAACTATTGTGTATTATGCTTACTATGTGGGCGACAGGCTCAGTCATACCCCAAACCTCAGCATCACATAATATACTTATGTAACAAACATGCACATGAACCAAGAAAAATAAAATAACAACATAAGTAAAAAAGAAAAACAAAACAAACAAACAAAAACATTGTGTCCCAAGAAACAAAGAGGTCAATGTCACTAGACAATTCAAAACTAGAATAAACACAGAAAGATAAATTGAGAGAAATATGGCTTGGGGCCAGATGACATAGTATTATAATATCTAGGTCACAGTATAGCGTTTTCCTATTTTCTGACTAAAATGCACATTCTAGTGTTTTGTTTCTCAGTTCAGATTGCACCTGAGTAGTTCCAAAAATTATCTATGTCCAGGTTCAGTTCAGAAATATAGAGAGCTGGAAAGGGTGTCACCTCCACCCTTACAACAAGAAAAAAAAAAGCTGGGAAAACTTAAATGACTTTTCTTTTTTTTTTTTTTTTTGTGACGGAGTCTCGCTGTCGCCCAGGCTGGAGTGCAGTGGCGCAATCTCGGCTCACTGCAGGCTCCGCCCCCTGGGGTTCACGCCATTCTCCTGCCTCAGCCTCCCGAGTAGCTGGGACTACAGGCGCCCGCCACCTCGCCCGGCTAATTTTTTGTATTTTCAGTAGAGACGGGGTTTCACCGTGTTAGCCAGGATGGTCTCGATCTCCTGACCTCGTGATCCGCCCGCCTCGGCCTCCCAAAGTGCTGGGATTACAGGCGTGAGACTTTTCTTTAACTCACAAGAGAACAGAGGGAATAAAACAAACAACTAACCTGAAATATGGGGAGAGAAAGAAGCCTTCCAAGAGAAATGAGACACAAGGACTTGTGTAAATGTGAGGCACATGCCACTAGATAAATGTAAGCTATGGAGAAGATTTCGCTAAAATTGTTTTTAACAAATTGCTATATGCTGAGTGTTGGCAAACACGGGAGCATGAAGCCCCTGGGAGCCACGGACATAAGATAGGTTGAACCCTCTTCCATGCTTTGCCTCTACAAATCCCACCAGATGCACACAGGTAGAATTCTGAGAAGCCTTCCTTTGTGATTATTGCTGGAAGGGAATGGTACCCACCATTAAAATCCCATCCCAACCCAACTCCATTTTTTTTTTTTTTTTTTGCCATACAAAAAAATGTCTATAGAACATTTACAATAGTAGGTAAATTGAAAAAAAAAGTAATTGCTTTTGGGGGCACTGGTGGATTATTGATGAGGGAAGATAACAAGAAATTTTAAATATTCTAAAACTGGTGAGGAATAGAATGACAATTAGATCCAGCATTGCAGCTGTATGAGACAGAGACCCATGTAAAGGTCAGACCCTCAGGACCCAGGCAAAGGGTGTCTAAATTGAGATTTAAGCAGAGTGTTAGAGAATGCCCCTATTATCTCATTCCCCACCAGCACATTAAAACACTTTGATTAACAATAGCACTAAAGTATTCCTGAGTGACCTGTGGGAGATAAATATTCTCTGGTGAACCCTGCAGGGAGAGAACTCAGATTAAAGAGTGGAGTAGATATAGAGAGAAACGATCTGAAAGAGAAAGCCATGCCATAAAACAAAGATATCAGTAAAGCAATTTCACATCTGTGGTGTACTGAGTGTAACTATAACAAGAAAGTTTATTCTTATTCCATTCCTAACTAGATTAACACAAACATCATCTTAACATGAGGAAAGATGTGCTCACTTGCAATTCTAAAAAATATTTTCCTTATTATTCACTGCTCTATACAATTTTCCAGACTTCAATAAATAACTGGCATAAGAAAAGGAAGGAGAACACAGTCTGAAGAGAAAGCATTCATCAAAACCAGACTCAGATATAACACAGAAGTTGAAACCATCAGACAAAGAATTTAACATGAGTGTAATTACTATGCTAAAAGCTATAGTGACAGAGGTGGATAATATGAACAATTGGATAAGTAATTTCAGCAGAGTAATGAGAACTAAAAGAAATAATCAAAAGGGTTAGAAATTAAAAAGTAATAAAAGAATGGTTTTCATGGGCTCAGCAGATTTGACAGAGATGAGAGAAAAGCAAATGAACTTGAGGATAAGTCAATAGAAATCATGCCACTGAAGTAGAAAGAATACAAAGTATGAAAAACAAACCAGCAAATAAATGAATAAAAATACCAAACAGAGCATTCAAAAATTGTAAGACAATATCATATGGTTTAACATGCTTAATGAGAATCCCAGAAGGAGAACAGAGAGAGAATAGGGCAGAGCAACACTTGAAGACGTCGAACCATACATTCAAGAAGCTCAGGGAACATTATGTAAGGGAGAGAAAAGAGCAAGAAAATAAAAATCTAAGCATTTTTTTTTTCAAACTGTAAAAAAACTGGAAACTCTGGAAAGCACCCAAAGAAAAGGAAAATACATGACTTACAGAAGAACAAAAATAAGAATGACAATAGACATATTGTCAGTAATTATGTAAATAAGAAGACAATTGAGAGACACCTTACTAGTGCTGACAAAGACAAATCAAAACCAAAAAAAACCCAACAACCCAGAATTCTACATCCACTGAAAATATCCTTAAAAATAAATTGTAATGTGCATATCAAAACTTTTTTACTACCTTTGTAATTCAATAAGTCAAACAATATTTTAAATAAAAATTACAATAAAAAAGAAATACTTCCTTAGCCAGATAAAAATTGAAAAAATGTATTTCCAGCAGACCAACTCTACAAGAAATGTTAAAGGAAATTATTCAGGCAAATAGAATGTGCTATTGATCAGATGTCAGTTTACTCAAAGAAATGAAAAGCACTGGAAATAAAATTTTAAAAAATTTCTTTTTTCCTCATTTGTAATTGCTTTGTAATTGAATATTTGAACATATCTCTCTCAGTAATTGATTGAAAATGAGTAAACATATAGATGACCTGAATAACACTATCAACCAGCTTCACCTAATTGACATTTATAGACCCACACAAATATAGTCAATTATTTTTTGACAAAGATTCAAAGCCATTTTCTTGGAGAAATGATAGCTTTTTTTTAAAAGCATTAAAATACTTGGATAATCATATGATAATAAATTAACCTTGACACTTGCTTCACACTTTAGAGAACTGTTAGCTCAAAATGTACCATAGACTTAAATGCAAAGTTTAAAATTATAAAACGTCTAGGGCAAAAATTTATGTGACCTTGTATTTGATGATGAGTTTCAGGTATGACATAAAAAGCATGACAATGATACATAAAAAGAATAACTTGGTAAGATTGACTTTATCAGTTATAAACTTTTACTGTTTTGACAGACACTGTTAAGGGAATGAAAAGTCAAGCCATAGAATGAAAAATACTATTTTCAAATCTTATATTTGATCATGGATTTAATCCAGAATCTATAAAGAAATATTAAAACTCAGAAGTAGGAATAAAAATGGGCAAATTTTTTTTTTTTTTTTACCAGTGAAGAGTGTTAACTGTGAGCTATCCAGGTTCTTGGTGTTTTGAACAAAGAATTGGACAAAATGAACAAAGAAAGCAACAAAGAATGAAGCAATGAAACCACAAATATATTGAAATGAAAGTACAGTCCACAGAGTGGGAGCAGGCTTGAGCGAGTGCCTCAAAAATGCTGGTTACAGAATTTTCTGGGGTTTAAATGCCCTCTAGAGGGTTTTCATTGGTTACTTGGTTACACCCTACCTAAATGAAGTAGTGGCCCACGAGCAGTCTGATTGGTTGTGGAAGGGGACCAATCAGAGCCTGAAGTGAAGTTACAAAGTTATACCCCTATGCAAATGAAGACTAGACCCCTGACCAGTCTGATTGGTTACAGGAGGGGACCAGTCAGAGATACTTTCCATTTTCCATCTGTGACGCAGGCAGAAAGGGTGTGTTGCAAAGGGAGTAGCCTCTGATCCTTTTGTCCCTTGGATGTGGAAAGTTGGGGTTTTCCTTTTGATTCAGGTCTAAGAAGTCTGTGCAAATTGGCCTTAGGTTCCCTGCCTCTAGACCCTATTCTCCTGCCTCTGTATGTTCATCAGTAGGTAAATGACTAAGCAAAATATTGTGCATCCATTCAATAGATACTTTGGAACAATCAAAAGAAATGAATTAATGAGTCACTAACTACATGGCTGAATCTTAAATGCATTTTTCTAAGTGAACAAAACCAAGCCTCAGGAATATACAATGTTTGATTTCATTTATGTGACATTTTGTGAAAATGCAAGTCTATGGGTATATGGAAAACAAATCAGTTATTGCCAGTGGTATCTTTGGGGTGAGGTGCTTACTACAATCATGGTGAACAAAAAAATTTTTAGGATAATAGAGCTATTCTGTATGGTACTGTGATGGTGGATGTATGACTGTGCATTTGTCAAACACTCAGAGAAAGGTATACCACAAAGATGAAATTTTAATATAGGCCCATTTAAAGGAATATCAACAGGATATAAGTAAAATATAGAATGGAGAGTAGAATGTAAAAGTCAATCTACTAATATTTGTACCACAAATGTGTGGAATAATCTCACTGAAGGGGATGAGGAAGAAAGGAGAAATAAACTCTGGGAAAGAGTGTCTTTTCTAAATACTGTAAAGCTAAATATAAAAATAATTGTACATAAACTCTGTACTCTGGTTGGTTAATTTGTTTTTCACAAGGGTATTATTTAGCAATCTGGAAACTATTTTATATGCATACAAGAGCTGAACAAATAAGTGAATAAATTATAGATAAGGGGAGCCAGGTTTTCACATGTCAGGTAAAGAATTGACAAATATGAAGTGGAAGGATATAATGAAACCTCTGGTACTGGATTCAAGTCAGACATCTTACTATGAACTCATATTTATCTTAGCACACTTATAAATAGATTAGCAATAAATGCAGCTATCTATGTATACATGGATTAGTAAACACAGGCATATATTCTTGGAGCAGGCCTAGAAGCAGTGATAGTCCAATAGCAATGAGCTTACTTAGCTCTTGGTTTCTAAACACCATGCTTTCATAAAAGGAACCAGTCCTTGGAGAAATATCTGTATTAAAGGGTGAGTCAGGGAAACTGTAAAATAAAACTAGAACATCTTTTTTTTAATTTTTAATTTTAGTGGGTACATAGTAGGTGTATATATTTATGGGGTACCTGAGATGTCTTGATACAAGCATGTGTCTTTTGTAATAAAGCACCTACCCTTTGTTTTACAAACAATCTGATAATACTATTTTAGTTATTTTAAAATGTACAATTAAGTTACTATTGACTATAGTCCCCCTGTTATGCTATCAAATACTAAGTCCTATTAATTCTTTCAATTTTTAACCCATTAACCATCTCCAGCTCCTCCCACTGTCCTTCCCAGCCTCTGTTCACCATTCTTCCACTGTCTATCTCCGTGTTCAATTGTTTTGGTTTTTAGATCCCTGAAATAAGTTAGAACATGCAATATTTGTCTTTCTGTGCCTAGCTTATTTCACTTAGCATAATGACCTATAATTCCATCCATTTTGTTGCAAATGACTGGAACTCATGTTTTATGGACAAATAGTAATCTAATATATATATATATAAATATATATAAATATATATATATATAACACACACACACATATACATATGCCATATTTTCTTTATCCATTTATCTGTGTAGAAAAAAAAAAAAACCATAAATGGAAAACTTCAAAAGGAGGTAGGAGACAATGGGAAAAAGCCCCCAATGGCCAAAGATGAAACAACTTGAATGAACAAAACAAAACACTAATTGGATTATAATCAAAGAATGAAATAAATATCTATTAATCTATACATATATATAAGTATAGATTAATCTATACATATATATAAGTATAGATTAATCTATACACATATATAAGTAAACAATTGAATAAGTAAGTGAAAAGAGAGAAGGATCCCAAATAAAGCATATAAAGAGAGTAAGGAAATAGAAAATCACCATTCAAACACCACCGAGAAAATTTCTGATGAATGCTAAAACTTGCTGCTAAAGTTAGTGGCTGAAACTTTAAGGAGAAACAGGACACTTGCAGTTTCTAAGTGTCTCTCCCAAGATATTTATTAATTAGTGTGTGGTTTTAGTTTATTTCCACAGTTTTTAGATACTGACTCCAGGTGGTGAATTTTAATTCCCTGTTACTTAAAATCAATAGAAAAAAGTTAATCACTTCTACTTAACGGTGTATGATAAGGGAAAAATAGTTCATCATGCATCACCAAGTAATCAACGTTAATTAATCAGGCATCACCAAGGATAAATTCATCAGGCATCACCAAGTAATCAAGGTTAATACCATTAGTAATGAGTCATGTTGACATCATATATCCCATGATATGATACAGTGAAAAGGGTACATCAGTGATGTTCTTTCCAAAAAAAATTATGACCTCAAGTTAATTATGAGGAAACATGGCGATTCTAACCAGAACACTTCAAAAAAGGGTCCACATGGTAAAAACAAGGAAAGACTGAGAAACCTCCCAGATCAGAAGAGGCTAAGAAGTAAGAAGACTAAATGCAACTTGATATACTGGATTAGATCCTGGAATAGACAAAGAGCGTTAGTGGAAAAACTAGTGGAATCTCAATAAAGTATCTAGTTTAGTTAGAAATATTAAATCACGCCTGTAATCCCAGCACTTTGGGAGGCCGAGGCGGGCGGATCACGAGGTCAGGAGATCAAGACCGTCCTGGCTAACATGGTGAAACCCCGTCTCTACTAAAAATACAAAAAGTTAGCTGGGCGTGGTTGCAGGCGCCTGTAGTCCCAGCTACTCAGGAGGCTGAGGCAGGAGAACGCCGTGAACCCGGGAGGCGGGGCTTGCAGTGAGCCAAGATCCTGCCACTGCACTCCAGCCTGGGCGACAGAGCAAGACTCCGTCTCAAAAAAAAAAAAAAAAAAAAAAAAAGAAAAAGAAATATTAAATCAGTGTTAACTTGCTGGTTTTGATGTATGAGCATTGCTACATAAGATGTTATATATGAACTCTCTGTACTAGGTTTGCAACTTTTCTGTAAATTTAAAATCATTTAAAAGTTAAACTACTGAAATAAAAAAATCAATTCTCATTTCTTCTACTGAATATTTTCAATTCAATTGGTTTAAGTATAGGCCTTAGAAAGAATGTGTAGGTTTAAATTTTTTAAAGTTGGTATTTTAGAAACAAATATGAACAAAGTTTTTTTTTTTTTTCATCTCCATAGTTTTATTTTTATTTTTTTATTATACTTTAAGTTTTAGGGTACATGTGCACAACGTGCAGGTTAATTACATATGTATACATGTGCCATGTTGGTGTGCTGCACCCAGTAACTCCTCATTTAACATTAGGTATATCTCCAAATGCTATCCCTCCCCACTCCCCCCACCCCACAACAGGCCCCAGTGTGTGATGTTCCCCTTCCTGTGTCCATGTGTTCTCATTGTTCAGTTCCCACCTATGAGTGAGAACATGCGGTGTTCGGTTTTTTTGTCCTTGCAATGGTTTGCTGAGAATGACAGTTTCCAGCTTCATCCATGTCCCTACAAAGGACATGAACTCATCCTTTTTTATGGCTGCATAGTATTCCATGGTGTATATGTGCCACATTTTCTTAATCCAGTCTATCATTGTTGGACATTTCGGTTGGTTCCAGGTCTTTGCTATTGTGAATAGTGCCGCAGTAAACATACGTGTGCATGTGTCTTTATAGCAGCATGATTTATAATCCTTTGGGTATATACCCAGTAATGGGATGGCTGGGTCAAATGGTATTTCTAGTTCTAGATCCCTGAGGAATCGCCACACTGACTTCCACAATGGTTGAGCTAGTTTACAGTCCCACCAACAGTGTAAAAGTGTTCGTATTTCTCCACATCCTCTCCAGCACCTGTTGTTTCCTGACCTTTTAATGATTGCCATTCTAACTGGTGTGAGATGGTATCTCACTGTGGTTTTGATTTGCATTTCTCTGATGGCCAGTGATGATGAGCATTTTTTTCATGTGTTTTTTGACTGCATAAATGTCTTCTTTAGAGAAGTGTCTGTTCATATCCTTTGCCCACTTTTTGATGGGGTTGTTTGTTTTTTTTCTTGTAAATTTGATTGAGTTCATTGTAGATTCTGGATATTAGCCCTTTGTCAGATGAGTAGATTGCAAAATCTTTCCCATTCTTAGGTTGCCTGTTCACTCTGATGGTAGTTTCTTTTGCTGTGCAGAAGCTCTTTAGTTTAATTAGATCCCATTTGTCAATTTTGGCTTGCGTTGCCATTGCTTTTGGTGTTTTAGACATGAAGTCCTTCCCCATGCCTATGTCCTGAATGGTATTGCCTAGGTTTTCTTCTAGGGTTTTTATGGTTTCAGGTCTAACATTTAAGTCTTTAATCCATCTTGAATTAATTTTTGTATAGGGTGTAAGGAAGGGATCCAGTTTCAGCTTTCTACATATGGCTAGCCAGTTTTCCCAGCACCATTTATTAAATAGGGAATCCTTTCCCCATTGCTTGTTTTTCTCAGGTTTGTCAAAGATCAGATGGTTGTAGATATGTGGCATTATTTCTGAGGTCTCTGTTCTGTTCCATTGGTCTATATCTCTGTTTTGGTACCAGTACCATGCTGTTTTGGTTACTGTAGCCTTGTAGTATAGTTTGGAGTCAGATAGCAGGATGCCTCCAGCTTTGTTCTTTTGGCTTAGGATTGACTTGGCGATGTGGGCTCATTTTTGGTTCCATATGAACTTTAAAGTAGTTTTTTCCAATTCTGTGAAGAAAGTCATTGGTAGCTTGATGGGGATGACTTTGAATCTATAAATTATCTTGGGCAGCATGGCCATTTTCATGATATAGATTCTTCCTACTTATGAGCATGGAATGTTTTTCCATTTGTTTGTATCCTCTTTTATTTCATTGAGCAGTGGTTTGTAGTTCTCCTGGAAGAGGTCCTTCATGTCCCTTGTAAGTTGGATTCCTAGGTATTTTATTCTCTTTGAAGCAATTGTGAATGGGAGTTCACTCATGATTTGGCTCTCTGTTTGTCTGTTATTGGTGTATAAGAATGCTTGTGATTTTTGCACATTGATTTTGTATGCTGAGAATTTGCTGAAGTTGCCTATCAGCTTAATGAGATTTTGGGCTGAGATGATGGGGTTTTCTAGATATACAATCATGTTATCTGCAATCAGAGACAATTTGACTTCCTCTTTTCCTAATTGAATACCCTTTATTTCCTTCTCCTGCCTGATTGCCCTGGCCAGAACTTCCAACACTATGTTGAATAGGAGTGGGGAGAGAGGGCATCCCTGGTTTTAAACAATAATTGTTAATACTCTAAATAAAATAATTACCATTAAATATTTGGTGAGAATAAGTATCATTCTTCATTACCAATGCAGTGTTACTGCTTGTGTGAATCCTGTGACTGCCTTGAGTGTGCTGCTCTTTTGAAAATTATATTCAGCCTTAGATGCTTGACAGCACATTAACATTTTGGGGTAGTTTTAAAATATAGACTATCAATATCTTTTGTTTCAACATTAAACATCAACTTTGAGATACAGATTACATAAAATAAAATGCAACTATTTTAAATGTACTGTTGAATGAATATTAATCACCCCAACATGGATATAGAATATTTCTGCTTTCTCTTTTAACACTGTATATTAAATTCACAAGGCAACTTCCTCACCGCTCCTAAACCCAGGAAGCTGTGGATATGCTTTCAGTTACTATTGATTAGTTTTGCCTATTCCATTAATAGAATTTTACATAAATGAAATAATACATGATGTAGCATTTTGTGTCTGGCCTCTTTTACACAGCATGAGTATACTGTTGGGTATATCACCTTTTCATGCTTTTTAAAATATACTTTTGAGTTGTGTCCAGTTTGGGACCATTATGAATAAAGCTGTTATAAATATATTGTATATGTCTTTGTGGGGGTCATATGTTTTCATTAGTCTTGGATAAATAAGAATTAAATTGCCTAGTTATTTGGTAAATATAAGAAAGCTGCCGAATTCATTTTGGAGATAGTTATAACATTTTACATTTCACTAACAATGCACAGGAATTCGTTGTTCCACATCCTTGGCAACATTTAATACTGTCAAACTTTTAAGAGTTAATCTTTCAAGGAATGTATAGTAGCATCCCATTGTAGTTTTAATTTACTTTTTTGTATAGCTAATGATATTACTTTTTCATGTGTCTATTTACTTTTACATTTCTTCTTCTTTTGAGTACATTTCATGTGTCTGTTTACTTTCACATTTCTTCTTTTGTAATTTATAACTAAAAAGTTAGTTTAAATCACTCTACCATTTTTAAATAGTTTATTTATTTTCTTGTTATTGAGTTACCAGAATTCTTCATATATTCTGGATATAAATATTTTGTCACATATATGTATTGAAAATAGTTCCTCCCAGTCTGTCTTGGATTTTATTTTCTTGACATAGTCTCTCAAAAATACCACATGTTTCTAATTTTGATGAAAATTTATCATTTTTTTAGTTCATGGTTAAAGCTAATAAGTTCTAAGAAATATTTGCCTGAAGTTAGCAAATACTTGTTCTCATTCCATCTTTTATCCACATGCACTGCTTTAAATACACAATATTTTGAGAAATTAAAACTATTTTTATCTTATAAAGCTACCTAATTAAAAGCACTGCCTTTTCTAAAACTCCTTCTTCATGGGATTAGATTAACAAAAATTAAGACCACCTGTATCTGATCCACTCTCTCAGACATTATATATATAATTTAGGTAATGAAAGCATTATTATAAAGAATGATTCAAATGTTTCTGTAGACGTCTGAAGTCTGGGCTTTTATTCATAAAACAGACAATCACACTATAAAATATGGTTATTTTTGGTTATTCAGTGTCTCTACATTTCTCCTTATATGACTGAATTATAACTTTCTAAATGAGACAAGTGATAGAATTACACTTGTTAATAGCAAAAGGTGATCACATTTTATTAATATGCATCTAACTCTACTAATACTTTCAAGCGTTCTATTGTGTTAAATTTAAATTGTAGTGAATTTGGTGAATGCTGTCTGTTTTGATGTTGCATGCTTATTTGGGGGCAATGTTAACAGGGTAAGTAAGTGAAGAGTGAATAAAACTGAAGCCTCTAGCCCATGTATCATACTGTTTTCATTGGGGAGTTGGAATACTCTCCCACATCTGCTTGAGAGTCCTTAGTAAGCACATATGATGGAATAGCAGATTAGTTCTGGGTTGCTGTTTATTTGGCACATAGATGTTGTAGTCAATGTCTTTCCAACCACATGTCAGAAATATTTTCATGAGGAAATGTGGTGCCCAGAATTGGATTCTTGTGAGAATATAGTGTTTCTGGGCAGAGTGATGAGTAAAGTCAATTTTGTTAATGTAATATCAGACTATAAGTTATTTTTATTATCTAATATAAATCAAATTTAAAGATTGCCAAATAAATTACTTTTAATTCTCTTGCTATGGTTGAGGATTATATGCCATCTATTTCTTATGACTTATGGTTTATGCTTTAAATGTCTTTGAATAACATGTATATAATTATATATAAATTTACACACACACACTCATATATAAATACATACACACACACATACAAACACATACATAGGTATGGCTAAAAAAAGCTGACATGGTTTTCCTCATATTGTTCCCTTTCTTTATATATCTATATAACTTATACTCTATGCCACATGATTTAAATTTTACATAGTCCAAGATTATTCACTTATTGGATTATTGGATTAGCTATCTTCCCAAATAGACTCTGAAGCCAATTATACTTTAATTTAAATCACCAAAAACTGATCATGACCACTAGGTTCCCTTTTGCCTTCAGTTGCTATCCTGGGGTCCTTTCCCTTATCCCTCTCTCTGGAAAAGATAAAACATTTTAGTTGAAAATTTTTATTGCAATAGCTAACCTAAGAAAAATCAAATTGTTTGAAGTATGATCAAACTTTCAAAACTCAAAAACAAGAAAGAATTTTAAAAGCAGCAAGAAAAAAATCACCAAGTGAATGCAAGGGAATCTTCATTAGACTATAGGTGGATATCCCAGCAGAGAATGGGAGGATATACTCAAGGTATTGAAAGAAAAAGAAAAACGAACTAACCTCCATTAGCCTCAAACTTTTCTTCTGTAACTTCCTCACCTCTCTCAACCCTCATATAACTGTAGAGGGTTAGGGCCTTGCTCTCCATTAGGCTTTGGCTTAAGAGATTGCCGTGGCTGGTTTGATCTTTTTTTTTTTTTTTTTTTTTTTTTTGAGACGGAGTCTCGCTCTGTCGCCCAGGCTGGAGTGCAGTGGCGTGATCTCGGCTCACTGCAAGCTCCGCCTCCCGGGTTCACGCCATTCTCCTGCCTCAGCCTCCCGAGTAGCTGGGACTACAGGCGCCCGCTACCACGCCCGGCTAATTTTTTGTGTTTTTAGTAGAGACGGGGTTTCACCGTGTTAGCCAGGATGGTCTCGATCTCCTGACCTCGTGATCCGCCCGCCTCGGCCTCCCAAAGTGCTGGGATTACAGGCGTGAGCCACCTGTTACAAAACAAGTCAATAAATTCAAGAAGATTGAAATTATATCTAGTATTGTCTCTGATCACAATGGTATGAAGCTAGAAATCGATAACAGCAAGAGTTTATAAAATTTACAAATATGGAAAATTAAACAACATGTTCATAAACAACCAATGGATCAAAAAAATCAACAGGAAAATTTAAAAATTTATTGAGGCAAACAGCAATGGAAACATGCCATGAAAATCTATGGAATGCAACAAAAGTGGTTCTAAAAGAAAAGTTTATAGCAACAAATGCCTACATTAATAAGAAGATATGTCACAAGTAAATAGTATAATGCCTCGAGGAGCTAGACAGAGAAGAACAGTGTAAACTCAAAAATAGCAAAGGGAAGAAAATAATTAAAGTCAACATATGTAACCAAATAGAGAAAATAAAGAAACAGAAAAAAAAATCTGAGAGTTGGTTCTTTCAAAAAATAAAATCAGCAATCCCCTAGCTAAACAAACTAGGGAAAAAAGAGAAAAGTCTCAAATAAAATCAGAAATTAAAGTGGACACATTATAGCAGATGCCTCCGAAATAATAAGGAACATAAGAGACTACTGTGACCCTTTATATGCCAACAAATTGGATAAACCAAATTGCTAGAAAAATATAACCTACCAAGACTGAATCAGAAAGAAATAGAAAGCTTGAACACATTAAAATAAATAAAGGGATTGAAGATATAATTAAAAAGCTACCAACCATGAGAAGCCCAGGACAATATGGATTCATGGCTGAATTCTACAACACATTCAATGAAGAATTATTCTTTAAACTTCTTAACTCTTCCAAAAATACTTTCTAAAATAATTATTTCAAAAATATACTACAGAGAATTCTCCAAATGTATTTTATGAGGCCAGCATCACCTTAATACCTGTGCCAGGCAAAGCCATTACAAGCCATTACAGGCCAAGAAATTAAAACTATAGGCCAACATCTCTGATGAACATTCATGCAAAAATCCTCAATAAAATATTAGCAAACCAAATTTAACAAAAGATTTAACATTAAAAATGATTGTATGTCATAACCAAGTGGGATTTATCCCAGTCATGCAAGGCTGGTTTAACACATGCAAATCAATTTATATAATACATCAACAGAATAAAACATAAAAGCCACATGATCATTTTGATGCAGAAAAATCATTTGACAAGGTTCAGCATCCTTTCTTTAAATAAAACTGTTAAATTAGGTTTTCTGCTAAGATATGGTACACGACAGAGATGCTCATTCTTGCGACTTCTATTCAACATAGTACTGGAAATATTAGCAAGAGCAAGTAAAGAAGAAAAATAAAAGGCATCTGAAAGAGATATAAAGAAGAATTATATCTATTTGTAGATTATGTAATCTTATATGTAGAAAAACATAAAGCTTCTTTTAAAAAACTATTAGAACTAATAAATGAATTCAGTAAAGTTGCAGGGATACAAAGTCAACATCAAAAATCAATAGCATTTCTATACACAAGTAAACAACCTAGCTGAAAAAGAAATTAAGAAAAATTATATTTACAATACCATTACAAAAAATAAAATAACTAAAAAATACATTTAGTCAAGGAGGTAAAATATTTGTACACCTAAACCTATGAAACATTGATGAAAGAAATTGAAGGAGACACAAATTAGAGGAAAGCTATCTTGTGTTCATGGATGGGAACAATTAATATTGTTAAAATGTTCATATTTCCCAAAGAAATATACTGATTGAACAACAATCTTTATCAAAATTCCAATGTCATTTTTTGCAAAAATATATAAAACAGTCTATAAATCCTAAAATTTGTATGAAACCATTAAAAAAACTGAATAGCAAAGCAATACTAAAAAAGCAAAACAAAATTGGAGACATCACACTTCCTGATTTAAAATCATATTACAAACTATAGTAATCAAAACAATATTGCACTGGCATAAAAACAGAAACATCAACCAATGGAACAGAATATACATTCCAGAAATAAATCTAAACATATGTACTCAACTAATTTTTAACTTGCCTACCAAGAGGGTATAATGGACAATGATTCTTTTTCTTCAATAAATGATACTGGGAAAACTGGATTTCCACATGCAAAAGAATGAAACCAGATCCTTTTCTTATATGATAGAAAAAAATCAACAAGAAAATTGATAAAATATTAAATGTAAGGACCAAAATCATAAAACTCCTATAAGGGAACATAAGGAAAAAGCTCCTCAGCATTGGCCTTGGCAATAATTTTTCGGATAACATACCAAAAGCTCAGTCTACAAAAGCAAAAATAAATAAACGGGACTACACCAAACTAAAAAGCTTACCTACATCAAAGGAAACAATCAACAAAATACAAACACAATCAGCGAACTGGGAAAAAATTAAATTGCAAACCACATATCTGATAAAGGGTTATTATTCAAGATTTATAAAGATCTCTGAACAGATCTGACAAAATATTTCTTCAAGCAAGACATAAAAATGCCCAACAGGAATGTTAAAAGTTAGTATAACTAATCATCAGGAAAATGCAAATTAAAACCGCAATGAGATATCACTTTACAACCATTAGAATGGCTATTTTCAAAAAGATAAAGCATAACAGGTGTTGGCCCGGATTTCAAGAAAAGGGAATCCTTCCTTGTATACTGTCAGTGGCAATTTAAATTAATACAGCCATTATGGAAAATAATATGGAGGTTTCTAAAGAAATTGGAAATAGAACTACCGTACAACCCAGTAATCCCTCTTCTGGATACGTAACCAGAGGAGATGAGATCACCATCTTGTAAAAATGTCTGTGCTACCATGTTCCTTGCAGTGTTATTTACAATAGCCAAGATATGGAAACAACCTTAATTTCCATTGATAGATTTTAAAATGTGGTATACATACATGTTTGTATGGAATATCATTCAGCCTTAAAAACAAAGGATAGCCTTCCATTTGCCCCGGCATGGATGGACCTGAAGGACGTTTGCTAAGTTAAATAAACCAAACATATAAAAATATTGCATAATTTCATTTATATGTGGGATTTTTTAAAAAAGAACTCAAATACACAGAGACAGACAATGAAACACTAGTTACCATGAGTTGGGTGTGGTGGGAGGAAACTGGGACATTTAGGTAAAAGGATACAAAATAGCAAATAAATAGAATGAAAAAGTTTAGAGACTCAATTAATAACATGAAGACCAAAGATAACAAAATTATTTTGTATTAGAGGCTTTTGTTAAGTAAGTATATTTTAGCTGCTCGTCACATACCCCAAAAATTCGAGATGAAAATTTGTTAATCTGTTTTACTATAGTAACAACTGTACTATCTATATGTATCCCATAACATTATGTTGTAAACCTCAACTATAAACAATAAAATTTATTTTTAAAAGGATGAATTCTATAAGTTAAAAAATACTATTTTATTAGCTACTTTTAGAAAAGCAGAAGAGAAAAAAAAGTCTTCAACTTTAAATCTTGTATCAGTAAATTCTGCTTTTTAACAGGTATATACAAAAATCCATAAACCCCGGGTCCTAGCCAATCATGAATCTTTTCACAAAAGAAAATAGGCTTTTGGTTTTAATGAAAGGACTGGGTTAAAAAATTTGGCTAGCTGAATATGAGGCCAGGCATTATTCTCACATCAGTATCATTGGGAAAAACAAAGTAATATCAACAATATAACTTTTGGCAGTTAATTTTGTCAACATGAATGGATCATGGGGTGCCCCGATTAAATACTGTTTCTGAATGTGTCTGCAAGAGTGTTTCTAGATGAGATTAACATTTGAATCAGTGGATTCAGTAAAGTAGGTTGCCCTTCCCAGTGTGGTTGGGTATCAACAAACTCACATAGGGCCTGAATAGACAAAAAGTAGAGAAAGATTAATTCACCCCATTTTTTCTTTCTCACTCTTTGAGTTGAAACATCTCATCTCTCCTGCTCTTAAATGGGATTTACTATCATGGACTCTCTTGGATCTCAGGCATTAAAAATAAGACTGAATTAACACAACTGGCTTTCCTGGGTCTCCAGTTTGCATACCACAGACTGTGGGACTTAGCCTCCATAATTATGTGAGACAATTTCTCTTAATAAATCAATCAATCTCTCTCTCTCTCACACACACACACATACACACCACACACTCCTTTATCTATCTGGATCTCTCTCTCATTCTCTCCCTCCCTCTGTATATATCCTGTTGGTTCTATTTCTCTGGAGAAGTCTGAATAATACAATCCTGAACCATACATGCTATTGGGGTGTGTGTGTGTGTGTGTGTGTGTGTGTGTCTGCCTGTGTATGGGCTTGTGGTTTAAATATTATTATTTTTTGGTTTATTGGAAGTGCTTCTTTTTATCAAATACTCCCCTTTTTTTGTGTGTGTTCATTTTGCACTGTAAAAATTTTTTCATAGATTGTAATTTGATGAGGAACTTAGTCCATTTTGAGCACACAATAAATATTTAATAAAATACTTGGAGCAAAAATAAAATTTACATATTTTTGAATGCTCCTTTTATGTCCATAGTTGTATAGACAATGATTAATTCATCAAGATTATAAGAAGTAACTTGTCACCTGAGAGGTAGTTCTGGACATATAATTTATATGTTTTTTCCATAGTGATAAGAAATTTTTAGTTTACTGAGAACATTCTATCACTTGAAGTCTTGGGATGGGTCATCTGACTTAATCTCCCTTTTAACACACAACTTCTAAAACATAGTCACTTTTAGAGCTTTCAATTTCTTATTTATTTGAATTGTCAATAAGATCTGGATATACTTTAAACCTAATGTAAAATGCTTGTATTTTTATTATGTGGACAAACTCATTAACTATGTCTTGCAAATGTTATTAGATATTATAAATGAAGCATGCAGAGCTACCTGTGTATGTGTGCTGGATGAGGTCTTACTGGAAAACTGACTTGCAAAGTAATTGAGATAAATAATCTAAAGGACTTACTTGATCACAGCACACCACAGTATGTGGTAAAAATAAATACATTTTAAGAAACACACGCACGTATTAACTCCTTTTTAATGCTAAGGACATGGCATCAGTTTGTGTGTCAGGATAATGGGGAAAAGAACCAAAAGGATTTGGTATGCAAATATTAAGGCCAAGAATGATGACATTATTCAAGTACACTGTTATGTTATATGACATTCATAATCTATTACTTAAAAAGATTGTATGAGAATTCAGGAAAGATTTTCAGACACTGATATTAGTTTCAAAAAGAAAAGAAGTATGCAGTAAAGACAGTAACTAAAACCAATGTCACTTCCCATATATTAAAATCTGTATTTCCGAGGACATTCAGAGAATATTTCTTAATGAAATATTTGATTTGAAATTTTGCATAGGTTAACTACACCAGAAACAATTTTAAAAATTGATATAGATAAATAAGTAGATACAGATGATTTGATAGGTGGCTATTATGTATAAAATAGTGTACATATACTGGATTGCATAAATGGTTATCTAAATTATTTTAAAATAGAGCTTTTTCTATCCTTATAGCCAAGTCTTTGTACAAAAGCAGATGATCTATTGGACTTAAAATGTCCTGAAGAATCACCAGTAGTTGTGTGGTTGATGGTGCAGTTAGTAGGCACGTGGGTGAATGTGGTTTTTGCTAGATCCCCGGGTGAGTGGGACTGCCTCTGAGGCCAAAGTCTAGCAGGGCTGGAACCAGATCACAGGGCTGTTTCAAGGTCTGCAGTCAGGCAGCAGATGGAGGACCTCTCACCAGGGGCAAGGATGAGTGTGGCTCCCACCAATTAAAACATAACTAAATTCTTTTTCAAAGTGAGCTGAAGGACCTGCATCAGCATTTCTCACAATAAAACAAAAATCGTCAACAGGTATATTCAAAAATGCTCAAAGTCACTAATTATCAGAGAAATGCAAATAATATCACAGTGTGATATCACCTCACACCTGTTACAGTGGCATTTGTTAAAAAGACAAAATGTAACAAGTATTGACTAGGATGTGGAGAACAGAGAACCCTTGTACACTTGATAGAAATGTAAATTGAGACAGCCACTATGAAAACAGTATGGAGTTTTCTCAAAATATTAAAAATAGAACTATCATATCATCCAGCAATCCAGCTTCTGGTTATGTATCTAAAGAATATAAAATCAGTATCTCAAAGAAATATCTGCATGCTCATGTCCATTGCAGCATTATTCACAATAAGCAAGGTATGAAAACAAGCTAAATATCTATTGACGGATGGATGAAAAAAGAAACTGTGATATATAGAGCTATCATATTATCCATCAATCCAACTTCTGGTTATGTATCTAAAGAATATAAAAATTAGTATCTCAAAGAGATGTCTGAATCCTCATGCCATTGCAGCATTATTCACAATAAACAAGGTATGAAAACAAGCTAAATGTCTATTGATGATGGAAAAAAAACTGTGACCATGCATGTATATAGTCTCCCAGGTTCATTCAGGTTGTTGCTAATGACAGGATTTTCTTATTTATATATATATTATGTTGGTGCAAAAGTAGTTGTGTTTTTGCCACATATATATTTATTATACATATATGTCTTTTTATATATAAGTAGATATTATTCAGCCATAAAAATAAGAAAATCCTGCCATTATCCCCAAGATGGATGAACCTGGAGGATATTATGCTAAATTTATTGAGCCAGGCACAAAAAGACAAATATTGTATTAATATTATCTCACTTGTATATGGAATCTAAAAAACTAGAACTTACACAAAAGTAGAGGGTAAAAAGGTGGTTGTCTGGGCTGAAGCTTGGAGGAAATGGGGAGATGTTAGTCAAAGGGTGTAAAAGTTCATTTTTTTTGTTTTGTTCTCTCCGCCACTCTGATCTTTAGACATTTCATTACAAAAATTTTCAAGCATACAGAAAATCTGAGTGCAATCAATAACCATCAGAGTTACAATAACCATCACTATTTTGTTTGTTTCATCAGTGCTTCTCCCCCACCCTCCATCTTTTTTACTTATTTTTTTTCTGTAGTAGTTTACAACAAATAGTTGATCTCATTTTACTTTAATTATTTATTTATTTTTATTATCATGCTTTAAGTTCTGGGGTACATGTGCAGAATGCGCCGGTTTGTTACATAGGTGTGCATGTGCCATGGTGGTTTGCTGCATCCATCAACTCGTCATCTACATTAAGTATTTCTCCTAATGCTATCCCTCCCTTAGCCCACCACCCCCTGACAAGCCCCAGTGTGTGATGATCCCCTCCCTGTGTCTGTGTGTTCTCATTGTTCAACTCCCACTTATGAGTGAGAACACGCGGTGTTTACTTTTCTGTTCTTGTTTTAGTTTGCTGGGAATGATGGTTTCCAGCTTCATCCATGTGCCTGCAAATGATATGAACTCAGTCTTTTTTATGGCTGCATAGTATTCCGTGGTGTATATGTGCCACATTTTCTTTATCCAGCCTATCACTGATGGGCATTTGGGTTAGTTCCAAGTCTTTGCTATTGTGAACAGTGCTGCAATAAACATATGTGTGCATGCATCTTTATAGTAGAATGATGTATAATCCTTTGGGTGTATACCCAGTAATGGGATGGCTGGGTCAAATGGTATTTCTAGTTCTAGATCCTTGAGGAATTGCCACACTGTCTTCCACAATGGTTGAACTAATTTACACTCCCAACAACAGTGTAAAAGCATTTCTGTTTCTCCACATCCTCTCCAGTATCTGTTGTTTCCTCACTTTTTAATGATCACCATTCTAACTGGTGTGAGATGGTATCTCATTGTGGTTTTGATTTGCATTTCTCTAATAACCAGTGATGATGAGCTTTTTTTTTCATGTTTGTTGGCCACATAAATGTCTTCTCTTGAGAAGTGTCTGTTTATATCCTTTGCCCACTTTTTGATGGGGTTGTTTGTTTTTTTTCTTGTAAATTTGTTTAAGTTCTTTGAAGATTCTGGATATTAGACCTTTGTCAGATGGATGGACTGCAAAAATTTTCTCCCATTGTGTAGGTTGCCTGCTTATTCTGAGGATAGTTTCTTTTGCTGTGCAGAAGCTCTTTAGTTTAATTAGGTCCCATTTGTCTATTTTGGCTTTTGTTGCCATTGCTTTTGGTGTTTTAGTCTTGAAGTCTTTGCCCATGCCTGTGTTCTGAATGGTATTGCCTAGGTTTTCTTCTATGGTTTTTATGGTTATAGGTTTTACAATTAAGTCTTTAATCCATCTTGAACTAATTTTTGTATAAGGTGTAAGGAAATGGTCCAATTTCTGTTTTCTTCCTATGGCTAGCCAGTTTTCCCAGCAACATTTATTAAATAGAGAGTCCTTTCCTCATTGCTTGTTTTTGTCAGGTTTGTCAAAGATCATATGGCTGTAGATGTGTGGTGCTATTTATGAGGTCTCTTTTCTGTTCCGTTGGTCTATATATCTGTTTTGCTACCAGTACCATGCTGTTTTGGTTACTGTAGCCTAGTAGTATAGCTTAAAGTCAGGTGGCATGATGCCTCCAGCTTTGTTCTTTTTGCTTCGGATTGTCTTGGCTATATGGGCTCTTTTTTGGTTCCATATGAAATTTAAAGTAGTTTTTTTCCAATTCTGTGAAGAAAGTCAGTGGTAGCTTGATGGGGATAGCATTGGATCTATAAATTACTTTGGGCATTATGGCCATTTTCACAATATTGATTCTTCCTATTCATGAGCATGGAATGTCTTTCCATTTGTTTGAAGTCCTCTCTTATTTCCTTGAGCAGAGGTTTGTAGTTCTCCTTGAAGGGGTCCTTCACATCCCTTGTAAGTTGTATTCCTAGGTATTATATTCTGTTTGTCGCAATTGTGAATGAGAGTTCACTTATGATTTGGCTGTCTGTCTTTTATTGGTGTATAGGACTGCTTGTGATTTTTGCACATTAATTTTGTATCCTGAGAAATCTTAAGCTGATAAGCAAAAGTTCATTTTTACAAGATGAGTAAGTTCTGGAGCTCTAACATGGACCATGGTGACTATAGTTAACACTGTATTATATTCACGAAATTTGTGAAGACAATTGCTCTTAAGTGTTCTCTGCACACACACAAGAATTGTAACTATGTGTGTAATGAATATGTTAATTGGCTTGTTTGTGGTAATCATTCCATTATGTACACATATATCACATCACATTGTATACCATAAATGCATAAAAATGTTGTATGTCAAGAATAGCTCAATAAAGCTGGGCAAAAAATAGGAAAAACAAATCACAACTAGCATTGTATATGCAAATTTGCAGTTCTAGATTCCCAGGTATCTTGAGCTCAGATATTGATTTTTTAGAAATAATTTATTAGAATAATGAGATTTTTTATTACCACCAAATTGATCTAGACTAAAATGAAAGGCATAGAGAAAAGGAAGAATGAATATTAGCAAACATCTATGTCTTTTAGAAGAAAGTCTGGTTATAAAATCTTAAAATCCATTAATCATTTAATAAGTTAAGAACAAATTAATTTTTTAGTAAATTATGAATCAAACATGTTTCTGTATAGTTGTTACCCAATAAAAAGAATGGTATTCAATAATTGCTATGTGTAAAATTCAGATAATTACTTGAGTATTAGTTCTAATTTAAAATATAAGTTCAAATAATTGAAACAAAAATTAGTACATAAATTTTGCATTTGACTTGGAAGATTTCTTGGCTCCAGGTGTATTTTACAACATATGCTCAGTAGATATTTTTCTTCATACATTTTAAAACTAATGACCGCTATGTAATTCTTAATAGGTTTCAAAATATTGCAAATTACATATACACAAAAAAGCTTGCCTAAGCGGAGTTTAAGTTGTTATTTTTTCTTAAACATAGACAATATTGTCCATCTTCTAGCATCTAGTTATTCATTGCAACCCTCAAACAATTTATAAAGTCATTTTGGTAGATAGATAGGGTCCTTATTGCATATGAAAATATTCATTGTTAATCTAGAATAGTCTTAAACACTAATATTAATAGATTACTATTAAATATTATTATTCATACACTATTCTATGTGGTCACGGTGATCCCCAAATTATTGTGAGACCATTTACATAAATAATTAGTATAGAATTTTTCAAAAAGAACATCTTGCAATTTATTGGAGTGAATGTCAAAGCTTCCATGGTAAAAGAACATTCTTGTAACTATAAAATACTGAATTTAAACACTTTCTGACAGATTAGTGGAAAACTGCAGTGAAGATTAAATATTACCTTGGAATAAAATAATCAACTTAGTAATGATTGTTTACTTTTTCTTGAGTGGTTAATATTCATCACTTCCTATATTTCACATTCAACAACTGCTTATTTGGGGAGTATAATAAATTAGTATCATGATTACCCATAATGAAATGCTCTACCTTTTTAATCATTTTATTTTTTTCAATATATTACCTAATAAATCAGAGCTGTTCAAAATGCAGTATCTCTAGGTTTTCTTTATTAGAATCCAAGCTGCCTCCTGTGGGGACTAGGATTTATTCTGGTTCCATACATATTGTTTTTTCCTATACCAAAATGTAAGGGATGAATAATAGAGATTTTAAGGTTGAGAATTTTGCCCCATTAGTCACTTCTTGTTTACTCACTTTCACAGGCAGAGTTACATTAACTTTGTCTTGTTATCTGTCTTGACTCAGTAAGAATACAAAAGAACAAAGGGGCACTTTATCCTAAGAAGAGGAATAATCACGTTGGTGTTTATTACGAAAGATTGCTGTAGTTGTATCATAGAGAAGGGCAAGAAGACTGGGAGACACTTCCCGCGTCCATTAATAATATTAATTTAGAGAGTTCTGGCAAGATATCAACCACATTATATGTCGTAGCTTCTAATAAAAGTTGTATCTTTTATTGCTCATGTTAGAAGTTACTAAACTAGAAAACTCCTAAATTATGTAAACTAATAGAAGCTTAGTTTTACAGTTACTATTTTCAAGTTATATATTTTGAGTGACGGCTTCTGAAGGGACACTTTAGTCCAAATGAATAGCTTTCTTGTAAACAGGATAAACTTGATTGCAGCAGGGGCAAATGATATTCTGGTGTTAATTGGCCCCATCATATCATACCATATAATACATTAGCCACTCTGAATGACTGAGGTGATACTGAGGAACAAAAAAAAAGCACATTACATTTCCACAGAGAATTGTAGCTTCTTTTATTATTTTCATAGATGGTAATATTTTAGTATTTAATGATTACAATTCACGTCTTTCACAACTATCAAATATTCCTTTAGTCATTGCTCTGTGATGACTTACCACTTAGATATTGCCCAGTAATAAAACTACAAATCTACAGTTGAAATCTCACCTGCCTCTTCTTCATCCTGGAGAGATTAAAAAAAGGAATTTCATAGGTTTGAAATATATTTAGATAATTGCAATGTTTGGTGTTTTCCAAAATACATTGTGGTTTTGTAGGGTGCTTAATGTAATAGTCTTCAACAAAATGCTATAATGTGCCACTCATTGTATAGTGTAGAGCAAATCTTCATCATTCATTTGCTGGTTGCATAATTGATATCAATTGGTAATAGTTCAATGCTTACACTGAGCTTACATTGCTTTTTATGATCTTTGATAGGTAGAAACAGGTTTTACACAGGAAAAAATAGTCAAAACGGTCAAGCAATAGCTTTGTTCATATATTACTTATTAACTAGAATAATTTTTCTTCAAAATTAGTGTGTTTGAGGTAATAAAATCATCATGATTGCTGGCTTGTTAAGGTACAATTGATGCTGCATATGTGTTATTTAAAAATATTTTACCTAAACCCAGTTCTTTGAGAAGTAAAAATGGAACTTCATAATTTCTCTGTAAGGGAATGCAGCTTGATGGTAAGGGTTTTGTAGAGCCCTTGGGGGAGAAACAGCTGCAGAACAGAGAAATGTAAGGATTTGCCAAGCAGTGCTGATGCTACTCCTAATAATAACTGCTGAAGTTGAAGAACATAATTTTTTGTGCCATTAATTCTAACAATTATGTATTTTTTTTCTGGCACTGTTCAACCCAGGTTTAAAAGCTTAATTATATTAACAAGGCACAATATAACCAAGAGTTAATAGTACTTATAAATAAAATGGTGGATTCTCTCCTAATTGAGTTATTTTCCTGCTTGAATACCTGTTTTGCTTTCCATTGGTTCCTGAATAAAATATTATGTCCTTCGCTGGGTACTCGATGCACACATCTCCATCTCCCCATACAAACACTCTCTTAGGAACGATTATTTTCCATTTTGCTTACCAGCCTCCAACTGAATGGAGCTACTCACAACTTCATGAAGAACCTGCTGTCTTCTAGCTTGTATGTGGTTTCTCATGTTTTTCTCTTTCTGTAATCTCCACATCTCATATATTTTCATGATATCATAATTGACTTTACAAGATAAAAGGAAATCCCCACTCCTCTGAAAGTTTTTCAAATAATTATTTTTACTCAAGGCTAATATGTTTCCAGACTAATACTTGCAGAGCCACCACTAGGTATAGTTACATTACTAGGCCATTTTGCAACTTATTTTACAAGTGATTAAACAGGCTTAATGTGATTTCATTATTTTTCAACCACGCTGTGGTTTTATACTATGTCAAACTAGTGTGGCTGGAATTGTATTTATCAAAAATTTCTAAACTCTGCTAAGAGTTGAGAATGAGTGTCAAGATAAATTTGTGGTAATAGAAACCATTTTATGTTTCTGTCATATACGGTTAACAAACCAGATAAAATATATGGAACAATTTTTTTCAGATTTTGAACAAGAGACTTTGTGAGACATCGGTCACTGAGAGAAATTAAACATGAGGTGAACTCCATAGTTGCCCCAGCTGACCTTCTGTGGAGAGGTTCAGGATACAGCTCAGAGAGAGGGGACTCAAATAGTGCCTAGTAGTCTTCTTGAGCTGAAGTCATGGAGGTGAAAATCAGGGTGTACGAGGCAGCTGCAATTTGCAGGATGGAGCACCAGACAAAAACACAAATGCACAGAATAGGGAGAGAGAACTGTGAGATATGCGAAAGGTTCCACTTGTGTCTTCAACATAGTGATGATCAGTGTATTTGCATAAGTTAATTCCATGAAGCAGAGAAGAGAACCACTAGAAAGAGTTGGTGGAACAATCCACAAAGCTCATAGAAGGCTAATTATATTTTCTTTTTTTCCATCAGCCAGAGTGAAAAAAAAAAACTTCCTAAATATTTGGGGTAGCACATTCAGAAGGCCATTGTTTCACCAATAGGAGAGAATTAGCTCTATATAAAAAGTTGCTTTAATCTACCTTTGAAATTAAGCCTTAAAAGGATACAACTTTTTTCAAATAAGTTAATTTCATTCTAAACCAAAGCTCAGGAACATTTTGAAGAATTATATACATCGAAATCTCAGTAAGGTAAATACTAGAGAATGTTCCCCTGCAAAATTCATATGTTGAAACCTAACATCCAATGTGATGGTATTTGAAGGTGGGGACTTTGGGACATGAACAGGAATAGTGTTCCTGTAAAAGAGACCACAGAGAGCTCTGTTGCTCTCTTCTACCATGTGAAGACACATCGGAAGCAACATCTATTACTCTGGAGGTGGGCCCTCACTAGACACTAAATCTGCTGGCACCTTTATCTTAAACTTCCCACTCTCAGAACTGTGAGAAAAAAAAATCTGTATAGGTTACACAGTGTATGGCATTTTGTTATGACAGCTCAAACAAACTTAGTAAATTTACAGTATCTATTATCCAAGAAAAATAACCACACATGAAAAGGACTGTAAAATACAACCCATAATGAGGAGAACATTTGATAAACAGAAACTGACCCCAAAAGTAACTCAGATAGTGGAATAATTAGAGGACTAATTGGTAGATGTAGAGTTAGACAAAGTCTCTAAAAAGTCATTATAATTACTATATTACTACATTTTCTAAAAATGTAGAAGAAAGCTTGAGCATATTAAAGAGACATGTAAGATATAAAGTGATCCAACTTGAAATTATAGAGATGAAAATGTATAGACTGTGAAAAAATACACTGGCTAGGTTTAAGAACAGATGACATGCTGAAGAAGAAAAGATTAATGAACTTGAAGACAAAGCAACTGAAAATATCCAGAAATAAACACTGAGAGGGGAAAAACTGAAAAATATAAGCAGAGTATGGCTGTATGTATGAGCACAACTAATTTGATTCTACTCCTTTCAAATGGTGGCACTTAATTCTCCTCCCCTTGAGTGTGGGCTGTATTTTCAATGACTTGCCCCTAATGGTTAGCATGTGGCAGAATTTATGGCGCATGATTTCCAAGATTAGAACATAAAAGGCATTATGATTTCTTCATTGCTCTCATTCATCTGTCACTTTCTCTGAGGGAAACTAGCTACCTTCTCATAGAGACACTAAAATTAGCCCAATGGCAAGGTACTGATGGTGAAGAAATAAGGCCTTCTAATAATACTAAAAGACAGCACTTGCCAGGTATATAAGTGAGCCACCTTGGAAGCAAGTCATTCAACCCTAGTCAAGCTTTGTAATGACAGAACCTAAGCTAACATCTTGGCTGCAACCTCCTGAACTAGAACTACCCACCAAAGCTGCTTCCAGATTCCTGACCTCCAGGCAATTCAAAAATGTTAACTATTTGGGCACTGGATATTTTTGTCTTCCTGTAAATATCCTCTAGCCTTTTACTGGGATGCAGATTAAAAAAAAAAAATCATTTCCCCTTCACACCAGGGCTTGCTGTTTTTCACTATAATGTCAATGCCCTTTTGAGTTTTGCACCCAATGTCCTATGAATTATGAGCTTTCTCAGTGTGGTTGGTGGGAAAAGACAATATTCCCAGACTTGTGTGTGATCCAAAACTGTTCCCTGTAATATTTTCAGGTGGTTCTTATGCCAGCTTTTGGTGGTTTCTTTACATACATGCCCTATTTGGTATTCCACTAAATGTCGGAGGGGGAAAACCCTGCCCGTCTTTTGTGTTATTTTTCTGTGTATCTCTCTCCATGTTGGTACATTCTCCCGTTAACTCTAGCCACCTTGACTTCTTCAAGTTCTCATCTCTGTCTTTTAAACCAAGAAATCCTCTGAAGCATGCCTGAGTTTCCCTTACCTATACTGTGTACACTCACTGAAAGCATACCTTTGAGCCAACAGTTCAATTTCTGGATATAAACCCAACAGAAATACATCAGTATATTTATTACTTGATTTATGCATGAATGTCCAGATCAGTGCTATATATAATAGCCCCACATTATCATCAATATTTTAAACAGTAACATATTATAGTCACACAATAAAAGAATTAATGAGAAAGAACAGTCTCTAGAACTATATGGATGAGTTTCACAATCTAATATAGACAAAAGGAGCCCGACACAATTGAGTATGTAAAATATGATTTAATTTATATAAAGTTCAAAATTACATAAAACTAGTGGAAGTTATTAAAAGTCAATATAATAGTTATAATTTGGGGGTGTGGTAGTAGAGTAAGTGGATGAGAGCATGAGGGGTCGTTCTGAGGGTCTAGTAATATTTCGTTTCTTGACCTGAGTGCTGGTTACGTGATGTGTTTCATTTCTGAGTATTCATTGATTTTTTCTATGTGCATATGATTCTTAAATTTTAAAAAGGTACAAAACATGTTAAGAAGAAACACAAATTGATTAGAAAGGTGGATTATGAACAGTAGAAATTAGAATGCAGAATAGGCATGAAAGTGAATGGGTAGATAAATGAATGCATAAAACACAAAAGAGGTAAATAGAATGCCATAAGTTGAAGATTGTGATTAACTGCATGTTAACTAAAAATACTTAGGCTATATGTTTAGTTTAGTTTTTTTTTAAATGCAAAACACAGAGAAGAAAGCAGAAAAATTTCTAAAACAGAGTCCACAAATTAGTTGCATGACTATCAGTGAAAATTATCACAGACAGTTCATTTTATATAAAGATTTACTCAAATAAGTCTTAGCATGAGGTTTCCAGGAAGGAGGCAGTGAGATAAGAAGAGAAATGCAAGTGGTTAATTAGGGAGATGCAGAAAACACCAGCAAGGGAATGGGGATATGAGGCAGGGAAAGGAAGGAAGCTAATAAAGGAATATTATGCAGCCAACCCTCTGAATTAATGGAGTTCAGTCCCTTGGCTAACTCTGGGAATAAAAAGTAGAAAAAGTTTCAAGTTTATCAGACTTGGGAGTGAGATATCTAGTATGTTTACATGTCAGGTCCTATCAAGCATTTGTTGAGGTCTGCCCTGAGAGATATTCTCCAATACTTCCTGCATAGCATACAGGAAGTAATGCTCTTCTAGGAGGGAAAGCCTTTAGAAAAAAAGGAAGTTACTGGCAGCTGGTCATAAAACTATATCCAATAAAATAGTAAGGCCCAAATTATATGACCAGGATACTAAAAGGGTCTCTAAGAAATAAAAGAGATGCTATAAGTATGTATACATTTAAATCATGATGTAGTCATTATGATGTTTTAATAAAGATACCAATGTTAATTTTAATTGAATTCAATAAAGAAAAAATAAAATTAAATGAATAGGAAGGAATTGCAAACATTTAGACAACTGTTTCTTCACCTTGAGTGTTAAACATTCTGAAATGATACCTCTAATATTAGGGGAAAAGAGTTAAAAAGTAACAACAAATATGTGGTATTTCCTAATTCAATATTTCACTTTCCACATTCCATTACTTGCTAGCAGAGAAATTTGAGAATATTAGTCTTTTTACAAGTATATTATTACTTATTATGAGATATGTTTTGTAAAGCATTATAATATCTAGCTTCTCTTTTTTTAACACTAATTTTAGGTTCAGGGTATAATAGCACTTCTGACTGGTGTGAGATGATTTCTCATTGGGGTTTTCATTTGCATTTCTCTAATGATTAGTGACGTAGAGCATTTTTTGAAATAATTGTTGGATGTGTGTATGTCTTTTGAAAAGTGTCTGTTCATGCCCTTTGTCCAGTTTATAATGGTTTTTTTTTTTATGAATTTAAGTTCCTTATAGAATCTGTATATTAGTCCTGTGTCAGGTGAATAATTTGCAAATATTTTCTCCGATTCTGTGGGTTGTCTGTTTATTTTGTTGGTAGTTCCTTTTGCTCTACAGAAGCTCTTTAGTTTAAGTAGGAAGTTCCCACTTGTCTATTTTTCTCTTTGCTGCAATTGCTTTTGGCATTTTTTCTCATAAAATCTTTGCCAGGTTCTAAGCCGAGAATGGCATTCCCTAGGTTAGCTTCCAGGGTTTTTATAGCTTTAGGTTTTATATTTATGTCTTTGATCCACCTGGAGTTGATTTTTGTATATGGTATAAGGAAAGGGTCCAGTTTTTGTCTTCTACATATTGCTAGCCAATTATTCCAGCACCATTTGTTGTCCTTTCCCCATTTCTTGTTTTTGTCAACTTTGTTAAACAGCAAATAGTTCGTGGTGTGCAGCATTATTTCTAGAGTCTCTATTCTATTTCATTGGCCTAGGTGTCTGCTTTTGTACCAGTAGCATGCTGTTTTGGTTACTGTAGTTTTGCAGTATAGTTTCAAGTAGGGTAATATGATGCCTCCAGCTTTGTTATTTTTGCCTAGAATTATCTTGGCTATTTGGGTTCTTTCTTGGTTCCTTGTGAATTTTTAAATAGATTTGTCTAATTCTGTGAAGAACGTTATTGGTAGTTTGATAAGAATAGCATTGAATTTGTAAATTGCTATGGGGAATTTGTCTGTTTCAACAATATTAATTCTTTCTATACCTGAGCATGGAATGTTTTTCCATTTGTTTGTGTTATTAGTGATTTATTTGAGTAGTGTTTTGTCATTCATGTTATAGAGATATTTCACCTCCATGGTTAGCTGTATTCCTGAATAATTTTTTCTTTTTGTGGCTATAATGAATGGAATTGTATTCCTGATTTAGCTCTCACCTTGGAAGTTTTTGGTGTATAGGAATGCTGCTGATTTTTGTACCTTGAGTTTGTATCCTGAAATTTTGCTGAAGTAGTTTATCAGATCAAGGAACTTTTGGGCAAATATTGTAGGCTTTTCTAGGTATAAAATCTATCTTATCCTCTACAAATATTTGACTTCCTCTCTTCCTAGTTGGATGCCTTTGATTTCTTTCCCTTGCTTGATGGCTCTGGCCAGGACTGCCAGTACTATGTTGAATAGGATTGGTGAGAGAAGGCATCCTTGTCTTGTTCTGGTTGTCAAGAGGGATACTTCCAGTGTTTGCCTATTCAGTATGAATTTGGTTGTGGGTTTGTCATAGATGGCTCTTATTGAAGTATGTTCCTTCAATGCCTGGTTTGTTGAGAGTTTTTACTATGAAGAGATTTTGAGTTTTATCAAAAGCCTTTTCTACATCTATTAAGATAATCATGTGGGTTTTGTTTTTAGTTCTGTTTATGTGATGATTCACATTTATTAATTTGTATATGTTGAATCTAGCTTGAATCCCAGAAATGAAACATACTTGATTGTGATCAATTACCTTTTTGATATGCTACTGGATTTGGTTTGCTACTATTTTGTTGATGATTTTTTCATCTATCTTTATGAAGAATATTGGCTTGAAATTTTCTTTTTTGGGTTGTGTCCCTGCCAGGTTTTGGTATCAGTATAATGCTGACCTCATAAAATTAGTTACAGAGGAGTATCTCCTCCTCAATTTTTTTGGAATCATTTTAGTAAGAATGGTACCATCTCTTCCTTATACATCTGATAGAATTCAGCTGTGAATCCATCTACTCCTGGGCTTTTTCTCTTTGGTAGGCTTTATATTACTGATTCAGTTTAGGAACTTGTTATTGATATGCTCAGGAATTCAATTTCTTCCTGGTCCGATTATTGAAGGTTTCCAGGAATTTATCCATTTCTTCTAGGTTTTCTAAATTGTATGCGTACAGGTGTTCACAGTAGTCTCTGAGAGTTTCTTGTATTTCTGTGGAGTTGTTGGTAACATCCTCTTTGTCATTTCTAATTGTGTTTATTTGAATCTTCTGTCTTTTTTTCATTATTAGTTTTGCTAGCTCTAATCAATCTTGTTCATTCTTTCAACAAACCAACAACTGAATTTGTTAAAGTTTTGTGTAATTTTTGGTGTGTCATTTTCCTTCAGTTTAGATTTGATTTTGGTTATTTTTTGTCTTCTGCTGCCTTTGGGATTGGCTAGCTCTTGTTTCTCTAGTTGCTATAGATGTAATGTTAGGTTGTTACTTTGAGATATTTCTAACTTTTTATATGGGTGTTAAGACTATAAACCTCACTTAACACTGCTATAGCTGTGTCCCAAAGATTCTGCTATGTTTTATCTTCTCATTAGTTTCAGAGAATTTATTGATTTCTGCCTTAATTTCATTATTTACCCAAAAGTCATTTAGGGAAGCTTTATAAATTTCTATGTGGTTTTGAGCTGTTTACTTTGTATTGATTCCTATTTTTATTGTGCTGTGGTCCAAGAGTGTGGTTGCTATGATTTCACTTGTTTTGAATTTGTTAAGGATTGTTTTATGGCCAATCGTGTGCTTTATTTTAGAGTTTGTTCCTTTTGCAGATGAAAAAACTGTATATTCTGTTGTTTTGGGGTACAGAGTTCTGTAGATGTCCATTAGGTCCATTTTGTCAAATGTTTAGTTCAGGTCCTGAATATCTTTGTTAGTTTTCTGCTCTGATGATCTAATACTGCTTGTGGGGTGCTGAAGTCTCCAACTATTGTGTGGTTATAGAAGCCTCTTTATGCATCTCTAAAATCCTGCTTTATTAATCTATGTGCTCCTGTGTTGAGTGCATATATATATTTAGCATGGTTATGTCTTCTTGTTGAACTGAACCCTTTACCATAATTTAATGCCCTTCTTTGTCCTTTTAGTTTTTGTTGGTTTAAAAATCTGTTTTGTCTGAAATTAGAATAGCAACCCCTACTTTTTTCTGTTTTCTGTTTGCTTGGTATATTTTTCTTCATTCCTTTACTTTGAGCCTATATGTGTCATTGCATGTGAGTTGGGTCTCCTGAAGACCTTATAACATTGGGTCTTCATTTTTTATCCAACTTGCCACTGTGTGCCCCTTAGTTGGAGCATTTAGCTCATTCACATCCAAGGTTAGTATTGATATGTACAGATCTAATCCTGTCATTGTGTTGTTAGCTGAATATTGCGCAGACATGTTTGTAGGATTGTTTTATGGTGTCACTGGTCTATGTATTTAAGTGTATTTTTGTAGTGGCCAGTAATGGTCTTTCCTTTCCATATTTAGCACTCCCTTCAGGACCTCTTGTTAGGCAAATCTTGTGGTAAGAAATTCCCTTAGCATTTTCTTGTGTGGAAAGGATTATATTTCTCCTTCACATATGCAGCTTAATTTGGCTTATATGAAATTTTGTGTGGAAATCATTTTCTTTAAAAATGCTAAATATAGGCCCCAAATCTCTTCTGGTTTGTGTTTCTGCTGTAAGTTCCACTGTTAGCCTGATTGGATGCCATTTTTAAGTGACCTGCCCTTTTTTCTGGCTGCCTTTAATATTTTTTTTCATTTTGACCTTGGAGAATTTGATGACTATGTGTCTTGGGGATGGTCATCTTGTGTAACATTTTTCACATGTTTTCTGCATTTCCTGAATTTGAATATTGGCCTCTCTAGCAAAGTTGATGAAATTTTTGCTTGGTTTCTCTCCCACTCTTTCAGGGATACCAATAGACATATAGTTTGGTCTTTTTATATAATCATATATTTCTTAAAGGTTTTATTCTTTATTCTTTTTTCTTTATTTTTGTCTATTTTGGAAACCAGCCTTCAACCTCTGAGATCCTTTCCTCAGCTTGTTAGATTCTGCTGTTAAAATTTCAATTGTGTTCAGAAATTTTGAAGTGAACTTTTGGCTCTATCAGATCAGTTTGGTTATTTCTTAAAATGGTCATTTTGCCTTTCATCTCCTGTGTCATTTAATTGTATTACTTTGATTATTTGAATTGGGTTTTGATTCTCTCCTGAATTTCAATAATCTGCATTCTTATCTGTATTCTGAATTCTATGTCTGTCATTTCAGCCATTTTAGCTTAGTTAGAAACCATTGCTGGGGAACTCGTGCAGTTGATTGGGTGTAAGAAGACACTCTGGCATTTTGGGTCACCAGCGTTCTTGTACTGGTTCCTTCTCATCTGTGTGGGCTCATGTTCCTTCCATCTTTGAGTTGCTGTCCTTTTTTTCTTCTTTTCCTTAATTTTCTTTGATGTTCCTGTGGGTTTGATTGTGGTATAAGCTGGGTTCTGTCAATCAGCTTTATTCTGGAAGATTGTAGGGGCTAAGGCTCAGCTTAGCACTCTTGGGCTGCATACTCTAAATCTTATGGGTTTGTATTGGGTTCTCAGCTTTGATCTCTGCCCCTTGTGTTAGGAACCTGCTGCACTAGAAAGGCCAAGGTTTTCCCAGACTGCTGGCCAGAGCATTCCAATGGGTGGGGCCAGCCAAAGCACTTCATAGGGTAATGGCAGTAGGATCCATGCTCATTTGCCCATGCCAGCAGCAGTGTGAGCATGGTGGGGTGCATGCTTTTCAGCTGGGATGGGGTGCTGGTGAGTGTGTGGATGCTGGTCTCCATCCAGTCATTCTCAGCTGCAGTAGTTTTGGTGCAAAGATGGGGTTGCGGAGGGGTGGAGGGGTAAGGCCATTGAAATTTGTGTGTGCATTCACACTGGCGGCCCTCTTGGCACAGGAATGGGGTGCCTGCCTGCATGGGTCTGGCTGCCTCCATGAGCACATTCATGCCAGTGGCAATGATGGCACAGGGCCGCTGGCCTTTACATGTGCATTTGTGCTGGCAACAATGGCTATGGCAGGGTGGAAGAATGGGGCTGTTGGCCTCTGGGCTTGCACTGACATTGGCAATGGTTATGCAGAAGGGAGGTTGGAGGGGTCAGTGGGTTACTCATGCCAGCAGCAGTGACACAGTAGAGTCACATGTGCAGTGACTCTCATGCCAGCAGGGTAGGAGAGGTAAGGTTTATCCAAGCACATGTGCACAGGTAAAGCAATGTGAGGAGCGGCTGTGGGTGACTGCCTACCTGTAAAGTGGCACTGGAGAGGCTGCAGTTGGAGGAGAGTGCGGGTGGGGTGGTGTGTGTGGGCGGAGGCTGGTCTGGTGGATGTCTCCAATGGTCAAGCACAGTCTGCCAGTGCAGGAGCTATGATGCAGGTTACTAAGAGGCACACTGGTTGTGCATGGCTGCACTGCAAGCAGGCATAGACAGGCTGTGTCCCTGGTAGAGGCCAGCTGACAGAGGGGCACTCAGGATGAATTGATCCCTTTTCATGAGCAAGATTGCCCTTCTCTGTTTGGGTCTAATAGTTCCCCAAAGGCTAAAATCGTCTATGAAAGCATGGTAAGCCTTGGAGAATGCGTGTCTCTGGCTGTGCTACACTACAGAATTCCCGCACCAAAACCTCCGGAATCTGCACAGGCAAGAATCCTGCTTCTACCACATCTCTCCCGGTCAACTCAAGTGTCTGTAGGGGTTGTGGGGACCCCTTCTGCCAGGATTCCAGAGGCCAATGGTGAGAGAGGGTTGCTCCCTGCCTGCTCAGCTTACCCCTTCACCAGGAGTCCTTGGAAGCCAGGAATGAGTCCTTGTGCATGGTAGTCCTGTGCAGGGTTCCTAACTTTCTACCCCTTCAGCCCAGTGTCTGTGTCATCCCTCCATCCATTCTCAATACTTTCCCTCTGAAGATCTGCTCAGAGTGTGCTAGTCTTTTCAGTGTCCCTGTCCTTTGGTGGCAGATGTTCATCCTGGCTGCATCTAGTCAGCTGTATTGCATGCCAACTTGTAGTTTCTGTTCTTAACTCCAATTATCACAATTGTTTAGCTTTTTACTATATTCCAATTTTAGGCTCAACAAACAGTTTCAAAAAGAGAGTTTTTCTTTCCTAAGTTACTTTTATTTATTCATTTATTTTTTGAGACGGAGTCTTGCTCAGCTGCCCAGGCTGGAGTGCAGTGGCGTGATCGTGATCTCGGCTCACTGCAACCACCGTCTCCCGGGTTCAAGTGATTCTTCTGCCTCAGCCTCCCAAGTAGCTGGGTTTATAGGCACCCAACATCATGCCTGGCTAATTTTTGTATTTCAATAGAGGCAGAGTTTCACCATGATGGTCAGGCTGGTGTTGAACTCCTGACCTCAGGTGATCCGCCCCCCTTGGCCTCCCAAAGCTAAGTTCTTAATATTCATTTATTTCTTGGCTGTGCATGGTGACTCATGCCTGTAATCTCAATACTTTGGGAGGCCAAATCAGGAGAGTAACTTGAGCCTAAGGAGTTTGAGACCAGCCTAGGCAACATAGTGAGACTCTGTGTCTACAAAAAATAAAAAATAAAAAAATAAATAAGCTAGGAATGTTGGTTCGTGCCTGTAGTCCCAGCTACTTGGAGGGCCGAGGTAGGAGGATAGCCTGACCCAAGGAGGTAGAGGCTAAAGTGAACCATGATCATGCCACTGTGCTTCAGTCTGGGCAAAAGAGCAAAGCCTTGCCTAAAAAAAAAATTAAATTATTTCTTGGTTGGCTCAATATCACTGTGATGTTTTTGCTTCTCTAAAAATGACTCATGGGCACCTTGGTCACTGAGTTTGTCTCTTAGTCAACAAATATTTGTTGAGCATTTAACAAATTTCAGTCACTATTTCTCGTGCTAGGAATTATACTAGTTATCATATCAGGACCCTGCTCAAATGGACCTTACATTCTAGAAAAACAGAGATCTACAAGTCACAAGTAAAAATAATACATTAACACTTAGGATCATAACAAGTGTTATGGAGACAGTCAAACAAAACTTCTAGAGTATGTTGGTGGTGCTGCAACTGCTTTAAATGTGACAGCCAAGGAAAACCTCTGAAGAAGTTATACTAACCTACGTTCTGTGGGGAGGGAGCTACGTTTTGCATCTTTAAGGGAAAGAAAAAGATATATGTGGCTTTGTATAATGAGCAGGGAGCATGGTACAGGAGGAGTCTATACCAAGAAGTAGGATGCAGCTCTTCTAAGGCTCGTAGATAAGACGGTGAAGTAACAGAAGGAGATGAAAGGATAATTAAAACAGAGTAGAAATTAACTGAGTTCACAAGTAACCAAAACAACAGAAGTAAAATGGAGATTTGGGACTGTAAAGAAAAGAAGAGATGTGAAAGGAATGTAAATTACTTACGAAGAGAAAGGCTTGGGATATCTCACTCTACTCATCATTACTAATAGATACAGAGGACAGAAAAAGCCAATCTGCTATAAGGAAAAATAATGCACCTGGATTACACAACCTAAGAAATGGAACAGAAAAATATATGCAAAGGTAAAATAAAAGAAAATTTCTTGAAGGGAATAACTAAATCTATAAATAACAAGGGCCCACATGTTGTTCTAGAAACAGCTCTGCAGAATAAGCTGTATCTCAGATGAGTAGGGATATATGAAACTAAGCATTTCTGATCACAACCTTCTTTAAATGCGACTCACTTATCCAGTAACTCCCAATACAGCTATTTTCCACTTCATCAGAATTCCTGTCCACTGCTCCCTCTCATTTCTCTATTAGCACTCTCCTTCTTTCATTTCTCTTTGTGTTTTCTTTAGATGTCTTGGCCTTACATTTCAAACACCCTCTTACCAACCTTCTAAATAATCTGCTTACATTTTTATTCCATGTTTTCTCATGAAAACTCTCCCAACAAAATTTAATATAAATACATGCCTTCTCTCCTTTAACCAAATTTATGATTTCTGCTGGGGACATTCATTAAGCATCAAAAATCAATCACTAAATATTCATGGTCATCAGTCTCATTGCTTATCACACCTCATCTGGGTAATCCTATTGTATTTTTTATTCTTTTCAATAATAATTTACACTGTCTTAGACTTTGGACACCTAGTCTGCCCCTTCATCCTAACTGGATGACATAAATGCCCATTTCAAAAGGAAAATAGAAGGTATCATACAAAAATTTTCTCTACTTGCCACCAAATTTAGAAACTTAAACATTTCTGTATTTACTTTCCTTCTAATTTAGTGGAAGAAATGCATCTCTTCCTATATGAGGTCTAATAACAACCTTTCTTCTGGATCCTAATCTCTACCTGTCTTCTTAGAGGTCTCATTCCATCTATTCTATATCATCAGTCTTAATGCTCTCTGTCAGCCTCTTTATGTGTCTCCTTACTCTCAATATTCATACATGCTTAAGATTTACTTCTTTATATTAACACAAAATAAGTAACATGTAACATGGGAGTCTAATATCCATCCTTTATACATTTTCAGATAAATATATTAAAATAGATATTTAGACTATGACTCCCAGTTTAACTTTTTCACTTTCAGTTCAGAATACCCATTGCAATCTGACATTTTGCCCTGATAAGTCTTGCAAAAATTACTTAATAATAGAACTCTGTGCTCACTTTACCACTCACTAACATTTATCCCAATATACTTCTTCGCTCTAGAAATAGTCCATGTTCACTGTAGATTGCAACACACTTCCTCAAATTTTCCACCTGCTATGCTGGCCATTATTCAATTTTCTTTTCACTTTCTTCTTATTTTACAGCTCTTAAATGCTGTCAGGGATCAATTCCAGGGCTTCCTCCCTTTTCTACCCATTGCCCTAGGGGAGTTTTCTCAACTGCTTTATTTCCAATATACCTTTGTGCCAATACATTCTCACAATCCAACCCATCCACATCTTCCAAGTTATATGGATATATTTTATTGTCAGGTGAAATTTTCATTTGGATATTAAAGAAGCATGACAATTGGAGTATTTTAAATACTCCTCCTCCCTCCCAAATCTGCTTCTACTTTTGGGTTTCCTATTTTAGTAAATGGCACTGTCATTCAAATAGCAAGCCAAATGAGAATCATGGTCATCTCCCATAACTGCTTTTCAGACAGGCTCTAATCATCTCAAATCTAGTCAATTGCTATACCATGTTATTAATCTCCCAAATATGCCTAGAATCCACAATTTTTTTCTTTTTCCTATTTCTATAACCATCATGCTTGTACCAACCTAAAGTATAAAAATGTGTTCCTTAGTCTCTCTTACACATAATCTGCAGACTCATTACTCTTCTAAATAAATCTTTAAGAATCTGATTTTGTCCCTCCCTGGCTTAAAGTGCTTCCTTCAATGGTACTTATAAGCTAGATGGTACCTTTAAGCTAGGTGAACCTACTGGACAAGGTTCACACTGTCTGATGTGATCCACCTCACTATTAGATTCTCTGTCCCAGTAGTCATCTCATTTTCTGAACTCTAGCCAAACACAGTAACCGTTTGGCTTTTGAGCTTCTGTGCTTTTCGGCACTGGTCGTTACATACAGTACATGTTTAGTCTTCTCCCAAAGACATCCTGTCAGCTTTCGTGTGTTCTTCAAGTGTTATCTGAGTTCAAAGCTTACTTTTTATACTTAGAGCCAACCTAGAAAATGCCAAATTACATCTAGGAAATGACATATTACATGTTCAATTCTCAGTAAACATTTATCGAATGACCCTCTTTTGCCTTAAAATGTCATAGAAGGTGCTCATTAGACATTTTTTTTACATTCTTAATTTGTGTATTGTTTAGTCAAGCACATTCCAGTTCTCTTGCTGCAGTCTTGTTTGTCTGTCTTGGGTTGTCCCCCTCCTAGTATGTTTAAGGACTTGTTATTTTATGAATACCATTATTACTACTACTGCTAATCATAATAGCAATCATAATAATAAAAATGATATTAGCTAACATGCATTGAGCAGTTACGTGCCATGCATGGTTTTAAGCACTCTGAGGAGAATAACTAACTTGATGCTCACAACTACATGAGGTAAGTAGATGATGGCATTGATGTGCTATCAATGCAGATGATAGCATTGATGTGAGGCTAGGCTAACCAACTTAGCAAAAGTCATGACAAGATTAAAAATCAATCAGTGCAACTCTCAAATTCCTACTCTTCATTACAATTTAAGACCGTCTCTTTTCTAAAAACATTGATTCTACCATTAGTACAACTAATAGTGTGCTTCTCTTTTTAAAATTTTTAAATAATGTCATTTTATTGGTTCTAAACAAATAGGAAACTATGGCTTTTCGTGTATGACAGGGAGAAAAAGGCTTGGCTGTTAAAACTGTTTGCTAAACAGCAAAGAAATGTCTACCTATGAACTGATTTACTGTTTTCTTCCAGGACAATGACATAGGCTTACTTGAAGGAAAGACTTGCTGATAAAAATATTTGAAAGCCATATATCTAAATATGTATATTGTGTAAGTGTATCATGATCACTTCTCTCCCTTCACAAGAATCTCTATGGTAAAACAATTTGAATACATGTACTACATATAAAATATGTACAACAGATAAAACACAAAGTTTATATCTGAATATTTTAAAATATAATTTCATTATCTAATATACCAACCAGATTAATTACAACCAGATGAGTATCATTAGAGTGTGTATCAAAAATTACTTATCATTTAAACAAAACATATTGACCACACCATTATTTATACTGTTGCAATTGCAATAGGGTTCTCAGAAAAACAGAACAAATAGGATAGGTGTGTGTGTGTATGCACCATACACAAAGTTTAAATCAAACCTGCTGAAAGAAAATATTTGCAATGCAAATAATGGATAGGAAATATATTACAAATTAAAATTTTATGTAACATAATTTCTATAAATTAAACAACTAGAAATGACAACCAAATGGAAAAAGTAAACATAATCAAAAGACTTGAATATAATTTGAAGTAGAAAGAAATCTGTGAAGAATTTCAAAAAGCAATGATGAAATAAATACTTACCTATTAATATTGTTAAAAATTTAAAAGGTTGATAATGCACAGGATGGACAGGTTTTAAAGGCTCTATTTCCTAAAAGTCCAAAGACAGTAAATGCAGTCGGTTGCTAGCCCCAGAATTTTCACAGGGATTACTATGAAACAACAAACTTTTGGTTTAAGAGAGTTAAATTTAATTGTACATTTTTTCTCAGCATATCTTTTAAATAATTAATTCAATTTTTACAAATTAATCTAAGAGAAACATTCATATGTATATGAAATTATGAACACATAAGTGTAGTTGTACATTTTTGTTGAGGAATTATATTGTATATTCTTATACACATATAAAATACATGTTGTGCAAATGTGTAATTAATAGATACAGTCTCTGGAGAGATGCATTTGATTACAGGTGACATGTCAAGTTGCACTTAATATTGACTGTATTTTATTATAAGTTTAAAAATTCTGATAACCAATTCATGTTATTTGTGCAATTAAAAGACAAAATACAAGCAAGCAGTACAGCCAGTGAATCAAATAACATATCCTTGGTTCCAGAAAGAGAAAACAGAAAACATCTTGGAAATAATAACTTGCAATCATGAATTTAAGGCTTACTATTTTCCAAGCACTATGCTAAAGCTTTTACACAAATTATTTAAGTTTATTTTGTGAGGTGAGTATTGCCATTGTTTAATAACTATTCAAGTTTAGGTATTGCATAAATGAATTTATTAGGTTGCATCTAAACACTTTAGATGTTATAGTCGAGGCATAGGATCACTAAATCCAAAGCTACAGTACAGAGTTATTTGGCTAGAACTGAGCAAAAAGAAGAAAAATAAACTTACATGCTACAACTTCAGAAAGCCAGATTCAGGCAGTCTCAGTCATTTCTTAATGTATGAGAAATAACTGTTAAAAAAAACCTGGTGTCATAGCACTGGGGAGAACACTTTTACCTTCAAGTTTTGATGAAAGGATAACTCAGAATTTTTTAAAAAACTGTTGAGAATGCATGTATTATTCTATTTTAATGCTGCTGTTAAAGACATACCTGAGACTGGAAAGAAAAAGAGATTTAATTGGACTTACAGTTCCACATGGCTGGGGAGGACTCAGAATCATAGCAGGAGGTGAAAAGCAATTCTTACTTGGCAGCAGCAAGAGAAAAATGAGGAAGATGCAAAAGCGGAAACCCCTGATAAAACCATCAGATCTAGTGAGACTTATTCACTACCATGAGAACTGTATGGGGGAAACTGCCCCATGATTCAAATTATCTCCCACTGGGTCACTCCCACAACACATGGGCATTATGGGAGTACAATTCAAGATGATATTTGGGTGGGGCCACAGAGCCAAACCTTATCATTCCACTCCTAGCCCTTCCAAATCTTGTCCTGCCATTTCAAAACCAATCATGCCTTCCCAACACTCCCCCAAAGTCTTAACTCATTTCAGCATTAACCCAAAAGTCCACAGTCCAAAGTCTCATCTGAAATGAGGCAAGTCCCTACCACCTATGAGCCAGTAAAATTAAAAGCAAGCTAGTTACTTCATAGATACAATGGAGGTACAGCTATTGGGTCAATACAACCATTCCAAATGGGAGAAATTGGACAAAACAAAGGGGTTACAGGGGCCATGTAAGTCTGAAATCCAGAGGGGTAGTCAAATTTTAAAGCTCCGAAATGATCTCCTTTGACTCCACGTCTCATATCCAGGTAACGTTGATGGAAGAGGTAGATTCCCACAGTATTGGACAGCTTTGCCCCTGTGGCTTTGCAGGGTATCACCCTCCTCCTGGCTGCTTTCACAGGCTGACATTGAGTGTCTGTGGCTTTTCCAGGCCTACGGTGCAAGCTGTTGGTGGATCTACCATTCTGGCATCTACCATTCTTCTCACAGATCCACTGGGCAGTGTCCCAGTAGGAATTCTGTTTGGGGGCTCCAACTCCACATTTCACTTCTGCACTGCCCTAGCAGAGGTTCTCTATGAGGGTCCTGCCCCCGCAGCAAACTTTTGCGTGGGCATCTAGGCATTTCCATACATCATCTGAAATCAAGGCAGATGTTCCCAATCCTCAATTCTTGACTTCTGTGCACCTGGAAGCTCAACATAATGTGAAATCTGCCAAGGTATGGGGTTTATACCCTCTGAAACCATGGACTGAGCTATACCTTGGCCCCTTTTAGCAACAGCTGGAACACAGGGCACCAAGTTCCATAGGCTGCACACAGCTGGGGGACTCTGGGCACAGTCCAGGAAACCATTTTTCCTCCTAGGCTTCCAGGCCTGTGATGGGAGGGGCTGCCACGAAGATCTATGACATTCCCTGAAGACATTTTTCCCACTGTCTTGAGGATTAACATTCCACTCCTTGTTACTTATGCAAATTTATGCAGCCAGCTTAAATTTCTTCTCAAAAAATGTGTTTTCCTTTCCTTTTGCATTGTCAGGTTGCAAATTTTCTGAACTTTCATGCTCTGTTTCCCTTTTAAAACTGAATGCCTTTAACGGCACCCAAGTCACCACTTGAATGCTTTGCTGCTAAGAAATTTCTTCTGCCAGATACCCTAAATCATCTCCCTTAAGTTCAAAGTTCCACAAATCTCTAGGGCAGGGTAAAAATGCCAACAGTCTCTTTGCTACAGTCTCTTTGCTAAAACAGAGCAAAAATCACCTTTGCTCCAGTGGCCAACAAGGTTCTCATCTTCATCTGAGACCACCTCAGCCTGGACCTTATTATTCATATCACTATCAGCATTTTTGTCAAAGCCATTCAACAAATCTCTAGGAGGTTCCAAACTTTCCCACATTTTCGTGTCTTCCTCTGATCCCTCCATACTGTTCCAACCTCTGCCTGTTACTCAGTTTCAAAGTCGCTTCCAAATTTTTGTGTATCTTTTCAGCAATGTACCACTCTACTGGTACCGATTTACTCTATTAATTCATTTTCATGCTGCTGATAAAGACATACCTGAGACTGGGAAGAAAAAGAAGTTTAATTGGACTTACATTTCCACATGGCTGGGGAGGCCTCAGAATCATGTCAGGCGGTGAAAGACACTTCTTACATGGCAGCAGCAAGAGAAGAATAAAGAAGATGCATAAGCAGAAACCCTTGATAAAACCATTAGATCTTGTGAGACTTATTTACTACCATGAGAACAGTATGGGGAAAACCAACCCCATGATTCGAATTACCTCCCATCAGGTCCCTCCCACAACACATGGGAATACAATTCAAGATGAGATTTGGGTGGGGACATAGAGCCAAACCATATCAATGCAGGAATGGAATAATGAAATCATTTACATTATAAAAAAAGAGATTTAAACTTCATAAAATGATTTAAAAAAAAGACAAATTTTCCAAAACCCCTACTTTGGTATGTTTTTCTTTTCCTCTTACTCCAACAGATGAACAAATGAAGTAGACGAATTACAAGGTAGACGATTTTCTGTCTGAACCCATCATTCGGTATTTCTCAGTGTGGATCACCTTGTCTCTTTTCTCCCAATTTTATTCACCTACATTGTTAAAAGAAAAGTAATTATATTAACTAATACATTGTTTGTTAAAATATCTGACTGAAAACATTTCAATATCAATTATGATCTTCAGTAGTTTTTCATTTTATATGTTCACGTCAACATTTTTTATAATATTTTTTGAGTCTATATAATTGCATTCTTAATCTTATTAATCATAACTGTTCTGCAGGATCTGGATTTTCTCTTGTGGTGCAATTTATTAATTTGTAATCAATGTACTTTATTTTTGTTAACTGAGATAGGTTGAAAATAAGAATTAATTTGTACAAGTTAGGTAAGGCACTTTTTTTTTTTTCTTTTTTTGAGACAGAGTCTCACTCTGTCACCCAGGCTGGAGTGCAGTGGTGCTATCTTGGCTCACTGCAACCTCCGCCTCCCGGATACAAGCAATTCTCCTGCCTCAGCCTCCCGAGTAGCTGGGACTACAGGCACGTGCCACCACACCCGGCTAATTTTTTGTATTTTTAGTAGAGATGGGGTTTCACCGTGTTAGCCAGCATGGTCTCCATCTCCTGACCTCGTGATCCACCCACCTCAGCCTCCCAAAGTGCTGGGATTACAGGTGTAAGACATCACACCCATCCGGTAAGGCACCATATTTGCTGAAGTAAAAAATTGTAACTCACTATGGTATATTTAATTATCAAATTTTTCCTTCATCATTTTTTTATATGTAAGGTATTCTTGGTTACCTGGTAGATGCATTTAAATTAAAATGAATTAAGAATACTAATTTCAAAGAATGTTTTGTCTTTCTAAGAAGTCATTTCTTACATGAATTTTATGATTAAAAAATAAATCTCAAACAGACAAGTAGTTCCATCTTCCTGTTTGACATAGACCTTATTATTTAAAAATATGTATTAAAATAAAACATGAAACTGCTGAGAGATTACCTAAATCATTCAAAAATGCAGTTTTATTAAATTGTATTTACACAGTATTCTAATGTATTCATTTTTTTAGAAAAAAATCCAAGTGACAAGATTATTTTTATGCAACATTTCCTCAGAGGAGTCATTGCAAACTATACAGTCAGTCTGTAAGCAGACAGGGAGGGTCTCCAGAGATTATAGGCAATTAGTCAACCAGAGCAATCAGCCTGTTTTAGAGCCTATGCCCTGCAGGCTGTTTTTCCCCAAACACTGTGTGGAATATGATCACTTTATTGGTTGGAATCATCTTCTGACAGATCCTGGCAACTTATAGATGAAGCCAAGTGAACTTTCCTCATTACCATGCTAATGTCTCCACCCCCAGAAATGCTACAGCTTCAATACCGTGACATGCGACCTATGAGTTGGCATAATGACTCACTGTGTTTGCACTACTGGAACCCCTCCTTTACATGTAATGATTCACTCTCTCTTCTTTCTTCCCTCTCATAAAACTGCCTTGTCACTTTCCCTCAGAAAGACACTGCTTTGGAGAATAGTTCCTGTGCCTTCCTTACTTGTACCAAGTAATAAAACTTCTCTTGATCAAAACCTGCCTTCTCAGGAAGAGTTCTTTGTTACCAGGCAAATAAACCCCGTTTTTTGGGGGTTAACAAATCAAGCATCTCAAACTTTGGCACTCATGTAAACTATATCTGCTTATCTTATTGTAGCACTGATGGAGCTATTTTAGCATAATTCAGAAATTAAATACTGAAATTCTGCTATTAGAATATTTTAATAAGTCAATTTTAAATATTAAACTGTATGTAGGTATTTATTTAAAAACAGGGTGAGCATGTCCTAATATATACATTTACATTAATTGTTTCTTATCCTAGGTAATTTAAATTGCAATTTTCTCAGTTCCACATCTCAACTTAAAAACTATTTTAATTTTAAAATTATGTTAATTTATCTCTTTTAGTTTTTACTGTTATAAAAATAACATTAAGTAGCTTATCAAGATAATCTCTCTTTTGTTGCCTTATTTCTCTTGTATTTAATATGATAATTACTTTAAAACCTCATTATGTGTTTTGTTTCCTCAGGAAATCATAAGAGCATTGTTTATTTACATTATACTTTTTAATACATGAAGAGACAAAACACAAGCACATATATGCAAATCAATGAATGCAATCCAGCATATAAACAGAACCAAAGACAAAAACCACATGATTATCTCAATAGATGCAGAAAATGCCTTTGACAAAATTCAACAACCCTTCACGCTAAAAACTCTCAATAAATTAGGTATTGATGGGACGTATCTCAAAATAATAAGAGCTATCTATGACAAACCCACAGCCAATATCATACTGAATGGACAAAAACTGGAAGCATTCCCTTTGAAAACTGGCACAAGACAGGGATGCCCTCTCTCACCACTCCTATTCAACATAGTGTTGGAAGTTCTGGCCAGGGCAATGAGGCAGGAGAAGGAAATAAAGGGTATTCAATTAGGAAAAGAGGAAGTCAAATTGTCGCTGTTTGCAGATGACATGACTGTATATCTAGAAATCCCCATTGTCTCAGCCCAAAATCTCCTTAAGCTGATAAGCAACTTCAGCAAAGTCTCAGGATACAAAATCAATGTACAAAAATCACAAGCATTCTTATACACCAATAGCAGACAGAGAGCCAAATCATGAGTGAACTCCCATTCACAATTGCTTCAAAGAGAATAAAATACTTAGGAATCCAACTTACAAGGGACATGAAGGACGTCTTCAAGGAGAACTACAAACCACTGCTCAATGAAATAAAAGAGGACACAAACAAATGGAACAACATTCCATGCTCATGAGTAGGAAGAATCAATATCATGAAAATGGCCATACTGCCCAAGGTAATTTATAGATTCAATGCCATCCCCATCAAGCTACCAATCACTTTCTTCACAGAATTGGAAAAAACTTCTTTAAAGTTCATATGGAACCAAAAAAGAGCCCGCATCGCCAAGTCAATCCTAAGCCAAAAGAACAAAGCTGGAGGCATCACGCTACCTGACTTCAAACTATACTACAAGGCTACAGTAACCAAAACAGCATGGTACTGGTACCAAAACAGAGATATAGATCAATGGAACAGAACAGAGCCCTCAGAAATAACGCCGCATATCTGCAACTATCTGATCTTTGACAAACCTGAGAAAAACAAGCAATGGGGAAAGGATTCCTTATTTAATAAATGGTGCTGGGAAAACTGGCTAGCCATATGTAGAAAGCTGAAACTGGATCCCTTCCTTACACCTTGTACAAAAATTAATTCAAGATTGATTAAAGACTTAAACGTTAGACCTAAAACCATAAAAACCCTAGGAGAAATGCTTTTTAAAATGTTCTTTCAGCTACCTGCCCAGCAGTAGGATTGCTAGATCATACGGTAGCTCTATTTTTAGTTTTTTGAGGATAATCTATACTGTTCTCTATAGTGACTGTACTGTTTTAAATCTGCACTAGTAGTGTATAAGGGAAATCAGTATGTTGAAGAGTTAGCTGCATTCCCAAGTTTATTGCAGCACTATTCACGATAGCCATGATATAGAATCAACCAAAGTCTCCATCAACAGATAAAGAAAGAAAATATGGCATATATACACAATGAAATATTATTACAATGGAATCCCGCCATTTGCAACACCATGGGTAAAACTAGGGAACATGTTAAGTGAAATAAGTGAGGCACAGAAAGACAAATATCACATGTTCTCACTTATGTGGGAACCAAAAATGAATTTTTGGAGATAGAGAATAGAATGATGGTTACCAGAGGGTGAAAAGGATAGAGGGGAGGGCAGGATAAACAGTGTATGGTTAATGGATACAAAAATATAGAGTTTGGTAGAAGAAATAAGATCTGGTGTGTGGTAGCACAATAGAGCCACTATAGTTAACAATAATTTATTGTATATTTCAAAACAACTCGAAGAGTTGATTTGGAATCATCCTAACAAAAAAAATGATAAATGCTTGAGGTAATGGATATCCCAATAATTCTGATTTAATCATTACATGTTATATGCTTATATAAAAATATCATATGTGCCCCATAAGTATGTGCAACTGGCATTTAGCAATAATAGTTAAAAATTTAACAAAATATCTTTTCAAAGTAACAAATATAAAAATCAGAATAAATATTCAAAAATTACATGAATAAAAATGTAAAATTGTATTAGAAAATCAAAGAAAAACTGAATAAATAGAATGTTACCTTTTCTTCCCAGACAGGAAGATGATTCTCAAAAATACAAATACTTCCTTTACTTAATCTATCAATTTTACATAATTGCAATGAGCTTATTGTTAAAAATTAAATGAATTATAAATTCTATCTGAAAAATAAAAATGAACATAACATGAACTTTTTGAAAGAAGAATAGATAGGAAAACATATGCTATCAGATATTAAATCCATTAACAAGTTACAACAAGAAGAACAAGGTGGTGATATCTGAAGAATAGATGCTCATTAGAGCAGGAAAGAATGTCCAGAGTAGATGCTCATTTGTGGGACATGATAAAGTTGGCAGCTCACATCAGTGAGAAAGCATCATTCAATAAAAATGTGTTTATCTGTCACATTACACATTAAATTTCAGGTAAATTATAATCATAAAATATAAATAATATACATAGCATATTGGAAATGTTTACCTAATTATTGTTGGGAAATTAATCATAAAAACAAGAGTAGTTTATGATTTCACTTAAATTTTAGAAATTGACAAGAGAAGGTTGTTCCCAGCCTAACAAAATAAGAAAGACCCACCACAGGGCTGAGTACCAAGGCAATCAGTTGAATTCCAAAGAAGGTAAGCTTCTCAAATATAATTTTATAAAAAGGACACAAGAAAGGTTTTCCTTTTGGAACACACAGAAGAATGAAGTGGCAATTATAAAGTGTGGTAAGATTTCACTATAGGGAATAAGCATAAAATAAAAATTAACAATCACTATTAATGTATACAAATTGCCATAAGAAAACAGTGAAATGCCCCCAAAATGAGAGAATTATCAGAAGATATGACATTTTTAAAGGTCAGGATTTAGTTGCAGAGAACAGAGTCTACTCTGACTAGTTTAAATAGAAAGAGCTTTGATTACTGTTAACCTAGGTTTCATTTTAAATCTTTAGGAGAGATAAAGAAACATACTAAGTTGGACTTTATGGAATGGCCTCCAAAACCAAACAACAGATCTTGTCCATTGAGGAACTTCATCCCCTTCTATGATAAGGAATCTGACTGAGTAATTAGGAAGTTTCAGCAATAGCTGCTGGAACTCTAACTCAGTTGCCACTTCTGAGTTAGGATGCAGACATGAATTGGCTATTACAGCAGCCTGCATTAGAAGTATTGCATACATGCTGTAATACACACCAGCAAATCCAATGTATCATACATGAGACAGCCGTGAAGCCAGACTATGAACCACAACTGCTGCTATTATTTCCATAAGAAAAAAAAATAATACATCCAGATCTTATTTGTCAGTGAAAACAGCAGCAGAAGTAAAATCTGTGTCTTCTGCTGGCTTACAAATTTAGAGCATATCTGAATGATATACAATATATCCCAAATTCCTTCTAGCTTCTAGGTATAACCCCAGGCTGCAAAATAATCTAAAAACTACAGTTTTTAGCTTTCCAGTCTTTGTACAGGAGGCATTTCCTGTAAAAGTGGGCTGACATGTCCATTTTATCATGGACACCGCAGTGTTTGCACTGGGCCTTAAAGACCAATATATTTCAGGAGGGTGACACTGGGAGGGGATCATAGACAGAAGAAACCATGTTTACAAAAGTAAAAAAAAGAAAAGGCATAAAAATTATACGTAGCTTCTTTTGCAGAAGCATAAACAGATTGGGTCAATGATAGCTGGGGCGTCGCACCAATTTGGAATGCTACTTTATAGTAGTTTGGTTTTGTTTTAGGAGAAATAAGAAGCCTATAAAAGTATTTAAAATTAAAAAATAAAAATGTGCCAAATCCTGCTATAAAAACTCAATTAGGATGATATGAAATATCAAAATAATTTTAGTAAATTTTAATATTCTTCCTAACTTGTCGGTTTACTCAATATAGTATGTGTATATATAATCAATGAGAATCATTGAAAAGAATCATAAGCCAGTTTGAAAACTTCCTTAGAAAAATGAATTTGGAATTATTGAGTTATACACGTTCTCATGGTTTACAGCAAAATGCTTAGATTTTATAAACTGTGCAATTTGAATCTTCATGTTGATAATATAATATGCAGCATTTTTCACAATTATCTACCCAGAGAGTTATATTTCCTTATAGCATTCTGGGGGCTAGTGTTTCATGAAACAGACTTTTGGATATACTGACCTAAGTCATTGATTTTCTCAATTATTTCCAGACTCCTTGAAAAAATGTATTAAAAATTTGGGTTAGGTCACCATTTAATTTATCTTTGGATATTTTATTTCATTTTTAATGTACTTTTCTTACACATTTACAAAACTAGGCCATTCTTAATTTAAGGTGGCAGCTGGAAGGGAAAGATAGCATGGACAATTACATTTGTAGATTATTTTTCAAACATCTTTTATCCATTCATGTAACACCTCCCCACAACAAAGATGTTTATCTTTTGCTAAGAAATAGTAAAAATTTATAAAATTGGCAAAATTTCCTTTCCCGTCTTACTGTTACCTAATAGGATAAAAAAAAAAGAGTTTAAGAGAAAGTTGTAAATGGCTGCAAGCTACAAAAATTAAATAAATGAAACAAATTTTTGAAAACAAATAGGTGAGACTTGATCCTAATGATTTCAAATTATTAGGAATACTAACTTATTTTTAAAAGATGTAGAATTGGTATTTTAGCAGATATCAGAAGAAAATTTGCAGTAGACAATCAGGGAGATTTTACTCAAGGCTATTGCAGTAGAGTGGAGGCCAGAAGTCAGTCTGAGCTCACCTTCAATTCAAAGAAAAGACTGGAGGTTTTAAACAGCTGCATAGAGAAGATCATGGGCTGTTCCTTTTGATAACTGGCTTTGCCTCCTACCCCCTTCCAAACAAAGTAAGCTTTCTCATATTTTTATGACACGAGGTTGTTTCACAACTTGGAGCAAGGCATTCTGCATAAGTTATCCCTTCCCAGATGCTGGAAGGTGTTCATGCTATCTCCCTATGATTACATTTTGAAGAGATGACTTTCAGATCCTTGAGGAACAGCCCTGGCTTGTAAAACTTGTAAGAACCCTTTACAAAGATTTATATCTCTTCGGAGGCCAAGGCGGACGGATCACCTGAGGTCAGGAGTTCAAGACCAGCCTGGCCAACATGGCGAAACTCCGTCTCTACTAAAGATACAAAGATTAGCCAGGAGTGGTGGCAGGCACCTATAGTCCCAGCTACTCAGGAGGCTGAGGCAGGAGAATTGCTTGAACCCGGGAGGTGGAGGTTGCGGTGAGCCAAGATCCTCCCATTGCACTCCAGCCTGACCAACAAGAGCGAAACTCCATCTCAAAAAAAAAAAAAAAAAAAGAAAAGAAATTAGCCATTTGCTCCTGCATGTTCCTGTCAGGTGGATCACTTCAGGTCAGGAGTTCCAGACCAGCCATGGCCAACATGCAGAAACCCCATCTCTACTGGAAATAAAAGAATTGGCAGAGTGTGGTGCCCATGCCTGTGGTCCCAGCTGCTAGGGAGGCTGAAGCGGGAGAATCGCTTGTGCCTGGAAGGTGGAGGTTGCGGTGAGCAGAGATTATGCCACTGCACTCTAGCCTGGGCAACAGAGCAAGACTCTGTCTCAAAAAAAAAAAAAAAAAAAAAACAAACCTACAAGTTCTCACATTTATGACTGTATTCACAATATGTCTGAAATGTTTCTCTAGCCACTCATTAAATTTGCTGTATCTCTAAAAAAAAAAAATTACATATCAAAGGAGCAGAAAAGGGATTTACAATTATGAGTGTTTGTTTTTTGGTACTGTTTTTGTTTTTTTTAGTAAATGCTCTATAAAGAGGGAAGTCAAGGACCTAAAGTCGGGAATACACCTGTCTGTCTAAGCTTTAGTCAAGCTGAGTAGAACATTAAATCTATCTTGGGAACAGATAACCAGAGGGGATGGATGTGACATTTTTTGGACATTTTCTCAATATTAAGCCAAAAGATATGCATTGCTAGATACACAGATAGGTAGAAGAACATATCAGGGACTAAAGTAACCAGTTTACTATCTCTTTGTTTCCAAAACAATCTGTTTACTAAAAAACAGAGCAAGAAGGGGAAGATTTTTATATCCTTCCTTTGAAATCATTCTCTGAAAAACAGTTTTTTAAATGTTAAGAAACATCTTAATCCCAAAATCCCCATTACAAATGAGAAATTGTCACATACTAATACGTACAACTCTACTGTGTAACACAGCCATATAGGCCATAAAACCGAAGCTGTCATTTCCTTCTTTGAAGTGAGAGTAGCTTTGATTCACACCAGAGCCTTATCTTTTCTCAGTTTGCAAACTGATATCACCAATAAATCTCTCCTTTATACTATTTAGCCATCCTGGTGGTCCTTTGAACAGCCAGGACTCTTGATAATAATGCACTGGTGTTCTCAATGTGATGGCTCTGATGAAATGGGATTTGTGATTCTTTTTCCATAAAAGTGTTTTAGAAAATTATGACTGTGTTATTTATGTATTACAGAGTTGTGAGGTAGTTGTTTTGATTGATTTTTTTTTAATACTTAGTTCTCTTTAGGACCCAGAGAGAAGTCCATGATAGAAAGGATATTATATTGACCAACATTCTCAGCATCCTATCTTTTGTCTGTCCTTGAAGCTTTGTAAGTGTGTTAATGCTTGTGGCATCTGGCCAACTCTTTATTGAAGATAATTTCTTTCCATGTGATATGGTTTGGCTCTGTGTCCACACCCAAATCTCATCGTGACTTGTACTCCCATAATTCCCACATGTAGTAGGAGGGACCCAGTGGGAGATAATTTGAATCATGGGGGTGGTTTCACCCATACTGTTCTCATGGTAGTGAATAAGTCTCAAGAGAACTTATGGTTTTATCAGGGGTTTCCACTTTTACATCTTCCTCATTTTCTCTTCCCGCTGTCATGTAAGAATTTCACCTCCCAGTATGATTCTGAGGCCTCCGCAGCCATGTGGAACTGTAAGTCCAATTAAGTCTCTTTTCCTTCACAGTCTCAGGTATCTCTTTATAAGTAGCACGAAAATGAATTAATATGGTAAATTAGTACCAGTAGAGTGAGGCATTGCTGAAAAGATACCCGAAAATGTGGAAGTGACTTTGGAACTGGGTAACAGTCAGAGGCTGGAACAGCTTTGGAGTGCTCAGAAGAACACAGGAAAATGTGGGAAAATTTAGTACCTCCTAGAGATCTGCTGAATGGCTTTGACAAAAATGCTGATAGTGACATGGACAATAAGGTCCAGGCTGAAGTGGTCTCAGATGGAAATGAGGAAGCTGTTGGGAGCTGGAGCAAAGATGACTCTTGTTATGTTTTAGCAAAGAGACTAGCAGCATTTTGACCCTGCCCTGGAGATTTGTGGAACTTTGAACTTGAGGAAGATGATTTAGGGTATCTGGTGGGAGAAATTTCTAAGCAGCAAAGCATTCAAGAGTTGACTTGGGTGCTGTTAAAGGCATTCAGTTTTAAAAGGGAAACAGAGCATTATAGTTTGAAAAATTTGCAGCCTGAAAATGTGATAGAAAAGAAAATCCTATTTTCTGAGGAGACATTCCAGCTGGCTGCAGAAATTTGCATAAGCAACAAGGAGCCAAATGTTAATCCCCTAGACAATGGGGAAAATGTCTCCAGGACATTTCAGAGGTCTTCACAGCAGCCCCTCTCATCACAGGTCTGGAGGCCTGTGAGGAAAAAGTGGTTTCCTAGGCAGGGCTCAGGGTCCCTGAGCTGTGTGAAGCCTAGGGACTTGGTAACCCTGTGTCCCAGCCACTCCAGCTCTGGCTGAAAGAGGTCAAGGTAGAGCTCGGGCCATGGCTTCAGATGATGCAAGCCCCAACCCTTGGTAGCTTCCACTTGGTGTTGAGTCTGCCAGTGCACAGAAGTCAAGAATTGAGGTTGCGAACCTCTGCCTAGATTTCAGAAGATGTATGGAAATGCCTGAATGTGCAGGCGGAAGTTTGCTGCAGGGGTGGGGCTCTCATGGAGAACCTTTCCTAGGGCAGTGTGGAAGGGAAATGTGGGGTCAGAGCTCCTACACGGAGTCCCTACTGGGTCATCACCTAGTGAAGCTGTGAGAAGAGGTCCACTGTCCTGTAGACCTCAGAATGGTAGATCCACCGACAGCTTGCACCATACAACTAGAAAAGCTGCAGACACTCAATGCCAGTCCTTGAAGGCAGCTGGGAGGGAGGGTGTACCCTGCACAGCCACCTCTTACATCAGCGTGACCTGGATGTGAGACATGAAGACAAAGGAGATCATTTTGGAACTTTAAGATCTGACTGTCCCACTGGGTATCAGACTTGCATGGACCTTGTAACCCCTTTGTTGTGGCCAATTTCTCCAATTTGTAATGGCTGCATTTACCCAATACCGGTACCTCCATTGTATCTGGAAAGTAACTACCTTGCTTTTGATTTTACAGGCTCATAGGTGAAAGGGACTTGCCTTGTCTCAGATGAGACTTGGGACTGTGGACTTTTGGGTTAATGCTGAAGTGAATTAAGACTTTGGGGGACTGTTGAGAAGGCATGAGGTTGGTTTTTCAAATGTGAGGACACAAGATTTGGAGGGGCCAGGAGCAGAATGATATGGTTTGGCTCTGGGCCCTCAACCAAATCTCATCTTGAATTGTACTCCCATAATTTCCATGCATTGTGGAAGGGACCCCGTGGGAGGTAATTTGAATCATGGGGGCGGTTTCCCCCATACTGTTCTCGTTGTAGTGAATCAGTCTCAAGAGATCTGATGGTTTTATCAGGGGTTTATGCTTTTGCATCTTCTTCAGTTTCTCTTGCCACCACCTTGTAAAAATTGCCTTTTGCCTCCTGCCATGATTCTGAGGCTTCCCAAGCAATCTGAAACTGTAAGTCCAATTAAACCTCTTTTTCTTCCAAGTCTCAGGTATGTCTTTATCTGCAGCATGAAAACTGACTAATACACCAAGAATCTGTTTAGATATCCATATACAAAGATTTCAAATTAAACAACACTATACATTTTTTGACCATTCTCCAACACATTCGATTTTCAGTTTAGGCTTAATCAAGAGTCTGTCATATTCAGTTTGGGCAGGTATAGACTCCTTTACTCATGTGCTCTTTCTGTCTTATATTAATTCAAGAGTGTCAAACTGTGGTCTCAAAAATGTGTTCATTTAAAATAAATATATAAGTTTAAGTTTTACTTTATATAAATCTTACACACCATTTTCAGAAATAATTAAAACACCAATTTATTATACAATTTATAAAAAAGGCATGGCCTAATTACTCACGTGAATTAACAAACTAGTATTTCATTCAAGCAAGCATCTATCATGTGTCAGTCTAGGAACTTAAATACAAAAATTAAATAGATTAAAATCCTCCCGTGGACAGAAAAAATATATATATTCATATATATATATGTATGGTATATATATGCTATATATAATATATAGTATATTATGCATATATGTATTATACATATATATAGTATATTGTGCATATATATACACACATGGTTTCCACATGAAAAAATTAAAATTAAGAATCTGTCTTCCACGTATATACCAGTTAACATTCTATTGCTTCTTTTGAACTATGGTTTTCATAATTTAAAAAATAAATATAATAAAATATTTTATTTCTTTATAATTAACTGTGACAGTTTCTTCAGTTTAAATGTGGCTCCTTATACAGAAACTTTAGAAAAAACATACAATTTTTTAATAGAAATTCTTAAGGAGGTAAGATAGTGAAGTTTTCACATCTAAGAATCCCAGCTTCTATTTTTTATTGTGTCACCTAGTAACCATAGAAAACTACTTGATTGCTGTGAGTCTGTTCCATCATCTGTAAAATACAGCTAGTAATAGGTTCTTGAAAAATTAGTTGCAGGAATTGAACAATATGAGTATGTTTGATGTTATACCTGGGACATAGTGAGCATTTACTGCATTGATTATGTTCTCCTATTATTCTCTCAAAATTAAGACTATTTGCAAATCAGACTCATGTCAAACTTAAGACAACTAGTAAAATTTAGATAAAAATGACTTTACCAAATTTAGATTATTTTCTTCTATTTACCCCCCTCCCCCACAGTTACATTTTGAATAAACCACTTATCACATTCTGCCTTGAATTATAGTTTTAATCTTATCTCATATCTCCTGATATATTATGAAATTCCTAATGGTCACAAATAAATAAAAATATCTCTATGTTCTGAAGAATGCTCTTGTAAAGAGCTTTGCTCAAAATACATGCTTAATAAGTATTTTTTGTGTTTTTAATTTGTGAATGTAGCCCTTTAAATTTACCAATTTTTCTCAATAATTTAGTTTTTAAAACAATAAAGCATACCTCATTTTAGCAGCACTTTGTCAGGAAGAATTGATCATATTCACCTTAAAAAATATTCTTGTTTTGTTGTATTTTGTTCAATTTAATTTTAGTCATCAGTATTTCCAAATGCATGCAAACATAAATCTCATTTATTTTTGTATCTCCAGGTGTCTTTTAAATATATTACTTCTGTTGTATGGGACAACCAAGATAAATTATAGGATATTATTATGCAAGACAGAGCAACAGAGTACCATTGGGCCCTATTCACTCGATTTTTACATGTCTTTTATGAGCTTATGGGAATTTATACATTCAGAAAGAGTTATGTATCCCAACTATATAAATTCACTATCCTTTTTTAAGCAGAGCACAGGATTTGCTGCATGCAGCCTCATTAATGATCTGTCTCAGGAGTAAAGAAACCACCAAGGAGATCAACTTGGCAAGATTTTCACTTCAGTAAGTAATAGCACTCACAGGAGAGAAATTCTAAAAAGTTTCCAAATATGCCATATGCATATTAGAACAGTTAGGAGAAATCATAAGCAATGACTCCCTTAAGCCCCATTAAACTTCAAGTTAGCCAAATTAGAAACCTTTCCTTGGAAAACAGGCAAGCATATCTAGAAAGCTATGAGTATTAAGAGTCTTGGATTCTACCCTTGATCTTCCTTCTGACTCATAACGTAATTTGAGCAAGTTATTTGAAGATTCTCTTCCCTTTTTATTCCTTCCAGAAAGTCAGGATTGAGAAATAGAAATCTTTCATTAAATGGACAGAAAAACAATGAAGAAAAAATAAAGTAGGTTTTAGTTTCCCATGTAAAAAGTTACTGACTGAAAAAGTCAACAGCTGACAGTAAGATGAACAGTATGTAAATTTAGATCTCTTAGACTGTCATCTAAAGAACTGAGAATTGCGGCACGTTCAACACATGAGTAAGTGGTATCTGAAAATGCATCGGCAAAGAAATGCTTGCTAAGTTTGGCACAATTGATTGCCTGAGAGGTTTTCTATAATTTTTAATTCTTTTCATATATTGAACATACCCAACCAGTCTTCCAACAATAGCAACAACAGCAAAAGGGGACAGAATAATTGTTTTTAAAAAGGGGAGAATGGAGGCTTTTTAAAATTAGATTTATTAGTTTCATCACGACAGTGGGTATACAAAAGAAAATAGAAAGTATTTATTTCCTAATTTAGAGAACTCTGGGAACTGAGGTTTAAGGGAATGCTATGGTATCAGCTCTGAGAAAATGTTCTTGCCGTTGCTTGAGCTACTGCTTTTTCAAGGGAAACCACAAAGACAGGACTAATTCAGAAGTAACTAAAATTTATACATTGATATCATTGTGTGTGTTAATCCTCAATAACCATGAAGTAAGTTTCCTTATTATCCCAGTTCTACCGATGAAGAATTAAAGTCTCAGAAAAGGTAAAAGAAATGTTTTTAAGTCACACACCATTGAAACAGTCTTTGTAAAAATTCTAACAATGAGAAAATTATGACAGTGAAAGAGATCTGACCCAACCAACTCCAACTTGCCTTTAACCTCCAAACAGCCCTTGTTAATTCCTGAGCTTAGTTTGAGCTAACTGGAGGGGGAATTTAGTTTACAGTTTGACTTTGAAACAAAGATGATGACAGCACTTTCCCGAAACAACCCCCACTCCTTGCCTGGGAACCAGACCACATTTGGAGAGCTAACCAATTGGCCACAATATTAGAAATTAGGGTTTAGGAGTCATGCACACAGAGGCCACAAGTTTCCTTACCTTCTCAAATGCTCCTATAGATAACATCACTATTGTAAAACCTAAGATTGGGCTCAAGACATTTTTCAGTCTACATTCTGATGGACCAGCTGGCATCACCCAGAACAATAATGTGGCTCAACTAGTTCTGTGATCCTACCCAAGAACAGAAGGCAGCAAGAAAAACCCACTTTGACCCCCTGTGATTTCATCTGTGACCTGACTAATCAGCAGTCCTTATTCCCTTGCCAGCTGCCCAACAAACTATCTTTATTTTTTTAGTTTTTATTTTTAAATACTAGATAGTTAATGTTATGTTTTACACAAATTTCTAAAATGGCAATACTGCACTACAGAGAATAGTAATCCTATATGATCAAAATTTCTGCTGTTCTTTAAAATTAAGCTAGTATTGTTACAAAAATAATAATAAAATGATGATTATTGTAAAAAGTAATGATATTTTTTATTTAAGTTCAGGAGTACATGTGCAGGCTTGTTACATAGGTAAACTTGTGTCATGGGTTTTTTTTGTACAGATTATTTAATCATCCAGGTACATTAAGCCTAGTACTCATTAGTTGTTTTTCCTGATCCTCTTCGTCCTCCCATCCTCCAATAGGCTCCAGTGTGTGTTGTTCCCCTCTCTTGTGTCCATGTGTTCTCATCATTTAGCCCCCACTCATAAGTGCGAACAAGTGGTATTTGGTTTTCTGATCCTATGTTAGTTTGCTAAAGATAATGGTTTCCAGCTCCATCCATGTCCCTGCAAAGAACATGATCTTATTCTTTTTATGGCTGCATAATATTCCATGGTGTATATTTACCACATTTTCTCTATCTAGTCTATCACTGATGAACAGTTAGGTTGATTCCATGTCTTTGCTATGGTGAATAGTGCTCCAATGAACAAATGTGCATACGTTTATTTATAATAGAATGATTTATATTACTTTGGGTATATACCCAGTAGTGAAATCGCTGGGTTCAATGGTAGTTTTGTCTTCAGATCTTTGAGGAATCACCACACTGTCTTCCGCAATGGTTGAACTAATTACACTCCCACCAACTGTGTATAAGCACTCCTTTTCCTCCACATCCTTGCCAGCATCTTGTATATTTTGACCTTTCAATAATAGCCATTCTGACTGGTGTGTGATGGTATCTTACTGTGGTTTTGATTTGCATTTCTCTAATGATCGATGATGTTGAGCTTTTTTTTCATACGATTGTTTGGCCGCATGTGTGTCTTCTTTTGAAAAGTGTCTATTCATATCCTTTGCCCACTTTTTAATGAGGTTGTTTTTTCTTGTAAATTTGCTTAAGATCCTTCTAGATGCTGGATATTAGGCCTTTGTCAGAAGCATAGTTTGCAAAATTTTCTCCCATTCTGCATGTTGTCTCTTTACTCTGTTGATAGTTTCTTTTGCTGTGCAGAATTTCTTTATAATTAGATCCCATTTGTTAATTTTTGCTTTTGTTGCAATTGCTTTTGCTGTCTTTGTCATGAAATCTTTGCCCATGTCCTGAGCGGTATTAACTAGGTTGTCTTCCAGAGTTTTTATAGTTTGAGGTTTTACATTTAACTGTTTAATCCATCTTGCATTGATTTTTGTATATGGTGTAAGGAAGGGGTCCAGTTTCAATCTTCTGCATATGGCTAGCCAGTTATCCCTAAACTACCTTTAAAATACCCTAGTCTCCTCATTTTTGAACAGAGTGACTTGAGTAATAATATAACTTTGCCTCCCATTTAGCTAGCTCTGCCTGTGTTACACTTTCTCTGTTGCAATTTCCCTGTCTTGATAAATGGGCTCTGTCTGAACAGCTGTCAAGATGAACACATTCGGCAGTTATACCACATTGTTTAATATCTAGAATTCAGTTTACTTGATAGCACAGTATGAGTTTTTTCTAAATGTATATAATACCATTTAAAAAAATTCATTGAGTATACAAAGATAACACTCTAAAAGGTTATTATTAAGAAAATATCACAAAATATATGTATTACATATGCTAACTGGATGCTTTTGTGAGAGAATGTGAGCCAGTCTACCCAAATTAAACATATAAAAGATGCATATTTTTTAAAATAGGCGAACTAATAAAAAAGTAATGTATCTCAAAAAATAAAGTATTAGTAAATTAAATCATTTAGTTTCTCAGTTTTCTAATTGCTAACAAACACTTCAGTGTGTTAAAAGAAAATATACAACTCACACAAAGATATATTTCCTCCTAATATTAAAGAAGGAGTAATATTTGTTGTTGTTTTACTCTTTATATAAGAGACACCAGATGTATAACAAAAAGGGAATCATATTATAATTATGTCAGAAGATATATTATTAAAATGTACATGTATTTTTGTATATTTGTAACAATAAAGACTTCAAAATATATTTTAAATCAGGAAAGCCAGTTCTAGGGAATTTACAATCACATAACCTCATCTTATTTCCTTAGATCATCTAGATCCACATTTCTTAGAATATGCTATAGAAAAACTGGGTTGGCAGGATTATAACAGGGGTTATTAGATAAAAAGCATCCCATGATAAATAAGCTTGGAAATTGTGAGTGAAATTAAATAGCTTTATTTACTTCAGGGTAATCAGATCTTAAGTTGTGACAGTGGATACTTAAATTTTCAGGAGGTAATTATGGTCGGCAGCATTTCTCAAGATCATTTTACCGTACATACATTTATCTTGGAGGATCTTTTGGAAATTTGCTTTGAAAAGTAAAGACCTAATTTAATACTGTGACAGAGCCCCAGAAATCTAGGCTCATGATCTTGTCAACATAAAAAAAATATAGAGAGAGATGAATGTTCCCAGAATTCTCTAAACCAGAAAATACATAGTTTCTTCTCTCTTTCTTATTCCCTGGTCTAATGTTCAATTGTGGTGAACTGCCATGATAAAACCAAGAATTCTAATTTTAAAAAAGATTCCATTCTCTTTTTTAAAAACTAATTTTTCTACTCTCTTTTGTTTACTTACATATCATATTTAAAATTGCTTATAGGTACCATAGATAAAATCTACAGCTTTCATAGTTTGGGGAGATCAGATATGGAGAAAAGACAAACATTTCCATTTTATTCATAACAGTATAATTTACCAAGTTTCTGTAAGCTATAGGTACCTTAAAAGAAAAAAGTTTCCTTAAATGTGAAATATACAATATTTAACAACCAGCAATATTTTAAATAAGTCATAAAATTCAATTGTTCAGCAGTTTAATCCTTCATAATTATTGTTCTGTTTAATCTTGTATGAATTTGTCTGTTATTTTTAATATAGTTCTAGAATTTTTTAGCCTATCTATCTATTGATTTTTACAATTATCAGAAACCTGTATTTAAGAGGACTTGTTAGTCTTTTTCATGCATCTATTGTTGATGCCCTTCTAGAAGAATCAAAACTGTAGGTGAAAAAAATTAGAATAGCCATGGTTAAATATCTGATGAGAATTCATTGTAACTAACAATTAACAAGAACATTTAGTTACTTCTATTTTATTCAGTATTTTAAAATAACAACCAGAGTAATGACTGACAGCATTACACCAGGATCATCAGAACTTTATAAACTTTACATGGGTTTTAGAATATTCACATCAAGAACACATTCACATACATGTAAGTTAAAGAAGATTTAGCGTCACTTATTAGAGATGACTGTTTTTCCAAGAAATCCGAAACCTAATAAAGACAGTAAAAAGCACAAGAAATCATCTTAATAAAACACAAAATCTCCATTTCGTAGGCGGATTAATTAAAAGCTAAAGAAAAACCTGCTGCAGTATGATTTTTTCCTTACAGAAAGCACATTTAGATAAGTTGGAAGTTGAACTTAATGAGAAGGTACTTGAATTCAAGTAGACATTGAAAAAGTGTACGTCTAAGGTTATCAGTATACGCCATATTATAGAAGAATAATGTAAACAAGAAAATCAATACTTTGAGCAAGGGCATGCATGGCTTTTAGAAAAAGCAAAAGCATGTGAAACTTCCCGGATACATGAAACAATTTAGGCACATCAAGAAAAGTGAAGAATACAGAATCAACTTATACTGAAGGAAAGATTGTTCTCCTAGGTCTTTAAGACAAGCATTCTCAGCATCAGGCCACAATAGCAGTCAGAACTGGAAAAAAAAAAAAGGTACAGGAATTAACAAAAAACAAGTTGGAAAGAGTCACCAGTTTAGTTAAGCAAAATGGTGTAGCATCTCAAGGAGAGAAGGAAGGAAAGCAGAAAGCAATGATGTAGTGAGATGCAGTAAAACACTGAATTATTGAGATATGAATCTAAAAAACTTGAAAAACTCTATCTTGAGAAGTAAAATTATTTTAAAAGCACAAGACATCACTTCCAACTTAAAATTTGGTAGGAACTATAACACAGGAAAAAGCTGCGATTCAAAAGATAGTTTAATATTAAAAAAATCAGAATTAAAACCAAAACCTTTTTCTGGGTGCAGAGGATCATGCCTGTCAAAGGCATTTGGGTTAATTACTATATTTTTGATAAATTACTTGATAAGCACTTAATTTTTTCTTTAAGCCAGTCAAGGTCTGTTAACAAAAGGCCATGAAGTCTGTGGAGGAAAAATAAAGGCAAGTTACATTTTTTTTGAAAAAAGTAATCTGCAGATCAGAGGAGACCAAGCATCCTGATTAGTAGAAAACAGCTGAGTCCCAACTGGGCAGTTTCCAAGTCCAAAGCAGAAATCTCTGTTGAAAGCCCCTTGCAGGCAGCTGGTGGGAGGAGTTTTCTGACACAGTGTCTCACCTAGGGTTATAGGAACCATCTTAGCTCAGAGGCAAAACAAGATGTTTGTCTGGAGCCCTCTCCAGAAACATGGGAAGCATGGCTGCCCTTTTCTCACTCAATATGGTTCTGGGTTAGTTTCATGTTACAGGTCTTTATATGTTTTGATGGAAAAAATATCATATACATATAACAGACATAAAAATTACGGATGAACAGAATATCTTACAGAAAATCTTTATAGTTTTTATTTTAAAAATCATGACTAAAACATAATATTATAAATTGACTGGTTTGTAAGAAGAGAGTTGGATCCAAATTATATTTCAGACAAAGTGGGTTAAGGCTAAATTTAAGATTTTTTAAAATTGTCTTGAGAAGTAACCTTATGAAGGCTGTGAACCAAATTTTGGGTAAAGCCGTTAGAGTCAGTTACTAATATGCTGGATTGAACAAAACATAGTTAACTGTGAAAATGTACCAAATTATGTAAGGAAGCTTAAAAGATAAAATAATTATTTTTATAAGATCTGTACAGTATGTTCTTGATTTCAATTCTTTGTCCTTGAAGATAAGAGTGCTGTGTTTCCTTCTAGTATAAGGAGGGTGTCTGTTACATGAAATTTTTATCTTTTGCTCTTTAGATGCAGCAATAAGGTCCAAATGATTTTTTTTGTACCTGCTGTTTTTCAAGTGTTTTTCCTGAAAAATTCAATATGCCAGAATAGCTGAGGAATTTTGGAAAAAGGAGAGTTTAGCTTAGAGAAGAATAAAAAGGAAGAGGCATAGGAAGGGGAGTGGAAGGCTCTAGAGGGGAAAGTTTCAGCTAGCTTTGAGGCAGCATTTTGTAATGAGGAAGTCTGAGTCCTGAATGTGTTTGGCAACCTCGAGATATCAGTTGAGATATGGTTCCTACTTGGACTGTATACTTTTATAGCCACAGTTTTTTAGTTTAGTTCAAAGCAAAACAAGCTGTTTGATCCCCATCATGTTTGAACATGTCGCCAGCTGAAATCCCAAAGAGGGGTACTATCTTGTCATGCCTTTGAACTTTGAGAGTACATGTTGTAAATAAATTTATCTAGAAGACTTGGTGCTAAGGCTGGACACATCTTCACACCTTAATTCGTGCTAGGGTGAAATATCAGACATGCAAAACAAAACCAAAAAGTAAAGTACATATTCACCCCAGGAAGGACAACAAAGCATTCTCAACAGGAATGAATTCTCAACAAATATTTAAAATGTGTTCTTTACCTATGTGTTTTAAAATAAGAGTTCAAAAACCTTCATAAACCAGCAGCGAAAAGCCTCATTTGAATAGGATGCTACATAAACAGAAGAAAGAAGTTCCTCATAAGTTCTCACAAACAGAAGGGCAAAAGATCCCTCATAAGCAAATCCCAAAGAAAACCAAAAAACTCAACCAAAACAAAACACTGGAAGTTTAATCTATGCAGTACTCTCCATGGGTAAATAGTCAACCTGTGGAAGCAGGAATGTCAAGGGTCCCGAGTTTGGGTACGGCATGCCTTATGTAGTTCCCAGAACCACTGGTCCCTCAGCCCCTACTTCTGACACCAGATTTTGTCAACATAAACATTTTCTTTCAAATACGAAAGAAAAATATTTTATTTGGAAATGATATGCAAGAAGTAGAATTATGATCTAGGACATACATATAGGCTTCAGAGAAATCTGGAGAAGAACAAAGCAGGTGTTTATTGGGGAAAGAGGAGGTTGTGAAAGTTGAAAGAAAGCACATTAGTGCTGGCAGTGTCTTATAAGAGCTGGTAAATTCTGATTCACAAACGTGAACAGGATTTCTAATCTTGGTAGGATTTGTAATCTTTGAGTTATAGGTAGGCCCTTGCAGTTTTGGATTGGGTGTGTGAGACAGTGATGTCAGGCAAGTGTTCTTATATACCCACTAGCTATCTTTGTGCTGCTATCTGTTCTTGCATAGTTCATGTAGTGAGCTGCTGTTTGGAAAAATGCCTTGTGACAGTTCCTGTTATTAGGCAAATCATGCACGAGAGACTTTGCTTTGTGGCCTTCCCTGGCTCCATTGCCAGGATTTGACACAAGTGATTTTATTTTGAATTTTATAACTTTCACACATCCATTTTGATTTCTCCCTAAGTGCTAAATCACAACAAATTCATGGTTTTAGGCCAAAATATCAATGCTTTGCATTGTTAAGTAGGTTATATTCCAGCTCCTTCACTTACCGGATACAATCAAGGAGATCTATTCTGCCTTTTAAAATAGAAATAAATGTGCTTGCTGTATAATCTCACCATTTTATTTTCTCAATATCCGGGGCAATGGAGTTGCCAGACCATCAGGGTGTCTGTGTTTGTTTCTTTCTTTGCTTTATAAAAGATTTTTGTATTCAGGAATTTTATCAACCACCTGTTGAGCAAAATAATTCTGGGACATATATAATGTGGAAGAAATATAGAATTATCTCCTCCATATCACATGTCCCAGAATTCTTTTGCTGGGTAATGTGTGGAACAAACACAAAATGGGTGGCTTAAAACAACAAAAGTATACTTTTTTCTCATATTACTGATTAGCTACAGGTTAAGTCATCTGTTTTGTGTGTGTGTGGTGTGTGTGTGTGTGTGTGTGTGTGTGTGTGTGTGTGCTACTTCTATAGGGAAGAACGGTAATGGTAGGGAAAAGATATTTAAGCCTCATATATATATATATATATATATATATATATATATATATATATATAGTGAAGTACATATTTATTTCAAATAAGCTACCAATTTTTATGTAGTAATATTTATCACAGGAAAAAATAGAGGTTTTTAATATATCATGTTCAATTGTTTTAATTTTTAGTTCCCACAGATGAGTGAGAACATGAGAAGTTTGTCTCTCTGTGCTTGGCTTATTTAAATTAACATAGTATCCTCCAATTCTCATTTATTTTTTATAGCTGAATAGTACTCTATTGTGTATATGTATCACATTTTTTCTTTATCTATTAATCTGTTGATGGACACATGGTTTGCTTACAAATCTTGTCTATTATGAATAGTGCAGCAATAAACATGGGAGCTACACTCCCATGATATTGCTTTGATAAACTGATTTCCTTCCTTTTGGGTACAAACCTAGCAGTGGGGTAGATGGATAATATGGTAGCTCTACTTTTAGTTTTTGAGAACAAGGAAGCTTTTGCAACTACTTATTTAGATATAAAATTTTTTAAATTGTATTTATAGCTAATTATATTAAATGCATTAATAGGTTATAAATTGATTTCAGATGCAAAAACATATGTCAACTTTCTTACAGGTGTATTGTGATATCATACGATAAGACTTGTTATTTGGCACATTCTTTTTGCAGAAATTTGAAATGTAAACTTCTCTTGTATTTATTTCCAAATACAAATATTGTGCTTTAAAATTTTGTATCAGCATATTTGGTTTTTGTCTTTGTTTTTGTTTTTACATGGTGATTTATTAAATTCTGGGGTGTAGCACAATATACAATAACAAAATACCTGTTTTAAAAAAAGAGTTCAAAAATTATGGCCAGGCGTGGTGCCTCACATCTGTAATCCCAGCACTTTGGGAGGCTGAAGCAGGTGGATTACCTGAGGTCAGGAGTTTGGGACCAGCCTGGCCAACATGGTGAAACCTCGTGTCTACTAAAAATACAGAAATTAGCCAGGCATGGTGGTGGGTGCCTATAATCCCAGGTACTGGGAAGATAGAGGCAGGAGAATTGCTTGAACCTGGGAGGCAGAGGTTGCAGTGAGCCGAGATCATGCCACTGCACTCCAGCCCGGGCGACAGAGCGAGACTCCATCTCAATAAATAAATAAATAAGGGAGGCATATTTGTTTAATACTTAGCAACACTATATTATTTGTCACTAACCTATTGATTACATGGCTTTACATCTGACAGCAAATTTTCTTATTTACTTTTTTGTTTTTTATATATTTTTATATACTTTATATATTTTTCCATAATTTTCTTTTTATAATTTTTCCCCTAAAAAACTTTAGAATAATTGGTTGTTATCATTAAAACATCTTGGTAAATCTTGACTACAATTATAGTAATACTACAAAATAATTTCACTCAAAATGTGTTTATCATATTGTTTCTGCATTTAAATAAGAATTGAAATATAAGTAAAATAAAAGAAAGAGTTTTGGCTTCTCATCTGTTACATTCATCTCACATTTTGTTTGGAATATTTTCTCAGTTATAGAGAATAAGCAAAAGAGCAAAAATATTGAAATATGCTTAGTATATTGTATAGAATATATTTTTTCAGTGTTTATATTTAGAGAAGGGCAAGAAATTGTAAGGCACTTACATTTCATAAGTGAACCTCAACAAACAAAAGCAAAAATGTCTATCCCTTTCAGCCGATAAATATGTCATTTAATTATTTTCATAAAATATCATGTAGCAAACCAATAATATGGTTTGCATAAAGTGGAGATCTAACACTTCTTGTAGTTGACCAGTTTAATCCTATAATACTTAGTGTTAAACTCTGATATCCAGACAACAGAACGAGTTACTCACTGTCAAAAATTCTCCACCCTGCACAAGAGAGGAAGTGTTGTTTTCATGACTGTTTGTAATTCACCAATTAACTTACCACACTTTCTTGTGGAAATGTATTAACTTTTCTGCAGTCATAATGACAGAAACATTTTGGCTATTTCTTTTCCTAGCTAGTATTCCCAAAGCTAAGCCCTGTGATTCTGTTTGAAATCAAGCTAAAATATAACAGACTTCAGAATCTTACTACATTCACTCTGCAAAATTAAAAAAAGAGGAAGTAAATAATAATTTTTAACAAATAGACTATGAACTAGATTTTTGTTTCTGAAGGCCACTTCTTTCTTGCCTCTTAGAAAATATTATATAGAATATTTTAAAACAATAGATGATTAATAATATCTTGGACCTTATGGCTACCATGAAAATGTGTTACTCAGATCTTATGTGGGAAACATAATTGACTGATCCCAGTTTTATAGCTCTGGAACCACTACTGCCTTCACACTATGGGCACACTTCCCCCAGGCAGCTCCCAGCCAATGACTGAGCATGGCAGGGGTATTAAGCAGGCTCATTCTGGCAAGATGTGCATTTTCCAAAATCTGACTCTGGAAAAAAGACTTCTTGTACCAGCTGAAATTTTCTTGCAACTGAGGGACTTCAGTCTGAAAGTCTTCTTACCCAGTCCTTTTTCTGCCCTCTCCCTTTCTACATTTGTCAGACCCGCATCGTGGTCTTAGGGGTCTTGCCTGACTCTCCTGCTCCCAGACCCAATACATCTTTTGCACATTTAATTACATCTTGGAATATACTTTCAATAACTCATACTTGCATAAAGTGGAGATCTACCAAAATTTACTCATTTTAAAAGACTATAGCTATTATTGTCTCCAAGCAATCTAAAAATGCCTCGTGAATGTTTATAAGGTTATTTTTAGATAAACATTTGCTTCTTGGAAAATCGATTTAAACCCAATCTAATAGCCAAAATGTGAACATTTTGTTCAGAAGACTGGCAAGTAGTTCAATTTACATCCTGCCTCATTCCGTATTGCTTTCCACATGACATTCTATCTTAGATACATACATAGGCATGCCATTTAGTGCTTAAATCTCAAAAATTATTGCTTCCTGACTTTGATGTAGCCCCCAGAGTCAGAATCAAGAAAATAAGTAATACATAAGAAGTATTTGGGCAGAGCAGGTAGAAATTGTCAAATAATGTGAAGTTAATGTATATTTCAGCTTGGTCAATATTTTGATAATGAATCCATACAGAAAAGTGTTTTCTCTTAAGGATTTCTCCTTCTGCCAAATATTATCTATGTTTTATATTTTAAAGTAATATTAATTTATTATGTCTCTAATAGACATCAGTGGAAAGTAATTTTAGACAGAAAATGTTGCATCTTTTAACCTATATGCAATATGTCCATATAATTATATATGTTTACAATAGAATAAATATTACTCAAGCTCAAGTTCATTTACCATCATCCATGATTAACATTAATGGCTCAAATCACTGGACGAATCTTTAAAGTGCTGTCATGGTACCAACAGAGAATCAAATTTTAAATGATATCCTACCAGATCCTTCTTTTATTCCACTTTTTGCTGTGGGCATTTATGAGATTGTATCTGCTTGGCCTCCTAATCAAATGTGGCTGAGTTTATAACAAATTCTTCTTTGAAGCCATCATTTACCCTGACTATGCTGTAGTTGAACTAATGACTTGGTGGATAGATTTGTCAGGACCTTCTGCTAAGATTAATATGGTCTTTCTTTCTTAGGCAAGTTAAAAAGAACAAAAAAAATGTACAGGGGAAAACAAAAAGCAGTAAGATTGGAGGAAATAGCAATGAATATTGGTATTATTGGAAGTTTCAACTATCCTTGTTTGAACTTATATCAATACTATCTATATTATGTCTTTTGATAAATTTTTTGAATTATTTTCATGGTATCATAATAATTCAATCAATCAATTTACAGAAAAATATATATGAGAAATTAAAATTTATTTGATTTTACTATTTTTGCATTTGGCAAATAAACAGACATAAAATGATAGGAATTAAATGTCACACAACAGTATAAAAAGTATGGATAAGCATAATAAATATTACTTGAAAAACTAAAAAGAATTAAAGTTTAGATTCGGAGAAATCACAAATTCATAATGTAGTAAAATATAGTTAGCTATCAATATAATCATGTAAAAGATATGTTATGAATTATTTTCCAAAAAAAGTAAGTTGGCATTATTTCTATTTTCCAGATATCAATTTAATGTGTTAAATCACACTCTTTGTTATGGTATTAATGTTCAATTTTGAGTAACTATTAGCAATATCATTGGAGATTGTTAAAGAAGTTGAACAAAGTTATTTTTAAATAAAAAATCAGAAAATATTTTAAAAATTTTTATGTAATTGTTTCTGCACTTATCTTTCTAAATTATTTTTATCAGGAAATTAAGTATAAGTGAATAAGGAAAATAGAGAATGCTACCTTTTAATTAGTTTTTAAAATTTAATTTTACTATTCAAGCAATTTTAACAATGAAACTATTGAACCTACAGTACATACACCAAATTATCATAGGTGCTTTTGTTTTCTCACTTAATGCACTAAAATTAATATTTACCACCGGATAAAGGGATACAAGAGTTACTTTGGGGTGATGCTGTAATTCACTTTGCTCACTAAGGTATGTAACAGTTTCTTTCAGTTTGGGCTCATATAACCAAATGCTACAAACCAGGTGGTGTAAACAGACATTTATTACACGCAGTTCTGGTAGCTAGCAAGTATAAGATCAAAGTGCCAGCTGACTGTATTGCTGGTGAAGTCTCTCTTCCTGGCTTGCAGACAGCCACCTTCTTTCTGTATCCTCCCTTGGCAGGGAGAGAGAAAGAGAAAGAGAGGATGTTTTCTTGTGTCTCTTTTTCTTCATATAAGGGCACTAAACCCAGGGCTCCACTCTGATGACTTTATCCAAAGATAATTATCTGCAAAAGCTCCAACTTAAATACCGTCACGTTAGGGGTTAGGGCCTCCATATATGAATTTTAGGAGTACACAATTCGGTCCATAGCATTTGCCCACCACCCTCTCCAAACTCATGTCCTCACATGCAAAATACATGCATTTCATCCTACTTGCTCCAAAAAACTTATTCTAACATCTATTCTAAAATCCAATGTTTTACCTAATATCATCTAAATCACATATTACTGAGATTGAAGTTAATAATTCATCCTGAGCCTAAATTCTCCTCTACCTGTGAACCTGTAAAAACTTGTAGACAAGTAATGTGCTTTCAAAATTTAATGGTGGAATAGCCTGGAAAGACATTTTCACTCCAAAGGAGAGAAAACATAAAGAAGGAAGTGGTGATAAGTCCTAAGCAAGTGTAAAATTTAGCAAGAGAAATTCTATTATATCTTAACATTTAAGAGTAATCCTCTTTGGTTCAATGCTCTACCTTTTGGACCTACCAGTGTAGGAGCTGCTCTCTGTGGCTCTTTCAGAAAGAGATCCCACACCCAAGAACCTGGGTCTCCACTCTCTTAAAGTTCATCAGCACAATTTCACCCTGAAAGCTTTGGGAGGAGGCCCCCTGGCCTTTTGAAACCTAGTCCATGTCTCTGATGACCTCTGATATGCTTTCAGTCTCCTTATTCTAGTTTATTGGATAATGATGTTCCTTTGCAGCTGAATATCACTATGGTCCATACTAACAAAATCTAAAAAGTTGATTAAGTTCATTAGTTGCACCCATGACCTCTTTATGAAATGGTTATTCAGCTATCCCCAAGTGTTCTCTTAAGAACAGTGTTCTCAGTTTTTGCAGTATAGATAGGCTGAGAATTTGCCAATATTTTCAAGTTCTCATTCAGTTTAACTTAACTATTATTACTTTATCTTTTTTTTTGTATTTTACTATAAGCATTCAAGAGAAATCAAGCTACTCCTTCAACACTTTTATTAGAAATCTCCTGAATTAAATATCTAATTTCATCACTCCTAAGTTCTGCCTTCCGTGAAAGATTAGAACACAGTCCAGCTAAGTTCTTTGACACTTTATATCAAGCATTACCTTTCCTCCAGTTTGCAATAACATGTTCTTATTTTGGTCTGATTCCTCACCAAAATTGATTTTAACATCCATATTTATATCAGGCACCTCAAACTCCTCCAGCTTTGACCCATTACCCAGTTCTAAAGCTGCTGCCGCATTTTTTAATATTTCTTACAGCAGCATTCCACTTCTTAGTACCAATATCTGTCAAAGTCAGCTGGAGCTTCTATAAAAATATATCGTAGACTAGGTAGTATAAACAACAGATTTATTTCTCATGGTTCTGGAGAATAGGAAGTTCAAGGTCAAGGTGCTGGCCAATTTAGTTCCTGATGAGGGCTTTCTGACTTGCAGTATGCCTTCTCACATGGTGGAGAGAGTGCAAGACGTCTGATACCTTTTTTTTTTCTTCCAAAGGCACTAATCCCATCATGAGAGCCCTACCTTCATGAACTCATATAAAATAAATTATCCCAAAGGTCCTGTCTTCAAGTACAATCGCTTTTGGGGTTTGAGTTTTAACATAAGATTTTCAGGGGGACAAAATTCAGTTCTCAGCAGACAGTATTTCAAATTGTCATTCTTCTGTAACTCATTTTATACTTATGTGCTTTAATATACTAAAGAAAACAAATGACTTTAGACTTTTCCATAATTCTTTCTTTAGAAAGGGTAACAAGCTGCTGACACTTTGGTCACTTTTTTTCTGTTATTGTCCAGTTGGTAATAGAATTTGGAGAAACAGAGAATATGAAGATCAATAGACACAGCAAGGTGATAAATGCCTTATTTTTACTTGTACTTGTGTCTTAAAACTACTTTTTTGTATGTTCAGTTAGCAGGTGTAGAAAATAGAACACAATGGAAATAAATAGACATAGCAGAAAGTGCCTGCTCTGTGAAAATAACTGTCAAGAGAATGAAAAGACAAGCCGCTGACTGGGAGAAAATATTTGCAAAGACACATCTAATAACATCTGATAAAATACTATTATCCGAAATATACAAAAAACTCTTAAAAGTCAACAATAGGAAATTATACAATCTGACTTTAAAATGGGTTACAGGCCTTAATAGACATATCATAAAATAAAATATACAGATGGCAAATAAGCATATAAAAACATGCTGCTCATCATATGTCATCAGGGAAATACAAATTTAAAAAATGAGATATCACTACATACTACTTTAAAAGACAGTTTGGTGGTTTCTTAGAAAAGGAAACATACTCTTATCATGTGATTTAGCAGTCACACTCTTTGGTGTTTGACCAAAGGAGTTTAAAACTTATGCCTACAGAAAAATCTGCAAACAATAGTTATCACAGCTTTATTAATCATTGCCGAAACTTGGAACCAACCAAGATGTCCTGTGGAACACACAAGATTTTTAGGGAAGAAAATATACTCTAATGATGAATACATATAATTACACATTTTTCTAAACCCATAAAATGTACAACATCAAGAGTGAGCCCTAATATAAACTATGAACTTGGAGTGACAATAGTTTGTCCATGTAAATTCATTGATTGTGACAAATGTACCACTCTGATAATGGGGGAGGCTATGCATGTATTGCTGCAGGGACTCCTTGTACCTTCTTCTCAATTTTGCTGTGAACTTAAAACCACTGATTCTCGTATACACTAATCAGCCTGGGTTTAAATCCCCTCTATGTCACTTACTATATTAGTTTTTCATTACTTTGTAACAATTCACCCCAATATTTAGCTGCTTAAAACACAAAAGCATTTATCATTTACTTTTTTTTCCTGTAAATCAGACATCTTAGGGCAGCTGAGCTGAGTGGTTTCGGCTTAAGATAATCTCTTAAGACTGCAACAAGGTATTGATTGGGGCTTGCTTGTAGCTATTCTAAGATTTGAAGAAGAGGTGACTGGGGAATGGTAGGTCTTGTTTCCAAGCTCACTCACATGGCTCTCTGTGAGGTCTGCTTCTACATACTATGGCAGCTAATTTTCCTAGAGCAAGTGATCCAAAGAGAGAATGAGAGAAAGCTTTCAGAACGGAAATTGCAGTCTTTTATAGTCTAATCTTGGGAATGACATTCAATCATTTCTGCCATGGTCTTTGTTATTAGAACAGTCAGTAAATCTAACCAAAACTCAAGGAGAGAGATTACATAAGGGTATGGATATTAAAATGGCAGGACCATTGAGAATTGTTTTAGAGGATCCCTACCACACTTCATATGTGTCATGTTTCCTTGCTTCTAGAATTAGACTAATAATGTTAGTCTCATGGAAAATAAATTGATAATTGTGAAACATAATGGCTCACAGCAACCTCTCAATAAATGTCATCCATGGTCATGAGAATGGCATCCATTGCTTGAATTTCTCCCAATGTAGTCAATACTGCTCTAGCTACCCTCCAGCATCCTCTGCTCCAATCAATCCTTCTATGAGGCTCCCAGATTTTTATTTAGACACTACATTTATTGTGTATCTCCATATTATGCTGCCCTTTACAATGATTTTATTCCTCACTACATCGAAACTCCAACTTTCACTGCCCTTTATAATCTAGTCTTTTACTTCCCAGGTACCAAACAGACTCTTGGCTTTAACTGGACAAAGATCCAGATTTTCATTGAATTATATTCTCCTGTACTCTTTTTTATAGTTTTTACTTTCTACATTGAGTCTATAATGCAAGCCTCACTAACTAATGTAGTTTTCTCAGAATTATGGACACAATGTTGAACAAGTCGATGCCTGTACTTAAAGAATGACTGATTAAAAGGGGGAAACAGAACAATTAAGGGGGAATTACAATGTAGCATGATACATACCCATTAGGTTATAGCCATTGCTGCTATGGAAAAAAACATCTTACAACATGGCATAACCCCACCTCTACTAAAAATACAAAAAATAGCTGGGTGTGGTGGCCCATGCCTGTAGTCCAAGCTACTGGAGAGGCTGAAGTGGGAGGATTGCTTAAGACCCGGATGTCAACGCTGTAGTGAGCCATGGTCATGCTGCTGCACTCCAGCCAGAGTGACAGAGTGAGACCCTGTATAAAAAAAAAAAAAAAACCCAAAAACATATTAATATTTAATAATCTAGGTTAGGGATCAAAGAAGACATTTTGACAAGAAGCTACACTTAATATAAAGTCTGAAAGAGAAAAAGAGATAATTAGATAAGAGGCAAGCAGATAAGAAGGTGTAGAAATTAAGGGTTGGGGGTAAGTGAATAAAAAGCAAGCCCAGGGCATGTGAAAATACTGTATTATTCACTAATTGTTTCATCTGCATAGGTTGCAATTAACCAATGGGATCATATCTCACTCACCTATAATGTAGCAATAATGTCCCTAATTTTCTTCCATATTTCATCCACCCCTAGGTCCAGGGCTACAGATTAATTACTAATCAATAATTAAAACATGACTTATTCATATGAATGCAACACTATAGCTTTCTATATCTCTAATTATTTGACAGTTATATTTATATGTTAACTTAAGAAAATATAACTACCAGTAGTTGTTGATTTGAGATTATGGTACTATGCACAACAAGTTACAAGTCCAAATCCATTTAAAGGGACAACCCTGTTCATCTTCCACATACTCCAGTTTGCTATGTTTATGTAATGGCTTTGGAGTCAGACTGCCTGGGCTCAATTTGGAGATAGATAGATTAGATAGACTTTATATAATTATACATAAAGGTAAGTTATTTAACCTCTCAGCCTCAATTACTTCATTTCTGAAATGGAAATTAACACTTACCTTAATAGGATTCAATGATTATTACGATGATGATTGATTATTACTTTGAGTGAAACTCCTCCAGCTTATAATGCATAATTTATGAGTATTCATGAGGTTTATGGAATTTTGACTAGTGTCCACTCAGCTTAGAATAATGCTCAATTTGTTCATACATTTATTCATTCATTCATTCATCAAAAAATGAAGCTTCCAGCATATGCTGGGCTCCTGTTGGGGGCTAGTGAGGTGAAGATGTATAATAAACATTCCCTGCCCAGCTGTTGCTTATGGGATACAAAGCAGAGCAGTTATTTGGGCTATGAAACAAAATAAAGTTTGGCAAATGTAGCTGAGCTACTATGGTGGTACAATAGAAAATTTGATCAACTTTGCCTCAGAGGATAAAAAAAAAAAAAGCAAGAACAGCATCCTGGAGTAAAAAAAGGTTTGACTTGATTCTCAAACAATTAATAGGAGTTTTGCATGAGAACGCACAAGGAAAGGCATTCCAAGAGGAGGAAAATGTATAAAGAATTACTAGACAGATGATGATTATTAAAATGTCAATATTTTGTGTGGACAAATTCTGAATTCAGGTGTTATTTTTAGAAAATATTTACATGTTATCTCTTTATTGTTATAAAAATCAAAGCACAGAGGAATATGGAAACTTCTCCATAGTATATTGCGTAATTCTTATATATGTTAAATAGTGTGCTACTCAGTCACATTCTACCCCTTCTCTTTCTATCCCATTTCTTAATATCTATAAGGCAAATTCAAAACAGCTAGGATATAATATTTTGTAAAAAACATGTTAATGGAACTATGGGTACATTTCCATGATAGCTGTTTCTTCTCTTCTCTTCTGTGTTTATAATGCACAGTTTGACAAGATGGGGGATGAGTGGTGGCCAGAAAGGGAAAATGATCTATACTGTCTCCTATTAGATACTGGGCATGGATGGAAATGGGCAAGTTATTTACTAAATAAAAACAGATACTCTGGAGAGTAACATCCACTCTAATCAGTAATATCATTTACTTGTAGGTTAGGGACACAGGAACATAATCTGCTCTGTTTTAAAGATTAGCTGAAAACCCTATTGGCTTCAGTCATCTAGAGGAATTATATTTACCATTAAATGTTATTACATTAAGTTAACATTAAATGTTACCACAATTTATTCTTAAAATAATACTGTAGAAGTTAGTATAAGATAAACTTGACTGTTTTTAAAATATATACATATAGCATAATTTAAATAAGGAAAAGAGTGATATCAAATTATAATTGCTAAAAAGGAGCTGAAATAGGAAATTGTCTTTTCGAATAAAAATCAGTGTCATTGTAAGAAGAAATAAAATAATTCCTGCTAGGCCAACTTTTAAAACCAATATTTTATCATACCTTCATAAAAGATATTTTACTGATAATGTAGGCATAGCGGTGATATACAACTTCCTCCTTTCTCTATACCCCTAAAAAAAAAAAAAAAAAACAAACAAACAAAAAAAAAACAACAACAACAACAAAAGAAAGGAGAATATTCTACGTGCCAGAGATAATTACTCTTATTTGTGCCTCATAATCAGTGTATCTCCAGAAGGGAACAATATTAAACACATTTAGAAGTAGCATAAATACTTTATGACTTTTGAAGTATGAAAGTATAAACAGTTCTTATTCTTATAGTGGCAATAAAAGTTGAACATTCAATATATCCGTGTCATGCAACTTAAAGCAATTGGTGTTCTTTCAAATTAATTTAAGCAGTATGCATGATAGAAGTGGAAGGTAGTTGTTTATGACTAAATTTTAAGCCCTATTTATGGAGCAAATTATTTGACTTTAAACAGCAAAATGTTACTAATCAAAGAAACTAAGAATACTGAGTTTGCTTATGTTTCATGAACACAATTATCACATATTATTTCTATGCATTTATAAAACAATTTTATTTTAAACTTAATTTTATAAAAATGTTACAATTTGTTCTTAAAATAATACACATTTTAAGCTGACTTACACAGGTGAAACTTTAGAATACACCTTTAGCTTCAGAATCAATGTTAAAAGAAATCACTAACACAGTCAGATATATGCTGTACTTTAGATAATGCCATTTTAGCAATATTAACTTTAGTAATTATAGAAAAGCATAAAAATTTGGGACTTCCATGACATTCATTAAGATTTTATAATTCATTATGTGAAATTACCTGTTTCGTAAAGGTAAAAATAAATACCCGTTAAAATTTATCATTTGTTTTTCTTAACTTCGTTGTTAAGACAAAGGGTCTTGGTAAATATAAATGAGCCTTAAAATATAAAATAATTACAAGTCAGCTACTACCTGAATTGTGAATAGTCTGGAGATACCACATACATAGCAATGATTGATTGAGCACTGTCTATTTCCCCATGGCTTGCTCTCAGTTTTGCTGCAGATAATACCTAAGCCAGCCTCATGCATTGGGACTATCTGCAGGGCAATCCTTGGATTTCTGATCCACATTTTCTTCTTGCTATATAATTCGGCTCTTTCTACTTCAGATAGTCACCTTTCCACAGCTAAATACAGATATTTAACTCTAGGTTTTGCCCTCTTCATTCTCTTAGTATAAGTAACATAGGAAATGGGTCTTCTCCCTTGCCCGTTTTCATTCATTTGCAAAGCAAATTTCAACTCTGATTGTTACTAATAACTAGTTGGGTAGACTTAGAAACAAAGCTCTATAAAAGTATGTGAAAATAATATGACTCAAATTTAAAAAATAGAAATTAAAAATAAGAGCTTTAAGGCTGGTACAGGATACTGAGCATTTAAGTCAACTGGAAATTTTATATGGGAATTCTGGAAACAATCAAAGTATCTCATAGCCTCCTTTCTGTTTAACTGAACAAAGTCTTCAGATTAAGAATTTTAACTATGCTAAAAATGATAGATTTCACATTTTGATGCTATTGTAAGTGGTATTTAATTTCAACTTCTGAGTTTTCATTGGTTGCATATAAAAATACATTGATTTTTGCATATTGCCTCTTATATTCTGCAAACTTGCTAAGCTTATTCTAGTTGCTTCTTGAAGATTTCATAAAATTTTCTACACAGGTTAGTCATGTCATCTGTCAGTAAAGAGGGTTTGCTTCTTACTTTCTAATGTGGATGATTTACATATTTTGCTTGCCTGTTGTACTACATAAAACCTCCAGAACAATGCTGATTAGAATTCTTGAGAGCAAACACCCTTGTTCTCATCCTAATCTTACGTGAAAAACTATTTTCTTTCACAAGTAAGTATAATGATAACTGTAAGTTGGTTGTAGGTGCCATTTTTGCAGTGAAGGAAGTCCCTTTCTATTTGTAGTTTGCTGAGAGTTTTTTTTAAATCAGGAATGGATATTAGATTTTATCTAATGCTATTTCTGAATCTATTGAGATGACCACATAATTTTACTTTATTATTTGTTAATATGGTATGTAACACTGATTGATTTTCAGAAGTTAAATTATACGTATATTTCTGTTAAGAATTTTTGTAGTTTCAATTTTTTATCTGCATTTGCGTAATAATTATTGCTTTCTGTCATTTTTGACATTTCAATTTTGTAAAACTATCAAAAAGCAATTTGGGATGTTATAGTATCTTTTATTTAGAACTCATTTCTTAACAGGAAATCATATCCAGAGCAAGATGGAGATAGAGTAATAATTGACAGCTTTATCTGTTCCCCAAATACACATGTTTATATTTTAAAAAATATATTATTTTTATAAGATATATATATTACATATAAATAACATAGTGTTATAATGTATTGTAAACAAATGGAAATTTCAGGAAGGAGACACATATATGAATTTAAAATAGGCAACTTCTAAATATAAGTAGAGAGTAAAGTCAACAGAGCATATCCCTAATCTACTAGTTAATTTAGAAATATTATTAAATATGTGCCAAACACTATTTTTGGTGCCTGGGATATGGCATCAACTGGAACCCCAGCCCTAGATTTATATTCTGTGTCAAGGTCAGGCAATAGAAAACTGTACACTGAATGTAATATTAAGAAGTAATAATCACATTGACAAAACTTAAACCAGGACAAGCAATAGGCAGTAGAAAGTGGCAGCAGCAGGGGGAAAGGCTACTTTAGAGACGATAGTCAGAGAAGGCTTCTCAGAGAAAGTAGGGTTTCACTCTGTTCATTAATGAAATGAGAGCCATACAAAGATCTGAGTGAACAGCCTTCTAGGCAAGGGAAGAACAAGACCAAAGTTCTGGGGAGAGAACGAGTTTGGCAATTTCTTATGTGAAGAAAACCAAGAAGGCTGGTGAGGCTAGAGTTGATATCACATGAGGCCTTCTAACTTAGAAAGGAGTGGAAAATTAATTTCTAAATAAAGTAAAAAGACAAGGATAGCTTTGAGCAGGGGAGTGACAAATGCCGGCTTTTGAGGCCTCCATATTATTTTATGGTTTTCTCACTTCAGGAGTGTCCATGCTCCCCTCAGTACAGGAATAATCAGAGGAAGAGTCAGATTGCTTTGGGCAGTCTGGACTCAGTGCACAACTCATGGTTGTTCCATACATTTTAATCAGCAGTCCAGTTGAATAATTGGTTGCAAGAAACTACCTATACAGCAGTTAGTTCCCATTTTGTTCAAATATACCAACTGATTCATTAAGATTTTTCTGGAATTGGAGGATAATTAAAATGTTGGAATATAAATAGAGGTCTCTTAGTTAAAAGAGGAGTGAGAGACAATTCTGAGCATTGATTTTTAAAGCTCCCTAATCAACTGGGGCAAATACTCATGATTATAGGGACAGCACAAAATGGAACAGGTAGATTTTAAAAAAACCAACAGGATAAAAACATCATCCTCTAACCAACACGATACCCTTTGGGCTACTTGAATATACACAAAGACCTCAGGGCACTGGTAACACTTCTCTTCCCTGGTCGCACCTGACATAAAGCTATTCAGTTTTCAATATTTTGCTAATCATATCATATATAATGTGAACATATCTTTTTATAGAGTCTAATATTTCTGTTATATATTGCTTTATTGATAGCTACTTTAGTTGGGGTGGATTTCATTATATTACCTCTATTTCTTTGACAAGTACTTTTTCAGAATTCACTATGTATACAGTTAAGTAATATAAAATGTTCTCTTTTCTATTACTCCCTATCCTTGGGTTGTTTTATGATTGCAATGAAATGATGTTGTTACTAAAGTGATTATAAAGCACCTAATGTTTCTGGATGCAGAAAGGTAGGACCTTATTTTAGGGACATTTTTATGACCCAGAGGACTAAAAGTGCTGCAATGGTAGAAATCCATATTGTATTAAATGACATCATACATTTGGATTCACTCAGTGTTTTTAAAATCTGCTACCATAGTTTTCTCCATTTTAAAACACATGTAGACCTAGATTTTTGCTGAGGCTGCTCTTCAGTTAGCAATGTTCCTAAGTCTATCAACCTGCACACAACTTCATGCTCTAAATATGCCCACATCCATAAAAACTCACCAATACATTGCCCTGTTCCTCAGGACACTGTTCTCCAAACTGGGTGGAAAAGTCAGCCCTCCTAATATGTTGACTATCCAGCTAAAATGCACTTCTATAGTTTCTATACAGTTGTTGAGAATAGCGTGTATTAGGGAAATGGTACAGATAGGAAGAATAGTAAAGAGGCAATTGCAGTAAGAGAAATTAGGGTTTTTCAGACCCAGATGGTATCACAGTATGGTCAGAGACGTGGTCAAATTCTATCTATATTTTGAAGCCAGCGTCAACTGGATTTTCTCTCTCATTAGATACGAGGTGAGAGAAAGAAAAAGGTAAGGATAAATTCACAGTTTTTGTTGTTAGCAAATGGAAGAGAGGAGCCACCATTTTCTGAGAGTAGAATGGTTCTGGACAAGTTAAACGTTAAGTATCTGGTCGGTGTTCAAGTGGAGATGTTGAGAGATATGGCAGATATGCATATAAGTCAAGAGCTCATCAGAAAGATGTCTACTAGAGTTATACATGTTTAGAAGTCCTCATATAGATGGACAATGTAGGAAATAAGTTTAAATAAAGCAAAGGACAGATATATGAATTTTGGGACACTCCAATAGGAAGCAGTCCATTAGAATCAAAATAAAGCATATTTGAACTAAATAACTGTATCAATTATTTACTCCAAAATGAATAAAGGAAGAGAAAGAGAAACGATTTTGAATAATAACCAATGGGACTCTAAATGGAAGCATTCATTTTTTTTATAATAATATTTTGTAATTGGTTATAAATTTTCACCTCTGGAGAGCAAGAACTATGCAGTTTGATGATTTATAATACTTTCAAAATATTTTATTGACTTTATAATAGATAAATGAGAACTTTGTAATTTTAGAAAATAACTTTTATATTCTTGAGAGAACATGTGCAGATAAGAAATAATTTTCAAAATTGCCATTTTAATTAATGAAACCTTAAAATTACATTTAAAGTTGGATATGTGCTTTGTTATTTTTATTATATTATCTTTTCTTTCATGTATTCTTTAGTTATTTCATTATTTTTATTGAAAAGTTTGGGTTGATATTTCTTTTGATTAATTTCACTTCTTAATTACTTTCCATTAAGTATGTATTTCAAATTAATATATACGTATCATTTATTTAACTACTGTTTCAGGAGAAGTACAAAGGTTCATCCTAGGAAATACACTCCAGCTGTAAGACTATATTTTCTGTTATCTTCTATTATGTTAGGAAAATGTAAATTATATTGTGAAACAATTTGTTTTGGGCGTTCTTGACTGACATCCTACTTTAGCATTTACCCAAATTTAACAAAAACTTGTATTCATAAATCAGTTTGCTCTTAGTCAAGGATTATCATGAAAACTAAGGCATCCAGGTACGTGTGTGTCTGTGTCTGTGGTGGTGTGAGTGCATATCTATGTGTGTGTATGTATGTGGGGTATGTGTTTTTTCATGAGCACATTTTTATGATTTATTGTTTTTCATAATCTTTCTATAATAGACATGAATACATGTAAGTCAAACTAAAATTATTATGTATGGATCATTTGTTATAAGCCACGTATCAAGGGAAGCAACAATTATGCAAAAAAGCACAGTACTATTTCCCAAAATGCTAGTTTACTTCTTGCAAAGTTTTAAAATGCAGTGACTTATTTCTGTCAATGTGCAAGTTTCTCTTGTTACGGATTCTAAGGTGTTCACAGTTTAATGAGGTAAAAAACATGCCGAATGTCATTATGATACAACGTGAGAAGCAAAATAGTAGAAATAGATCTGCTGTCACACAGCTAAAGGGAATCACTAACCTGAAAAGGTGTAACAGAGAAGGTTTCCATATGGTATTAGCAATTTTTTTTTTAAATTATACTTTAAGTTTTAGGGTACATGTGCACATTGTGCAGGTTAGTTACATATGTATACATGTGCCATGCTGGTGCGCTGCACCCACTAACTCATCATCTAGCATTAGGTATATCTCCCAATGCTATCCCTCCCCCCTCCCCCCACCCCACCACAGTCCCCAGAGTGTGATATTCCCCTTCCTGTGTCCATGTGATCTCATTGTTCAATTCCCACCTATGAGTGAGAATATGCGGTGTTTGGTTTTTTGTTCTTGTGACAGTTTACGGACATGGATGAAATTGGAAATCATCATTCTCGGTATTAGCAATTGTATTTCTGGAAGAACGTCTAGGATGTTTAAATGTCTGCCATCTCACTCTCTTTTTTCTTAGCTAATTGCCTGTCATCTACCAGGTCTTGCTCTTGTCATTTTCTTAGGGATTTCTTCCCATGCACCTCTGGCTGATGGATGTCCCTTTGCTATATGTTCACCTCCTATCAATGGTATTCATTTCTTTACATTGTAATAATGTATTCATTAGTGAAATTATTTGCTTGCTTTTCACTGGACTTCCCTCCCCATCAGAACGAATGCATGGAATATGTCTTTTGTTCACCCTTGTATCCCGGCACCTAACAGAATGCCTGACCTGACCAAAAGGAGGAGCTCAATAATTTCTTACTGGATGAAGAAATAGGAAATTTAAAAAATAATTGAAACTTCAGCTGTGTTAGTTAAATATTATGTTTATATTTTTATCAGATCCTTAAATAACTAAATCACTTTTTCAGGTCCCTTTGTGTTGATTTTACTCAACACAAAATTTTAGAGTAATAATTTGTATTATGGAACTATTAGGTATGTTACTTAATAACGTGCTTCTTATTCTTTTGGCTCTTCAGCAAGTTTAAATATTATCTTCAAAAATTCATAAATTTTTCCCTTTATTGACCTTCAAAGTTGCCTCATAATAAGTATTTCCTACTTCATCTTTTTTTATATCTCTATCACAAATATATTCTGAATGCTTTTCTTGCTCATTTTTTAACTTTAGCTTTCTCCAACCCTGAAACATACAATGGTCTTGTTACTAGTTAGTTTTTCTAAGTTCTATTTGCAAATTTAACAGTAATTATAATATATGACTCTGTCTGTATTTTAAAATTATATTTTATTTTTAGTCATTCAATATACTGAAATTCTAACATTAGAAAGATAAAATATGTTTTACCTCAGGAATATTCTAAACAAGAAAATATTAGGTTGGTGCAAAAGTAATTACGGTTTATGCCATTGAAAGTAATGACAAAAATCGCAATTGCTTTTGCACTAACCTAATAATTTTAATTGAATGTACTTTTCCTTTGCACAAAGAACTTGTAATTTCCAGTGTTATTACTTAGAGTTAATTATAACTTTAATAACTTGTGTCAGGCAGAAAAGAGAGAAAGTAATCTTTCATACCATTACCAAAACTTTCCACTTGTTGGTAGTTTTTCCTGTGGGATTTTTTTTAAATCTGAGATAAATGATATAAACTGATATCAAAAGGAAAACAATTTATAGTTCCTTTTGGGAGGTCAAATTGATAATAATAATATTAAAACCCCATGGAATTCCAGTCCATTAAGAGATATACATATTTGTGAAAAAGAACATCATACACTTTATAAAAAATAAGGATAGGCTAATATCTGCATAGACAAAACTAACTTTATGTTGTTTTTGAAAGACATTTTAAAAGAAAAATGTTTCTGCTTACCTCCAAATTAATGTCTCCTATCATCCTCTGAAATGTCTTTTGTTTAAATAATAAAATCTTCCCTTGAGCTAAAGCCTTATGAGTGTACATAATTAGGATATATTAGTAAGTTGACATGACTGTGTATTGATTAACCAAAATCAGAAGCCTAATGTAAGAAAATATATTTAGTAATATAGATGAAAAATGTAAACCTCACACTGTGAAGACTCTGGAATCTGCTATCTTCCTTGGAAGAGTATCAACTTCTTTGTTTCAGCAGACAGGCATTAAATTAGACGGACTTAAACATTAAACACCAGCATTTGGGTATCAATTCAAATCACCTAATAATGCTGATTATTAAATCACTTAACAATACCTAATAAAGACTGTGGATTGTTCAAAAACTATGGAAGAGTATATATACAATGTTGATCACTCCCTCTCTGGTTCTGTTTTTTCAGGATTCCCCTGACCTCTACAACAAGTTTGGTTGTCTCATATTCTCTCCAGTTCCTTAGGCCAGCTCAAGTTTTATCAGTATCTTTTGGACCCAATGAGTCCTTCCTGGCCTCACTCCAGAAGAAGACTGGCCTCAGTCCAGAGAAACAAAAAATGTGAAATTCACCCACTGGAACTCTCCTTCTCCAAGTATCAGTCTCCTTCCAGAATTTCCGGCTTCTGGTCTCTTTTCAAGGAATTTAGAAGGTACTTTCTATATTCTGTCCAGAGTTTACATCTGTCTACAATACAGGGTTGCTCTGATACTAGCCTACTTCTTTATTTGTGTGATTTTAAAATTAGTTATTACTCTATTCTAATTTGTCTAAAGTCATCTATTTTTCAGAAATATTTACAGGGGCTTACTTTCTAATTTATGTTCGAATACAGGTTACTCTATCTAGCAGTTTATCTCATTTGTTCTTTCAAAGACCAAACTGCTGAACTCGTTAATCTTTTGTGTGGTTTTCGTGTCTGAGTTTCTTTCAGTTCTGCTCTAATTTTGATTATTTTTTGTCTTCTGCTAACTGTGGGGTAGTTTGCTCTCCTTTCCCCAGTTCCTCTAGGGATGATGTTATGTTGTTAATTTGAGATGTTTCTAACTTTCTGATGCAGGCATTTAGCTCTATAAATATCTTTTTTAACACAGCTTTAACTGTTTCCAGAAATTCCTGTATCTTATATCTCTCTTCAAATTTGTTTCAAAGAATTTCTTGATTGCTGCCTTAATTTCATTGTTTACACAAAAGGTACACAATGTTGTTTAATTTACATGTATTTGTATAGTTTTGAGCATTTTTCTTGGTTTTGATTTCTCTTTTTATTGCACTATGGTCTAAGAGTATCGTTGGTATGACTTCAGTTTTGAATTTTCTAAGGATTGTTTTACAGCTGATTTTGTGGTCAGTTTTAGACTATGTGCTCTGTACATATGAGAAGAATGTATATTCTATTGTTTTTGTTGGGGAGAGTTCCGCAGATGTCTAGTAGGTCCATTTGGTCAAGAATCAATTTAAGGCCTTGGATATTTTTGTTTATTTTCTGTCTTGATGATCCATCTAATAGTGTCAGTGAGGTGTTGAAGTCTCTTACTATTATTGTGTAGTTATCTAAGTCTCTTTGCAGGACTCTAAGAAATTGCCTTATGAATCTAGGTCCTCCTGTGTTTGATGCAGACATATTTATGATACTTAGAACTTTTTGTTGAATTAAACCCTTTAACATTACGTAATACCATTCTTTGTCTTTTTAACTGCCTGTTTTGTCTGAAATTAGAATAGCAACACCTGCTTTTTTCTATTTTTCTTTTGCTTTGTAGATTTTTCTCCATCGCTTTACTTTGAGCCTATGGATGCCATTGCCTATTAGGTGGGTCTCTTGAAGACAGCATTCCACTGGGTATTGCTTCTTTATCCAACCTGCCAACTGCACATTTTAATTGGGGCATTTTGTGCATTTACATTCAAGGTTTATAGTGATATGTGTGGATTTGGCCCTATTATCATCTTGTTTGCCGGTTATTACGTAGACTTGTTAGTGTGGTTGCTTTTGTAGTGTCAATGATCTATGTATTCAAGTGTGTCTTTTATGGTGGCTGGAAATGGTGTTTCTTTTCTATATTTAGCACTCCTTTCAATTAGACAGGTCTGGCAGTATATTAGGGTTCTCTAGAGGGACAGAATAATATATATATATATGTGTGTGTGTGTGTGTGTGTGTGTGTGTGTGTATATGTGGGAGTTTATTAAGTATTAACTTATAGGATCACAAGTTCACACAATAGGCTGTCTGCAAGTTTAAGGAAAAGGAAGACCAGTCTGAGTCTCAAAACTGAAGAAGTTGGAGTCCAGTGTTCAAGGGCAGGAAGTATCCAGCACAGGAGAAAGATGTAGGCAGGAAGGGTAGGCCAGTATCCTCTTTCATGTTTTTCTGCCTGCTTTATCTTCGATGGCAGCTGATTAGATTGTGCCCACTAGATTAAGGGTGGGTCTGCCTTCCCCAGCCCAGTGACTCAAATGTTAATCAGCTTTGCCAACACATTCACAGACACACCCAGGATTAACACTTTGTATCCTTCAATCTAACCAAGTTGACACTAGTATTAACCATCACAAGTGGTAATGTATCCCCTTTGCATTTGCTTTTCTGAATAGGACCTTATTTCTCCTTCCTTATGAAACTTAACTTGGCTGGATATTAAATTATTGATTGCAATTTATTTTCTATAAGAATTCTGATTATAAGCATCCTATCTCTTCTGGCTTGTGGGGTTTCTGCTGAAAGTTCTACTGTTAGCCCAGTTGGGTTCCCTTTGTAGGTGACCTGCCCCTTCTCCCTAGCTGCCTTTAACATTTTTTCTTTCATTTTAACCTTGGAAAATCTGAGGACTATATGTCCATGGGATGGTCATCTTGTGTAGTATTTCATAGGGGTTCTTTGCACTTCCTGTATTTGAATGTTGGCCTCTTTAGGAAGGTTAGGGAAATTTCCATGGACAATGTCCTGAAATATGTTTTCCAAGTTGTTTGCTTTCTCTCCCATTCCTTCAGAGTTGCCAGTGGGATATAAATTTGGTCTCTTTACATAATCCCATATTTCTTGGAGGTTTTGTTCATTCTTCATCTTTTTTCTTTATTTTTGTCTGACTGAATTATTATGTAGAACTGCTCTTCGAGGTCTGACAGTCCATCCTCAGCTTGGTTGATCATGCTGTTAATACTCGTGATTGTTCTCTGAAATTCTTGAAGTCAGTTTTTCAGCTCTATCAGATCACTTTGGTTCCTTCCTAAGATGGCCATTTCATCTCTCATCTCCTAAATCATTTTATTGTATTCCTTAGAATGCTTGGACTCCCCTGAATCTTGATGATCTTCATTTCTGTCCATATTCTTAATTCTGTCTGTCATTTCAGTCATTTCAGCCTGGTTGAGAACCACTACTGGAGAACTAGTGTGGTCATTTGGCCATTCTGGTTTTTGAGTGGCCAGAGTTCTTGTACTTGTTCTTTATCATCTGTGTAGACTGCTGTTCCTTCATTTTTTGAAGTTGCTGTCCTTCGTATAGGTGTTTTTGCTGTTACATTTTTTTTTTTAAACTTTCAGGGTTTGATTGTGGTAAACACTGGGTTCAATAAACTAGCTTCATTTCTGGAAGATTTTCAAGGGAAAAGACTCAGCTTAGGACTCCTGGCCTGGGTACTCTAACCCTGGGGCCTGGTGTCAGGCCCCCAGCTTTGTTCTCTGGCCCCTGGAGGCTGTGCTGGAAGGGGTGAGGTGTTTCCAGATCCTGGCCAGAGCACTCTGATGACTGATGCTGGTGAAAGTGCTTTGTTAGATCGGCAGCAATGGGATCTATGCTCATTCACATGTGCTAGCAGCAGCAGCAAGGTGGCAGGGTGCTTGCACATTGACTGGGTGCAGGGTACCCATAGGAGTGGGGCTGCAGTGTTCCTGCATGCACTCATGCTGGCAGCAGAGGTGGGGCAGAGTGTTACTGGGTGTGGGCTGCCAACCTCCATGCACACATTTGTAGCAGTGATGGTGGTTGTGCTAGGGGTGGAGTGGTGGTGTTGTCAGTGTCCACATGTGCATTCACATGGGCAGCAGTGGTGGCACAGGTGGGGCAGGGTTTCAGACCTCAGCGTGTGCATTCACATTGGTGGCAGAGGCTTTGTGGGTAGGCAGGCTCATCCTATATTTTAAAGCTGGTAATTAAAGACATTATGACACTTGGTAATTTTTGTTTCTTTAAGCTGTAGTTTTTAGCAAGAATAAAGATATCAACAGATGCTAATTACTGAAATTTAACTTTTGCTGTTCCTACTGGAACTTACCAAATGTTCTGTTGCATTATTAGATCTGTTTTTCTGGACAAAATATACCTTGAAAACACACATAATAAGAGAAAAAGATTATGGTGAAGTAATCTCCAAAGTTTTCTAAGAGATAAGGAAATAAAAAGTAAAGGGACAAAGAGAAATATGAATGAGGACTGCCTCTGGCTACATACGGAAAATGCTACAATTAGATGTTCAATCAGAGGGCAAGTCTGAGGGGAGTTAGAAATCCTACTATGGGTGCAACTCTAAAATTCTGAAAAAGTAAAGGGATGGTGGAAGGAATTATTTTTGAGAAATATGGCTTCTACTCTGAAACCTTTGATTCTGGGCTTAATTATTTAAGATAGTTCTTGCTAGTTATCCTTGCAGTTTTACTGGTGTAATTGTAAATTGAGTGTTACAATTCCTCTTGAAGTCTCCTAATAATCTATCAGAGGTTTCTTGTTCCTTTTGTCTTTTTGGTCAAATTCATAAAATGAATATAGTATCTTGACAACCTGTTTTAAACATTGCTTGTTTATCCAACTTGCCAACTGCACATTTTAATTGGGGTATTTTTGGACCCAATTAAATAAAGCCTTTACAAAAGGCTTTTATTTCTAGTGCAGTGAAGGCTTTACAATTATTGCATTTACTTTTAACAACAACAACAATACATGGTTTGCACACATTTCATTCCCCTTCATAAACTCTCTCTCTTCTTCTTTCTCTTCGTACTTGTCCTTCCTCCTCCTCCTCTCTCCCTCTCAATGGTGATTTAAAGATAGTCTGTTGCTATTTGAGGACTTTCACAGATCCAGTAACATGGCCACTAGAAATTTTAGTTTATGTCTTGATCCTGATCAAATGCCTGGCTCTTCCATCCATACCCTTAAGTTTATCCAGTGTCAATTTGATAGGGACAGAAGGAAGCCAAGTGCCTAGGTAGGTAGGGGCAGGTACCCTTTGAAAACCCACCTCCAAGCCAAAGACAGTTTAAAGCCTGAAAGCTAAACTACAAGCACCGGATTGAGAACTTGTCCTCCTATTTGGCTTGCTTTCCTCTGATCCCCACTCTTCACCTATTTTACATACACCTAACCTTTTCTAATTGGCTTTCTACACTGCCCTACCCACCTTTAAATGGTGCTTTCACTTTAAGCTTTTTTGCATACTCACAAAACAATCATCATGCACACTCCATCCTGTGCCTGTAAAGGCCCCAGACTCAGTTGGTAGAGAGGAATATGGCCTGACTTTGGAGAAGAGACAACCTGACTTCAGGGAAGATTACCTGCCCTTCTTTTCCCCTCTCTAACTCCCCTCTCTGCTGAGACCTGTTTTCATCTATCAATAACATTCTCCACCTTCACCATCCTTCAATTGTCCTTGTGACCTCATTCTTCTTGGCCACTGGACAAGAGCTTGGGACCCACCAAGTGAGGGTACCCAGAAAAGGCTGTCACACTGGTGCTTTGCCCTCATTGGTGGAGAGCAGCCACACCATGCAATGAGGCAAGGAGCCAACTGAGCTGCTAACACACTGCTGTCTATCATACTGCAGACAGCAGAACTAAAAGACCACTGTAACACCCCCTCTGAGGCTTTGGGGTTGCAGGCACCCTCACTTGGGTGCCACTGTGTTCCCCTCAGGGCAACACACCTGGTCTGGCCATGGGCCCCCATGTGGAGCTTGCTCCTGTGTCAGTGCCTGGAGTGGCCATCTTGATCTCGCACTAGCTCACTCATGTGTTCCCTCCCACAAGGGGCTGAGCACAGAGTGTTGAGTAGATGGGGTGCCCCTGCCATGAGTCCAGTGAAGGGGCTGAGAAAACTCCTGCATCAATTTCATAGTGATTTTTTTTTTCAGCATTTGTGTTTGTTTTTTTTTTTTTTTTGGCCTCTTTCTTTAGCAGGGCCAATCACACTGCTGTCACTGGCTTCAAACTAGAAAGCTGAATCTACCACTTCCCCTCCTTGGCAATTCCTTCTACCCTTTACTCTGTAGGAGCTTCTGTTGCCTGTGTGTTGACCCAGGGCTCACCAATTCAGACCAGTAACTTCATTTCTGCCTAAATGAAAATACAAAATACTATTTTGTATATACCAAATAAAAGTATCCATAACTAGGAAATGAAATGAAAATACAAAACAGCTTTGAAAAAAGTCAAGAACAAAAGAATCTTTGTAGTTTGTCTTGAATGCAATACAAGCAATTCTCACAATTGGCCCATATGATCTAACCAAAACAATTCATTAAACTTGAATATGTTGATGACATATGAGAATGTTGTGTATAGCTGATATGGTTTGACTGTATCCCCACCCAAATCTCAACTTGAATTGTACCTCCCAGAATTCCCACGTGTTGTTGGAGGGACCCAGAGAGAGGTAATTGAATCATCGGGGCCAGTCTTTCCCGTGCTATCCATGTAGTAGTGAATAAGTGTCACGAGATCTGATGGGTTTATCAGGGTTTCTACTTTTGCTTCCTTCTCATTTTTCTTTTGCTGCCACCATGTAAAAAGTGACTTTCACCTCCTGTCATGATTCTGAGCCTTCCCCAGCCATGTGGAACTGTAAATCCAATTAAGCCTCTTTTTCTTTCCAGTCTTGGGTATGTCTTTATCAGCATCATGAAAATGGACTAATACAATAGCCTTTAAGGAACTGTGACTGAATTATATCTGAGTACCCTGGCACTTAGGAGCAAAGTATCCCATCTTTGCCCATGACTGGGCATGCAGATGTCAACAATAATTGAATGCAAGTGCAGCTCTACAAATAAGAAAAATTACGAGATAGTGGTTTGTGAGAAAGGATAGAAAAATAAAGAAGCTGCATTTTCAGTGCTGAATGTATTGTGATTGAATTACTAGATAGTTTCATCTGTCATTGTGGCTGAGCATAAAAAAGTCATACACACAATGCAAAAAAGAAAAGTACATTAATATATCCTACATTAGACTAATCATTTTTGGTATATGGGTTTATTAAATCAGTTGCTATCCATATTTGTGGAAGAATAATACAAGTTAATTGTTCCTACTTTTGGTATATTTCAGTTTCCCAAATGGCTCTTCAGATAATTAATATAGTGGAACTTGTACATGGGATAGGAAACCAAGTTCCTAAGCAAGTATGACTGGCTTGAGTATCACCCTAAACCAAGGTAATGCAAGAGCAGATAAGAATAAAAATAGTGGTAATTATAATAATACTGTAAATAGAATATCCAATGTGCCAGAGATGATTCTGGCACAATGGCAGGCTTTGCCTAGGTGAAGAAAATTATACTTCATGAGAATGCCAGAGTTTTCAATCTATTTTGAGCCTTAGGATCAATAGATGTTTGCCCACTGATGCACTTTTGGCCTTAATTCACCAAGACAAACTTGGCTTTTAAGATATGCTATCTAGATTTCCATATCATTCAATTTATAACAATTTTTCTCAATGCATTCATTCAAGTTTACACCAATTTTTGAATACAAACTAATGTGCCAGTTAACATACTAGGTGCTGTGTATACATTGAACAGAAATGATACCTGTTGTCACAAAACACAAGTATGCATTAAGGAACATGATATTTCATATTGATATTACTATTTTGTAAAATTAATCTGAATTAATAAACTTAATTTTAGACCCACAAAATGCAGGGCTGAGACATGTTCTAGCTTTCTGTATCTACTTCATATGTTACTATTTTAGATGGACTATCTGAATAGATGGAAAAAGCAGAAAATATATTTGAAGCAGCCTTAAAAATAGGACAAAATTGAAATAATTATCAGTTCACATTCATAGCAGATTGACACATATTACTGTATCAGATATGTACTGGACAGTGTATCTGTTAGATATTTATAATTGTATTTAAAAACATAAAGTAAGGTATGGAAGTATTAAAAAGCTGAACATAAGTTAGCCATGGTAGGGGCTTGAAGTTTTTGTAGAGCTCAAGAAGTATTCGTTTTATTTCTATTTTTTTAAGTTTTCAATGAAAATGTATAAATGGATTACCTATATTCTTCAAACATCCTTTAGTATTCCAAGATGTTATGTTTTATTTTATAAGTGACCTAACATCAGGCACTGGATGAAGAATAACATACACCTTCTAGCATTCTCATCAATGTAGTTTTCAGCATAAAAACATTAACATTTTTGTGTTTTTGTATGGTCTCCAATGGGACTAAATTGAAAATGAATTAAAACAAGAAAAAATAAAACCAAGTTAACTCAGTAACCAATGGGACTGATACAGTAAAAACCATTAGTGACAGAGTATTAATAGATTGGCTAAAATCTATTTAAAAATTGCTCATTCCAAATATGCAGTGTTCCATGTAATAGAATATAATACTAAGCTAGAAATTTGGATTTGCTTATGTAAATCTGGCTTATTCCACATAAATAAGATATGTGGCTTAAGCCAGTGACTGAATTGTGAATTTTTGTTGAATTTCTCTGGATTTATTTAAGATGAAATGAATATTGAATGAAAGTACCAGAAAATGTATTACTTTACTTATAAGATGATATGGTTTGGCTGTGTCCCCATCCAAAACTCATCTTGAATTGTAATTCCCATATTCCTCACGTGTTGTGGGAGGGGCCTGGTAATCAAATCATGAGGGCAGTTACCCTCATGCTGTTCTCGTGATAGCGAGTGAGTTCTCATGAGATCTGATGGTTTTATAAGGGACTTTTCCCCTTTTGCTTGGCACTTCTCCTTCCTGCCACCATGTGAAAAAGGACATGTTTGCTTCTCCTTCTGCCATGATTGTAAGTATACTGTTTATCTCCAAGCTGATCAATTTGTATATTTTAAATATGTAAAGCTTTTTGTATGTCAGTAATATCTCAGTAAGTAATTAAAAATAAAAATTTGGTCACTCCTATGTTTAAAAAAGAAAATAAATTTTCTATCATTGCCATTTTGCTAATAATTTTTAAAAATCCTGGGTGTTAAAATATGTGAGATCCTTTTGTTGCGTCTATCGTGTGAGCTTATCTTTTGTTAATGTAATAAATTGTTTATTTGCTTTTTGATTATTAAAGCAATTTTGTATTCCTGAAATGAAACTTAGCCGTGATCTATAGTACTTTCTATACATTACTGAGCAATTGGATATGCTGTTTTTTCTATTTTCTGCATATCTGTTTATGATTTTTATTGCCCTATATCTAATATCTTTTTAATGCTGTTGTCAGATTTTGGTATAGAGCTTATGCTGGCACAAAAAAGAGTGAGAGGTATGCCCTTTTACTATCCCCTGAAAGACTGTTTTGTAAGATTGATGTTAGTTGTTACTTATAATAGAAAAAGATATTGCTAAATCTATCCTTTTTGAAGATTTTCACTTGCAGATTCAATTTCTTTAATAGACATAAAGCTCTACACATTTTCTATTTATTCTTGAATCAGAATTGGTAAGCTTGGGCTTTTATAGAATTTTTTACTTCTATCAAAATTTTCAAATGTTTTTACATAAAGCTGCCATAGAAATTATTCATATTTGTAGTATTGGTATAGAAGTAAACTTTTTTTATTTCTGATGTTTGCAATTTATAATTTTCATTTTTAAATTTTGATATTGATTTATCAAATTTATTAGTGTGTTAATGAACTAGTGTTTGGCTTCATTGATATTTCTATATTCTATACTTGTTTTCTAATTCATCTATTTCTATCATATTTCTTTTAATTCTATGTGAGTTTAATTTGTCACGTTATCTTCTAGCCCCTTGAAATGAATGCTTAAAGACATGATATTCAGTCTTTCTTTTATAAAATATACAGGCAAGGTATATATTAAGTATATATATATATATTTGTCCCTAAGTCATGTCTTACTTAATTCTTACAAGTTTTTATGTGCCACAATTTTATTTCCATTCCATTTAAAATAATTTCTAATTTCCACTGTGATATCATTAAAAAAACATGGGTTATTTAGATGTGTTTTCTTTTAAAGTTAGAATTTTTTGATTGATTTTTTCACTTCATACCACTGAGGCTAGAGAAAATGCTCTTTATGATTCAATCATTTGAAATGTATTAAGGTCTTCTCTATTTTTCAATATGTGGTCGATGTCTATGATTATCATTTGTAATTTTAAAAGCAGGGATAATGTGCAGTCATTGAGTGCAGAAGTCTATATATGCCTATTATGTAAAGTTTGTAAAATAAGTTTTCAATCTTCTGTATCCTTAGTTCCCCTATATTCTCACCAGTAACTAAAAGGTATGTTAAATATTTTCATATTATTATTGATTTATTTATTTCTTATACACATTTTATCAACTTTGTAATTTATACACTTTAAAGCTAAATTTTGATACTTAGATACCTTTAGGATTGTTATATCTTCCTGCAGAATCCATGCTTTATTTCATAAAGAAATGCCCTTTTTATGTCTTGTTATGCGTATGATTTAAAATCTTTGTTGTTAGAAGTAAATTAGTTTTCCTGATGATTTCATATATTTCTCAATCTTTTTACTTTCAACTGTTCTGTCTCTATATCTGTAATTTTTAAATAGTTGTTAATGATGCTATTTTTATTGTTTTAAACCAGAATCTGATAGTTTTTTTCTAAACAGGAGAATATGCTCAATATCTATTTCATGTGTTTAGTGATGAATTTCAGTTTATATCTACAATTCTATAATTCCTTTGTTTTTATAGTTCTTCTCCTTATTTGACTTCATTTGCTTACATCAATATAATTTTATTGTTATATTTTGTTCTATTTATCTGATAGCAGTGTATTCCTTAATATTCCTTGGCATATTAGAGTCTAATTTAAACCATGCAATATTAGAATTTGGATATTATAATGCTATGACCACACTTATTCCCTTTTTATATTTTGAGCTATTGTTGTCATATGTTCTAATTCCTCATATATTTTAAACCTCAGCATTTCATTAATTTATTATTTTAAACAGACAACATTCATTTTTTGAGGTTTTTTTTTTTTTTCTGCAATACTGGATCAATGTCAGAGATAATGTTCCGTCTGTGTAAAGACCTCCTTTTAGAAAGAGGTCTTTCTATTGATAGTAAATTTTGATAATTCCATATTAATGATTATTTATTTTTGATATTCTGAAGATTTAATGTAATAGTTTTTTATACTTTCATTATATCTGAGTTTTATTTATCTTTTGATAAACATATATGTTATTTATAACATATGTCTTTGAGAAAGAATATTTAAGAGTCAATTTGTTTTTAAAGAGAGTCATTAGTGAAATGTTAAACTGAAGAACAAGCCTTAATAGGTTAAGAATAAATTTGAGGTGAGACAGAGTATAGCTTACTGTATCTGATTAGCGCCATAATTTGTTAAAATTAGGGTGGAAGAAATACCTCAAAGAGAGAAAAACAGAAAATATTTACGTGAATATGCTACGCAATATATCAAACCTCATATTGAACTTAATGCTCTCTATATTTTGATCACTCTTTCCAGAGTTCTCTATTCTTAAAATTCTTTCCTTCTGGCCTACCACTGATTATATGCAAAATATTCTAGTCCTAGTCGAAACTACTGGCTCAACTACACTGAGGAAAATAATATTTCCTTCTAGCATAGTGTCCAGAATGAATCTAAGTAGAAGAAGGGAAGACGAGAAGGACACAAGAAGGAAGACAAGGAAAAATGTCGACCTCAAAGAACTAGAGGAACAACACTGGAGTTATACGAAACACCCAGAATTAGAATCAGAGCAATTTGATTGGATTTACTACAGCTGATTCTAGATACAAGAACTTTACCGAGCCATTTACAATTTTTGTGCTTCAATTTCATCATTTTAAAACAGAAAGAAAGCATTTACCTTATACGCTTGTTGCTTAGATTATAAAGGAATTATCTATATAAAAAGTACAATAAAGAAGAATATAAATGTAAGAATGTAGAGGGTCACAAACATTGTTTGAAATATCCATGCTTTTCATTTTGGAGTGAAAAGAGGAAAAATACTAACTGTAAAATTAAATTCATTACTATATCAAAGTCAAGCCTGCCTATCAAGTCATTTGACAGTTAAAAATGTTTTGTTTATCCCATAAACTTTATGAAAAAACTAGTTCATTGCCAAAGGGATGTTACTTACAGCAAAATCTCTAGAAGCTCTGAAATAGAATTTGAGTTTTATTTGCATTTTATTTTTACATTCTTACTACTCTACTAACTACATTCTGCCTAAGTAAATATGCTCAAAGCTTTAAAAGTAGGCTGAATGAATCACTGGTGGAAAAATAATGACCAGGAGCCAACAACAAGCTGAAAAAACAAGAATCCATAATCTCCATATGAGAGGAAACTGTGTGGTAAGATGGATTTAATGGGTCTGGGCTAAAATGGTAAAAGTATAATGGATGTAGCTAAAACAAACAAGGTCCAACTCTAAACCAGCACAAGAAAAACAGAGCAAGGGCATTTGATTTCATTTAAAAGAAATTAAATTTTAAATCAAAGTAAAAAATGTAAGTCATTACAATATTGAGGTAGTTAGTGGAGTTGACTGTATAAGAAATTGGCTACTACTTTCAAAGGGCTTCATCATTTTAAAGCTATACAAATATTTGTCTTGGATAAGGTTAAAATTATGAAGACATCAAAATTCAAAGAAAGTTCAATGCCTTTTGGGGGTCAGAAAGTCTGAAAATAAAAAATTCATGTATTTTCTTTTGTTCATAAGAAATGAAAAGTGGTCTTTCATTTTTTCCCATCTAATATATCAATATAGCAACTTTTGTCAAACAAAGGAGATAAACATCTGGGTTACTATGGGTAAGTTTTTCTCTTTCTTTTCTTAAGGGCAACCATGCTTTCCATTTGTCTGTAATACTAGAAATATTTCACTGTATTTTTCTACTCTATGCCTCAACTCTATATTTGACTTCATTAGATTTTATAAATTGTCTCTAAATTTTATTTTGTGTTTATACTCTAAACAAATTTATACTTTAGGGTTTTTGCCTATGGAGTCGAAATAGTTTATCATTTTCTGACTGTAATTCCTGTAACATATTTAAAAATTAAAAACTAACTTTTTTCATGTTGAATTATATTGGAACAATGTTTTCTTCCTTATTTTTATATTTTTTCTTTTAAGTTTGTTCCCAATATCAACAAAAAATATATTTTTAATGTGCCTTTATTTTATCTCCACTCACATAACTCCTGGGAAAATTTTTTTTCTTGAGGATGAGGAACTATTTTAAAAATCATATTTTCTGTTCTTTACGATGCAAAACACTCTATGCCAATCCCTTTATTTGCCTTGTGGCCAGTCTCAGTATTTAAGATGGTTATTAGTAAGCTATCCAAAGACATGTAAAAACTGAAGCTCAGAGAGGCTAGGTAATATGCTTAGCTATTAGCTTGGTGCAAAAGTAATTGCAGTTTTTGCCATTACTTTCAACTCTAAAAACCACAATTACTTTTGCACCAACCTGATACTTAGCACAACCAGCTAGTTACTGAGCAATGGAATCAAAATTGGAACTCATTTATTAAGCCAAGGTTTCTCTTTGTTCTAGTATATGAGGTTGCCTGTGGAAGAGTCAAAAAATTAAAGATCTGACTGTAGCACTTTTGCAGTTTTTCTGTTTCATCATTTACAGTTTTGCTATTGGGGTTTGTTTTCTATGTATTCCTTATTATTTAAATTTTCAGTAACATGACAAGTTACTGAAAGAGTGAATAGTGTTTTATAAGTTAAAGGCCTACACAGGCAGATAGTTTGAAGTCAGGAGTTCAAGACCTGAATGGGAAACATAGTGAAATCCCTTCTCTACACAAACGAAACAAAACAAAACAAAACAAAAAGCTGAGTGTGGTACGCCTGTAGTCCCAGCTACTTGAATGGCTGAAGTGGGAGGATCTCTTGAGCCCCAGAGGTTGAGGCTGCAGTGAGCCATGATCGCACCACTGCACTCCACCCTGGGAAACAGAGCAAGACTGTCTCAAAATAATAATGATAATAATAGTAGTAATAAGAAGAAGAAGCTGAAGGGGTTTATATGATACAATTTCTGTTATGTATTATGTTGTATATGTGTTATGTAAAAAAGAGAAAAAGGAATCACAAGATTTTCACCATGAAACCAGAATGTGTTAGCGATTTTTCTCATGGAGGTGTGATTACAGGTAATCTTTAGTTTCTCCTTCATGCTAATCTGTGTTTTTTAAATTTTCTACAATGCCTACAGATTATTTTGATACATATTATTTTTTAAGAACAACTGTTACTACAAATACCAAAGTGTGGTTAAATTATCCCTCTTTTGTCTCAAAATATGGGAACTGAGAATAATAGTTTAAAGTATAAAGGAGATCTATCTTTATGTTATTTATTATACTTTAAGTTCTGGGATACATGTGCAGAACATGCAGGTTTGTTACATAGGTATACATGTGCCATGGTGGTTTGCTGCACCCATCAACCTATCATCTACATTAGGTATTTGTCCTAATACTATCCCTCCCCTAGCCCCCAACCCACAAACAGGCCCTAGTGTGTGATGTTCCCCTCCCTGTGTCCATGTGTTCTCATTGCTCAACTCCCACTTATGAGTGAGAACATGTGGTGTTTGGTTTTCTGTTTCAGTGTTAGTTTGCTGAGAACGATGGTTTCCAGCTTCATCCATGTCCCTGCAAAGGACATGAACTCATCCTTTTTATGACTGCATAGTATTCCGTGGTGCATATGTACTACATTTTCTTTATCCATTCTATCACTGATGGGCATTTGGATTGGTTCCAAGTGTTTGCTATTGTGAACAGTGCTGCAATAAACATATGTGTGCCTGTGTCTTTATAGTAGAAAGATTTATAATCCTTTGGGTATATACCAAGTAATGGGATTGCTGGGTCAATGGTAATTTTGGTTCTAGATCCTTGAGGAATTGCCACACTGTCTTCCACAATGGATGAACTAATTTACCCTCGCACCAACAGTGTGAAAGCATTCCTATTTCTCCACATCCTCTCCAGCACCAGATCTATCTTTAAATCCCATTTTGCTCCTAGCATTTAACTCCTACAGTTATGAAGTTTAGAGAGGCAATAAATATAAAGCACTTGAGACAGTGCTTGGCATGCAAGCAGTGATTAATTAAGCAAGAGCAATTTTGTAAAGTAGCATTTTATCAATTTTATGAGATTCTGGGGTGCATTCTATGTTAGGAGGGATATCAGGGCACCCTAGAATGGGGTTTTGTTTGTGATAGGATGACAAGGAGAACTTATGTGGCATAGAGCTGTAGCTATGCTAATTTTTTATTTTGCTGCAGAGTTGTAACATGTCTAAACAATGCCCTGCCAACTCAGAAGCCACAAATAAGGGCACACAATTTTACAATTTGCTGAATCTTCTTTCTATTTATTTGGAAGTTATGGGATATGACAGAGGAGGCCCTTTTAGGGAAGCTTCATTCAGCCTGTCCAGTGAGAGAGTTACTCACTTCATCCTCAAGGTGAAACTACAGAAATTGCTTTGCCTTTGCACTGCCCTAGGAACTGCTGACCACTCTACACTATTTCTAAAATGCTGATCAGATCACAGTTTCTCAATCAACTCTTTCTTATTAAATTCCTTCCAAAGCTGTCTCTGTGCTGCTTATGCTTCCGTTAAAACTTAGATATTTAAGTTAATTTTCATTTGTTTTATATGTCTATTTCTCCTATTACAAACAATAAACTATGCAGAAAGTGATTGTGCAACTTTAGTCAATAAATTGTAAAAACTTAAAAAAAATCAGTATTTATGGATTGCTTGGAGAATACATTGTAGTTAACTCTAAATGAGCAGATTATCATTTTATTTATTCCAAGGAACTGAAATAATCAGAGGTTTAGCAGGGGGTACTAAAAATGTTTAAATAATTGAAACTTTTCTCAATAATTCAAAAGAATAGGAAAACATTTTTCTTAGGGGACAACTTGAAATATTTCTTAGGCGATTTCTGTATAAATAATATGACACTTGCAACAACTTTTTAGCTTTTCAAAACAAAAGAGAGTTATACTTCTTCCTAAATTAATAAAATATAATAGCAACATCATCTGTCTGTAGTACACAATTAAACTATACTCAAAGGCATAAATAATAAAATTCTGTTCAAGCAAATGCATTGCATTTGTTTTTAAATGGACCATTAAAGTGTGGCTTTGAAACAAGCAGCAAATAAATCCATTGTCAGATTTTTCTAAGTACTATTCTTTACTAAATTTAAGTATTCCTTCAATCATATATTCATTATGATCACTGTATATAGCCAAATGCAATCTCCACACACATGAAAAAAAATTCTGGCAAAAGCTATGAGGCTAAGTTGGTGAATTAAAAGTCTCAGCAATTCTAATTTTTTTGCTTTTAGAAATAATTGGTGAAAGTGTTCAGATAATAGAAAGAGAGAGAGAAAAAAGATAAAGGCCTCCAATATTTTGTTAGGTGGGACAAAAAAGAAATAGGAATTGCTCTTTGTTGCAGAAGTTGGAGACAAGTGGTTCATCCAACTTTTGTAGTGATTTTCTAAACAATTAGATCATTTGTTCTGCAAAGTGTTCTCTGTTACCACCGATCTAAGCCTTCTCATTTGTTACTACAGTTGGAGAATTCAGGTAAGGGGTATATTTAGGATTGTTCTTTCCTAACATATATAGAGTAACTGAAAGATTCCTAGGAAACTCTCTTATAGTTCTTGTTAAAGACACATTTAGATCCCAGGCTTGCTGATGATGTGGTGGGCATGGGAGAAATGGCTGCTTTGCATAAGTGTGTATGGGGGAAGAAGGATAGAATTTAAAATTATACCCCTATGCCAAACAATTTTACTTTGTTTAGATCATCCTCTATTTTGCTACAGAATTTAATGTCTTAATTTAATTAAACTTTATACTAAGTATTTTTTCTAAATTTTACACTACATATATCCATCCCAGAGTCTCATATAGCATGTTTCATGCTTGATGTACACTAATACTAAACAAAGTAAATATTGTAAAAATTTTAAACTGTCTCACTTTTTATTGTTACAGGTAGGTTTAAAAATAACAGATCTTTCAGTATTAGGAAACATAATTTTAGCAATCTGATATGGTTTGGCTGTGTCCCTACCCAAATCTCATCTTGATTTATAGTTCCCATAATCACCACGTGTCATGAGAGAGACACAGTGGGAGGTAATTTAATCATGAGGGCGATTATCATGCTGTTCTCATGATAGTGAGTGAGTTCTCATGAGATCTGATGATTTTATAAGGGGTTTTTCCCTCTTTTACTCAGCACTTCTCCTTGCTGCCATCATGTGAAGAAGGACGTGCTTGCCTCACTTTCTGCCATGTTTATGTTTCCTGAGACCTCCCCAGCTATGCAAAACTGAGTCAATTAAAACTCTTTCCTTTATAAAAAACTCTTTCCTTTATAAATTACCCAGTCTTGAGTATGTCTTTATTAGCAGAATGAGAATGGACAAATACAGGAAACTGATATGGGTAGAGTGGGGTGCTGCTGTAAGGATACCTGAGCATGTAAAAGCTAATTTGGAACTGGGTAACAGGCAGAGGTTGGAACAGTTTAGAGGATTCAGATGATGACAAGAAAATGTGGGAAAGTTTGGAACTTCCTAGAGACTTGGAGGGCTCAGAAGACAGGAATATATGGGAAATTTTGGAACTTTCTAGAGACTTGTTGAATGGCTTTGACCCAAAATGATGACACTGATATGGACAATGAAGTCCAGGCTGAGGTGGTCTCAGATGGAGATGAGGAACTTGTTGGAAACTGGAGCAAAGGTGATTCTTAACTGTGCTTTAGCAAAGAGACTCGTGGCATTTTGCCCCTGCCTTAGAGATCTGTGGAACTTGAAATTGAGAAATGATTTAGGGTATCTGAAAGAAGAAATTTTTAAGCAGTAAAGCATTCAAAAGGTGACAGAGCATAAAATTTTGGAAAATGTGCAGCCTCATGATGGTGTAGAAAAGAAAAACGCATTTTCTGGAGAGAAATCCAAGCCAACTGCAAAAATTTTCATAAGTAATGAGAAGCCAAGTGCTAATCTCCATGAGAATGGGGGAAATTGTCTCCAGAACATGTGGGAGACCTTTGCAGCAGCCTCTCCCATCATAGACCCAGAGGCCTAGGAGGAAAAAATGTTTCCTGGGCTTGGTCCAGGTCCCACCTGCTGTGTGCAGCTTCAGGACTTGGTGCCCTGAATTCCAGTCACTCCAGCCATGGCTAAAAGAGGCCAAGGTACAGCTTAGGCCATTGCTTCAGAGGGTGCAAGGTCAGCCATGCTTAAGTGTGAGTCAATTAAACCTTTTACTTTTATAAATTACCCAATCTTGGGTATATCTTAATTAGCAACATGAGAACTAATACACCATTCTTGTGAATAGACACAAGTCTTTTTAGTCTGAGCTAGAAGAAATTGTTCAGATAAGTATGTGGGTCTCTAAAAATACATTTAAAACAATAAAGGGCCATAGAATCTTATAATTATTTGTATTGAATTGAATGAATTTAATACTATACAGCTTTATTTTCAAAAATGTAACATACATAAAATATAGAAACATATTCCATTAGTCTGTGACTCTTCAAAAATAAGAAACTTCTAGCATCAATTAATAGTAAGTAGAGACATCAAATATGCATCATTCCAAGGCTTTTAAATATTGTTGCTATTCACAAGGCTATTATGTATTATCAAATGTTCAATAATGACTAATATTGTAATTAGCATTTATTTCAAACACATTATGTTGTATATCAAAGTAATTATAATGCATTTAGCCTTGTTTTCAGATTTATTGCAAGTACTAAATTGTAATAATAGCTAAAATTTATTTCTGATTAATGTATTAATCTTATGTTTTATTACTTTCATAGAATGCAGGTATAAAAAATACATTTTTCAAACTTACTTCAAACTTAGTCAAAATTATATTTGTAAAATAAAAAATACCTTTGATAAGACAGCTGAAGTAATGTGTGTTTGATGATCAGAGGTTTGAATGCATAGCCTACAATTTTTTTACAAATAATATATTCACTCAATATACAAAACTCAACTGTTTTATGTATATTAACTTTAATCACCAAAATATGCAAATATTGTCTGCCTCTTTTTTAAATCCAGAAGGTCTCATTTTTCCCAATGTGTCTCCAAATCAGATTCACTTATAGGGATTCACTTACAGGAAAACTTGTGCTGTGCTATTTTTTATGATAATTGATTTTATTGTTTGGTAGTTCATGACAGAAGAGAGAAGAGAAGCTCGAGGCAGGGCCTGTATCCAGAGGCTAGAGACCCAGTGCAAGAGCTTTTGTAGCTGGTATATAACTATGTCTTACAGCTTTGAGTGCATGTATATTATTTGTAACTGCTTTCATATGTGATAATCTGGTCTAAATTTAGTGCAAAATCACAGGAAGCAAATATATATATATATAAAATAAATAATAAATATATATATATTTATATTTATATCTCTGAAAAGAAGCAGTCCAAGTTGGGGAGTATACTGAACCAAAATTCTGATTCAATTAATATATTAAATTGGAATCATTCCCTGAAGCTCTGGGATTACTCTCTGCACAGATATTGGTTTACTACAAAGAGAACTATTTGGATATTGTAGTCATCTGAAACAATGCTAACTGAAGGATTAGAGAAACCCATAAATCCATCTGTCTTGGAAGAATTAGTAAGGTAAGAATACATACATATTAGATAGAAGGAATTCAGACATTTAAAGTAACATTTCTCAAACTATTTTGTTTGTAAAAATATTTCTTTGGAAACGGGATATGTAATAAAATTATAAAACATCCAAGAAAAAAAGACTGTAAAAGAACCATTGCCTTGCGTAGACCAAGATTTCATATACTCACACAAAAAATCTTAATGCAATGTAAATTTATAAATTGGAATATACTAAAATTAAGAAACTGTGTTCATATAAATGTAGTATTTATAGAATTTTTAAAGACTATATATGGGAAGAAAGCATTTGCAATATATACATTTGACAAAAGACTCTTATCCAGTATACATCTATGTGTGTATGCATGAATTCCTTCCAATCCAACATATTATGCCACTGAAACCCCACTAGCATGACTAACATGAAAAAGATAGATAGTTAATATTAACTACCGGGAAATATGTAAAAAGTGTCATTAATTTTCTTTCTTTTTTATTTGGAGACGGAGTCTTGCTCTGTCACCCAGGCTGAAGTGCAATGGCAAGATCTTGGCTCACTGCAACCTCTACCTCCTGGGTTCAAGCAATTCTGTTGCTTCAGCCTCCCAAGTAGCTAGGATTACAGGTGCCCACCACCACACTGAGCTAATTTTTGTATTTTTAGTAGAGATGGGGTTTCAGCATGTTGGTCAGGTTGGTCTCAAACTCCTAACCTTAGGTGATCCACCCGCCTCGGCCTCCCAAAGTGCTGGGATTACAGTTGTGAGTCACAGCACCTGGCCATTTTCAATACTGGTAAATTGTTATGACCAGTTTAGCTAAAATTTTGGTAATATCTATTTAAGCTAAGCATGCATATTACCTATAATTCAGCAATTTTAGCCTGGGAATTATTTCCAACAGAAATTTATTTATATATTTGCCAAAGTATATAGCAACTTTTTTTGTAGTAGTTAAAAACTGTCAAATATACAAATGTCTATAATTCTTAGAATGGATAAATTATGCTATGTCCTTTACAGGTCATGTGAAGCCAGTAGTACTCTCATACAAAAACTGAACAAATAAGTATAAAAAAGGAAATGGCCGGCTGGGCACGGTGGCTCATGCCTGTAATCCCACACTTTGGGAGGCTGAGGCAGGTAGATCATGAGGTCAACAGATTGAGACTATCCTGGCCAACATGATGAAACCTCGTCTCTACTAAAAATACAAAAATTAGCTGGGCATGGTGGTGTGCACCTGTAGTACCAGCTACTTGGGAGGCTGAGGCAGGAGAATTGTTTCAACCTAGGAGGCAGAGATTTCAGTGAGCCGAGATCACACCAATGCACTGCAGCCTGGTGAAAGAGTGAGACTCGGTCTCAAAAGGAAAAAAAAAAAAAAAAAGAAATGACCAATGTCTCTCATGAACTTAGACACAAAAATTTTCAACAAAATATGATCAAGTGGAATCTACCAATGTATAAAAAAATTTACACACCACAGCCAAGTTGTACTTATTTCTGGTATGCAATGCTGGTTTGATATTCAAAAATTATTCAATGTAATCTACTATATCAGCCAACTAAAGAAGAAAAATTACTTGATCATACTAATTGGCCTAGAAAATCTAACATCCATTCCTGCTAAAATTCTCACCAACCTTAAGAACAGAATAAATACCTCAACTTGATAAACAACATATACAAAGAATCTACAGCTAGTATCACACTTCACAGTGAGAGACTGCATGCATTTTCTGTAAGAGTGTTAAGGAATGCCTGTTCTTATCACTTTTATTAAGTATAATACAGAAACGTCTAGCCAGCACAATAAATAAAGGAAATATAAGATACACAGAAAAAAAAAAGAAATAAACTGTCCTTATTTGTAGATAGCATGATAATAAACATGGAAAATGCCAAGGAAGCTTACCCTTCAATCCACCCCAACCCCCCACCCCGGCCATAAAAAGCCCTATCAGAAAAAAAAAATGAATTCTTCCAGGTCATAGCATAAAAATCAACAGACAAATCAAATTTCAATTTACCTAAACTAATAATGAACCTTTGGAAACAGAAATTACAAACACAATACCATTTGTAATTGTTCTAAAGAAAATAATATACTGAGATTAAAAACTTCAAAAATATGTATAGTACCTATATGCTGACAATTTGAAAATGCTGATGAAATAGTTTTTTGAAAGACCTAAATAAATGGAGAGACATATCATATGCATGAATTGAAAAAGTTAACACAGTAAAGATGCAAATTCTATCAAAATTAAGCAATAGGTTTTATACACTTTCTATTAAAATACCATCACTTTTTGGTGTGTGTGTGTGTGTGTGTGTTTGTGTTTGGTATACACGACAAAATGTAGGACTAACATTCAGAAAACTAAAACTGGACCCCTTCCTTACACCTTATACAATAATTAACTGAAGATTAATTAAGGACTTAAATGTAAAACCCAAAACCATAAAAACCCTATAAGAAAATCGAGGCAATACTATTCAGGACATAGGTATGGGCAAAGATTTTATGATTAAATCACCAAAAGCAATTGCAACAAAAGCGAAAATTGACAAATGCGATCTAATTAAACTAAAGAGCTACTGCACAGCAAAAGAAACTATCAACAGACAGAACAGGCAACTTACAGAATGGGAGAAAGTTTTTGCAATCTACCCATCTGACAAAGGGCTAATATCTAGAATTTACATGGAATTTAAACAAATTTACCAAAAAAAAAAAAAAAATCAAAAAGTGGGCAAAAGACATGAACAGACACTTCTCAAAAGAAGACATTTATGTGGCCAACAAACATGAAAAAAAAGCTCAACGTCACTGATCATTAGAGAAATGCATATCAAAACAGCAATGAGATACTGTCTCATGCCAGTCAAAATGGCAATGATTAAAGTCAAGAAACAGCAGATGCTAGTGAGGCTGTGGAGAAATAGGAATGTTTTTACACTGTTGGTGGGAATGTAAATTAGTTCAACCATTGTGGAAGACAGTGTGGCAATTCCTCAAGTATTTAGAACCAGAAATGCCATTTGACTCAGCAATCCCATTATTAGGTATATACCCAAAGGAATATAAATTATTCTATTAAATTATAAAAATGTAAAAAAAAATGTAGGGCTAGACAAGACAAGGAGTTATTAGCCTTGATGCTAAAGGCATGGTCCATAAATGGCAAAATTATAAATTAATTATACCTCGCCAAAATAAAAATAACTTTTGCTCTGTGAAGAATCTGTGAAAAAAATGAAAATCAAGCTACACGCTGAGAAAAAAGTATTGGCAAAATATATATCTCACAAAAAGTTTTTATATCTAGATTATATAAAGAACTATGTCTCAAAATAAATAACTCTCGTAACATTAAGAAATAAACCAAGTAGAAAAAATGGGCAAAAGACATAAATAGACCTTTTACTTAAGAATATATACAGATGGCAACAAGAACATAAATTATTTTTAACACTATTAGCCACTGAAAAAATAAAAGCACAATGAATGAGATAGCTATTACAATGGCAAAATTTTTTAAAAAACTGTGAAAACACCAAATGACAGCAAGAATGCGGAGAAACGATTTGCTGATACATTGATGGTGGGAATGTAAAATAGTACAGCCACTCTGGAAAATAGATTGGCAATTTCTTGAAAAATATTAAGCATATATTTACATATCAGCCAGAAATTACATTTCCGCTCAATAATCCCAGAGAAATAAAAACTTATGTTTATACAAAAACATATACATGAATGTTCAGAGCACCACTATTCATAATAACTCAACATTGAAAACATCTCAAATGTCCTTCAATGGTGAATTTTTAAACACTGTGCTACATCCATACCATGGAATACTACTTAGCAATACAAAGGAACATATTATAAATATATGAAATAACTAGGATGAAGCTCAAGGCAAATATACTTAGTGAAATAAGCAAATTTTAAAAGTCCCATACTATTTGATTACATTTATTTAACATTCTTGAAGTGACAAAACTGTGGCAATAGCAAATAAATTAGTAATTCCAGGGGCTAAAGATAGGGGTGGGATGGTGGGAGAGAATGCTGTGCAGGTGGATGTAGCCATCAAAGGGATATCAAAGCAGGAAGATCCTTGTGAAGTTGGAACTGTTTTATATCGTAAATATGGTGACAGTTACATAAATACAAAAATGTGATTATATTAGGGTTCTCTAGAGGGACAGAACTAATGGTATGTGTGTGTGTGTGTGTGTGTGTGTGTGTGTGTGTATGTGTGTGTATGAGTTTATTAAGGTTTTGTTTTGTTTTTGTTTGGTTTTGTTTTGTTTTTTAGACGGAGTTTCACTTGCTACCCAGGCTGGAGAGCAATGGCACGACCTTGGCATACTGAAACCCGAGCTTCTAATTCTTGCTAATATGTTTGTCAACAAGCACAGATTTATTAATGATCCATTATGGATCTAGAATGCTCCAGAATAGAAGCTGAATAGATGTAGGTTTTTTGTTTAAGATTAAATCTAAAAACACACAAATACAGAATTCTCTTCTCTGTTTACTGATTTTTCTATAAAGCAATTGAATGGTAATTTTTTTCAAAACTGTAAATATTTCTGTTTGGAATGATTATCTCTCTGACATATTAGTCTAATATTTTCAAGCTGAATTTCATTTTCTTGTTTCTTACTACATTTATGACCTCTGTAGGTAATTTATTTCTATGTTTATTATAGTCTTTTGTCCACCTACCAATATACTATAATTCACGTGTTCCACAAACATGTAGTTTGCCTTTCTTTTAGATTTTAATCTAATGTTAAAGAAGATTAAAACTCACACCAAATCCTATAGAATTTGCTCTTTGGAAATATTCACATCCCATTCAATGACATGTGTCATTACTCTTTAGGAATTTTGAGCCCTTTTTAATCTATGAAATTGTTCTTCTCAAATATCATAAGTCAATTCTGAAAATACTATTTTATGATGTCATATCAAATATTTCATAAATGAGATTTTACATGAGATAATACTTGTGATACCTGAAACATCTGATTAATTTTCTCAGGAAATAATCTATAGCTATACAGGCTCATCTATATTTTAAGCTGCTCAGCAGTCATTTTGAAATATCAAGTAAGCAGAGATATAAGTAGTTCCTTACAAATTTAGTCAGTGTCATCGTATAGATGTATATACGTACAATTACACATGTATATGTGTACATCATATATATGTACAATTGTATGTGTGCAGACACACACACACATATGCTTCGATAGCTTCTAGTTTAATAATCCCATTTGAAATATAGTACCAAAAATATTCTGATTCATTTTTTCACTCAAATATATCCCCCATCAAAAATGTAGGCAATAGAGCCCATTCCTATTAAAACAATATTGATATCCAGAATACAATATATTTGCTAATTTCTTTCAGTTTCCTTAAATTATGTAAAGCACTTTTTATAATATGTTTTCTTAATAGCGTCTAGCGTAGTACACAACTTTCCACAAAACATTTCTTGTTGATAGTGCTGTTTCCTCTTCTTTCCATTAATGAATGAATAAACAAGTTTGTATATTAGCATTAGTTTTACAAGTTGATTAATAATCTCATCTTTCTTATACATTTGTCAAATATTCTATCACCTATTATTTTTCATGTACAGATTAAGATATAATAGTAAACAATATTTCAAAAACTGAATTTTAAGGACATAATAGTCTGCCTAACAAATATTTCTAAGGTGATATTGGCCCCCTATTGGACATAAGGTTTGCAAATCCATTCCCCAATTTCACAGGTTTCATTTCACTTTGTTGATTCCTCCTCCCTCTGCTGTGTAGGAATTTTTAGTTTGATACATAGTTCCACTTGTTTATTTTTGCATTTGTTGCCTGTGTTTTTGAAGTCATATTCATAATCTCTTTACCAAGACCAGTGTCAGGGAGATTTTTCTTTATGTGTTCTGCTAGGAGTTTGACAGTCTCAGGTCTTACATTTAAATCTTTAATCCATTTTGAGACAATTTTTGTATAATTAGTAGAGAGATAAGAGTCCAATTTTATTCTTCTGCATGTGGGTATCCAGTTTTAACAATGCCATTTGTTGAAGAGACTATCTTTTCCCCATTGTGTGTTCTTGTCAACTTTGTTGAAAATAAATAGCCCATAAATGCATACATTTATTTCTGAGCTCTCTATTCTGTACCATTGGTCTGTGTGTCTGTTTTTATGCCAGTATCATGCTGTTTTGATTACTATCAGTTTTTTTCTTAACAAATTGTTTTCATTGTTTAAACAGATTGATATTGTATTTTATAAGAACTCTGCACATAAAAACCAAACACCGCATGTTCTCATTCATAGGTTGGAAATGAACAATGATAACACATGGACACAGGAAGGGGAACATCACACACCAGGGCCTGTTGTGGGGTGGGGAGGGGTGTGAGATAGCATTAGGAGATATACCTAATGTTAAATGACGGGTTAATGGGTGCAGCACACCAACATGGAACATGTATACATATGTAACAAACCTGCACTTTGTGCACATGTACCCTAAAACTTAAAGTATAATAAAAAAATTGTTTAAAACAACATCAAAATAGTAAAAGGATTGAATACAACATATATGTATGTGGAAAAATCCTATATATGTTAAATAATGATTACCAGAAAGAATTCTATAACTTGCAGGTCTCTAGTGAAAAATGAGAATAGTAATATATTCTATATTGAGTTTTTGTGAGCAATAAATTAGGCTGAAATTTAGAATATTGTACAGTGTCTATTTCACAGTAGGTACTAAAAAATTATAACTATTTTTGGTATTCTTATGGCTTTCTGATAACTAGCTTTGTGGTATATTTTGAAGTCAGGTAGCATGATGCCTCTGGCTTTGTTCACTTTGCTTAAGATTGCTTTGGCTATTCAGAGTCTTTTGTGGTTCCATGCGAATTTTATAATTTTATTTTTATTTCTGTGAAGAATTTCACTGGAACTTTAATAGGAGGTTCATTAAGTCTCTAGATTGCTTTGGGCAGCATAGACATTTAAACAACATTAATTTTTCTGATCCATTGAACATAGACTATCTCTTCATAAATTTGTGTCTTCTTCAATATCTTTCATCAGTATTTTATAGTTTTCAGCTTTATATTTTTCATCTTCTTGGTTAAATTTATTCCTAGTTTTAATTTTTATAGCTATTATAAATGGGATTGTTTTGATTTTTCAGCTAGCTTTTTGTTAGTATATAGAAATTATGGGTTTTGTATATTGGTTTTATGTGTGAAATTTACTGAATTTGTTTTAGTTCCAACAGTTTTTTGATGTAGTTTTCGGGCTTTTTATATATAAGATTATGTCTTCTGAAAGCAGAGACAATGTAACTTTTTCCTTTCTAATTTGGATGTCTTTTATTTTTCTCTTGCCTAACTGTTCTGGCTAGGACTTCCAGTATCACATGGAAAAGAAGTGATGAGAGTGGGCATCCTTGTCTTGTTGTGATTTAGAGGAAAATATTTCAGCTTTTCATTATTGAGTATATTAGCTGTGGGTTTGTCAAATATGGTCTATTGTATTGAGGTACATTTCTTCTATACCTAATTTGTTGAGAAAAATTATCATGAAAGTATGTTGAATTTCATCAAATGCTTTTTCTGCATCTATTGAGATGATCATATGATTTCTGTCCTTCATTCTGTTAATCTAATACATCACATTTTTAGATTTGCATATGTTAAATTATTCTTGCATCCCAGAGATAAATTCTATTTGATCATGGTTTCTAATTTTTTAAATGTGTTGTTTAATTTTCTACGCTAGTATTTTGCTGAGGATTTTTACATCTATGTTTATCAAGTATTTTGGCCTCTAATTTTCTTTTCTTGTGATGTCCTTGCCTGGCTTTAGTATCAGTGTAATACTGGCCTCATATAATGAGTTCAGTGGTGTTCCCTCTTCAGTTTTTGGAAGAGTTTGAGAAGGACTGCTATTAATTATTATTTAAATGTTTGATGGAATTCACCAGTGAAGCCATGTAGTCTGGACTCTGTTGAGACATACTTGATTAATAATTCAATCACCTTGCTCATTATTAGTATGTTCAAGTTTTATATTTATTCATAAATTAGCCTTAGTAGGTTGTATGTTTCTAGCAATTTGTCAGTTTTTTCTAGGTTATTCAATTTGTTGGTGTGTAATTGTTTATACTAGTCTCCTATGATCCATTGAGTTTCTGTGGTGTCAATTGTAATGGCCCCTTTTTCTTCCTGATTTTTATGATTTGAGTCTTCGTTTTTTGGTATTCTTGTAAAAGATATGTCAATTTTCTTTAGTTTTACAAAAAAGAAGAAATGAGATCATTTATACTCTGTGGAAATGTAATTAGTATAGCCATTATGAGAAACATTATGGAGATTTCTCAAAAAAATAAAAATAGAAGCAACATATGACCTACTAATTTCATTTCTAGGTATATATACAAAAGGAATTAAAATCAGTATCTCAAAGAGATGTCTGCACTCCTATGTTCACTGCATAATTGTTTACATTAGTCAAGATATGGAAAACCTAAGCATCTGACGATAGATGAGTAAAGAAAATGTGTTACGTGTACACACGGAAATGTATTAGGACATACTTGCATTGCTATAAAGAAATACGTGAGAGTGGGTAATTTATAAGGAAACGAGGTTTAATTTGGCCACAGTTCTGCAGACTGTACAAGTATGGCACTGGCACCTACTCAGCTTCAGGAAGCCTCATGGGGAAAGGCAAAAGGGGAGCAGGTGGGACAAAGAGAGAGAGAGGGAGGTGCCACACACATTTAAACGTCTTCATTCACAATTGTGAGGACAGCACCAAGGGCGTGAGGCTAAACCATGCATGGGAAATCTACCCCCGTAATCCAGTCAGCTCCCACCAGGCCCCACTTCCAGTGCTGAGGATTACATTTCAACATGAGATTTGGACAAATATACAAACTATATCACATATTGAAAGATTATTCAGCTTTAAAACAGGATGAAATCTAGCCATTTTCAATAATGTATATGAATCTAGAGAACATTACGCTTAGTGGAATGAGCCAGGCATAGAACCACAAATACTGCATGATCTCACTTACATGTAGAATCAATCAAAAGAAATCTAACTTGTAACAGAGAACAGAAAGATGATGGCTTGAAGTTGTGGGGAACAGGGAGTAATGAAAATTAGGGGGGTTGGTCAGGCATGGTGGCTCACGCTTACAATCCCAGCACTTTGGGAGGCTGAGGTGGGCGGATCACTTGAGGCCTGGAGTTCGAGACCAGCCTGGCCAACATGGTGAAAACCTGTCTCTACTAAAAATACAAAAAATTAGCCAGGCATGGTGGCAGGTGCCTGTAATCCCAGCTACTTGGGAGGCTGAGGCAGGAGAATCACTTGAACCCAGGAGGCAGAGGTGGCAGTGAGCCGAGATCACGTCATTGCATTCCAGCCTGGGCAACAAGAGCGAAACTCCATCGAAAGAAAGGAAAGAAAGGAAGGAAGAAAGAAAATTATGGGGGTTTGGTCAAGGGGTATAAACATTCAGTTGTAAAATGAATAAGTTCTGGAAATCAAATGTATAACATGGTAACTATAGTTAATAATCATATATACTTGAAATTTGCTAAGTGTTTTCACTACACACATACAAAAACAGTAACTATATGAGTTGATGGATATGTCAATTTGATTGTGGTAATCACATCATAATGTGTATGTACATATATATCAAAACCATGTTGTACACCTTAAATATATTCAATTTTTTTAAAAAAAAATTATACTTCATTAAAGCTGGAGGAAAATTTTATACTGGAAGGCTTAAGTTGTACCAATATGTACCATTTCAATTATAAAGTATACATTAACATACAGCTCCACTGCTGCTTTGAAAAACTTAATCTGTAATATACTAATCAATTCATGAATACTTTAATTTATATTCTTTAAAAATAAGTGCTCCACTTAAATAATACACAAATATATGTTGCCAAAAAACACATAATCCATCTAAAGAAATATAAATTGTAATAGACTAGTTCTGTGCAAAAAAATTAACTCACAGAAAATAGTTCTTGGCCGGGCGCGGTGGCTCACGCCTGTAATCCCAGCACTTTGAAGGCTGAGGTGGGCGGATCACGAGGTCAGAAGATCAAGACCATCCTGGCCAATGCGGTGAAACCCTGTCTCTAACTAAAAATACAAAAAAAATTAGCCGGGTATGGTGGCGGACGGCTGTAGTCCCAGCTACTTGGGAGGCTGAGGCAGGAGAATGGCTTGAACCCGGGAGGTGGAGCCTACAGTGAGCTGAGATCGCGCTACTGCACTCCAGCCTGGGAGACAGAGCAAGGCTCCGTCTCAAAAAAAAAAAAAAAAAAGAAAGAAAGAAAGAAAGAAAGAAAGAAAATAGATCTTAAAACATAATATTTGTAAGGTGAGAGTAAATGGAAATCTTATAAATGTATACTGTAATTTTAGTTATGCTAGTTTTTTTTCACAGGACATTTTAGTCATTTTGGTCATGTGCAATAAGCCTAGGTCATATATTCTCTATGAAAATATTGTTGCAATTAGCAAAAGTGTAAAATATAAACAACTGGGTATTTCCATTTACATAAAAAGAATTTCCATTGTATTGCTTTAATATTCATATTCTTAAAAAATATTATTTAAACTATATGTAGTTTTTTATTTTTTTCTCCAGAATGAGAATATGGCTCTTTATGCCTTTTTCTCCTGTGTACTTCTTACTAATCGTTTTCCATGTGCACATGTACCCTAGAACTTAAAGTATAATAAAAAAAAACCCATACAAAAAGGAAAAATAAAATTAAAAAATTAAACTGTAAAAAGAAAATGCATTGAAATTAAAAACCAAATTAGCAATAATAAAAATTTTCAATAAAAAGTTTACAAAATAATTTTTAAAAAGAAAGGAAAAAACCTAAATATCAGCATACTGGAATATATTGATTAATAGTTTTTATTTTTCTAGTTGTAACCAAAACTTCTGTCTTCTTTGTATCATATTCTCTACTTTCAAATATTTTGTTAAGTAATACCTAATCTGTAAATATGTATTAAATATTTGCTATTAATTACCATATAGCAGGCACTGTGGTAGGGATGCCTTCATGTCTTCAAGTCTTAACAATATAATATCTTTATAAGCTGGAGCTCTCAATTTTTAACTGGAAGTACATTCCACACTTACAAGTAAGTACAAATACAAATTCAGGAGAAGCAATCTCATACTTTGATCTTTGTTTCCATTATACTCATACTTTTTGCCTCATTTGGTGACGTTGATACTTGTTTCTTCTTTGCCTCCCCCATACCCCATTTCCTCATGACTTGACTCCCCTTATTCATACTAGAATATCTGCTTCTAATTAACCTTTTATCTCTGCTCTCAGCTCTGGATTTGCCATATATCTAGAGCCACAGAAGAGAAATTTCTCCATCTCGAATCACATGGGATCTTACTAGATGGACAAGCATCCCTGGTTGTCAATATGGGGGAAAGATTAATTTCAGCCTGAGCACCAAACAGCCTAGCTCGGAAACATCTCTAATATATTTCTTTCTGCTTCAATCAATGTCACCTTCATTATCATTTCCCCCATCATCATCATCAATACCATTAAACATTTGTCATGTAACTCCAAATATTCAGGACAAATAAACAAAAATAAATAAATAAAAATAAAATCAAATAAATTTTTTTCAGGGATCACAAGGTTTCTCATTTTTATTTGGCTGACTATAGGATTTTTTTGAGGTAGGTATAAATACAATATCTTATTACTTAAAATTTAATTATCTCCCTGATGAATATTCAAGCTCCTAACAACTTCTACTATGTCACACTTACGCCTACATAACTTCTGCTTTCTTGTGCCATTGTAAGTTTTACAGGAGAATGAGTGAATTTCAAATCACTCAATTTTACCACTTCTTAGCAATTCTTGGAAAATAATTTGAGGATTGAAATTTCTGCTAAAGTCAAGGATTGGTACAACTTTGAAGTATTCTTTAACACTTAAACACTTCCCATTAAAGTAAAAATTATTTCAAAGAAAAATACAGATTTATTTTTGACCCCGAGGTCAACTTATTAGGTACAGTGCTTAGGATGCTCATTACTTTTAGGGGCACAGAAAAATGTTTTAATTTCCTTTAAAATGAGAAGAAAATAATAAACTTTTAGGTCAAAAAATGTGTTAATATATAATATTAATAATTTGTTCATTATACTCAGGTAGCTGTGAAACATAAATCTAAATATTTGTGTGTGTGTTGTATGTGTCTATGTGTGTTTTAATAGAGAACGAGGACAAAGAAGACAAAAATAGCTAGGACCCCACAGAAGTCAGAATGGGGCCATGATTGATTCTACTTAAAACATATGGAGATCTATGAAATTGTTGGTGAATCTAATGGCTGAAAATACGCAGAATATTTTTTCTACAAGACATTCATATTTACCATTATATTTTCTCTATAGTTGATGAGTAAAAACCATTTCCAATCTTAAGAAAGGTATAGAAATAGTAAATTTGCCTGTGAATCTACGACAAATTTAAAAAATGTACTTCCATGGAAAAGCATTTTATAAAACTTCTAATTCTCACTATTTTCTTATACTAAAGAAAGAATTGGTGTGAGGGAAATACAGTTGAATTGTCAAGCTGATTTTGTGTCCAGGAGAACCTCAAGTAAACCCTAAGCTATACAAGCTTACTATATAATACAGGTATATCTATAAACAGTTAATGGAGGAAAAGGAAGACTTGACCAAAAGTACTGAATAACTTAGTTTGTCCTGTGTGCAGCTGTGACAGTCTTCCAAATGTTTATAAAATCTTACTCTCAATGATCTCGTCTGTATTTTGGAGATAATTATGTATAGACATGTTTCAAAACTAGCTCAGAAGTCACTAGTAAATACTATTGTTAGTCCTTAGGATTAATAAAAGAAATATTAGAAAGAAAAGTGCTGGCCGGGCATGGTGGCTCATGCCTGTAATCCCAGCAGTTTGGGAGGCCAGAGTGGGAGGGTCACCTGAGGTCTGCAGTTCGAGAAGAGCCTGGCCAACATGGCGAAACCCACTCTCTACTAAAAATACAAAAATTAGCCAGGCATTGTGGCAGGTGTCCATAATCCCAGCTACTAGGGAGGCTGAGGCAGGGAGAATCACCTGAACCCGGGAGGCAGAGGTTGCAGTGAGCCGAGATTGCGCTATTGCACTTCAGCTTGGGCGACACAGCGAGACACCGTCTCAGAAAAAAAAAAAAAAAAAAAAAAAAAAAAAGTGCTAAATTACTTTATATTATTAAAGATCACAATCTTTCTTGCATGGTCATAATTTTTTTAATCTTCATTAATTAATAACTTGGCCTTCTGTTTCTATCCTTAATATTTTATCCTACCTTCAGATTTAATTTTAAGAATAGTGGTATTACAAAATACAATTAAATGGTCTAATTGAAATACATGCAATTTAATCATACTGAACTTGGTGTAGAAGCATTCAAAACATGCTGCATTTTAATTTTCTTAAACTAGGAAGCAAAAATATACTAGGCTTTAAACTGTGGATTTTTAATGTTGTACATTTGTTCAGGGACCATCAGAAAGAAGCACAGGTTGTTTTGAAATGTGGTTCAAACTTTGTGACTTAGGGGTGGGGGCATTCCAGACAAAATTAATATCCATTAGTACGATCCTATAAACTCTTATTTAAAATCTTCTTTTAAAATGTATTCAATATTAAAAAAAATACAGTGGAGCATGGGAGAAAGGCAATAGTGTAATTACTCTATGGCTAGCTAACCCACAGTGTATGTTTCTTGTGGGTAGAGGTAGAGATTGAATTGCATACAGTGATTTCTGAAACTGATGAAATTAACTAGATAATTGGGGGTGGTTTGTTATCAACAACAGATAACTGGGACTGGAAAAAAACATACTTTTCTTATTCTAGACTTTAATAAAAATACCTTGAAAATGCCAATACTAAATTCTATATTTGGAATAGGTTTTGATACTGGCCATTAGCTCATTAATGTAAAGCCTTTTTTCTTGCCTTTTCCAGCTTCTGGGAGCCTTCTGCATTCCGTGGTTTGGGTCCCTTTCCTCCATCTTCAAAACCAGTCTAACAGCATTTTCATATCTCTATGATACTAATTTCCTCTTTTTTGAGGCATAAACATATTTTCATTGAAAATCGTGAAGAATTGAGAAGGAAAGGAGTCTGAAATTTTAAATGGTGAGAGTTGTTTTATTATCATTATTATTATACTTTAGGTTCTGGGATAGATGTGCAGAACATGCAGGTTACATAGGTGTATAAGTGCCATGGTGGTTTGCTGAACCCATCAACCCATCATCTACATTAGATATTTCTCCTAATGCTATCCCTCCCCTTGCCCCCCACGGCCTGACAGGTCCCCATGTATGATGTTCCCCTCCCTGTGTCCATGTGTTCTCATTGTTCACCTCCTCTTTCTGTTAAAAGAACTCCTGTGGTTACATTAGGTTCACCTGGATAATCCATGATATTCTTCTTATCTCAAGGTTCTTAATTTAATGACATCACATTTAGCCATTTTCCATAACACATTCACAGGTTTGGGGAATCTGGACATGGAATCTTTGTTGCAAGGGGCAATTATTCTGCCTCCCATACCATCCAATTTCCAACTGATGCTAAAAATAACCTTGCCTTTGATTTTCATAGTGATGGTCTCCAGGTGTCCATTTGGCTCTACCTTAGTAGAAGACTTGCACAGAAGATAGCCTTAAGCAGATTGAGGTCAAATCACAGCATGGACAGGCTTGTGCAAGAAGTTTAGGGTAATGAAGATGTTTCCTGCCAGATCTCAAAGCTACAGCTTTGAACAATGATAAGTTTCAAAGTGGGATCACTTGAAAAAGGCAGCAGGAGAGGCTAAGGCTTGGTTTAGGAAACAAAGTTCTGAGGCAAATAGATAATTTAAAGGATAGCCAGGCAGCTTTATCCTGAACAACTCAGCTCTTTTACAGAGAGCCCTGCTGCATAAAGTTGAAGCCACATCTTACCTACATATTGTACTGTCACACTTTTTTCAAGTAAATTAAGACTTTATTATCTATGAAAAGCATATAACCAAGAAGGTTGGCTTATCAAAGTAAAGGACCCTTCATCTACTTTATCTTCTCAGAATCCCAGGTTTTTTGAAAGATGTCCCTGCCTCCAGGGAAATCTGGTACAGTAGGTCATCAAGTAATGTCATTTTTTTTTTCAAAGTCTTTCCTTGTAACATTGATGAGAAATAAAAAAAAAAAAAATCGATTCCCTGGCAGAACCACCATCTGTGCAGTTTGCAGCTTCTCCACGTCTGTATGGATTTTCTCCAGGCACTCCAGTTTCCTCCTATATCTCAAAGATGTGCAAGCCAGGCATACTCTAACGTCTAAATTGTCTCAACTGGAGTGAGTATGGGTATGGGTCTGAGTGCACCCTGTGATGGAATGGAGTCTTTTGAAAAGTTTGTTCCCACCTTGCGCCCTGAGCTGCTGGGATAGACTCCTGCCAACACAAACCTGAACTGGAATGAGCAGGTTGAAAAATAAATGAATGAAATAATACAAATGATTGCCAAATAAAAATTCATTATGTAGACAATAATCATGCAAATGCACAATAGACAATACAGTAAGAGAGCATCAGTGAGCCTGCCATATTTGAGTTTTGAAATGTATGGTGATAGGAAGTGCTTCTTACAATATTTTCTTTTGATAAACATTTACTCCTTAATTTAACCCACCACATTGTGATTGCCATCACTCTTTGATTCAGTAAAAATTGAGTAAATAATTATATTATTGTTTCTATTAATCTTTCTTAAATGTATATACAGCTCACATTTATTTCAATATGTAATATTAGAAGTTTTTTGCGTCTTTGTTTAGAAGTTTGGTGATGTTTTGTGACCAGAAATATGCTATAAAAACTTAACTGTTGGTCAAATCAATTAGCCTATTGTAAAACAGAGTTTGTTATATGTCATTTAAGTTATAGTTTCCAAGAACTTATAGATGACATTAAGTGAGTACATCTGCATTTAGCTAACACGTGGGGAGCCAGTGATTTCTCTGTGGACACTAACATTAGCCAGCAACTTTGGCATGTTAGTCAAGGACAAAAAGATAAAAACAAATGGCTGGGGGAAAAATTTATCAACATTTTGAGAAATGAACTCAAAAGGCAGATTCCTCACTAGCAGCAAGATATCCATTGTGTACCCACTTTTACCTGTATGGACAGGAATTTGTTATAATTTGTTGTATTTATAATTATTTTTATTTTTAAACGTAGTTAACTAATTCCACCTTAGTTTTTTTAGGTGAGATTCTACAAGTCATCAGGTTCTTTCTTGCTGGCTAAGCCCTAACCTCTGGAATTCATAATCGGAGGACCTCATAAGGATTATGGAAACAGAATTTCATGGTAAAATAAGTGGAAGTGCTAAATTCTCAAGGAAACATTAACCTTTAACAGTGGTTGCTTCTAAAGTTCCAAACATAAGGTTATAATTCTGAGAGGAATAGAAGGAAGAAAAACTTTTGTCCCTAAATTTTCCACTTTTCTCCTCGTTCTCTTGTCCACACCATATGGCTAGACATGACCACTTTGAAATGAAGGTGATGTTGTCTTTCTTGGATTCCATTTCCCACATGTTGAACTCATTTGGTGCAACTAAATGCTGCATGCAGAGACTTAATGAATACTTTGGATGATTATGATGACAAGGCACTAACATGGCAGACTGAATTTTCCCTCATGGGAGAAGAATCAGATACTGTATAATGGATTGAAATGCTTAAGTTCATGGCCAGCTTCAAAAGTAAGCTGAAGGAAGGACTACTTTTCAAATGAAGAAGCTAATTATTTGTGCTCGATTAGATGATGTGGGAAATAGTGTTTCTAGTTTCACTTTTAAATATCAACAAGCAAGTCAACTGATTATAGATTACGAGTTGCTCTTTAGAAATCTGGACAAAATGATATTCCTTGTCATTGCCAATAGCTCTTGTTTGCACAAGGTTCATTTATCATCTCTTCTTGTTTTCAGGTTTGAGCATGAGTCATTGTGGTAAGGTTCTTGTATGTGGCTGATCATATTGAATGCTAATTCAGAACATATTGTACAATAGACATACCAAACTTCAATAATGATTAATTTTATTTAGTCTATTGCTTGAATTACTTGTAAAATATGGTTTATTGTTCTTTAAAAGATCAAATATTCTATCGAAATCCAAACCACATTAATCATCTGTTTCTAAATACTATATATCCATGCTTTGTGTAAATACAACTTGATATCTAAAGCTATTAAACTAAATTTTAAAATTCCTATTTTATGTCTGATATAAATCAGCAGTGCAAACTCAAAAATGCATTCACATAAGCCATTTTTTAGATGCCTCTCATTTTATTGAATATCACTCTTTTATGTCTATTGAAACCCTTTTTTGTTGTTGGCATTTAAAAATATACTTTCATTCTGAGAACACGTCTTAGTTCTAGATACTTGAGGTCAGATAATATGATAGCACAAGAGCTTTAAAAAATTTTCGCAAACTAGTTAATCTCTGAGTAGCTTGTCCTGTTTTTTTCCTCAGTTATGATTAAATATTTATGGCCTCTATCACTCACTTGCTCCTGAACAGATTTTTCCTTATTGATATAAAATGTCCTCATATTTTGCCTATATGTGCTCCATATGTCAGCTACATATTGAATCACAAATACTCATTAGCTTTCTTTGTGTATTACTCAGAGCAAGAAGATGAAACATATGACTAGGGCAAAACTCATGAACACTCCAGTAATTATCATAAAAGGCACATTCTTCACGAGTAGCTGATTATTGTATACAAATTTCTACTTGCAAAATAGAAATTAACTATGCTTTGTTATTTTATTTTTAGAATTAATCCTTCTTAAATGTATTAGAGTGAAACATTAATAGAATTATGTCAGAGGATAATTTTGCATAAGATATTGAGGCATTATACCAGTACAGAAAGGTTAGAAAGTATATTGACTACTTTTAGACTTTTGTCTTATGTATATTATAATTTACTATGTCAGACATAGCAAATTTTTTTCTGAAGGAACTCTTGGAATGGAAATGATCTTAAAAGACCTGAAAAAAAAAATGCTTCTTTGCTGGGTTTAGGTCAAAAGTCATCATCTGGGAGCACCATGAAATTCAAACCAAGGAAGGGAATTTTCCCAGTAATGGTCCCAGCAAAATGGGTGGTCTTATGCCAGAATAATGTGTTTAGAATGACTATGTGCACTCTTTAAAAGTTAGGATAATAAAGAAGTGGGTCAACCAGTACACTCATTATTTACAACTGGAATGATAATGTAGCAGCAAAAGCTCCTACGAGAATGTATTGAAAGACTATTATACTTCAACCCCTGTACATATCTCCTTCCATATGATTTCTTATTGTCACAATTCTATTACATTGTAGAAATAAAATCTGAGCAATATTTTGAACCTCATTGATAATGTATAGAAGGGATGAACTCTTTCTACCCGATAATATTTTTTAAACTTTACCACTTGGTGATTAGAATAACATCAACAACAAATAAATAATATAGAATAAAACTCAAGCAAACACTGAGTAGAATAGAGAAGCATTATTAGATATAGGGATAGATTATGGTAAAAGAATAGTTGCTTCCAGATAAAGTTGAGGCTTTCTGAAGCATTTTTAAAAATCTGGTCAATTTGGCTGCTGTTCCAAGTCCCAATCACACCACACCGTAAGAAGACAACTTATTCAAGCCTCGAAGAACATTCCATGCTCATGGGTAGGAAGAATCAATATCATGAAAATGGCCATACTGCCCAAGGTAATTTATAGATTCAATGCCATCCCCATCAAGCTACCAATCACTTTCTTCACAGAATTGGAAAAAACTACTTTAAAGTTCATATGGAACCAAGAAAGAGCCCACATTGCCAAGTCAATCCTAAGCCAAAAGAACAAAGCTGGAGGCATCACGCTACCTGACTTCAAGCTATACTACAAGGCTACAGTAACCAAAACAGCATGGTACTGGTACCAAAACAGAGATATAGACCAATGGGACAGAACAGAGCCCTCAGAAATAATGCTGCATATCTACAACCATCTGATCTTTGACAAACCTGACAAAAACAAGCAATGGGGAAACGATTCCCTATTTAATAAATGGTGCTGAGAAAACTGCCTAGCCATATGTAGAAAGCTGAAACTGGATCCCTTCCTTACACCTTATACAAAAATTAATTCAAGATGGATTAAAGACTTAAATGTTAGACCTGAAACCATAAAAACCCTAGAAGAAAACCTAGGCAATACCATTCAGGACATAGGCATGAGCAAGGACTTCATGTTTAAAACACCAAAAGCAATGGCAACAAAAGCCAAAATTGACAAATGGGATCTAATTAAACTAAAGAGCTTCTGCACAGGAAAAGAAACTACCATCAGAGTGAACAGGCAACCTACAGAATGGGAGAACATTTTCGCAACCTACTCATCTGACAAAGGGCTAATATCCAGAATCTACAATGAACTCAAACAAATTTACAAGAAAAAAACAAACAACCCCATCAAAAAGTGGGTGAAGGATATGAACAGACACTTCTCTAAAGAAGACATTTATGCAGCCAAAAGACACATGAGAAAATGCTCATCATCACTGGCCATCAGAGAAATGCAAATCAAAACCACAATGAGATACCATCTCACACCAGTTAGAATGGTGATCATTAAAAAGTCAGGAAACAACAGGTGCTGGAGAGGATGTGGAGAAATAGGAACACTTTTACACTGTTGGTGGGACTGTAAACTAGTTCAACCATTGTGGAAGTCAGTGTGGCGATTCCTCAGGGATCTAGAACTAGAAATACCATTTGACCCAGCCATCCCATTAGTGGGTATATACCCAAAGGGCTATAAATCATGCTGCTATGAAGACACATGCACACATGTTTATTGTGGCACTATTCACAATAGCAAAGACTTGGAACCAACCCAAATGTCCAACAAGGATAGACTGGATTAAGAAAATGTGGCACATACACACCATGGAATACTATGCAGCCATAAAAATTGATGAGTTCATGTCCTTTGTAGGGACATGGATGAAGCTGGAAACCATCATTCTCAGCAAACTATCGCAAGGACAAAAAAAGCAAACACTGCATGTTCTCACTCATAGGTGGGAATTGAACAATGAGAACACATGGACACAGGAAGGGGAACATCACTCACCGGGGCCTGTTGTGGGGTGGGGGGAGGGGGGAAGGATAGTATTAGGAGATATACCTAATGTTAAATGATGAGTTAATGGGTGCAGCACACCAACATGGCACATGTATACATATGTAACTAACCTGGCCGTTGTGCACATGTACCCTAAACTTAAATAAAAAAAAAAAAGAAAAAAAAAACTTTTGGCTAGGACTTAACAACTCGTGCTGATATTTTACTGACGAGGGATGTGTATATTACTCCGCAAGCATTTATTTTTTAATTTATAAAACAATAGAAATGTATTTAGTATTTCTAAAGACTGCCTAGAACTCCCTAAGAATGTGAGCACTTTAAAAGCAGCTTACATGGGTCAGGTTTCAAGAATAATTTCCTCCCAAATTATTGTCAAGTGTATTCTCTTGTTTACCAGGTGTATTACTGTCACAATCAGGACACATATTCTTATCGAGTCTCTGTTAATGTTTAATAAGTATGTAATTATCATTAGTTTATTTGTATTTTGCCTTTCAAAAATGAGAAAAAGCTCACATATTAAAACACCTATAATATGTAATAATTAAAAGAATCAAACCCAAAATAAATGAAATAAGGAAAGAACTATACTAGATAGCAGAGATTATTAATTATCAGTTAGGTATTGATTTATTATTATATTTAGGTATTTTTATACTAGTGTTTCTTGAAAAATAAGACAAAAGAGAAAATCATTTACTCGTATCACAAAAGAAGCCATGCAAACTCATCTGAAGAGAAAAACGTTTTCCTTAACGCTGAACTATAAAATAAATATATCAAAAGGCATTGGATGACATAATTAACAGTATAAGTGACTTTGGTTTTGCAAAAATTTGCAAAAACTGCTTCAATTGGATATTCTATAAATTGCCAAGGGCATACATTTAAATCCCGATGTAGGGAAATTTTCCACAGCAATGAAAGAATAAATGATTCAGGTGTTTTTGTTTTCTTTCACCTTACGATAGTAGGTTTTTACATTTTGCAGGCATGCTTTCATAAACAAGTTTTCCCCAACTGGTTACATCTTCTCAATCTTCTGTAAGATGTTTTACATAAACACATTTTTGTCTCTTCTCATAAAGATTTTGATTTTGTATGTGTGGTCTAGAATGTAGGTGTTCATATTTTTAATAAGCTCCCTCATTATTTCTGATTCACAGCCACATTTAGAAACACTCATTAGATTCCCTTTTTCACTGTCTTTCTCAAATACCAAAATTCTTAAGTGAGCTTTCAGAAGGTGGTGGATTACAGCCAATTCATGGTAAAGTTCTTTCACAACTGCTGTATGTGACAGTATTCTGTATTGTTTATTTAACATAGATACTTATTTGTTAGGTGCCAGATGTAAGAGATAAAAACTTTTCAATTTGTTGTGACAATTTGAGAGCTTATCTTGAATTCCTGCCCAGATGGGATCATTAAACTTCCATATGGAGGCAGGATACAGGAGTGGCTATTTCTGGTCAAGCCTGCCATTTCTTTTTCTTTGAAGAGACACTTTATATACTCATAGCTTATGGCAAAATATTCTGTTGATAATTTATAGTAAAGCAAGATAAAGAAAGGAAAACCCTTTCTTGATCAGGAAAACTAAGAATAATAGCAATATGCTACCTTAATCACAAATGAATCTCATTATATGTATCATAGAAAATGGACATTAGAGGATGATTGTCTTCTAATTCACATCCCACCTGTTGTTTTAAAATTGGCTTAAGTGGTGGTATACAGTAGTAAGCATTAGAAAATACTAACAAAAATAAAGTTAAGAATATTAACTAATAACACAATTATGCTACTGTCAACACTAAGTTGACCTAATAATTAACAGCATCAATGAGGACTACATATTTTGTTGAGATTACATGCTGGTACATGAATTTTGCTATTATATGACATTTAAACATGAGAGATGGGTAGATTGCTGTAAAAAGTGTGATTTTATCACTGATGGAATGTATATCCATCAGGAATAGAATTGTTGGACTTAACACATACTTGTTCCTCCTGCAAGACACTATTTGGAGAAATACTAATTTTGAGAAGCATAGTACTATACTTACTATAATACAGAGAAATACATTCTGACAATTGCTAAGTGTAACATTGGCCTGGAATTTTAAAGGTATCTAATAGATGAAGAGACCATTCCATACATATTCTATGTTTTTAACATGTGAGTGGATCATACTTTATCTTGTCTTAAATAAAATGTTTAGTAAAGGTAAATCTTTTGACAAATTTGGTTCTTACCACTAGGATAATACCTAAGTTTTTCCTGGATCCTTGCTTGACATTTTATCAAGATGTTTCCAAGTAGCTATAGTGGAAGAATTCCAATAACTAAGGCTGAGGCATATCTATGAAATGTGAAAATTTTAATGGGTAAATGTTTAACAACCGTCCCTCTCATTTAAAAAAGCTCACATTTTTAGCATTTGCCAATTTGAGTGGCATAAATGCACAAACCATGACTGATGTTTACATAAGAATATTATTCCACTAAACATGGCATTTGATAGAGATACACACAATTAACTATCATGAGCAGGTATGAACTGGCTCCAGCACACCACTGATGTGATTAAACTTCCTATATACCAATAAAGAATAATTTTATTTTTTACAAATCAATCTGTGAGTAGCAATTTCTTGTTCAACACACACTTATGTGGACACTTTAAAATGATTCCTAATTATATTAGCTTCCTGGTGTTCACACTCTTGTGTTATCTTTCCCCCTCAGTGTGGCCAGAAGCTGTGATTTGATTTTAACCAATAGGATACAGCAAAAGTTATCAGATGGCATTTACATGATTATATTTTATAAGACTGTAATATTCATTTTCCTAGGAGACTTCTCTCTTGCTGGCTTAGGTAAAGCAAGCCCCACATGGCAAAGAACTGAGGGACAGACAATAAGAAACAAGCTCTCAGCCCAACAAGCCACAAGGAAGTGAATTTTGCCAACAACCAAGTGAGCTTGGAAGCAGATCCTTCCATAATCAAGCTTTGAGACAAAACTGCAACCTGGATTGACCCCTTGACTGCAACTTTGAAGAGAACAACTAAATTGTGTCCTTACTGCTGATCCACAGGATTCTGTGTTGCTTTAAACTACTGTTTGTGGTAACATTGTAACACAAATATACATAACCAATACCATTTACATGGTGCTTACTATATGTCAGGCACTATTCCAAGAGTTTACTCTTTTAATCTACGTAACTCAAGGATATAATTCATCTCATTTTATAAATAAAGAAGAGAACACAGAGCTTAAATAACTTGTCAAAGTTCACAGAGCAAGCATCTCCAATCAAAATATATAATAATATGCTTCTCTGTAAAAATAATATTTTGTTAATGAAATGGAGTTTAATAGGCCTGTATGCTACCCACATCTGAATTCCACTGAAGTATTTTCTCACAAATATTTTATACCTCACAAAATATTTTATACACAAATATTTTATATCTCACAAAAATTTTTATACCTCCTGGCAAACTCAATCAAACCAAGAAATAGGATGCCTTAATTGGTTAGACAAGGGAGAGTTGAAATTCGTTTCAGCTTGTCTGCAATCTGTTTGTAACACAGAGAAGAAATTTTTGCCAGAAGACAATTTAACGAGGGTGATGTAAATATTTTAGCCAATATCATGTAACCATCTTCTTCCCATATTAACTATCTTGTTCCATAATTTCCATCCCCCACTTAAACAATCCTGATATTGCCTAATGTTAAAATATGTTTAAAAGAAAAGTTTTAACTTAGGCTAAAATATCATTTTCATAAATAGAGCTAAGGAAATGACAATTGATTAGAAAATAAATGTCATGTTGCCACATTACTGAACTACATTATACTATAGGATATCCCAAGTACTGTAATGTGGAGTAGTGTTAGATTTTGGATAACAGATGGGAGACCAGTTTTGATGCAAAGATTTTAGTTGATTTCCTGAGTTAAATCAGATGTTCATCCCTATAAATTAAGTAGCAATCTTATCCCTATTCTAGCATTATAAATGCCTCTATTATATCATGTAATAAATGTTGACCATAGTTAAAATACAGAAGTGTGACATATTTCTTTGATATAACCCCATAAACATCCCCTACCCGTCTGTCCTTCCTTAGCATTCAGAGTACTCTAGCCACATGGAACTACCATACCAAAACATTTGTTTTATGAGTGAATAGCTTAATTGCTGATATCCTTATAGAAAACACATACCTATGTATGTGTAATAATTTCATACCATTGTTCAGTTTATTGAATGTTGAAGATATTAAACAGGACACTTGTGTAATGTAACTGCTCTTGGATTAGTCACAATAGAAAGGTATTTGCTTAGGTTGTCAGCTGTGACAAACTGAATCACTAAATTACCTCAATTTTAAAATTAATAAAAGATATTTAAGATATATCAATTTTTTCTTCTGGTCTGATAATAAAAGCATGGAAAATTCAGGAAAATGGAAAAATCCTATGGCTTATCAGGAAAGATGATGTTTTGTATCAATATGTCTACCCTGAGAGCTTTGTCCATCTTCTTTTGTTACTTTTAGCTAATCCTTTAGAGGGGCAAAGAGAACAGAGAAAGAAAATGAAAACAAAAAGATGGCACGTATCAATCATTTATCCAGATAAACCTATTTCCATATATTGGGTGTTCTATGTATTTAAGGATATATGTTAATAATTAACTCAAAAGTTATGAGTAAATTTCATTTAGCTCAAAACGTTTCCATACACAATCTGTTATGTCAGAAAATATTAACCAAGGTTCCCACCTTACCGATAGAAAAAAATAACCAACTCCCAGTTGCATCAAATCTACAGTTTTGGTGAACGTTAGTTTCATGACCATTAAAAAACAGAGATTAACAGATGCTTTCAGATCCAAAATAAGGCAGTCTTTTATATACAAAAGCCTTGGCACATGTCTGCAAATGCTACTGAGAAAGGTAGCATTGCAAACTGTTCAGTCTCATAGTTGATTCAAAAACACTGCTCCCTTCTTTTTCTTCTCTAACATGCCAGTCTAGAAATTCAGCTCCTGTGCCATAGGGATGATTGGTATTAGAGTCTTCCTTCTTGCATGCATCCCCTACAGTGCTGCAATGAGGATGGTAGAAATGGGAAACACGTCCCCTCTTACTTGAGTGCCTGTAGCACATTTGTTAAACTGTTTGTTGTCACTTCTCTGTAAAATATTAACTGGAAGTTGGTTCCCTTTTTGCAGCAGCCAATGAAATATTCATTCTCTTGAGATTATTTGTTGGTTTTTCAAGAACCTTCCTCTCCTTGCACAATTTCCCAGTGCTAGAGACTTGGCTTAGGATTAAATTTCTTTTTAAAGCATCTCAAATCACCATACTGTCTTTTGTCCTCTGGTATGGGTTGTCCAGGGAGTAAGTTTACTTTTGTTCTGTAATAAACTACCCGCAAACTTAGTGGCCCCATCACATTATTATCACTTACAATTATTACTAGGTGCTTCTTCTGGTATGGACCACCTAGTCTGATCTGTTTGGCTAGCTCAGGCATCTGTAGTAAACTAATGAGTCACCTAACCAATTGGATATTATAGGATAGCCTTGCCTATGAGTTTGGAGATTGAACAACTGAGGCAACAGGCATCTTATCTACGTGTTTTTTCGTTCTTCATTTTCTAGAAAGTTAGCAGGCTGATTTACATGGTCACCCAAGCTTTCCAAATGTAGCCAGAGAGGGCAAGTTTCAATGTATGAAAACTTTTCTAGATGAGAATGCTTCTTTTGGGAAGATTCTATGTATACCCCTCTCATTGCTTTCCACAATATTCCCAGCTGAGGAGAGACATGTT